>NC_000019.10:29115874-29740874 GCF_000001405.40 Homo sapiens | reverse complement strand
CCACCTCCCCTGTAGCTCAAGCCCAGAAACCTGGCAGTCATTCCTGAGGTCCTTTTTCTTCCATCCCAGTCTCCAGACCATAACCAGTGAGTGGGTCTGTCACTACAGAATGTGTCTTCTACCCTGTCTGCTTCTTCCCTACTCCCCTGCCGCTGTGCTCTAAGCCTCCCCCATCTCTCAAGGGCCAGGCCCCCAGCCGGCCTCCTGTATTAGCTCAGGCCACCATAACAAAATACCATGAGCCAGGGCTTGAACAATGAACAGTTATGCTTCACCGTTCTGAAAGCTGGGACGTTTGAGATCAAGGAGTGTCTGAGTCCATTTTGTATTGCCATAAAGAAATACTGGAGGCTGAGTGATTTAAAAAGAAAAGAGGTTGATTTAGTTCACGGTTCTGCAGGCTGTACAAGAAGCGTGACACCAGCACCTGCTCCTGGTGAGGCCTCAGGAAACTTCCATTCGTGGCAGAAGGGGAAGGAGGAGCAGGCATGTCATGTGGCAAGAGAGGGAGCAAGAAGGAGAAAGAAGGGTTCCAGGATCTTTTTTGTTGTTGTTTTATTGGCCAGAATTTTTTATTTCATTTTTTATTTTTATTTTTATTTTTTGAGATGAAGCCTCACTCTTTCGCCCAGGCTGGAGTGCAGTGATGTGATTTTGGCTCACTGCAGCCTCCACCTCCCGGGTTCAAACAATTCTCCTGCCTCAGCCTCCTGAGTAGCTGAGACTATAGGCACGCGCCACCACACCCGGCTAATTTTTGTATTTTTAGTAGAGACGGGTTTTCACCATGTTTGCCAGGCTGGTCTCAAACTCCTGACCTCAAGTGATCTGCCCGCCTCAGCCTCCCAAACTGCTGGGATTACAGGTGTGAGCCACTGCACCCGGCCCTGGGTCCTGCTTTTAAAAGTCAATCTGGGCCAGGTGCCGTGGCTCACATCTGTAATCCCAGCACTTTGGGAGGCTGAGGTGGGTGGATCATGACGTCAAGAGATCGAGTCCATCCTGGCCAACATGGTGAAACTCTGTCTCTACTGAAAATACAAAAATTAGCCAGGCGTGGTGGCACGCAACTGTAGTCCCAGCTACTCGGGAGGCTGAGGCAGGACAATTGCTTGAACCAGGGAGTCAGAAGTTGCAGCGAGCTGAGATTGCACCACTGCACTCTAGCTTGGCAACAGAGCAAGCCTTTGTGTCAAAAAAAAAAAAAAAAGTCACTCTGATCAGTTTTCTTGTGGACCCATCCTTCCTGCCCCTTATCCCACCCCATTCAGTGGCCTCCCATAGCATCCAGGACAAAGTCCCCAGTCCTAGGGGGCTTAGAAAGCCTTGTAGGCCCAGGCCCCCAACCCAGTCCCTGACTCTCAAACCACTGCAGCCAACCCCTTCGTACCAGTTCTTCAGGGGCCACTTCGCATGGACAATTCCTCCACCTTGTTCCACGGCATCAAAGGCTCCTTCCCTGTGTCCAGCTCCCATAGGTCCATAGGAGACAGGCATCTGATCAGATAACCATTCTGGGCTAATGGGCTGCTTGGTGCCAGGGGATGACTGTACCACTCCATCCAGGTCACACCCTTGCGTTTGTTTAAAATTTAATTTAGTTTAGATTCAAGGGGTACATGCGCATGTTTGTTACCTGAGTATATTGTGTGCTGGTGGGGAATGGGATTTTAGTGTACCCATCATCCCACCCCTGCCTTTTTACTGGGATACGGGGAACTACTGAGTCTTAACATACAAGGACTAGCACACAGGGCGGAGGGGAAGGCAGCACCTTAGACCCCACAGCATTTCAGGTCAAAGGGTATTACTCTAGCAATTCCTTTCTGTCCAGGGTTGATCTTGATTATTTTCAGACAGGGTCTCACTCTGTCTCCCAGGCTAAAGTGCAGTAGTGCAGTCAGGGCTCACTGCAGCCTCGACCTCCCAGGCTCAAGTGATCCTCAGCCTCGCAATAGCTGGGACTATAGGCACATGCTACCACGCCTGGCTAATATATATTTTTTAATTCTTTGGAAGTTTTTAAAATTCTATGTAGAGATGGAGTCTCACTATGTTGCTCAAGCTGGTCTCTAACTCCTGGACTCAAGCAATCCTCCAACCTCAGCCTCCCAAAGTTCTGGGATTACAGGTGTGAGCCACCACGTCTGGATGAATCTTGGTTATTTTAATGCAAAATAACAAAAAGAGAAGTTCTTTGCCCCTAAATGAAAGTATATGTTAGGGAAGATGACCTCGTGACAGGTGCTGGCCCTTGTGTCAATAGACTTGAGTCCCTGGTGAGGCTCTAAGGGGCGGGGCTGGGAGCTAGGACCCCCTGGCCCCAGAGCCTTTCAGCTACCATGTGGCTGGGCCCATACCACACCACCCTTCCCACACTCAGCTGGACATCCTGAATCTGGGCCTGAAAGATTCTACATGCAGACAGCACCTGTAGGGAGGGCAGGGGTGGGAAAAGGCAGGCAGGTGAAGGGTCAAGTTGGCCCTAGTTAAAGGCTTAGACCAGCGACTTCACCAGCTGTGTGACTCTGTGGAAAGTCCTCACCCTCTCTGAGCTTCTGTTTTTTGCCCGTGTACATCGGGGGTTGGAAAATGGGGGAGGGAGGGTGTTTGTCTCCATTCTTAAGGGCTATGACGAGCAACCTCAAAGTTTGTCAAAATGAACCAAGGAAGTCGGCCCTTGGGAATGCACCTGGAACAAGTGCACAGTGGGTAGCAGGAGCCAGGTGGCTTCTGGGTGAGAGGCCTTCCTGGTCACCTGCTTGGCTGCATAGCATAGGAAAAGCAAGAGGTGACCAGACAGGAGGTGCAGAGGAGGGCAACCCCAGAGCCAGGCGTGGGCTCAGTACAGCCTGAAGTTGCTTCAATCATGGTATCCAGGACTATTTCCAGTTCCAAGGGGGGGCCTCCAGGAAGCTGCTAAGCATGCGGTTAATCCTCAGGTCTCCTTGCCCGTCGGGCGAGAAGGAAGTTTTGGCTGCTCAGGAAGGTCTGTATCCAGGAGAAAGGGCACTGACCACACAGGCAAGAGGGTCCCATTCTGGGAGATGGTACCTTTCTCACTGCCCGTGGGTAGCTTGGGCCTGGGCAGCAAACCTGGGGCTTGTGGCTAGCGGCTGAGCTTGGGACCGCTCAGGCTGGTGGGAGGGCTGAGGTCTCCCCATGCTGTCGGGGGAGCCTAAGGGAGATGCTTGCCCTGGCCTCCCAAATTCCAGTAGAGAGAGCCACATGCAGAGACTGAGGGTGCCGTCGGGAAGAGGTGCCCCATACCTTATTCCAGCCTGAGTGCCTGCTGTGCTCAGGACCTGCACACCCTTACAGAAGGGTGGCTGGGGAGCTCATCAGAGGGCCTGGCATGTGGTCCTGGGAGCCGGGGGCTTAGAGGCTGACATGGATATAGTGACAGGGGCACAGTCTTTGGTATAAAGGTGGAGGACACTGAAATGTCCCAAGCCAGGAGGCTGGAAGGGAGTGCGAGGCGGATTAGCCTGGGCAGGAAAGACAGGGGCACACCCACCCCAGTTCCCTGCAGCCCTCTGAGGGGGTGTAGAGAAGCATCAGCAGCTCTCGAGGCCCCGGGGACGGGACATGGAGGCTGGGGAGGCACAGAAGCCCTGGAATGGGGTGTGTTGATGAGAGGACATGAAGGCTTTAATGCTTCGTGGGGCCAAAGGGATCCCAGCTTACCCTTCAGCGAGGGCATTAAGGTATAGAAGGGGCCAAGGTGATGCTGACACACTGGCCCCAGTAGAGACTCCCTAAGAGTTGGAAACAGGGAAATCCAACCTCCAATGACTGAAGGCAGTACTTGGCAAAACTAATTTTACTTTTTACATCAATGAGATGAGATGCAGTCACAGACATAAAATTCACAACCCAGAGCTGACAAACTCACCGTAAGATGGCAGCTATTATTATTGTCTCAAATTTCAAGCACTGACACCTTTTAAAAGGCCCCAAACTTCACTTAACACTTGTTGTTTGGAACCCTAAAATTCAAGAACTGAAGGTCGCCCAGGAACCAAATAGGAGGAGTCCGACTACAAAATTAGAAGAGACAGATCAGGGAGACTGCCGGCCCTTTACAAATTCTCCATCCTTCTCACCTATCACCCTTCAATCCCAAGACAGGTCAGCAGACTCCATGTGGGGCTCTGAGTCCAGTAAGCACAACTAAGCCAGGCAACTTCTTTTATTTTTATTTTTATTTGAGACGGAGTCTCACACTATTGTCCAGGCTGGAGTGCAGTGGCACAAACTTGGTTCACTGCAACCTCCACCTCCCAGGTTCAAGCGATTCTCCTGCCTCAGCCTCCTGAGTACTGGAATTACAGGCATGTGCCACCATGACCTGCTAATTTTTATATTATTAGTGGAGACGGGGTTTCGCCTGTCTCAACCCCCAAGTAGCAGGGACTACTGCGCCTGGCCACGGGCATTCTCTTATACAACCACAGTTCAATTATGAAAATCGGGAAATACCGATTGATGTGGTATTAATAAATAAATTTATTTATTTTGAGACAGAGTCTTGCTGTGTCATCCAGGCTGGAGTGCAATAGTGCAGTCACAGCTTACTGTAGCCTCAGCCTCCAGGGCTCAATGAATTCTCCCACCTCAGCCTCCCAGTAGCTGGGACCACAGGCGCATATCACCACACCTAGCTAATTTCTTTTTCTTTTTCTTTTTTTGTTTTCAGTTGAGATAGGGTCTCACTATTTTGCTCAGGCTAGTCTCAAACTCCTAGGCTTAAGTGATCCACCAGTCTCAGCCTCCCAAAGTGCTGGAATTATAGGCATGAGCTGCCACGCCTCGGCCTTGGGTACTTTTGAGCATACTTTGCATGCATACAGGCTGTCTCGGGATAGTTTGCACAGCACACTGGTGCACTGTTGATGACATTATGCTACCAGCATATGACACAAGCACCCCGGATGTCCTAGGAAGAAGACACGTGCAAGCCAAGGGCAGGGGCTAAAGCCCAGAAACATTCAGAGGACTGGCACATTGGCAAGGTTGTTAGGGGACCCAGTGGTCTGACACATGCCAGGACAACCCTTGTAAAGGAAGGCACAGGCAGTGGCAGCTTTCCTTCAGCTGCACTAGGGAAGAGGCACAGTGCTGGGTGCACCACCTGGGACATTAGAAGTAGCATACTTGCTGATACTTCTCCCATACGCCTATTAGACAGCTTGGGAGACTGCCACTCGGAGTGGAGTCTAGGGCAAGAAACGGCTGGCCAGGAGGTCTAGGCTGTGAGAGGATCTGCTCTTCCACTCAAGCTGCACAACCCAGAGGAGCCAAAAGTAGCAGTCTTAGAGTCTCCTATGATGAAGAAGGCTGCCATGCCAACCCTCTGCAAGCTTCAGTAGGAGAGGTGCAGGGTAAACCTTTAGCCCTTGGGAGTGCGGTGGTGCCTTCTGCTGCCGAGAACTCACCTCAGTCTGAGACTAGCTCCTGCCGTGCAGTGGGTCCTCGCAGAGACTCGGAGACTACCCACAGGACAGTGAGTGACTTTGTTCCTGGAACTGATTACAGTGAGACCCATTAAGCCATAGATTGGGAGGACACAACAGCAACACATCAGCAGTGAAAATAATGCATTTGAGCTGGGCACAGTGGCTCAGCCTGTAATCCCAGCACTTTGGGAAGCTGAAGAGGAATAATAATAACATGAAGATGCATAATATGTTAATGCAATATTTTAAAGAGTTAAAATTAATACAAAAATCCATGATGAGCAAAATATTAAAATTTCAAATAGAGACAGGATCAGTAACTGCTGTGCCGAGCCATATTGGTGTCTGAGACAAAAGGAAAAATCAGTACTACTGACCTATGGAAATGGCACTAGCGTGCCAATCATTGGACTTACGTTAAGGTCTGCCAAAAAGCCTCTCCTGCAGAGGAGGCACCTAGCAACTGGGTGGACAGGATGGTTCATCCTCTGGGCATCAGCCAGCATCAGCCACCCCACGGCAGGGGAAATAGATAGTTCCATGAATGGTGTGGCCATGGTGGCAAAAGTCAAGGGAGGCATGAGCCCAACACAAGTTCCCTCTTGCTAGAGATGACCTGGCTGCTGCCGCTACTGAATGCCCTACCTGCCAACCACATGGACTAATAATGAGCCCTCAAGATGGCACCATTTCACAAGGAGATCAGGCAGTCACAGTGCAAAGTTCATTATATGAGACCCCTTCTGTCATTGATGAGACAGCGATGAGTCCTAGCAGAGTGAACACCGACTCTGGATATGGATTTTCCTTCCTTGCAACAGTGCCTTCACTGGCATCACCAACAGAGCACTTACGGTCGTCTCTGATTTATTGGCAGGGGATTTGAACAACACTGCCTCAAGCCAAGGGGTCTGTTTTACAGCAAAGAAGCTATGGCTCCAAGGTTCCTCTGGAAGCAGCAGGCCTACAAGAACATCAGGATGACCTGTGCCAAGGCTATGCCAGGGTGAAAGCGTGAGCCCACACCCTGTATAATTGGGATACTATCCTTGAAACTGTGGTGTACGTGCCTTACCAAGAGCAGACACATGGTGCTATGATCCCAAAAGCAGAAAGACATGGGGCTGGAAACCCAGGGGGTGGCGGGGGGAGTGAGATCGGCTGCTCTCACCATCACTCGCAGAGACCACCTTGAGAAATGTGTGCTTCCTGTGTCCACAGCTTTGGGTGGGGCTCTAGCAAATTCGACGTCTTAGTTCTTGATGGGGGAGGAGGAGCGGAGAGTGGACTCCTCCACCAGGGAACATCACCAATTCTACAGAACTTGAAAATACAAATACTCCCTGGTCCTCTTGGGCTTCTCAAGTCAGTGGGCCAGAGGCAATTAGCAACAATTAGGATAACGGAGTTTCTACATGCAAAAGAATGAAGAGGTAGCCCCTACATTATACGGTATAAATGTTAACTCAGCATGGATCAATGACAAACATCAGAACTCTTACAAGAAAACATATAGGTAAATCTTCACGACCTTGGATTTGGTAATGGATTCTCAGATACGACACCAAAAACATGAGCAAAGAAAGAAAAAGAGACAAATTGGAATTCATCAAAACTAAACACTTTTGTGCATGAAAGGACATTATCAAGAAACTGAAAAAACAACCGATGCAATGGGAGAAAATATCTGCAAATCATATATCTGATAAAGTTTTAAAATCAAGAATATATAAGGAACTCCTACAACTCAATAACAAAAAGACAACTCAATTAAAAATGAGTAAAGGATTTGAACAGATACACATCCAAAGAAAATATACAAATGACCACAGGAAAGTATACTCAACATCGCTAAACACTAGGAAAATGCAGATCAAAACCAAAATGAGATACCACCCCACACCCATTAGAATGCCTGCTATATATTAATAAAAGAAAAATGAAAACACGATAAACTAAAAATAACATGTATTGATGAGAGTGTGTTGGTAAGAAATTGGAATCTTTGTGCACGGTTAGTGGGAATGTGGAATGGTGCAGCCAGCCTGGAGAACAATATGGCAGTTTCTCAAAAAATTAAACATAGAATTAACATAGAATCAGCTACTCCACTGCTAGGCATATACCCTGAAGAACTGAAAGCAGGACTCAGAGACATCCATGCTGATGTTCACTGCAGCATTATCCACAAGGGCCCAAAAGTGGAAACAAGCCAAGTTGCCATTAACAGGTGAATGAATAACAAAATGTGGCACGCCTTGTACATACAATGGAACATTATTCAGCCATAAAAGTGCATGAAGCTTTAATACATGCACCACATGGATGGACCTTGAAAACACTATACTATGTAAAATAAGTCAGTTTCAAAAGGACAAGTATCATATCATTCTACTTGTTTGAAACATCTACAAGAGACAAAGTAGCAGAGAAAGTAGGCTAGTGATTACTAGGGGCTGAGGGGAGAGGGGATGGGGAGGTGTTGCTTAATGGTTACAAGGCTTCTGTTTAAGGCAATTAAAAAGTTTTGGAAATACATAGTAGCAATGGTTGTCCAGCAATGTTCATATAACTCAGGCCACTGAATGAACATTTAAAAATGGTTAAAATGGGCTGGGCATGGTGGTTCACGCCTGTAATCCCAGCACTTTGGGAGGCCAAGGGGTGGGTGGATCACCTGAGGTCAGGAGTTTGAGACCAGCCTGACCAATATGGTGAAACCCCGTCTCTACTAAAAATACAAAAATTAGCTGGGCATGGCTGCGTGTGCCTGTAATCTCAGCTACTCCGGAGGCTGAGGCAAGAGAATCGCTTGAACCCAGAAAGTGGAAGTTGCAGTGAGCCAAGATCGCGCCCCTGCACTCCAGCATGGGCAACAAGAGTGAAACTCCGTCTTAATAATAATAATAATAATAATAATAATAATAAAATGGTTAAAGTGGCACATTTTATGTTGTGTGTATTTTACTGCAATAAAAAAAGTACTGATTAAACTGGCAGGAGAAACTAGTTCTGATTATTGCAAGGAGATAGAGTTGTTTCTCCATGAGGGATGGATGAGTATGTTTGGGACTCAGGAGAGTCACTGGGCTGTCTCTTAGTATCTTATTTATTTATTTACTTATTATTTTTGGAGACAGGGTTTTGCTCTGTTGCCCAGCTAGAGTGCAATGGTGCAATCACGGCTCACTGCAGCCTCAACCTCCTGGGCTCAAGCGATCCTCCCACCTCCGCCTCCTGAGTAGCTGGGACTACAGGCATGTGCCACCACACCTGAATAATTATTTTTCTTTAGAGATGGGGTCTTGCTCTGTTGCCCAGGCTGGTCTCAAACTCCTGGGCTGAAGTGATCTGCCTGCTTCAGCCTCCCAAAGTGCTGGGATTACAGATGTGAGCCACTGCGCCCTGCCTTCTTGGTGAATCTTGAACCTGCAATTAGATAAAATAGGCAGTCACAGCAGCCAAGGGCCAACCAAGACAAAGCTCAGGAAAGACTCAGAAACTGCAGGGGGGAAGGTGTGGTCACCTCACCTGGCACACAACTTAAACAAGCCAAAGTGCTGGCCAAGAGTGAGGGACATCTGGAGTGGTAGGTGCAGGAGGGAGACGATGAATAGCAACTGTAGTTTCATTCACAGTAGGATTTCCGCAGGCCTCCCCCTTGAAGACCTGGTGACAGGTTGGATTTGATGCAGGGCATGCCTGAGTCTCAGCGGTCCAAGAGGGAGATGATCAGACAATCACGGGCACCGCCTCGCATCCTCCTGGCCTCCGCTGATTCAGCTATGGCAGTGGTGAGCAGTTTTGTGCAAGCTTCAGCTCATTTGGGCCTCACAGCACCTTGCCTCAAGCATGCTGTTTGCTTTGGCCCCAGGGCTTCCTGAATGCTGTGGCATGGGATGGCAGAAAGAGCCCATTCAGCATGCAAACATATGTTCAGCCCGAAGGTACGGGGGTTACCGTTCCCAGGGAACTCTCAGCAAATGGGGGAGAGGCAGAAGATTCTGAAAGGTCTTCTGTCTACTCAGCAGTCCGCGTGGGACCGAGCC
Organism: Homo sapiens; assembly: GCF_000001405.40. Taxonomy (NCBI): domain Eukaryota; kingdom Metazoa; phylum Chordata; class Mammalia; order Primates; family Hominidae; genus Homo; species Homo sapiens. The sequence goes on along the minus strand of NC_000019.10, from coordinate 29,731,366 downwards.
CTGGGTGCCTGTAGAGGGGACCAGCCTTGGTAATCCACCCTTGTGTTGGCTTGTCCTTCACTGTGTCACCTTCCCTGTTTCCTCATCCTGCTTCCTAAAATTGCCTCCAAACTCCACCTTCCCTCAGAGAAGGACTGAAGTAGGTAAGTGGAATTTAGTATCAGGTTTGTAAGGGTGAGATCGCAAAGTACTTAAGATACAAACACAAAGTGTCTATCCTACAGACCTGGGCTCAGTCCTTTTTTTTTTTTTTTTTTTTTTTAGACAGGACTGGAGTGCAGTGGCGTGATCTCGGCTCACTGCAACCTCTGCCTCCTGAGGGTTCAAGCAATTCTCCTGCCTCAGCCTCCCGAGTAGCTGGGATTACAGGCACCAGGCTAATTTCTGTATTTTTAGGAGAGACAGGGTTTCACCATGTTGGCCAGGCTGGTTTCGAACTCCTGACCACAAATTATCCACCAGACTTGGCCTCCCAAAGCACTGGGATTACAGGTGTGAGTGAGCCACTGCACTGGGCCACAGCCAGTGTTGAAATTCCACATAATCACAGACTAAGTTAAAATTTCAAATTAAACATATCTGGATAATTTCATCATAGCAGAAATGGTGAAGGGGTAAATTCTGGCAAAGTGACACGCTCAGTTTGTTAGGTTACAATCGGGAGGGCAGCGTCTTGAACGCGCTCCGGCGCCCATGGTCCCTGGATTTCCTAATCTATAGCACCCTCTAGTGTTAGCTTTGCTTCATGTCCAGAGCTCAGTGGTAAAAGCCTGAAATTCTGCCTCTGCACAAACCATGCTAAGTGGAAATTTGTGACAGAAGAGGCTCCTTTTATTGCTTTTTCTCTAAGGAGAAGTCATCAGGTGCTTAAATCTTTGGAAATAAATTTGTGCCACCTGTATGTTTAAAATAAAGTATCATGCTTTATGCTTCATTTGTTCTTCCAACAAGTAATTGTTGGGGGTCCCTGCGGTCTGCAGAAGGCCCCATGTTGGAGCAGGAGGTTTTAAATGAAAACGCTGCACATTTTCACAGATGAACAGGGAAGGAGGGTGTCACGCCAATGTCCAAACGGGGAAGTAGTTGGCCGGTGCGTGCAGGGGAGAGAGCTGCCACCGTTCCCCCTCAGTCCCACCTCAGAATTCATCATCCTACCTGGCTCGGAAACAGATTTGGGGAGCATAAGCTCTCTTTATAGTTTGCCCCACAATCAATTTCAGTGCATCTGTGCAGAGTGACATGAACTGTCCTAAATGTCTTCTAAAATAAAAAGACACCTTTGCCTCACTCGGGGCTTCGCAGCATTAAATGTACTTGGGTTAAAGGCTTCAGCGTACTCCAGTGGGGGCGCATCTTCCTACACTTTGGATAATTCATATGCATGAGAAGACATCGTCATTTTCGGTGCAGTTCTGAAAGGAAGTATTAAGGGCGAGAATTTGATTTTAAGTGAGGGAAGGGGAAAAAAAGGTGTGAATTTAGCTCCAGACTCTGCAGAGGATGAAAGAAGATGTTATATTTCTGTTTGAGACGTTGCAAATCACTCTAGAGTGCCCTCTGAACTTCTCCCTCAGCCCACCTGTCCACAGAATGGCTGGGATTCACTCCACTCTCCAGGATTTACTGTCACCTCTCCCATCCACAGTCTTTTAGGAACAGACCATCTCAGACAGCCCCTAAAGTTACCGCATGGACAACAAATTGTTCTGCAAAGTGATAGCATAGAATGCACCAAAACATCTTGAAAGAAACTTACTCAAGATGTGCTTGTTTCCTCAAGATGATATTTTATTTGTTTTAACCGGCAGTCTTGTGGGTATATATGTCTATGTTTAGCCAAAATGAAAAATGCTCCTAAAATAAAATCTCAGAAACTTTGACCAGAGTGCTTGTATGTTCTAAGGGGGAAAGAGTGTTGCATAATTCGTTACGGGGGCAGACTAAACCTTCCCTCCACTTAGAAGAGTGGGGCTGGGTGTGGTGGCTCATGCCTGTAGTCCCAGCACTTCGGGAGGCCAAGGCAGGAGGCCAGGAGTTCAAGACTAGCCTGGGCAATACAGGGAGACTCTGTCTCTAAAAATAATTTAAAAATTAGCCAGGTGTGGTGGCATGCACCTGTAGTCCCAGCTACTCAGGAGGCTGAGGTGGGATGATCACTTGATTCCAGGAATTCCAGGCTGCAGTGAGCTATGATTATACCACTGCACTCCAGCCGGGGTGACACAGTGAGACCCTGTTTCTAAAAAATAATTTAAAATAAAACTAAGTAGAAGAAAGATGGGCACTAAGCCTAAAAATTTGACCTCACTAAACATAAGGTGTTAGTTCAGAGCTCTGGACCCCAAAAGCTGTGGCCTGGAGTGGGTGAGTGTTTTATTGTCCCTGATATGGGAAAAGGAGTCCAGGAAGAGGCTGGTCCACAGATAAGAGAGTAGCAGGAGACCCTGTAAGATGCTGAGAGCCTGGCTGGGCCCAAGTAACTCTCAAGAACCAGGAGGTCTCAATATTCCCTTCCAGGCACCTGGTGAGCCACGCCGCTACATTGAACCCTCACTGGCCACTGTAGACCCAACAGTCAAAGTCTGTGGCACCAACACCTTGTGTTATAGAGACTTTGGGGAAGTCCCCGAGAAGGTCTGGAGCTCCCAGTTCATTTGGGCCAGGCACACTGAACAGAGGGAGGGCTGGAGGAGCTGAGGAGGGAGGCGAGGAGGCGAACCCTGAAGAATCAGGCTTTAGAGGCTCCTGATCAGGAGAAACGCACAGGTGGCTCTTACCACCTCTCTCAGCAACCTTTAGAGATTCCGGGCTGGTGTCTGCTAGCTTAAAAATCACTCATTTAAAATAATTAAAAATCATTTAGAAAAGGAGGGCTTTATTTCTCATATAGAGTTACAACCTGCAAGGCAGCCACCCTGACTGGCTAAGAAGTGTAGTCTCCAGTAGAAGCCAATAGGCAGGCACTTTGAGGAAGGGTGGGAGGGGATAAGACAGGAATTCAAGCTGAATGGGTTGGCCAGGTATACATATTCAACGGGATATAGGAAGAGCTATGAATATTCTTGGAAGGAGGCCATACACATGTGTGATAAGCAAACATGCATGTTACACACATCCCATGTTCACCTTGGAGTGGAGAATACACATTTAAGTGTATTACAATCGGGCTGTAGACGTCAAAAGGTGAATCAGGGACATGAAGGCATTGCACAGCCTCTGTAAATGGGCAGAACCAGGCCATGGTCAGTGGTCTCTTATCAGGAGAAAGTTACTGAATCAGCCTCTTGTCCAATCAAAGCTGCAGTTCTGGCTGGTGGAACGAGGGTCAGTTAGTGTCTGGCAGCGGGCGAACTGCAATTGTTTTAATATTACCTATCTCCAAGCCATTGGCTTGTTTAGCTGCTAGAGAAAAAGAAACCCCTTGCGGCAGCTGGAAACTAGTTTATTCTTTAAGTGTAGGGGTGTGTGACTTAACCCTTCCCTGATATGGCCCTTAGGTCCTGGTTATGATTTGGTATCTTACTGTCACAGAGTCCATTCTGCCAGTCTTATGACCTCTATTTTATTTTTATTTTTTAGAGACAGGGTCTCAGTCCATCACCCAGGCTGGAGTACAGTGGCGTGATCTCGGCTCACTGCAACCTCCACCTCCCAGGTTCAAGCAATTCTCCTGCCTTAGCCCCCTGAGTAGCTGGGATTACAGGCACCCACACACCCGGCTAATTTTTGTATTTTTAGTAGAGAAGTGGTTTCACCATGTTGGCCAGGCTGGTCTCGAACTCCTGACCACAGTTGATCCTCCCACCTCAGCCTCCCAAAGTGCTGGGACTACAGGCGTGAGCCACTGCGACCACCATGACCTCTATTTTAACATGAATGCTGCTCATTTGTGTTTAAGCCACAAAAGGGAGTGGGTAGAGCGGGGTGTGTCTGACCTCCCTTCCCATCATGGCTGGGAACTCTGTGGTTAAGTTTCCTCTGGGGTCCCCTTGGCCAAGAGGGGGTCTGTTCAGTTGGTTGGGGGGCGCTGAGGATTTCATCTGTAGTTCTCATGTTTCACTGTAAGTAGACTGAGGGCTTAAATCACTTTTATTTGTTAATGTTAAGGGGGACGTCCATTAAACCTGAAAGACTTGGGGACACCAACAAGGCTGATAGCCATTAGATAATTATTATTAATGACAGTCATTAGTGATACCAATTATGTACCAATCATTCCGGGCATGAGAGCTACAGGGATAAATAAGACATAACAGCCTCCTCCCTTGTGGAGCCTGCCTTCTGGGAAGGGGGAGTGTTGGTATTCCATGAAAGTGTGACAATATCAAAACAGGCACAGTGGCTCACGCCTGTAATCCCAGCACTTTGGGAGGCAGAGGCGAGTGGATCACTTGAGGTCAGGAGTTTGAGACCAGCCTGACCAACATGGTGAAATCCTGTCTCTCCTAAAAATACGAAAAATTAGTCTGGCATGGTGGCGGGTGCCTGCAATCCCAGCTACTTGGGAGGCTGAGGCAGGACAATTGCTTGAACCCGGGAGGCAGAGGTTGCAGTGAGCTGAGATCGCAGCCATCGCACTCCAGCCTGGGCGACAGAGTGAGACTCCTTCTCAAAAAAAAAAAAAAAAAAATCTTATTTTTTGTCTGTTGTTCTACTAACAGGTTTGGCTTGCAGGAAATCTGCAATGCCTGGGACATTTCAGATTTGCAATTTAGGGAGGACCAGGGTGTACAGACCTCCAACCTTGGCACTCAGAGCTTAGTCTCCTCCCTGACTTTCCCTCTTTTTTTTTAAATTGCTTTGTCATCCAGGCTGGAGTGCAATGGCACGATCATACCTCATCACAGCCTTGAGCTCCTGGACTCAAGCGATCCTCCTGCCCCAGCCTCCTGTGTAGCTGGGACTACAGATGTGCGCCACCATATCCAGCTAATTTTTTATTTTTGTAGTGACGGCTCTCTATGTTGCCCAGTCTGGTCTTGAACTCCTGGCCTCAAGCGATCCTCCCACCCCAGCTTCTCAAAGTGGTGGGATTACAGGCGTGAGCCACCAAACCTGGCCTGTACTTCCCATTTGGCAGCACTGTCTCGATAGTATTGTAGCTCTGGTTGCTGTGTTCATGCATACACTTACGTTTTCTTTCTCTGAAAAGTCAGGGATGCCAGAAGGGGACCTTATCTCTCTTGGCTACTGTTCTATTCCCCAGTCTGAAGGGGGAGCTGGCACTGGGAAGGCCCTGAGTCCATGTTTGTTGTCTGGGAATACCATTAAAGGTAACTGACCACTTTTGTTTGCATTGACTAGAAAGACAAGAAATGATGGCTTTAGCTGTATAATACTCTCCTCCTCCAGGCACTTGCAACAGCCCTACCAAATCATATTAATGATAATCACTCATGGTAACCAGTCTCTGAGTTGGACCCAGTGATCCATGCCTACCAGCCTTCATGCCTCTGTGCAGTCCCAGCCACATGGACGAATGTGTAGGGGTGTTGCAGTGATGGTGTGCAACCTTTAAGCCAGATCATGAAGACGCTGTGGCTTCTGCTTGGTTGTTTGGATCCTTCCCTCTGGAGGATGCCAGCTTCCTCATCAAGAGGACATTGGAACAGCCTGTGGAGAGCCCCACATGCTGAGGCACTCAGGCCTCATGGCCAACAGCCCAGCCACATGAGAAAGTGGTCCTCTGGGAAGCACATCACCAGGCCCAAGCACCCCTTCAGATGACTACAGCCTCAAGAGAGGGCCCAATCTAGAACCGCTCAGCTACAGCACTCTCAAATTCCTGACCCTTGGGAGCTGTGAGAGAGGACATTGGTCTTAAGCCACTAAGTTTTGCATTTGATATGCAGCAATAAATAACAACTACAGTGATACTGATGTTGTTCCTTAATAATACCAATTAGTGATGATTTCTTAGTCTTTTTTTTTTTTTTTAAAGAAATGGGGTCTTGCTATGTCTCCTAGGCTGGAGGGCAGTGATGCAATCATAGCTCACTGCAGCCTCAAACTCCTGGGTTCGAGTGATCCTCCTGCCTCAGCCTCCCAAGTAGCTGAGACTACAGGCACAGGCTACCACACCCGGCTAATTTTTAAATCTGTTGTAGAGACGAGGTCTCACTATGTTACCCAGGTTGGTCTTGAACTCCTAGGCCTTCCAAAGTGCTGGGATTACAGGTGTGAGCCACGATGCCAGGCCCCACATTATCTTTTTTAAAAGATGCAATATAAAACCTTAGCAAACAGTGTGCTCGCTTTGCAAATGCAGCTTTAAGAGAAGCCCCTTACCTTCCAATTGCATCGTTGCCCCCGAGTCCCTCCTACGCGGAAATCTGGTGCTTTCACTGTAAGAAAAGCAGGCATAAGAAAGTGAGAGGGTTGAAGTTCTATTTATTGCCACAGTCAAAGGGGGCAGCCAGAATAAACGCAGGGTTTCCGGGGAGTTAGCTGTGGAGCGCAGCAGAAAGGCCGCTGGGGTCTGGCTGGGAGGACAGATTTCCTTGGCGCGCTGTGCAGCCTTCCCAGAGGATGGGAGCCGGGGGGGATGGGGGGCGAATTATTTCAATAATAAAGGAAAGGAAGATTTTTATTTTAGGTCAATAAAACAAAAAACTCGACCATAATTCGTTAATTTTATTGAAATGGCATGCAAATTACTTGATGAAACTTAGCAGAAAAGCGGCTCGGTGCAAACAACGAGCATTGTTTGGGAGCGCGTTTCCCGTTGGTCTCAAATCCACATACAATATTTCCTTAGTGCTTAATTATTTCCCCACTGCTCGCGTCTGCAGGGCTGAGCCCTTTGTCTGGCTCGCTTTGCACGCGGCGGGCAGCAAGTGCGGCGCCCTCCCCCGCGCCCGGCACAGATGGGGCCCCGGGGCCTTTGTTTTAGGGGTGGAGCGACAAGATCTGTAAAGCGGGCGCTCCAGGCTCGGTGCACGTGCTGCGGGCGCGGGGGTCCCCAGGCCACCGTCCCCTTCCTTCCTCCGCCCCATTGTCTGCCGGCGTATGGGAAGCCGCTGCGCTCCTGCCGTGCGAGCGCTGTAATCTTTGAGGTTTCTGCAGATTTGTGGAGGAGCTTACTTGACAGCAATCTCTTGGCGTGCTCAGATCACTCTGCAAGCCTCTGGCACACGCAGGGCCGCCGCTAAAGCAAGGGCCTCTGGTACCCCGGGCCTGCCCCGCGCAGCTCCCCCTGGCAGCTCCTCCAGCAAAGCACCTCAGCACCGAAAAATAAAATCCTACGGCGGGGATTTAGACCAGAGAGGAGTGAGGGTTTGGGGCCTGGCGCCTGCTTGAGCCTCGGGTAGGGGAGGGTCTTCCTTGGCTACTGGGTATGCTGTGGGCCCACGCTGCACCCCTAAATTCCTGACCCACAGGACCTGCCAAAGGTAATCCATCGCCCCAAAGTCACCCTATTCGGGTGGGATCTCTGCTTTCATAACAGAGAAGGGTCCCAGCAAGGGGACTGAGGAATGAATGTGTGCAAAACACTGGTTTCATTCTGAAGTCAGAAGTGTGGTTCCCCCATGCAGCTGGAATTTTGCAGGGACGGCCCGGCTATAAGATGGGTAATGCATGTAGAGTAGGAGGGAGGGCAGACCCCAGAGACCCCACCCCACTGCAGGTGAAACGCAAAAGAATGCCTTGCAGATTCCAAGGTGCCCACTCTTCCCGGCGCTCCAAACTATCAGGATGTTTTCCGTGCTGGAGGAGTCCCTGACATTTCCTCCTCTCTGATTTTCGCCATATTTACAACGTGTGTGTGTGTTTACCTTCCTGGACTTCCCTGCCTTCCAAAGGCGCTCTGCACCCAGTGCAAATGCCCTCACCCTCAGGGCCCTCTCAGGTCTCCCCATCTCTGCCAGCCGTGTGTTAAGCGAAGAACAGAGGCTTGAAGGCCAAGAGCCCTAGATTTCTGTTCTGATTGTGTTACTGACAGTGTGATCAAGGGCAGGTCCCTTCCTCTCTCTATTTTCGGGGTAGCCTAAGAAATCGTCTGAGAACTGGAGGGGCTCTGTCTAATCGAAGACTGTGACTGCGGAGCCTCGGTTCTTTGCAGGGCCCAGAACCCGCCCCTCCATCAGCAGTTCCAGACTCTGAGCCTGGGAGCGTGCATTACCAGGAACATGGAGACACGGTGGCTACACGTGAAGGTGGGTTCTGATGATGCTAGATTGCTGTGGGCAGATATTCTGGGACTTCTCAGAGCCCTGAAATCCTTCCTTTGTGGAAAAGTCAACTGGGCCGAAAGTTGGACCTGATGTCCAAGATTTGAGGGTCACCCTTCCCCACGGGTGGGGTCTCTTGGAGGGGAAGACCTTCACTGTTGGAGTCAGCAAGCCCATTCCTGAATCCCAGCTCTGCCTCTAGCAGCTGCGGGTGTCTGCAGCCTCTAATTTAACCAAGAAAATCTCCAGCCCCCTGCTTTTCAAGGTGGAGCTACCACCTGAAATAGGATGTGACCTAGCCTGAATGTGCCTAGAAGTTTCAGCTCCTCTGTTTTCATGATCACTAGTATTAGTGTTTCATGATCACTAGTATTTACCTTCTCAAAATATAGTTTGTCAGCCGTGTGCCGTGACTCATGCCTGTAATTCCAGCACTTTGGGAGGCCAAGGTGGGTGGGTCACTTGAGGGCAAATCGCTTGATGTCAGGCGTTCAAGACCGGCCTGGACAACATGGCGAAACCCCGTCCCTACTAAAAATACAAAAATTTGCCAGAAATTGCTTGAGCTTGGGAGGCAGAGGTTGCAGTGAGCCAAGATTGTGTCACTGCACTCCAGCCTGGGTGACAGAGCGAGGCTTCGTCTAAAAAAATAAAAAATAAAAAGTTAGCCAGGCATGGTGGTACACACCTGTAGTCCCAACTACTAGGGAGGCTGAGGTAAGAGAATTTCTTGAACCTGGGAGGCAGAGGTTGCAGTGAGCCGAGACTGCACCACTGCACTCCAGCCTGGGAGACAAAGTGAGACTCCATCTCAAAAAAAATTAATACCAGGGTTATGGAGACTTCTCCAGCAATAATGAAAGAAATTTTGCAGATATATAGAGACAATCTAGGTGACATTCTTTTTAAAATTGTGTGCACCACAGGCTAACAAACAAGCAAATACCATGGGTGACTTCATTTATGTACACTGGAGCGAAAGAGAACATTCTGCTATAGAACAAAACCTCAAACAGACCAAAGCTCCAATAGAAGAAAAGACAAACCACCCCCACCCCAAATTCAAAGCTGCCTTAAAGTAAAACTAGTGGGAGAAAGAATTTGCATCCTCTGAGCAATTTGAAATAAAAACTTCAGAATCATAATAGTGACTCTACCATAATTTTCTGTAATAAAACATCTATTATAACAGATATGGCAATACAATAAAAGTCCTATTGTTCCAGAAACTGTATTATAACTGAAACAGGATAATTATAGAAATACTTGCGTGAGAATTGCATGTTCAACAGAACCATTGAAAAATCATTCTTCTCAGACTGAAAATAAGTCTTCCAGGCACAGAAGAACTCTTCAGTGAGATCTGAAATGCAAGACAAGGTGGATTTTTTTTAAGTCTTTTATAGCAGCTTGACCTTCTAAAGTCTCGTCAGGGCCATCTGTAAACTCCAAGGCCCCATCAGCCTCCAGCTCTGAGTTCCACACTTTATTTGGAATACTAACATCTATGAGTAGATTTTTAAGTAGGGCATCTCTTTATATTCTTTCAATAGACAGATTTTCGGGTGAATCTTGGCTCTATCGAGTTCATTTGTAAATTCTAACTTAGAATTTTTAGCTTTTTAGAACAGTTGACCTCTGGAACATTTTGTAGAAATCCCATCCTATGTGGAAGGCATTGCTGATAGTACCACCCTCCCTGTTTTATAGTTTACAAAGCACCTTTCAGTTTTTATTCCTCTTTGAATCCTCACAATAATCCCAGGTTGTTGAGAGCAGGGATTCTCATCCTGATTTTGTATTTGAGAAAATTGAGGATTATCTGTTTGGGAGCAGGGGCTGGGGGATTTGTCTGGAAGCTGTGTTTGCAGTGTAAGCATGCTGTTTTTACTTAGTTTGTCTTTTTTTTTTTTTTTTTGCTGTGGCTTTGGGGAAACTGATGAGAATTAGTGAGGAACCAGAGGGCCTGCAAGCCCTCTGTGACAAGTAGGGCTTGTCATCACTACTGACTTTTAATGTCCCATCTTGGGTAACCTGGTACTTGAAAGGTTGGGAACCTGGAGGAAATTCACTGAGTGATGATGGTGGCTGAGGGACTGAGGGAGGGAGCTGGGAGGAAATAATAATAATAATGACAATGATGATAACACACACTCAACATGACAGCAAATATGCAGAGTGGTGCTAAGTGGTGACTAAAGGGACATGATAACCATCTACAAATATTTGAAGGATGTAAACACCAAGGAAGAAGATGAATTAATTATTTAAAAGAACAGTGATGAAGCCTGGGAAGAGATCATTACCAGTCCCCAAGCCACCTTGTCCTTCCACAACCCTTTCAGGATTAAGCTCTCCCAAGACCGAAGGGAGGTGGCAGGATGGTTTCCCTGCACACAACAGTCTTGACATAGGCATGGCCCGAGGCTGTTAATATTTTTTTGAGACAGGATCTCACTCTGTTGCCCGGCGAAGTGTAGCAGTACGATCACAGCTCACTGCAATGCAGCCTCAGTCTCCTGGGCTCAAGCGATCCTTCCACCTCAGCCTCTTGAGTAGCTGGGTCTACAGACACATGCCACCATGCCCGACTAATTTTTAAATTTTTTGTAAAGATGAGGTATTGCTATGTTGCCCAGGCTGGTCTTGAACTCCTGGTCTGAAGTAATTCTCCCACCGTGACCTCCCAAAGTGCTGGAATTACACTAGTGAGCCACCGCGCTTAACCCGAGGCTGTTATTTTTATTTTTTTGAGACGAGGTCTCGCTCTGTCGCACAGGCTGGTGTGCGGAGTGCAGTGGGGCCATCTCAGCACACTGCAACCTCCGCCTCCCAGATTTAAGCGATTCTCCTGCCTCAGCCTCCCGAGTAGCTGAGACTACAGGCGCGCTACAGCACGCCCAGCTAATTTTTGTATTTTTAGAAGAGACGGAGTTTCACCATGTTGACCAGGATGGTCTCGATCTCTTGATTTCGTGATCTGCCTGCCTCGGCCTCCCAAAGGGCTGGGATTACAGGCATGAGCCACCATGCTCAGCCCAAGGCTGTTATTTTTATTGTGCCATGGGTGGACATGTATGTACTATGCACGTGCTCAGATTATAATAATCACAGCTGGCATCTGGTGAATACTTCGTGCTAGGGTTTGCATGTTTCCTTTAAAACTCATGTTGAAATTCAATGGCCGTTGTGGTGAGATAGATATATATTATATTAAATATTATATATAATATTGTATTATATATAATTATATATAATAATATAATATATAATTATATATAATATATAAATACATATTTATATATTTAATATTTATATATTTATATATTTATTTTTTATATTATATATATAATATATAATATAATTATATATAATTTATATATATATATAATTTATATATATATAATTATATATATATAATTTAATATATATAAATATATATAATTATATATAATTATATAATAGTACAATTATATATACTGATATATTATATTATATATTATATAATTCTATATCTTTGTCCAAACTTATATATTATATAATTCTATATCTTTGTCCAAACTTATATATTATATATATTTTATATATATATAAATATATATATTTATATTATATAAATATATATATTTATATTATATAAATATATTTATATATTATATATATAATATATATATAATATATATAAATATATATAAATATAATATATATATAAATATATATAATATATATATAAATATGTATATTATATATATAAATATATATATTATATATATATATAATTTATATATATATTTATATATATATAAATTATATATATATAATTATATATATAATATATATAATTATATATAATTATATAATAGTACAATTATATATACTGATATATTATATTATATATTATATAATTCTATATCTTTGTCCAAACTTATATATTATATAATTCTATATCTTTGTCCAAACTTATATATTATATATATTTTATATAATATATAATATATGTTATATATATTATACGATATATATTTTATATATATATATTTTTTTTGAGATGGAGTCTACCCTGTTACCCAAGCTGGGGTGCAGTGGCATTTTCTTGGCTCACTGCAACCTCCACCTCCCGAGTTCAAGAGACTCTTCTGCCTCAGCCTCCCGAGTAGGTGGGATTACAGGCATGTGCCTCCATGCCCGGCTAATTTTTTTATTTTTAATAGAGATGGGGTTTTGCCATGTTGGCCTGGCTGGTCTCAAACTCCTGACCTCAGGTGATCTGCATTGGCCTCCCAAATTGCTAGGAGAACCTTTCAGCAGTGATGAGGTCATGAGGGCTTTGCCCTCATGAGTGGATTAATGCTGTGATCACAGGAGTGGGCTCTTGATAAAGGAATAAGGGTGGCCCTCTTCCCTCTCTTATGCTCCCTCTTTATGTGATAACTTCTGCCATCTTATCATGTAGCAAGAAGGCCCTCACCAGATGTGGCCCTTAGATCTTGGAATTTCCAGCCTCCAGAACTATGAGGCAAATAAATATCTTCTCTTTATAAATTACTCAGTCAGTGGCATTCTGTTGTAGCAGTAGAAAACAGATTAAGACACCTGGTATTAAGGGTTGAATTGTATAAAGATGTGTTGAAGTCCTAACCCCATCACTGGGAATGTGACCTTATTTGGAAATAGGGTCTTTGCAGATGTAATCAAGTTAAAATGAAGTTATTAGGGAGGGCTCTTAATCCAATATGACTATCAATCAGAAGAGAGAAGTTTGGGCTGGGTGCAGTGGCTCGTGCCTGTAATCCCAACACTTTGGGAGGCTAAGGTGGGCGGATCACCTGAGGTCGGGAGTTTGAGACCAGCCTTACCAACATGGTGAAACCCTGTCTCTACTAAAAATACAAAAATTAACCAGGCATGGTGGTGCACACCTGTAATCCCAGCTACTCGGGTGACTAAGGCATGAGAATTGCTTGAACCCGGGAGGTGGGGGTTGCAGTGAGCCGAGATTACACCACTGTACTCCAGCCTAGGCAACAGAGGAGACTCTGTCTCAAAGCAACAACAAAAAGAAACAACAGGCCGGGCGCGGTGGTTCACGCTTGTAATCCCAGCACTTTGGGAGGCCGAGGCGGGCGGATCACGAGGTCAGGAGATCGAGACCATCCTGGCTAACACGGTGAAACCCCGTCTCTACTAAAAATACAAAAAAATTAGCCGGGCGTGGTGGCGGGCGCCTGTAGTCCCAGCTACTCGGGAGGCTGAGGCAGGAGAATGGCGTGAACCTGGGAGGCGGAGCTTGCAGTGAGCCGAGATTGCGCCACTGCACTCCCACCTGGGCCACAGAGCGAGACTCCGTCTCAAAAAAAAAAAAAAAAAAAAAAAAAAAAAAGAAACAACAAAAGAAGCTATAGGGTTTTTGGGTGTGGCCCACATTGCGGATCATCCAGCCCTGGTCTAGGTGGGTGGCTTTAGCCTGAAGGAGCCATGGAAGTTTTAGGAGCTGGTGCACTCAGCTTTGGGAGAAAGTGAGGGCATAGAACGCTGGCCCCGTCTGAGTTTTGACTCTGGCTGGCCGTGTGAACACCACCTAGCACCCTAGGGCATTGTTGGGCCCATCAGCAAGAGAATGTTTTGTCAAGGTGGGGGTAGAACTGGATTTCCCACTACCTTGGGCCCATGAGGCTCATGGGACTTTGGAGAAGCCGCTCATTTTCACATTCTGTAATGTAAACAAGAATAATCTAGATTCATATATATTACCTCCTTTTATGTTGAGAACAACCCTATAGGATAAGTACTACTCTTGTTGCCATTTCCCAGATGAGGAAACTGAGGCACGGAGACGTGGAAGAACTTTCCCTAGGTCACTGTAAGCAGCATAAAGCATCGCTGTGTGCTGGGCCAGTGCCATTTCCGCGCCACCACCGAGACCCCACGGCACGCCTTGCTCACTGTGCAGGAGGCCGCAGTTGCCTTTAGGAGCATGAGGCACTGTGTGCTCCATCTCTGGGGTTCAGAGTGTGCGGTCATGTTATGCCTGCATTCGTATCAGAATGAGGCCCAGGAGGCTGATGGGTTGCAGATTTGCATGCAATGGCGCGATCTCGGCTCACTGCAACCTCCATCTGCCGGGTCCAAGCGGTTCTCCTGCCTCAACCTCCCGAGTAGCTGGGACTACAGGCTTGCACCAACCATGTCTGGCTCATTTTTCCATGTTTAGTGGAGATGGGGTTTCACCATGTTGCCCAGGCTGGTCTCAAAGTCCTGGCCTCAGGTGATCTGCCCGCCTCGGCCTCCCAAAGTGCTGGGATTACAGGTGTGAGCCACCGCGCTGGGCTGCATGAACCTCTTACATGCTTGCCTTCTCTGGAGGGCCTGGACTTTGAAGCTTCTTTCACTCCCAGCATCTTTCCCTACACAGGCCCTCTTCCCCACTATCTCTGGGGGAGGAGTCTGCAGGCCAGTTCTGCAATGTGCCGCCAGAGGGAGCTGCCCGCAGAGAAACGGGAGCGCCACACTCAGGCCCCAGGAAGGCAGCAAGCTGAGTTCCCCTGGCCTCAGTTCACTTTCCCTCTTGAAAGTCACCCAAACTCAAGCAAAAGCTCCGATTCAGGAATAAATGGGGTTGTTTTATCCCAGCCAAGGCCTGGGGAAGCTTGGTATTAAGAGCGTTTGTTCCATTCTTTTAAAAATGGAAAAGGGTCCGTCCTCTGGGTGCCCATGGCACCCTGGAAAGCAGGCAGAGTGCTGGTCACAGGCGGAGACTTTGAGATACCGAGACCGAGGCTGGAGTTTGGGCCCTGAAACTTTCTAACCAGGATGGCCTTGGGCAGAGCAGCCTGTGTTTAGAGCTTCCCATCTGTAATATAGCAGTGACAACCATGCCTGCTTTGCAGGGTTCCTGTTAGGATTAATTCTCTATAGAGCCCCCCAGAAGCCACTTTTGGATTTGAGATGGTTCAAGGCCAGACCTTGCATGACAAGAGTAGGGACAGCTTTCCACAGGCCTCAATAAAGTAGTATTCCCAGGCAGTTCTGCAACCCCAGCCTCATGCCCTTTGCACCTTCCTAAGAGGCTGCCTTGCCTCAGCTTTGGTCCCCATCCAAGACTCCTAAGAGCAAAGCCAGTTCTTTTCCTTTTTTTTCTTTCTTTAAGAGACGGTCTCACTCTGTCACCCAGGTTGAAGTGCAGTGGTGGGATCATAGTTCACTGCAGCCTCGAACTCCTGGGCTCAAGCAATCCTCCCGCTTCAGCCTCCCAAAATGCTGTAGGTCACAGGTATGACTCACCCACCCGGCCTAATTTTTATTATTATTTGTAGAGATGGGATGTCACTGTGTTGCCCACGCTCGAACTGCTGGGCTCAAGCAATCCTCCCTCCTCAGCCTCACTGGCAGCTGGGATTACGAGTCCCACCCAACCTGCTTCTCCTTTTGCAACCCCCAGACCCAGAGGCTCCAGAGCAGGCTCTGGAACAGAGGAAATCTGGCTCCGGCCCACACATTCACCAAATACTGACGCAGCACCCTTGACCTCCAGATGCCCCTGTGCTCTCTTCTGTGCCCAGGCTGCGGGGAGAGAGGGGTCCTCCAGGCCAAAGGGAGGGAGGTCTCCGGGAGGTCCCCGCGGTCCTGGAGGCAGGTGCGCGGGGCCCGGATGTGATCATGCGTGCGCGTGGGAGAAAGGCAGGGCTGGGCCTGCGGGAGCGCGGCCTTGCGGTTCCCAGGACTCTTCTCCGGGCGCCTCGTCTCCTTACGCCACCCGCAACCCAAGCCAGGGCCCCGGTGACAGCGGCGGGGTGGGCCAGGACCGGGGAGGGGGTGCCCAGCAGCGACCCCCGGCTCCCCCTAAGGCCGGGCGCAGCTCGGAGCCAGGAGCTGGCCCGGCGCGTGGCTTCCCGGAAGGCCCGGCGCAGCCGGAAGGTGGGACGGAGGGCGGGGCCAGCGCCGGGGCCGCCACCAAGGCCTGCGCGACCCTCCGCGGGGCTGGGGAGCTGGGCGGGGAGCCCGGGGCCTGCCAGGCCCGGGCTGCAGCCGCGTCTGATCGCCGAGCGCGCCGCGTAGACCTCCGCTCCCCCAGGTAAAGGAGCGCCCGGAGCCGGGGCGGGGCGCCTCCCAGGCCGCGCCCCGCGAGAGGAGGGGGCACCCCAAGAGCAGGCCTGGAGACCCGGGAGTGCCTTGGGGAGAGGGTCCCCGCCCTGCCGGGAGCCCGGCCCTCCCGGTGCCGGGGTGGACACTGTTAGTGTAGTCATTGTCCCTATGGAGAAACTGAGGCATGGAGAGGCTGAAGTCACACAAGTAAGCAGCAGAGCTGGGACTAGAGTCCCGGGCCCTGGCTCGCTGTCACCCAGGAGTGGCGTAGGCATGGGTGTGGTGGGTGGGGGTGGGGTGCGGGTGGTGGATGTGGTGGGAGTGGGTGAGGTTGGGTGGGGTGGGGATGTGGGTTTGGCGGGGGTGGGGTGCGGAATGTGATGGGTAGGGGTGGGGTAGAGTGGGGGTGGCTGGTGGGGCAGGGGCGGGGCTGGGGGTGGGGTGCTAGGTATTATAAATGTGAAGCGGATCCTGACAGGACACCTGTGGGGCAGCGGAGCTGGGCTGAGCCATATGGGAAGAAAATCTGGGCGCTAGTTTAGATTTGGTCAGGAAGGGTCGTTAATGCTTTAGGAGGTGAGATTAGTTTTGGGGATGGCAGGTAGTTTGTTGAGCTTTTGTTTAGACAGTCTTGCTCTGTTGTCCAGGCTGGAGTGCAATGGCGCGATCTCGGCTCACTGCAACCTCCACCTCCCTCGTTCAAGCAATTCCCCTGCCTCAGCCTCCCTAGTAGCTGGGATTACAGGCGACACCACCAAGCCTGGCTAATTTTTTTGTATTTTTAGTAGAGACGGAGTTTCACCATATCGGCCAGGCTAATCTCAAACTCCTGACCTTGCGATCCACCTGCCTCAGCCTTCTGCAATGCTGGGATTACAGACGTGAGCCACCCCGACCAATTTTTGTATTTTTTAGTAGAGACGGGGTTTCACCATCTTGGAATAGCACCTGTAGTTCCAGCTACTCGGGAGGCCGAGGCGGAAGAATTGCTTGAGGCCAGTTCCCGACCAGCCTAGGCAACACAGGGAGACTGCGTTTCTGGAAAAAACAACAACAACACCAGCAACAACAAAAAGCAGGAAGGAAGGGGAGAGGGAAAGAGAAAGAGAGAGAGAGAGAACGAAAGAGAAAGAGAAAAGGAAGGAAGGAAGGAAGGAAAGAAAGAAAAAAAGAAAGAGGGATACTTTGAGAAGCTTTGAAGTGATCTGTTTATTGATCAAGTAGATAGGTAAGGTGCATGCTGCCAGGAGGAGCTGGGGTAGGGAGGGCAGGGCCCTGCTGTATGGGGGTGGGCAGGGGACGGCCCCTGCTCAGCCCTGGCCTCCATTGCTACACAGAATGGCAGGTCCAATGTGATCTGGTCTTCTGATTTTTCAGGAGAAATCAGGAATCTGAGGTGCATGCAAAATCTCCTGATTTTTAAATATTGGCAACTAATTTGTTTTAAAAAAACAACAACTATGAGCTAATCCAAAACTGTTTGCTGGTGGGATCCACCTACTGCCTTTGCGCTGGGGTATGGAGAGGTGGGAGGTCAATGTTGACAAGAGCCAGATCTAATTTTTTGTTAAAGAAAAGGGTACTTGGAGGTCAGATAGCTCTCTTCATAGCTATCTGAAGCCTTCCTCTCCCTTATCTCTTACAATCTGGTCCAAACTCAGAAAGCTAGGCCGCTCTCGGTGAGATGGGCTTGTCTCCGTCTCTCTGTACCTGTCAGAGCAGCCTGGGCGCCTGCAAGAAACCGGGGCTTCCAGTTGGCATTTGCCTTCCCTGTGGCTGGCAGATGGGCTTCCTGTGATCAAGGCCTGGTATGTGGATAAATCTGAGTGTGAAATAGGTGTGATACAGTGGGGGAGGGGGAGCCACACTCCCACCCCCTAAGGTCTGTCCCCATCCTCCCTCCTCACCCACTTCCCTGTCATTTACAGACAAAGGCAGCCTTGCGGTGGGAGAAGGAGCAGGGTGGGCTTCCCTCTCAATCTGGTGAGCCTGGAGAATTCAGGAAGCTGAGCTTTTTAGCAAGGGCTCAGGAGATGGAGTTACTAACCTTTCTTCCCCAACAAGAGCCTGTTAATGCTCTAACTTCTGAAATGATTACTACAAAGAAATTGAACCTTGGATGGAGTCAGCCACAACATCTCTACCCGTGGTGCTGGACTATTAAAACACAGTGACTTCCTCTGCCTGCCCTCACACACGCAGTGATAGCTGCTGGCCCTCCCATTCTGCAGAACCCTGGGCTTGTGTCTCAGTGAAACCTGCCTCATTGTCTGAGATATCACTGAAGTTCTGGGTCTCATGGCCAAGGAAATCAAGGACGCAGACACTCCAGAGGGTAGGTTAGAGCAGAAGTTTAATAAGCAAAAGAAAGAAAGCTCTCTGGATCAGAGAGGGGTCCCAGAAAGATGGGTTGCCATTTTACAGTGAAATGCAAGGGTTTTTATAGAAAAGCTGGTGGGAGGGGTGCTTCATTTACATAAGGTGCGAATTTCTGAGTCCCCCGCCCCACTGTTTCTAGTGCACATGTGGGCTTCTTAGCCTGAGTTACTACTCCATGTTGCTTATTTCTTCCTACTGTGCATGTGTGAAAAAGGTTGGGTGGTGGGGGGGAAGAACACTCCAAGGTAGACATGCCTGGTCCAGGGTAGCTCTTCTTATCAGTGCCATGCAAGCCTCTGTGTCTGAGTATTTCTTTTTTCTTTTTTTTTTGAGACGGAGTCCCACTCTGCTGCCAGGCTGGAGTGCAGTGGTGTGATCTCAGCTCACTGCAACCTCCACCTCCCGGGTTCAAGTGGTTCTCCTGCCTCAGCCTCCCAAGTAGCTGGGATTACAGGCGAGCACCATGACACCTGGCTAATTTTTGTATTTTTTTAGTAGAGATGGGTTTTCACCATGTTGGCCAGGATAGTCTCGATCTCTTGACCTCGTGATCTGCCCACCTCGGCTTCCCAAAGTGCTGGGATTACAAGCGTGAGCCACCGTGGCCGGCCGTGTCTTGAGTATTTCTAAGAAGGGAGAGGACTGTGCTTACTGGGGCCCACCATATGTCTGTATGTCACACAGGGGACCCGCTTTCTGTGTTAGAGCTTGCCTTCCTTATCTGTGTTTCCTGAAAGGGCAACGACTTCTTAGGCTGCTTTTTGTTAGAAGGGAATTCTGCCAAGGACCCTTGCCCTAACTATTTGCCTAATTGATTTCTCTCTCTCCTCTCACATTGATGCTGGCCTGGCTGGAGCAGGTAGAGCTGGAAGTAGCATTTTTGCAAGGACATCTCTTTAGCCTCTGTAGATTTTCACCTCAAGTCATTCGGAGCAGGTCGGAAGCTAGGTTTTTTTTGGGGGGGGAAGCCAGTAGAGCTAAAGTGGTTATGTATCTGTTTCCTGCCTTCCTTCTTTCCACTTCTACATGCATTTTCTTGCTGTGCAGAAACTGTTTTGAGAGTGCAGACCCAAAACTGCAGAAAACCTGTTTTGGGAGTGGTGTCTGGGTGCTGGCCTGGAAGCCAGCCTTGCAGACCAAGCATGGCAGGGCTCAGGGTCTTCACGCCCGGGGAAAGGGAGGTTCCTTGCAGCCTCCAAAGGGGCCCTCCTGAGACCTGGGCAGTGCCTCTCTTTTTCCAATATAATTGACAGATGAAAAGCTGGATATAAACCAGAACTAAGCTCAAAGGTGATTAGATATTTTACACCAGGATTTTGAGCTTTTTGTAAGATTTTACTGTAAAATTATTTCCTTTGGTTACTTTAATATGTACTTCAAATATATCTCATTTTGTGCTGGACGTAGTGGCTCACGCCCATAATCCCAGCACTTTGAGAGGCCAAGGCAGGCAGATCACCTGAGGCCAGGAGTTCAAGACCAGCCTGGCCAACATGGTGAAACCCCATCTCTACTAAAAATACAAAAATTAGCCAGGTGTGGTGGTGCATGTCTGTAGTCCCAGCTATTCGGGAGGTTGAGGCAGGAGAATCGCTTGAACGTGGGAGGCGGAGGCTGCAGTGAGCCGAGATCGCGCCGCTACACTCCAGCCTAGGTGACGGAGCAGACTCTGTCTCAAAAAAAAAAAAAAAAAAAAAACCTCTCTGTATATCTCTATCTAGCTATCTATGTCATTTTGTTTGTGTGATAGCTTTTCAGGACCATGGTGACTGGATAAATCAGGTTCTGCGCTCCGTCTCCCCATTTCCAGGTGGCTTCTGCCTGTTCAGTCCTGACACTGTTATAATGCCATTTTATCGTTTAGACATTTGTATGTAAACAAATCTTGACCACTGGAATAGTGGAAGGGGGTTCTCTTCTGGGGAGAAGGAGGAGGCATTCAACCTGTCAGCAAGCAAAGGAGCTGGGCAGGGCCTGGAAAGCAGGAGACCAGGTTTTGGGAGACCCAGGGCACAGGGTAGCCAGAGCAGGGACCCCCAGGCCTGAGTGCTCCTCCAGTCCCTTATGTGAGCAGGGCTCACAAGGCCTGCCCTCCCACTGCCTCTCATACTCCATGGGGACAAAAAGACATATCTAGGGGTGCTTGTTTGCAATTTCTGAATTTGAAGACTGAGTAACGAATGTCAGAGTCCTGCGTTATGCCCTCTTGGGGTCTTGCTGCCCAAAGTGAGATCAGAGGAGCACTTTGGGGGCTTGTTGGAAATGCAGAATCTTACCCTCCCATACTGGCTGTATCTGACAAGGTTTTCAGTGATTCCCGTGCACTTGTGGAGAATCACAGGTCTAATGTGTACCAACGGGGAAAAAGAAGGGAAATTTACAGGGGCAGGAGCGCAGGATGCTCTCCTGGGACTGCAGAGAAGTTCTGAGGACCTGGCTTTGCGGTCCTCTCATGGATTCATGGGTTTGTTCTCTGGGCTCAAAATTATATCCCAGGATTGGGAGAGCAATTTTACAGTAGGGACTTCTGCTTCTGGATCATCCTTGGGTCAGAAAAGCACACATGTCTGGGTACGGTGGCCCACACCTGTAATCCCAGTACTCTGGGAGGCTGAGGCAGGAAGATTGCTTGAGCTCAGGAAGTCAAGACCAGGCTGGGCAACATTGCGAGACCCTGTCTCTATGAAAACAAAAAATTAGCTGAGCGTAGTGTTGCATGCCTTTAGCCCCAGCTACTCAGGAGACTGAGGTGGGGGGATCACTGTAGCCCAGGAGTTCAAGGCTGCAGTCAGCCATGATCGCACCACTGCACACCAGCTTGGGCAACAAGAGACACTGTCTCTTAAAAACAAACGAACAAACAAAACAAAAAAACCTCATAAAACATATAACCCAAAGATATTAAGGTCAAATGTAGTGGCTCACGCCTGTAATCCTAACACTTTGAGAGGCTAAGGCAGGAGGATCTCTTGAGCCCAGGAGTTCAAGACCAGCCTGGGCAACATAGTAGTCATCTCTACTAAAAATAAAAATAAAATTAGCTGGGCGTGGTGATTGCATACCTGTAGTCCCATCTACTCAAGAGGCTGAGGTGGGAGGATCGCTTGAGCCCAGGAGGTCAAGGCTGCAGTGAGTTGTGATCATGCCACTGCACTCCAGCCTGGGCAACAAAGCAAGACCCCATCTCAAAAAAAAAAAAAAAAAAGATAATAAGCAATAGAATCTATCCATAACTTCCTCAGTTGAATTGCTGTAGCACCTGTTTCAATATTTCCACCTAGAATGAAATGGGAAGTGCTGGTGAGAAAGGGAAGTACTGCTGGAGCCTTGGGCTCAGCCAGAGCTCTGAGGAGACCCCCCACCTCGTGGCCCCTTTGATTTTCTCAGCCTTTGGGCTCTCCAGAGCCCGTCTCTCCCTGCCCTGGCTCCAGCATGCCACACATTTTCCCTACCCTGGAGGATTGTGCTAAAGGTCATTGTGCTAAAGGTCTACTCGCCCGTCCGTCTGTCTATTCATATATATTGCAAAGCCTGGGAATGATTTCATGTATTTTTTCTCCAGTTGCTTTGTCTCCCTGCTTTATCTTTTCCCTGCTTTTAGTGTCCCATGGGTACAACTGTGTTGACTTTTAAGAACAGTTGCTTAAGGCAGCCCAGTGTGTGTGTTAGTAACAGTGTTCGTTCAGAGCCATCCTGGGTCGGGAGCCTGCAGGCTTCCAGACTTACGCCAGGCACTTCCTGCCCATCCTGCTGGCACTGTCTGAGAGTCCAGCCTGTAGGGACTGTCTCCGTCTTAGAAGGGAGGTATCTGACCCTCTGCTCAGGGCCCACTGCAGGTCAGTGCCCGTGTGGTCACAGGGTCCCATCCCTTCCCTGGCTCTGGCTTGGCCTCAGCTCAGATGCCTCACGCCGGGACTTCCCGTTCTCTGCTGGGCTTTGTGTGCAGGGCATTCCCCGGGCCAGTGCAAAGGCCACTAATGCCAGAAGGGTCAGACCACCTCCCTCGTGATGAACCAGCAGAACATGTGGCCGGGTTGCTCCTTAATCTGTCGTAAGTCAGAAGTTAATCAGAGGGCAAAGAAGACCTTTCATCCACTCAGCTGCTGCTATTTGCTTATTCACTAACTGCTGCCTGTCCTGTCTGTGGGAACTTTCCACCGTCTGGATGCTGTCTGTCATACAGGCGCTTGGAGCTGCTGAGCTTTCCTGAAAAGGGGGACCCTTCCTTAAAACTCTAGGAACTAGAGTGGCATTGTGATGGAAATACTCTTATGCTCATTGAAACTGTCCCTCTGAACTTCTCCCTCGAAGGCCCGCCACGATGACTATCATGGTGGAGGACATCATGAAGCTGCTGTGCTCCCTTTCTGGGGAGAGGAAGATGAAGGCGGCTGTCAAGCACTCTGGGAAGGGTGCCCTGGTCACAGGGGCCATGGCCTTCGTCGGGGGTTTGGTGGGCGGCCCACCGGGACTCGCCGTTGGTAAGTGCAGGTGTCTCACAGAGATAGCCAGCCTCGGGGATGTCATAAAAGGGCCGTTGAAACACAGGGAGAAGGCCAGGCACAGTGTGGCTCATGCCTGTAATCCCAGCACTTTGGGAGGCCGAGGCGGGCGGATCACCTGAGGTCAGGAGTTTGAGACTAGCCTGGCCAACATGGTGAAACCCCGTCTCTACTAAAAATACAAAAAATAGCTGGGCGTGGTGGCGGGTGTCTGGTGTATGTAATCCCAGCTACTCGGGAGGCTGAGGCAGGAGAATCGCTTAAACCCGGGAGGCAAAGATTGCAGTGAGCCAAGATCATGCCATTGTACTCCAGCCTGGGTGACAGAACGAGACTCTATCTCAAAGAAAAAAAAAAAAAAGGAAAAAGAAAAAAGAAAAGAAACACAGGGAGAAATGAACTTGTACAAGTGGTGCCATGCGTCTTGTGGGAGGAGTTGGTGGAGTTAAAGATGCCTCTGGGAAATGATCTTTGTAGATATAATTTGCCCCATTGGAAATGCAGGCTTCTGTGTGAATGTCTCAGAAGTGTGGGGTACTCTTGTAAATGGCATCTGTGTCATTTGGGCCTAGAGGCATCTTTCCCCCAGTGCTGGGATCCCAGAATAAGTATCAGAGCAGCAGGCCTCTGAAGATACCAGGGTGTCCTGGGTCCCATGGTGGCCTTCATGACTGTGAGGTCCCTGCAGAAAGGAAACCAGGGAGGAGGCTGGGAGGAGCCATGCACCTTCTCAGCACATATGGTGTGGCCATTTCATGTGAGCCAGCTCACTCTGAGAGAGCTCCCTTGTTCTGAAAGAGACCACCAAAAGAACTGCCTTTCACCCTTAGAGGGCCTGCCCACCTCCTTTACCACCTGCTTTTTTCTTTCCTTTTTGAGACCGAGTCTCATTCTGTCGCCCACACTGGAGTGCAGTGGCATGATCTCGGCTCACCGCAACCACTGCCTTGTGGGTTCAAGTGATTCTCCTGCCTCAGCCTCCTGAGTAGCTGGGACTACGGGTGTGTGCCACCACACCCGGCTAATTTTTGTATTTTTAGTAGAGACAGGGTTTTGTCCTTTTGGCCAGGCTGGTCTCAAACTCCTGGCCACAAGCGATCCACCCGCCTGGGCCTCCCGAAGTGCTAGGATTACAGGCGTGAGCCACTGTGCCTGGCCATTTACCACCTGCTTCTATTTGAGAATCAATTTCAGGCAATGAATGAAAGTTTGGCTAATTTTTCCACTGTTCCTTGGAGCTGGGATGAAGTTACTTTCTTTGGCTTGGGGAAGGAAGAATTCCTGTGTCCTGAGCCTCAGAAGGTCTACCTGGCCTGGGGCTGTGGCCCAAACCATAGATGGAGTCAGAGAGCTGAACTTTTCTGCTGAGGTTGGCTTCCGTTCCCCAGCTCGCTGGCCGGGTTCCTGCCCTGTTCTTCCCTTCTGTAGTGGGATTGACATTCAAGGACATTTCGTTAAGCTGAGGCTCACACTGAGGAGAAAAATAAATGTGTGGGTGGCCCCAGACCTTCCCTTTCCATATTTTCCTTTCCAAACTCCATGAATTAGTGAGGCCTGACTTCAGCATCTTGCCATCCGGGAAGGAACCGGAGATGGGGGAGACAAGGCTGTTTCCTTCTTCCTCGATGACACTGTGCATCTGTGCCCCCACCTCCATCTCAGTGCTCAGGGGAAGGCTTTGGGGATCATTTTGTCATATAGCTGTGCCCAGATGCTATTTTGGGAGCACATATTTTATTCAGATTGAGTAAAAGCTGGTAGAGAACAGGATGTCCACTAAGAGAGCCCGGGGGATTCACTACTTCCAGTCCCTGGTCATGGGCGGGAGCATCATTTTACCCTGAAAACAAAGGAATTTTCTCCTCTCCAAAGAGCCAGTAATTTGCTGGTCGATATTCCTGGCGACTTTTTGCATTAAGTGCTGCTCTAAATCAAATATTGATGTTCTCATAAAGGTTTAGTGCACATGAGTGCAACTCTTGTCGACTTGGAGCATTTCACTGGTGTCATGGGGAAAAGTTCAGTAAAACTTGTAAATTAGCTGGTTTTCCCTTCCCAGAATGTGCCTTTCTTTTGCAGAGGAGGTGAACCCTGTCTGCGTGTGGCATTCAGCCTCTGGGATATGGGGCTGGCCCCAGCTCAGTACCCGGGGTGGTGTCTGCTCCAGGGGCCTCGGTGCTTGGCTTCCAGAAGAAGCAAGCGCTGGTTTTGCTGCCTGTTGTCTGAGTCCAGCCTGCCAGTGGGTTCTCTCTGGCCTGGGTTGCATTTTTGAAAGAAACTTTTCATTTCCCAATAATATTAGGTTTACAGAGAAGTCGTGAAGATAGTACAAAGGATTCCTGTATATCTTCCATCCAGTTTCGGTTCTCCTAGCGATCACATGTATTACTGTATGCTTGTCAAAACTAAAATGGGCTGGGTGCAGTGGCGCATGCCTCTGTAGTCTCAGCACTTTGGGAGGCTTGAGGCTGAAAGATTGCTTGAGCCCAGCAGTTCGAGACCGGACTGGGCAACATAATGAGACCCCGTCTCTACGAAAAATAATAAAAAAAAAATTAGCCAGGCATGGTGGTTCATGCCTGTAATCCCAGCTACTTAGGAGGCCAAGGTGGGAGGATTGCTTGAGCCTAAGAGTTTGAGGCTGCAGTGAGGTATGATCACACCACTGCACTCCAACCTGGGCAACAGAGTGAGATTCTGTCTAAGGAAAAAAAAAAAAAAACCTAAGAAACCAACACCAACGAATACATTACTATTAACCATTCTCCAGACTTGATTTGGGTTTCACCAGTTTCTGCATTAATGGCCTTTTTTTTTTTTTTTTTTTTTTGGTTTCAGGATCCAGTCTAAGACACCGCATTGCATTGAATCGCCTGCTTTCTTAGTCTCCTCTGGCCTTTAACACTTTCTCAGACTTGCCTTGTTCACAGCCTTGATAGTTTTGAGGAGTACTGGGCAGGTATTTCGTAGAACATCTCTCAGTTTGAATTTGCCAGTTGTGTTTAGGATGGGACTGGAGTTAGGAGTCTTTGGGAGGCATGCCTGGGAGGTGACATGCCCCTCTCCCTTGTCTTGCATTAATTCTGGGGGTGTGTGATATTCACATGACGTCAGTGATATTCACCTTGAACACTTGGTTAAGGGCATGTTTGCTGGGTTTTTCCACTGCAAAGTTTCTGTTTCCCTTTCCATACTCTGTCTGTTGAAAGTGAGTCACTAAGTCTAGTGGGCTTCATCTTTAAATATCTGATTGGTGATATTTAAAAATCGTGAGATGTTTTAAAGCTACAAATCTGGTATTTTGTGTGGTAGCAATGAACTGGCGTGAAGTAGCCACTGCCACTCCATAGGAACCAAGCTGTCCAGCTCTTCTGTGTCCTGGGCCTCGGAAGGTCCATGCGATTCAAGGCTTGGTTGGCCCAGACTATAGACTGGGATGAAGTCAGAGCCTGCCACCCATCCAATCTCAGCAGGGGAGAGGCCGGGTAAGGCCCAACCGCCCCTTCACTCTTCTTAGTTCCTCCCTGGCTCTTGGAGGCACTTGACTTTGGACCCCTTCCCTAGGGCACCTTCCGCTTCTCTGCACCATATTCTGCACGTGGCCTCTTCAGGTAGAACTTTCCGTGGATACAAGGTCTTTAAGTCCCAGAATAGCATGACATAGCCTTGGCAATGAGTTTACATTTAACAATAATGTTTCTGCCCTTTTAGGGTGGCAGAAGTAGAAATAGTAAGCTACCTTACATTTGATATTTATTTTTATTTTTTTGAGATGGAGTCTCACTCTGTCGCCCAGGCTGGAGTGCAGTGGCACAGTCTTGGCTCACTGCAACCTCTGCCTCCCGGGTTCAAGTGATTCTCCTGCCTCAGCCAGTAGCTGGGATTACAGGCACCCACCACTATGCCTGGCTAATTTTTTGTATTTTTAGTAGAGACAGGGTTTCACCATGTTGGCCAGGCTAGTCTCCAACTCCTGACCTCGTGATTCGCCCACCTCGGCCTCTCAAAGTGCTGGGATTACAGGCGTGAGCCACTGCGCCCGGCCAGTTTGTTATTTATCGATCATACAACTTGGAGGGGATCTATGAAAAGCACTGCTTCAAGAGGAAAGAGCCTCCTTATCTGTCCCCAGGTCCTTTAACCACATGGGCTCACTGAAGATTTTCTAAGTTCAGGGGCAAGGAGCATATCAGCTGCCTGGTGGAGGAAATTCAGTCTCACCACTGAGATGGTTTCTTTTTTGGAGACAGAGTCTTGCTCTGTCACCCAGGCTGGAGTGCAAGGGTATGATCTCGGCTCACTGCAACCTCTACTTCCCGGGTTCAAGTGATTCTCCTGCCTCAGCTTCCAAGTATCTGGGATTACAGGCATGTGCCCCCAAGCCCAGCTAATTTTTGTATTTTTAGTAGAGATGGTGTTTCACCATGTCGGCCAGGCTGGTGTCGAACTCCTGACCTCAGGTGATCCACCTGCCCTGGCCTCCCAAATTGCTGATATTACAGGCATGAGCCACCGCACCCAGCCTGAGATGGTTTCTCTTGAAAATGCATTTGTGGCTGGTTGTGGTGGCTCATGCCTATAATCCCAGCACTTTGCGGGGCCGAGGTAGGCGGATCACCTGAGGTCAGGAGTTCAAGACCAGCCTGCCAACATGGTGAAACCCTGTTTCTACAAAAATACAAAAATTAGCCAGGTGTGGTGGTGTGCGCCTGTAATCCCAGCTACTTGGGAGGCTGAGGTGGGAGAATCGCTTGAACCTGGGAGGCAGAGGTTGCAGCGAGCCAAGATCATGCCATTGCACTCCAGCCTGGGCAACAGAGCAAGACTCCGTCTCAAAAAAAAAAAAAAAAAAAAGAAAAGAAAAAGAAAATGCATTTGTTTCTCAGCCTTCTCCTTTGTGATTAGAGAGGGATTTTTACAGTAAGCCCAGAAACCTCCGTCAGCTCATGAAGAAGAAAGTGGGCCCAGCACTGAGGTGGGAGATGGGGCAGGCAGGCTTCATTTTGCATCCTTAAATGTGGAGCCCAGGGAATGCATGTTGGGTGTCAATTATCTGAGCCAAATGGACAGAAGACTGCATAAACCTTTGCCCTCCACACTGGCTGGCGGAGCAGGCGTGGCACCGGCTGAGCCCGCTGCAGCCCGCTCATGAATGTGCCTGCTCATGGTGATGGTGGTGTGCACTCAGTGGGAACTTAAGTAAGGCCATCGCTTATGAATAAGACCCACTAATTGAACGATTCCATGTTTTCTAGGGGGGGCTGTCGGGGGGCTGTTAGGTGCCTGGATGACAAGTGGACAGTTTAAGCCGGTTCCTCAGATCCTAATGGAGCTGCCCCCTGCCGAGCAACAGAGGCTCTTTAACGAAGCCGCAGCCATCATCAGGCACCTGGAGTGGACGGACGCCGTGCAGCTGACCGCGCTGGTCATGGGCAGCGAGGCCCTGCAGCAGCAGCTGCTGGCCATGCTGGTGAACTACGTCACCAAGGAGCTGCGGGCCGAGATCCAGTATGATGACTAGGCCGCACCTCCGGGGAGGTGGGGGGCCCCTTTAAATGACTCTGTGATTCTGAAGAGGTGGCTTGGGAGTTGGGAGAAGCCCAGCGGATGCCCCCTGGGGAATCTCCACATCATCAGTGTATTACTAGTAATGTCCCGCTGGAGAGGCCACCGCTGTGCAGTGTCATGTTCCAGAAATTACTGATGAAGCAGCATGTGTTGGTGGCATGTGCACTGGCCTGCCATGACAGCCCTCTGACTGGCCCCCCAGTGAAGAGTAAAGGCCTGCCTGCCGCAGGCTTCGGAGGCGTCTGCTGAGTCCTCTCACCCGCATGGGTCTGGGGAAGTGATCACGCTCAGCCGACGGTCTGACCACACTTCATCCTCCCCCCGGGGCCTTCTCATCTTGGGAGATGACTCCTCTTCAGAGCACCTGCTGCAGGACTGGATCCCACCCCCCTGCAGGTCCTGGGGTCTCAGGGCCTTGGAGCAGCCCATGCTGGAATCATGTTTACCTCCTAGTGCAACCGTCCCCTACCCAGGGACTGTCGAATGGCCCCACGGAGGGGACGGGCGGCCTGCTGAGTGAAGCCACAAATACCGAGTGGACTTGACCCCGGCCCCCACTAGGCTGCACACCTAGACTCGCCCTGCCAGGGCCTCGCTCTTCCCATCTGAAAAGTCCTGGTAGTTCTTGAGGTTTACTTCTCAAATGAAATATTTTTAGTAAAAAGTACAGGTATATCTCGGAGATATTGTGGGTTCAGTTCCAGACCACCTCGGTAAAGCCAACATCACAATAAAGCAAGGAAGCGCATTGTTTTAGTTTCCCAGTGCATCTAAGTCATGTTTACTGCATATTGCAGTCCACTAAATGTGCAATAGCATTATGTCTAACAAATGTACAAACCTTAATTTAAAAATATTTACTGTTCAAAATGCTGACACAGAAACGCAAAGTGAGCACATGCTGTTGGAAAATGGTGCCAAATAGACTTGCCTGATGCCAGGCTGCTACAAACCTTCAATTTAAAAAAAAAACACAGTATTCACAAAGCATAGTAGAATGAGGTATGCCTGTATTGCTCTTTCTGAAGTGGTGTGATATAAACCATCTCTAAGAAATGTTTCTACCCTAAAGATTTCCCCAGTACAGTCAGCTCTCCGTAACTGTGGTCTCCACATTTAGATCCAACCAGCCTTGGATAGGAAATATTTGAAAAAAGAAATTGCATTGGTACTGAACACGTACAGACCTTTTTTTCTTGCCATTATTCCCTAAACAATATGGTGTAGCATATTTACATAGCATTTATATTGTATTTGGTATTATAAGAAATCTAGAGATGATTTAAATTATACAGGAAGGTGTGCGTAGGTTACGTGCAAACGCTATGCCATTGCCCATCAGGGACTTGAGCATCCTCAGATGTCGGTGTCTGAGGGTTGAGGTTGCAGTCCTGGAACCCATCCCCCATGGATACTGAGGCATAGCTGTACTGTGTGTTTTCACTTTGCTTTCAGAACTACGACTTGAATGTGATCGATTACAATAAATGTTTTTCTAAAAAGCCATTTTCCCACATATTATGTGTAAAATATCTCTAATATTCAAAGTCTTACAAATGGAACAAGAGGGAAGGTACCAGATTTGTGGCTTTAAAGAATGCAAGAGTAGGTCAGGTGAGGTGGCTCATGCTTGTAATGTCGGCACTTTTGGAGGCCAAAGTGGGAGGATCGCTTGAGGCCAAGAGTTTGAAACTAGCCTGGGCAATATAGTGAGACCTCCATCTCTACAAAAAATGTTATTCCTTGGTCCCCAGGTCCTGGGGCAGGGCAGGGACTTGGGGCTCTCCTCTCAGGCCCTGGAGGCTCGGAGGGAGGCACTTCTGCTGAGGCCCTGCTTATAGGAAAGCTCAGTATCCTGGCACCTCCATGTGTGTAAGGACGTCAGGGTGAATTATAACCCATGGTGATTAAGGAAGGGCCGAGCCTTTCTCTTGCAGAGCGATTGCTCTTCTGCTGGCCTCGTCTAGCACAAATCAGGTGCCCTAGCACAGGCCACACTCCTGGAGTTAATGAAGCCACTTTAATCATTTATATGCCACTTAAGTTGATGGGGGACAGGGCAGGGGTGGGAAGGAGGGGTTGTCTGTCTGTGAAAACTGAGTGTGGCTTTTCTTGTTGAACTGATCATTCCTGCTCTTCCTGCAAATAAGTCCTGCATACGGACCCTGGAACTAAAAATGGAAAATCAGAGCATGCCCCCTCCCAATTTTGTATAGCTTTAGTGGGCTCTAAAGTTGCCCGTTTTTAGTGTGAAGGAAAAAACGTTGATTTGCAGATATCGTGAGAATGAAACCTCAACAAAGATGTTTGGTTCAGTGCTTCAAAGTTGGGGGACACTTTTTCCATGTTGAACAAATGCCAACTTCTCCGGTTGCTTACAGCAAATCCTTCTGGAACAATCGGGGCTGAAATTGAGTTGCCTTTGTTAGGCGATTGGGCCCCATTCATTCTTACTCGTGCATCAGGTCCTGGTCTGTGTCAGGCCCAGGGGACACAGGTGGTCCCAGCTCAGAGGCCCAGTGTCCACTGCAGCCCCTCCCACAGCCTGCCCACCCCTACTGCAGGGAAAAATGCCCAGGGAGGAGATGGTCCAACTCCTGATCAGTTTTGTGTCCGATGGAGCAGGCCTTGCTGAGTGAAGACACTGGAACTAGCTGGGTCCTGGGGTGACTTGGAGGCTTTGGGCCTAAAAGGGCAGCCTGAACCTGGAGTCTTATCTCCCCCAGGAGCCGAAAGCACTTTTCTTGATTTCCCCCAGGAAATCAAGCGCTGCTTCTCAGCTCCTGTGGTTTTAGTATTTATATATCTGTATCTTCTTTGTAGAAATTTATTTATTTTTGAATAAGTAATACCTGCCTGGTACAAAATTTAAAAGGTACGGGAGGGCGCAAGCTGCAAGGGAAGGCCTGCTCCTATGCCGACCCCAGAGGCAGCCACTGTTACCAATTTCATGTGTATTCCTTTAACTCTGTTTTAAAGTAAGTCTCTGAAAACTGTTCATTTCCTTTTGTCAGTATTTGTTGCTGAAAACCTAGAAAAACCCAGAAAATATAATGAAATAAAAACTACAAATTTCACAACCCAGAAAACTGCTGGTAACAGATTTGGTGTCTTTCCTGCAATTGTTTTAATGCTATGTAGGTACACATATATTTTTTTCTTTTTTTCTTTTTTTTTTTTTTGAGATGGAGTCTCGCACTGTCGCCCGGGCTGGAGTGCAGTAGCGCGATCTTGGTTCACTGCAAGCTCTGCCTCCTGGGTTCAAGCCATTCTCCTGCCTCAGCCTCCCGAGTAGCTTTGACTACAGTCGCCCGCCACCATGCCCGGCTAATTTTTATTTTTTTATTTTTTTTTTATTTTTAGTAGAGACGGGGTTTCACCATGTTAGCCAGGATGGTCTCAATCTCCTTACCTCGTGATCTGCCCACCTCAGCCTCCCAAAGTGCTGGGATTACAGGCGTGAGCCACTGCGCCCGGCCTATGTATGTATATTTCTAACGTACTTGCCTTCTTATCCTATATGCCCCTTTGAACACCTGTATCAATGAATGTTAAATAATATTTTTGATGTAATTTAAAATTCCTTGTAAATATTTGTAATGGCTGCATAATATTCCACTGTGCCTAACCATGTGCCTGGTGTGAATTCCATTTGTGGATTTTTACTACTGTAATGCTGAAGTATTACAGTAATACTGTGTTAATATTCTCTTTATTGAATTCTGGTATATAGTCTTTGGGATTCATTCCTCAAAGTGAAATTGCTGGATTTAAAAGTACGCAGCTTTTTTTTTTTTTTTTTTTTTTTTTTTTGAGACGGAGTCTTGCTCTATTGCCCAGGCTGGAGTGCAGTGGTGTGATCTCAGCTCACTGCAACCTCTGCCTCCTTGGTTCAAATGATTCTCTTGCCTCAGCTTCCAAGTACCTGAGATTACAGGAGCCTGCCACCACGCCTGGCTAATTTGTGTATTTTTTAGTAGAGACTGGGTTTCGCCATGTTGGCCAGACTGGTCTCAAACTCCTGACCTCAAGTGATCTGCCCACCTCGGCCTCCCAAAGTGCTGGGATTATGGGTGTGAGCCACTGTGCCCCGTGAAGTATGCAACTTTTTTTAAGGTTGGTTGTTTTATTAGGTCAGAATCCTTTCTGGAGAGGCGGTATCATTAACTTACTCTCCCATCAAGGGGGCACACATCTCATTGCATCCCCACCAAGGAGCAGAGTGCTAGTGTCTTATGCCTTGATTAATTTCATGGGTGACTACTGACATCTGGTTTGATTCATTTTCTTTGATTATGAATGGGGTTGATTGATCTGTAGCTTGGCTGTCTCTCTGTGAAAGACAGCTGGAGGTAATCCCCTATGGAACTGCCTGCCCAGGGGTGCTGGGACCCCACCCCAGTTCCCTATGGCTGACGCAGTTGGGAGGGTGAGCAGGGAGTCAGCCACATGTGGCTGGCGGGGCAGCTGGGTGGCTGTGTGTCCGGGTGGCTGGGTGGCATGGTGTCCAGGTGGCTGAGTGGCAGGGTGTCTGGGTGTCCAGGTGGTGGCATGTCCAGGTGGCAGGGTGGCAGGGTGTCTGGGTGGTGGGACAGCAGGGTGTCTGCGTGTCCAGGTGACAGAGTGTCTGGGTGGTGGGATGGCAGGGTGTTTGGGTGTCTGTGTGTCTGGGTGATAGGGTATCCTGGTGGTGGGGTCTGTGGGTGGAGGGGTCTCCAGGTGTCCACGTGGCAGGGTGTCTGGGTGGAGGGTTTTCCAGGTGGTGGGGTAACTGGGTGTCTTGGTGTCTGGGGAACAGGGTATCTGGGTATCCAAGTGGCAGGGTGTCTAGGTGGTGGGGTGGCTGAGTGCCCAGGTGTCCAAGTGGCTGAGTGGCAGGGTGTCCAGGTGTCTGGGTGGTGGGGTGTCCGGCTATCTTGGTGTCAAGTGTCTGTGTGTCTTGGTGTCAGGTGTCTGGGTGTCCGGGTGTCCAGGTTTCTGGGTGTCAGGTTTCTCGGTGTCTGGGTGGTGAGGTGTCTGAGTGTCCGGGTGTCTGGGTGTCCGGGTGTCCAGGTGTCCAGGTGGTGGGGTGTCTGGGTGTCTGAGTGGCAGGGTGTCTGGGTGGCAGAGGGTCTGGGTGTTTGGGTGTCCAGGTGTCCAGGTGGTGGGTTGTCCAGGTGTCCAGGTAGTGGAGTGTCTGGGTGTCTGGGGGTTGGGGTGTCTGGGTATTGGAGTGGCAGGGTATCTGGATGGTGGGGTGGCTGAGTATCCAGGTGTCCAAGTGACTGAGTGGCAGGGTGTTCAGGTGGCAGGATGTCTGGGTGTCCGGGTGGTGGGGTGTCAGGTTTCTGGGTATCAGGTGTCTGGATGTCTGGGTGTCTGAGTGTCTGGGTGTCTGAGTGTCCGGGTGTCTGGGTGTCGGGTGTCTGGGTATCCGGGTGTCTGGCTGTCAGGTTTCTGGGTGTCTGGGTGTCGGGTGTCTGGGTATCTGGGTGTCTGGGTGTCAGGTTTCTGGGTGTCTGGGTATCCGGGTGTCTGGGTGTCAGGTTTCTGGGTGTCTGGGTATCTGAGTGTCTGGGTGTCTGAGTGTTGGGTGTCCAGGTGTCTGGGTGTCTGGTGTCAGGTGCCTGGGTGTCCGAGTGTCACTTGGATACCTGGATACTCAGCCACCCCACCATCCAGACACCCTGCCACTCGAATATCCAGACACCCCAACCCCCAGACACCCAGACACTCCACTACCTGGACACCTGGACAACCCACCACCTGGACACCTGGATACCCAAACACCCAGACCCTCTGCCACCCAGACACCCTGCCACTCAGACACCCAGACACCCCACCACCTGGACACCTGGACACCCAGACACCCAGACACTGAGACACCTCACCACCCAGACACCCAGACAGCTGACACCCAGACACCTGGACACCCAGACACCCAGACACCTGACACCGAGACACCCAGACACTTGATACCAAGACACCCGGACATCCCACCAGGTGTCTGGGTGTCAGGTGTCTGGGGGTCCAGGTGTCAGGTGTCTGGGTGTCAGGTGTCTGGGTGTCAGCTGTCTGGGTGTCTGGGTGTCTGGATGTCAGGTGGCTGGGTGTCTGGGTATCTAGTGTTTGGGTGTCTGGGTGTCCAGGTTTCTTGGTGTCAGGTGTCTGGGTGTCCAAGTGTCCAGGTGTCAGGTGTCTGGGTGTCAGGTGTCTGGGTGTCAGGTGTCAGGTGTCTGCATGTCTGGGTATCTGGGTGTCCAGGTGTCTGGATGTCAGGTTGTCTGGGTGTCCAGGTATCAGGTGTCTGGGTGTCTGGGTGTCTGGTGTTTGAGTGTCTGGGTGTCTGGTGTTTGAGTGTCTGGGTGTCTGAGTGTCTGGGTGTCCAGGTGCCTGAGTGTCAGGTGTCTGGGTGTCAGGCATCTGGGTGTCAGGTGTCTGGGTGTCAGATGTCTGGGTGTCTGGGTATCTGGGTGTCTGGGTGTCTGTGTGTCTGGAGGTCAGGTGTCTGGGTGTCCGAGTGTCTGGGTATCTGGGTGTCGAGTATCTTGGTGTCATGTGTCAGGTGTCTGGGTGTCCAGGTATTCGGGTGTCTGGGTGTCAGGTATCAGGTGTCTGGGTGTCAGGTGTCGGGTGTCTGGGTGTCTGGGTGTCCAGATGTCAGGGTGTCAGTTGTCTGGGTGTCTGGGTGTCAGGTGTCAGGTGTCTGGGTGTCTGGGCATCTGGGTGTCTGGGTGTCTGGGTGTCTGGATGTCAGGTGTCTGGGTGTCCAGGTGTCAGACGTCTGGGTATCTGGGTGTCCGGTGTTTGGGTTTCCAGGTATCTGGGTGTATGGGTGTCTGAGTGTCAGGTGTCTGAGTGTCCAGGTGTCCAGGTGTCTGGGTGTCAGGTGTCTGAGTGTCTGGGTATCTGACTGTCTGGGTGCCAGGTGTCTGGGTGTCTGGGTGCCAGGTGTCTGGGTGTCCAAGTATCTGGGTGTCAGGTGTCTGGGTGTCTGTGTGTCTGGGTGTCAGGTGTCCGGGTGTCAGATGTCTGGGTGTCAGGTTTCTAGGTGTTGGGTGTCCAGGTGTTTAGCTGTCAAGTTTTTGGGTGTATGGGTATGTGGGTGTCTGGGTGTCCCCAGGTGCCTGGGTGTCAGGTGTCTGGGTGTCCAGGTGTCTGGGTGTCTGGGTGTCAGGTGTCTAGTGTCAGGTTTCTGGGTGTTGAGTGTCCAGGTGTCTGGGTGTCAGGTGTCTGGGTGTCTGAGTGTCAGGTGTCTAGGTGTCTGGGTGTCAGGCGTCTCAGTGTCTGGGTGTCAGGTGTCTCGGTGTCCGGGTGTCCAGGTGTCCGGGTGTCAGGTGTCTGGGTGTCAGGTGTCCGGGTGTCTGGATGTCTGGGTGTCAGGTGTCTGGGTGTCAGGTGTCTCAGTATCTGGGTGTCAGGTGTCTGGGTGTCCGGGTATCTGGGTATCAGGTGTCTGGGTGATCGGGTGTCCAGGTGTCCGGGTGTCAGGTAGTCTGGGTGTCCGGGTGTCAGGTGTCCAGGTGTCTGGGTGTCAGGTGTCTGTGTGTTAGGTGTCTGGGTGTTCGGTGTCTGGGTGGCGGAGTGGCAGGATTTCTGGGCAGCAGGGCTGGCCCTTCCAGTGGGGCCTGGCCCAGGGAGAGCTGCGGGCTGCCGGTGGGCGAGGCAGCACTAAGGAAGACGCCTGGGTACAGGGACCCAGTCATCATTGGAATAAACCATCTGCTCTGGGCCAGCTATTAACCTGCTTCAGTGTTGCCGTTCCCAGGCAGATGGTACGTTTTAGCTGGATGACTGCTTTGTGTCTCTGGGCTGAGATGTCTGGCTGGAGGGATGCAGGCCTGGCTGTTGTGTGCAGAGCCAGGAGGCCACAGGGCTGGGGACACAGCCTGGCACCTGTGGTGGGAGGCGCCCTCTGGTGGGCCAGCCAGGCAAGGCCTTCCTCCTCCTCTCCCCAGGTCCCGGCCAGGCCAGGCCAGGCCCAGACAGTGGCTCTCAGAGGATGCTGTTTTGTAACTTCCCCAGGGGGAGGGTGCGGAGGCTGCCCTGAGGTTTTCATAAGCTGTGGACAGGACACCAGCCGCATCTCCTGCAACCTTTTTTGCATGTAAAACAGAATGTCTCTCAATCCCAACAACGAACATATGGGAATTAAGAAATGCAGGACTCATCTAAGCCATGCAGAAGAGGGCATTGCCTGATGTGCCTTCAGTTGGCTGGAGGAGAGAAATGGCTTTATTGGCTGGAGGAGAGAAATGGCTTTATTAGCTGGAGGAGGCCTCTAGGACCATGATGACAGCCACAGGTCAGCAGGCCAAGCTCGGGCCTGGCCAGCCGTGTCGCAGCCTTGGCGTCAGCTGTGGGTGCCCCCAAGTCCTGGCATAGGAGGGAGCTGAGAGGTGTTTTTCTAAGCCATGGATGTGGTGGCTGTTTATTTTATTTTTCTGGGTTTTAAGAGAAGGACTTTACTCATTCTTGTTAGCAAGTAAGCAAATGCAAATATAATATCCAGGAGATATCTGTTATATACCATGTTAATTAGTAAAAATAAATACAAATGATCAAACCCACAGCTGGCAGGGCTGAGGGAAAACGGTATACACATACGTCCACACACGCACGTGCATACACACACACACACGTACATGCAGAAGGCGATACATAGCAATGCAGTCTTTTGGGAGAGTGATTTGATGAAAAGGAAAATCACAGGAACTATAAAATCATATATACCTCCCAGCCAACCAATTTCACTTCAGGGAAAACATTCCAATAAAATAATTCAAGTGGAAAACAATAAAGATATTCATAGCACTGCTGTTTATAATAGCAGGAAAAAAAAAAGGGAAAGAATTCCAATTCTGACCAAAAAGGAAATAGTTAGACTATGTATGTGAACAAGAGGCTGGAATCCTAATAGTCAAGTGTAACAAACAGAGAACAGGGCTGGGCACGTGACATTCTGTGGATGTATCCCCCCACCATGCCACACACACACGTTTATTTACCTTACCACAAATTCATGCTTCAGTGCTTGGAGGAAATAAGAAAGAGGGCTTGCAGGCTGGGCGCAGTGGCTCACATCTGTAATGCCAGCACTTTGGTAGGCTGAAGCGGGCAGATCACCTGAGGTCAGGAGTTCGAGACCAGCCTGGCCAACATGGCGAAACCCCATCTCTACTAAAAATACAAAAATTAGCTGGGCGTGGTGGTGGGCACCTGTAATCCCAGCTACTTGGGAGGCTGAGGCAGGAGAATTGCTTGAACCCAGGAGGCAGAGGTTGCAGTGAACCGAGGTCACACCACTTCACTCCACCCTGGGCGACAGAGCAAGACTCCATCTCAAAAAAAAAGAAAAAAGAGGGATTGCAGATGGTGCTGTGATCCTAGTGGTTCTCCCACCCGATGAAGGCATGGCTCAGAGGGAACAGACAGGCAGGCATGGGCGTCTCATGCCTGAGTTCTAGTGTTTAAAATGTGAGTTATTTATGTATCCCTAAACCAAACAAGAGCCAGCCTGATCAGATTTTTGGACAGCCAGCCAGGTCCTCATCTCCCTGGGGCTGCCTCTGGGGACCGTTAAAGGCCATCACTCAGGAAGAGTGCTCACAGCCCACCTTGGATCTTGCCGTCCTTAGAGAAGTGGTCCCACCACAACATTCAGTTCCAAAGCACCATCCCAGATCCTGAGACCCATGAGAGCTTGATCTGATGTGCTTGTTCCCACTGACCAAGGCAGGAGGGCCGGCTGTGCTGGGGGCTGTTTTGGGTTCTTCTATGTCAGCGCTATCCAACATGAATAGAATACAAGCCAAACGTGAGTTTTACCATGGGCAGGTGTATACAAACCTACCCCAACATCTGAGGAAGCTGAGAGGCCAAAGAAAGAGGCTGGCATATCTAGTTCCTTAGAAAGAATCATTCAGTAGGGACTTACGGACAGAAGCCATGTCTGTGTCTTGGCAGTGGCAAGACAAGATGGTGGACCCCGCGCCATCACCCCCAAGACCCAGGACTTGTATACCAGAGGGGAGGGTGGTTCAGAAGGGATGTGTAGACAGTTGAAGTAGGATAACATCAAGGTTGTTTGACCTAAGGATTTATGGTAAGTACCTGCAATCATACAAGAAATGATAGAGAAATTGGGATCTTAGAGGCCTTCCTGGAATGGGGGTTCATCAGAAGCCAACTTGGCAGATTAGTATCCAAGATGGAGCTTCTTTGGCCTCCAAAGTGAGTCACGTGTAACTTGAGATTTTCTCATAACCCACACTTTTAAAAAGTAGGAACAAACAGAAGAAATTAATTTAATAATATGTTTTTTAACCTGATATCCAACCTATTATCATTTCAACATGTAATCAATATAAAAGATTATTGAGATGATTTCCATTTTTTTCATATTAAGCCTTCGAAACGTGTTGTCTATTTTACACTTGCTAGCACATCTCAATTCTGACTAGTCACATGTGGCCAGTGGCTAGCATATTGGGAATCACAACTCTATAAAATACACAATAGAAAGTATAAAAATGAAAGATTTCTTTTTTCTTTTCCACTCAGGTTGCCGGTGATACAGACACTCCTTTCAGAGCCAGGAACCACTCTTTTTTTCTGTCTCTCCTCTGTTCTGAAATTTAGCATCTGGGCTTGTTTGATATCCTTGTTAGAGGTCAAGAGCAGGTTGGGAGGTGCTGTAGACTGAATTGTGTCCCCCTTAAAATTCCTGTGTTGAAGCCCTAACCCCCAGAGTGATGGTGTTTGGAGATGGGACCTTAGGAAGGTGATATGGTTTGGCTCTGTGTCCCCATCCAAATTTCATCTTGTAGCTCCTATAATTCCCACGTGTTGTGGGAGGGACCTGGTGGGAAATAATTGAATCATGGGCGGGGGGATCATCCCTGTGCTGTTTTTGTGATAGTGAATAAGTCTCACGAGATCAGATTTTTTTTTTTTTTTTGACGGAGTTTCACTCTTGTTGCCCAGGCTGGAGTGCAATGGTCTGATCTTGACTCACTGCTACCTCTGCCTCCTGGGTTCAAGTGATTCTCCTGCCTCAGCCTCCCGAGTAGCTGTGATTACAGGTGCCTACCACCACGCCCAGCTAATTTTTCTTTTTTGTATTTTTAGGAGAGATGGGATTTCACCATGTTGGCCAGGCTGGTCTCAAACTCCTGGCCTCAGGTAATCCGCCCGTCTCGGCCTCTAAAAGTGGTTGGATTACAGGCATGAGCCACCGTGCCCAGCCAATCTGATGGTTTTAAAAATGGGAATTTCCCTGCACAGGGTCTCTTTATTTGCCTGCTGCCATCCACATAAAATGTGACTTGCTCCTCTTTGTCTTGCCCCATGATTGTGAGGCCTCCCTAGCCATGTGGAACTGCAAGTGCATTAAACCTCTTTCTTTTGTAAATTACCCAGTCTCAGGTATGTCTTTATTAGCAGTGTGAAAGCGGACTTGATGCAGGAGGTAAGGGGGTTTAGATATGGCCATGAGGGTGGGGCCTTCATCCTGGGATTAGTGTCCTCATAAGAAGAGACACCAGAGGGCTCTGTTGCTCTTTCTCCTCCATGTGATGACTCAGCAAGAAGGTGGCCGTCTGTAAGCCAGGAAGAGAGCCCTCCCCAGAACCCAACCATGCTGGCTCCCAGATCTTGGACTTCTAGCCTCCTGAACTGTGAGAAAATAAATTTAAGCTGCCCAATCAATGACATTTTGTCATGGCAGCCCAAGCTGACAGGTTGGGAGTTGGGAGAGTTGAGGGCTTACTGGTGGCTTCCCTAATCTGTGCTCTCTAACCAGACCTAAGGCAGGGGCATTTCCCCCTCCCTTGAGATGTCAAATAGACCTGGTGTGTGGGTGAGACCACCTACCTGAGTGACTCCAAGCATCGCCAGTGAGAGGGTCACTTACTGCAGCCACTGGGCACCAGCCTTGTCCTGCCCCAGGAACAGGCAGCCCTGCTGTGGAGGCCTTGGATGATGGCATCCCCAAGTTCCTATCCCCTCTCCCTCCAACTGCCTCATCAGATATGGCTGAAGAAAAACACCTGACCACATTGACTGCTCTCACTTTTTTTTTTTTTTGAGATGGAGTCTCGTCTGTCACCCAGGCTGGATTTCAGTGGAGTGATCTCAGCTCACTGCAACCTCCACCTCCCAGGTTCAAGCGATTCTCCTGCCTTAGCCTCCCAAGTATCTGGGATTACAGGCATCTGCCACCACGCCCAGCTAATTTTTTAATTTTTATTTTTGTATTTTTAGTAGAGATGGGGTTTCACCATGTTGGCCAGGCTGGTCTTGAACTCCTGACCTCATGTGATCCCCCCGCCTCGGGCCTCCCAAAGTCCTGAGATTACAGGCATGAGCCACTGTGCCTGGCCTTTTTTTTTTTTTTTAAACAGAGTCTCGCTCTGTTGCCCAGGCTGGAGTGCAGTGGCAAGATCTCGGCTCATTGCAACCTCTGCCTCCTGAGTTCAAGCGGTTCTCCTGCCTCAGCTTCCCTACTAGCTGGGATTACAGGTGCCCGCCACCACGCCCAACTAATTTTTGTATTTTTGGTAGAGACAGGGTTTCACCACGTTTGCCAGGCTGGTCTTGAACTCCTCATCTCAGATGATCTACCCACCTCGGCCTCCCAAAGTGCTGAGATTACATGTGTGAGCCACCATGCCTGGGCTTCTCTCACCTTCAATTCTTCATCACTAAGCTCAGAGGGGGCTGCCATGTTGCTGGCAATTATCCCAGGAAAATACGGGATAATTGCCAGCAACATGGCAGCCCCCTCTGAGTTCATTTCCTCTCCCTCTAACCTCTTCTCTCTTGGGCTCCCAACCCTTCCTCTCCTGTTCTTTCTCTCCAGTGGTGACCTTGCTTCCCATTTCCCTAGGAAAAATGAAGCCTCCAGAAGAGAATGCCCACCATCTCCACCTGCACTCAGGCAACCATCTTTCTTCCTGTTACTGTGAACTGACCTTGCTTTAAGGCCACCTCCTCCACTGGACACCAGGTCCACCCCCTCTCCCATCAGGGGATGCCACTCTAGTCATTCTCCTCTTCCTCTCTGTGTCACTGATTCCCCCTCTCCACAGCCTCCACAGGTTCATTAGCATGAACACGCACATTTGTTCTCCAATATTAAAAACAACCAAAATGTCAATGAGTATTAGGACAATTTTGTTGGGGAATAATTGTCTTTTCAACCAGTAGTGCTAGGACTACTGCATGACTACATGCAAAATAATGAAGTCTACTGCCTACCTTATACCATGTAAAAAAATTATGTCAAAGCCAGGTGCAGTGGCTCACACCTGTAATCCCAGCATTTTGGGACCCAAAGTTGGGAGGATCACTTGAGGCCAAGAGTACAAGACCAGCCTGGGCAACATAGTGAGACCCTGACTCTACAAAAAATAGAAAAATTAGCCAGGTGTGGTGGCATGCACCTGTAGTCCCAGCTACTTGGGTGGCTGAGGTGACAGGATTGCTTGAATCCAG
This sequence comes from Homo sapiens, assembly GCF_000001405.40. Classification (NCBI taxonomy): domain Eukaryota; kingdom Metazoa; phylum Chordata; class Mammalia; order Primates; family Hominidae; genus Homo; species Homo sapiens. The sequence goes on along the minus strand of NC_000019.10, from coordinate 29,689,188 downwards.
CAATCCTCCTTTTTTTCCTGTTAGAAAAAAAAAATTAAGTCTAAACAGACATAAATGTAACAACTAAAACTATAAAACCCTTAGATGAAAACATAGGAATAACTCTTTATGACCTTGGATTAGGCAGTGGTTTCTTAGATATGACATAAACACACAAGTGGCAAATGAAAAAATAGGTTAATGGGATTTCATCAAAAATTTAAAACTTACGTGCATTGGGCACTATCAAGAAAGTGAAAAAAACAAACCATGGAATGAGAGAAAATAACTGCAAATCATGTATCTGATAAGGGACTAGTATCTAGAATGTATAAAGAATGCTCGCAACTAAGCAATAAAAAGACAAACGTGGCTGGGCTTGGTGGCTCATGTCTATAATACCAGTATTTTGGGTGGCAGAAGCAGGAAGATTGCTTCTGCCAGCCCAGGAGTTCAAGACCAGACTGGGCAACATAATGAGACTCCATCGCTACAAAAAAAGAGGCAAATGTCCTAATTTAAAAGTGGACACTAAGCGCATGAGAAGAGGCTCAACACCATCAGCCGTCAAAACCACAATATACCACTTTTTCCCTACTAGGATGGTTAAAATAAAGAGAATAACAAGTATTGATGAGGTTGGGAAGAAATCAGAACCTTTGTACATTGCTGGTGGGAATGTAAAATGATGTAGCCGTTTTGGAAAACAGTTTGACAGCTTCTCAAAACGTTAAACAGAGTGACTGCATGACTCAGCAATTCCACCCCTAGGCATATACCCAAGAGAGTGGAAAACATATGTCCAGACAAAAACACACACACACCAGTGTTCACAAGCAACATTACTCACAATAGCCAAAAAGCATTACAACTAAATGTCCATCATCTGGTGAATAATAACAAAATGTGTAGAACATAGGATGGGCTATTACTCAGCCATAAAAAGGAATTGCATACTGATCCGCGCTAAACATGGATGAATCTTGAATATTATACTAAGGCCAGGCACGGGGCTTACGCCTGTGATCCCAGCACTTTGGGAGACCGAGGCGGGTGAATCACTTGAGGTCAGGAGTTCGAGACCAGCCTGGGCAACATGGTGAAACTCTGTCTCTGCTAAAAATACAAAAATTAGCTGGGCGTGGTGACGCATGCCTGTAATCCCAGCTCCTCGGGAGGCTGAGGCAGAAGAATCACTTGAACCCAGGAGGTAGAGGTTGCTGTCAGCCGAGATCGTGCCACTGTACTGCAGCCTGGGTAACACAGTGAGACTCCATCAAAAAAAAAAAAAAAAATTATACCGAGTGAAAGAAACTAGTCACAAAAGACCATGTATTGTATAATTCCATTTACATGAAATGTGCAGAAAAGGCAAATCCACAGAGGTGGAAAGTAGGTTCGCCGTTGCCAGGGGCTGGGAGGTGGGAGGAACGGGTAGTGACTCGTCATGGGTGTAGGGTTTCTCTGTGGGGTGATGAAACTGTTCTGAAATTGGATAGTGGTGATGGCTGCACAATCTTGTGACTACTAAAAACCACTGAGTTGGATACTCCAAAGAGGGGGCGGATCTTATGGGATGTGAACAATATCTCAAAAATGCTATTTTTTCAAAACCCCAAACTCGCTTTGGTTCCACTTCTCTCTCCCTTTGCATCAGCATTCCTCCGGTGAGTTTCTGTGCTTGCCGCTGCTAATCTGTCTCTTCCGTCCTCTCGTTCCTTTCCCGCAGGCATCTGCTCCCACCACCCCACCAAGATCCTTCATCAAGGGCACCACTGACCTCCACGTTCCTAAGCCCGAGGTCAGTTTCCAGTCCTCCCCTTCCTTGGTCCCTCCCTCCTGGCTGCGCCTCTGGCCCCAGGCTCTCCTGGCCTTCCCCTTGCAGCGGGACTGGCTGCTCCTTCTCCATCTCCTCTGCTGCTCCGACCTCCGATAGCTGACCTGCAGACCCTGGGGTGTCCCAGGGCTCATTTCTTGGAGCCTTCTCTTCCTATCCACACTCACCCAGCCCCTGACTTGCCTACTCACTGGTGACTCCCAAATGTGTTTGGGCAGCCTGGATTTTCCTCTGGCCCACTCAGCCTCTCCATATCTAGTAGGAATCTCCACCTTGTCATTAAAAAACAAAGTTCCTGCCCAGCATGGTGGCTCACAGCTGTAATCCCAGCACTTTGGGAGGCCAAGGCAGAAGGATCGCTTGAGCCCAGGAGTTCTAGACCCACCTGGGCAACACAGCTAGACCTCTACAAAAAAATAAAAAATAAATTAGCCGGGCATGGTGGTGCACCTGTAGTCCCAGCTACTTGGGAGGCCAAGGCAGGAGGATCGCTTGAGCCTGGGAGTTCTAGACCCACCTGTGCAACATAGCCAGACCTCTCCAAAAAAATAAAAAATAAATTAGCCGGGCATGGTGGTGCACCTGTAGTCCCAGCTACTCTAGAGGCTGAGGCGGGAGGATTGCTTGAGCCGAGGAGGTTGAGGCTACAGTGAGCTATGATGGCACCACTGCACTCCACTTCAGCCTGGGTGACAGAGCAAGCCCCTGTCTAAAAAAAAAAAAAGCTAAGTAAGACTGTGTGTGCCACACGCTGTGGCTCCTGGCATATCCCAGGCCCTCCGCCATCTCCTCTCCCCCTCACCTCTCTGCAGTCATCTTGGCACCCTCCGCCTCATTCACTGCTCTAGGCCCCTCCAGGCTCAGGAGGTTCCTACCCCAGGACATTTGCAGCTGCTCCTCCCTCTGTCTGGAATATTCTTCTCCCAAGTAGCTGCATAGCCCTCTGCCTCCCTTCCTTTAGGTCTTGACTCAATTTCACCTTTCCAGTGATGCCATGTCTGGCTGCTCCATCTGAAACCGTAGCCACCCAGCCCTCACCGTCTCTTCCCTTCTCTGTCATTACCCATAGCACTTACTACTCGCTAATACACTCTATTATATGTTTTTTTCCCCAAATGAGACAATCTATAGCAAGGGGAAGAATGTTGAGATAATCTTTTCAGCAAACACACAAGCCCCTCAGCAGAGCTGAACTAAAAAGGGCAGGCACGTGTATTTCCAAACAGTGTGGCCCCTCTTTGCTGGGAATCTTCCTAGTGCTGGAAAAGATGCAGATGCCACAGATATGAGAGACTCTAACACATTTTTTTTTTTTTTTTTTGTGATGGAATCTCGCTTTATCGCCCAGGCTGGAGTGCAGTGGTGCGATCTTGGCTCAATGCAACCTCCGCCTCCCAGGTTCAAGCAATTCTCCTGCCTCAGCCTCCCGAGTAGCTGGTATTACAGACATGCACCACCACACCCAACTAATTTTTGTATTTTTAGTAGAGACAGGGTTTCACCATGTTGGTCAGGCTGGTCTCGAACTCCTGACCTCGTGATCCACCCACCTCGGCCTCCAAAGTGCTGGGATTACAGGCCTGAGCCACCGTGCCCGGCCACTCTAACACACTTTCAGTTGTAGTTACTGTCTGTCTCCCTTCACTAGAGTGGACTCCCAGAGGGGAGAGATTTTTGTCTTATTTACCATTGTAGCCCCAGTGCTTGTAGGTACTCAAATATTTGCTGAATGAATAAATAAAATATTTAAAAGCTGGCGGGCAGTTTTCTCCTCTTTCATTTTTTGCACCAATGCCAACCTGTGCATGCCATAAATATGCTGACTGCCTCTTTGGTTTGGAACTGGGCCTAACACCCACACGATGTCAGTCTCAGGCACCCGCTCTGCCTGAATGCTGGAGGAACAGCTGCCCCTCCCGTCCCCAGACCGACCCCATGAAACTGGTGAGGCGAGCTCCGATTCCAGGACAGTGTCTGAGACCTGTATTCCAAGTAACCCACCAGAATGATCACAGTGAAAGGACTGAAAACACCAAGTGCTGGTGAGGGCGTGGAGCAACTGGAACCCTCATACACACCAGTGGAGTGCAGATTCATGTAACTACTACAGAAAACTGGCGGCCTCTACTCAATCAGATATGCATATACCCGGTGGGCCAGTTCCACTCCTAGTTATGTACCTAGTGTTTCTGTCCACCAAAAGACATCTACAGAAATGCCTGTAGCAGCTTTATTCATAACAACCCCAAACTGGAAACCACCTGGATGTCCATCAACAGTGCGTGGGTAAGAAACTGTGGAAGGTTCATAAAACAGGATACTTTACCACGATGCAAAAGAACAAATGCCAGATGCCCACAACAATATGGAGGAATCTCACAGGCATAAGTTTAAGCAAAAGAAGTCAGCATAGCTGGGCAAGGTGGCTCACGCCTGTACTCCCAGCATTTTGGGAGGCTGAGGCAGGTGGATCACATGAGGTCAGGAGTTTGAGACCAGCCTGGACAACACGGTAAAACCCCGTCTCTACTAAAAATACAAAAATTAGCCAGGTGTGGTGGCACATGCCTGTAGTCCCAGCTACTCGGGAGGCTAAGGCAGGAGAATTGCTTGAACCCGGGAGGCAGAGGTTGCAGTGAGCCGAGATCGTGCCACTGCACTCCAGCCTGAGCAACAAAAGTAAAACTCCATCTAAAAAAAAAAAAACACAAAAAAAAAGAAGTCAGCACAATGCACACAGTGTGATTCTATTTATATGACGTTTTTTAAAAACAGGGCCAGGTTGCCGGGCGCGGTGGCTCATGCCTGTAATCCCAGAACTTTGGGAGGCTGAGGCAGGTGGAGCACCTGAGGTCGGGAGTTCAAGACCAGCCTGACCAACATGGAGAAATCCAGTCTCTACTAAAAATACAAAATTAGCCAGGTGTGGACTCAGGAGGCTGAGGCAGGAGAATCACTTGAACTTGGGAGGCGGAGGTTGTGATGAGCTAAGATAGCGCCATTGCACTCCAGCCTTGGCAACGAGAGTGAAACTTCATCTCAAAAAAAAAAAAACAAACAAAACAAAAAACAACAACAACAAAAAAAACAGGACCAGGCATGGTGGTGCACATCTGTAATCCCAGCACTTTGGGAGGCCAAGGCAGAAGGATCACTTGAGGCCAGAAGTTTGAGACCAGCCTGGACAACAAACTGAAATCTCATCTTTAGAAAAAAAGTTAGCCAGGCATGGTAGCACATGCCTGTAGTCCCAGCTACTCAGGAGGAGTAGGGAGGATCGCTTGAGCCTGGGAGGCTACAATGAGCCGAGACTGCACCACTGCACTCCAGCCTGGGTGACAAGACCTTGTCTCTAAACAAAATAAAACAAAACAAAACAAAACACCAGGAAAAACTTGTGATAGAAATCAGAACACCAAGTAACCTTTGGAGGCAGGTACCATGGGGACGGGCTAGAGGGAGACTTCTGGGACTGCTGGAGATCTGGATGGTGCCTTACACACTTACGTGTTTGTGCAAAATCTCACTGAGGTGCACACTTAAGATCTGTGCACTTTACTGGGTGTAGGTTTTACCTTGATTTAAAAAAGAAAGAAAAGGCTGTACTGCCAACATTTTGGGAAGCTGAGGTGGGAGGATGGCTTGAAGCCAGCCTGGGCAAGAGCAAGACCCAAGCTTTCCAAAAATTAAAAAGTTAGCCAGGCATGGTGGTGCACACCTGTAGTCCCAGCTACTTGGGAGGATCGCTTGAGCCCAGGAGGTCGAGGCTGCAGTGAGCTGTGATCATACCACTACACTCCAGCCTGGGTGACAGAGCGAGACCCTGTCTCAAAACAAAACAAAAAGAAAAGAAAACAAAAGTCCCAAGGCAGGGATGACCCATCGCCACATGGCTGGCTGTCCCCACTCTCTGAACTGTGTGTCCGGCCCCCATGCTAATTTCTCCCAGTACTCCTTTGAGGACTTACTGATTTCCCTAACCGCTTGCTCCTTGACCTTTGGAGAGGACACCAATATGCAGAAATACCTTGGACCTAGTAGTAGGGACACGGGCGCTTTAACAGAGTAAGCCCTGGAAGCCGCTGGGTTCTTCCGCATCAGTGTCCTCTAAGTTGAGGTTTGTCTCTGAATTCTGTTGCCTCCTCCGGCTTTGACTCATGTTCATCAGCCGTGAGGGGGAGACCTGCTGAGTGAGAGTCCATTGTTTTGGGTTTGCACAAAGGCGCCAGTCACTGTGTCCATTGTGCTACTGAATGCTCCCCTTCACATCTTGGAGTTGCTCATTGCTGGGTGGTTTTCTCTGTAACTGATTTAAAACCGTGCAGTGCTCCCCAACTACGGACAGGCTCATTCTGGGAATGAATCTAGACCCCAAGATCCTCACCTCCATCCCTTTCCCTGGACTCTCCTGAGAGCCCTGCACCGTGACTCACCTGCTGGTGTGCTCCAGGGACCACCCCTCCCTCTGCACAGTGGGAGTAGAGGCTTTTGACCCTCAAAGACTATAGTCGGGGGATGGGTGCACTGGCTGCTTAGACCCCTGTCCTGTGCCCATTTCTAGAGCCAGGATATGGGTGGGGTCAGCCGTATCAGGCTGTGCAGCAGAAGGTGAGGAAGAGGAGGTTCCGGGTGGAGAAGTGCTGTGCCACTGGCAGCTGCCACCCTGGGAGCTCACTCCCAGCCACACGTGGGCATGGAGCTATGAATGTGCCGGGTTTCAAGGTGCAGAAACAGCATGAACGCAGAATAGAGGGGGCTTGGGGAGCCTGTGGCCTGCCACGGGGTGTATGACCAGCACCCCCGGCCCCCACGAAACGGTCTTGTTAGAAGCCCAGTCCCCCCTCCCGCCCCCGACCCCCAAAACTTGCTGAGCAGTTGTGCTTTGACTCTTGCTCTCTCTGTACCAACTCCAGCTCTGGCGTGGGGGAAAGAAACCCTCAGGGATTGGGTTGTGCCAGCAAGTGGTTATGGCTGGGGCAGGCGAGGTTCAAAGGCCTCTGCTTCATGGTGGGGGCCCCCAGGAGGTCTGGTGGCTGCTGAAATCCAAAGGCATTTTGGTATTTTAAGGGTATTAGTAATTTGCAAACTGTACGAAGTGTCCCAGTGTGCTGCTCCAGAATCCCGGAGCCCAGGTCCCCATAGCCCAGGTGCTGCCGTGGGCAGCTAGAGGAAGCATGATGGGCGTAGCTGTGCTGCTGCGGGAGACAGGGACTGCCTCGGGCACTTCTGGGCAGCCCAGATGACCAGCCCCAGGCCCTAGGCTCTCTGCCTCCCAGCCTGGGACCACAGTGGGCAGGCCCTCTTCTCCAGAAAGCCTGTGTTTCAGGGTCAGAATGTCTGGCAGGAACCCTGAGCTGATGCTCCAAGGATTGAAATTTCCCCTTGTTGTTGCCCAGAAATGTCTGGCTCTGCCTGCCCACATCCCCATTCCTTCCCTGCCTGCTGCTCTGCTCTGAGCATTGGAACATTCCATTCGGAGCTGGACTTGGTGGTGGTGATGGAAGCCAGCAGGAGAGGGGGCTTGGGAGGCCAGAGGCCACACAGCTGGCCGCAGCTCTGCTCCTGGCCCGACCCTGACACACAAGTGCAGGGTGCGCCCACCCTCTGGGCCCAGTTTCCAGCCCTGACGCCAAAGGGGATGATGGAGAGGAGGCTGGAGTCTCCCTGGGGTCACTCCCTGTCCTCCCTTCTACACTGGCCCACACCTGCCTCTGTGGCCTCGCCTGAGCTACTCCTGCAGGGCTACTCCTTCAGGTGCCTGAATGCACCACAGATGCCTCCATTCTGGGCCTGGGGCCCTGGAAGGCGTAGGGGAGGAGGTGGAAGGAGCAAGAAAGGGTCGAGAGACACCTTAGGGTTTGGCTGGGTTGCCCAGGTGTAGGTGTTGGCAGAGGCAGGACAAGCGGGTTGGGCAAAGCCAATGCTGTCATTTTGGGACACATGGGCTTTGAGATCCCTGTGACATCTTCCCAGTGTCCTCCAGGAGCTAGGGAAGTTGACAATTCCTCCTTGCAAGGGAAGCACCTGTGCGATGCCCAGCGGTGCAGGACCATGGGTTGGGGGCCATGGAGGCCAAAAACAAATGAGAAACACCTGTGCTTTCAAGGAGCTCAGATGCCAAGGCCAGGTTTGGGGGGCACAGGCTGCCTGAGGCTCCTTGTAGAGAGTGGAGGTGGGAGAGCTGGAGCAGGGGCCACCGGGCCTCTGGGGGCACAGATGGGTGATCCACACTACCTGGGGCAAGCCAGGAAGGCTTCAGAGAGGAGGTGGCTTCTGTGCCAGGTTCACAGGAAGGGCCGGGCCAAAGTTCACAGGCAGACTGGGGAAATGGTGGGTATGGGGTCAGCAAGCAGCCCAGGACAGGCCGGAGCCCAGATCTGCTGGGCCGTCGAGGCAGACCCCTCCCTCTGCCCACTCTGGGCCCCTGCGTTGCCTGAGGTTTTGCTCCTGGGCACCGGTTCCATCAAGTCTGCTGAGGGCAGAGGCAGAGCACGGGCATGGACGGTGTGGGCGCCTCCCAGGTGAAGAGCCTAGATGCAGACAGAGGCAGAGGACCCTCCTTCTCCCAGCCAGCAAGGGCTGAGGGGCAGCCCTGGGCCTGCGGGCATGAGGTGTTAGGAGGCGGCCTCTCCCCTGCCCTCAGCCCCAGGAAGTTCACTTCCTGCACATCTCCTCAGAGACGGCCCCAGCGGAAGTGGTTGCCTTGGTTTGCGCGTGTGGCCCGGGTGGCAGCGGATCCTGGCTGGGAACTGGGTCAGCCTTCGAGTCACCTCCAGGCCCCATCCCAGGGGCTGAGCCCAGGAGCGGCTTTGCCTTCTCCTAGGCCTCTTTCTGGCCTTGTTCAAAGAACAGGCTGGGCAGGGAAGTGGCCAGGCCAGCGGAAACCCTCTGGTGCCAGCCTGGACGACAGCCCCATGGAAGCCTGGAGCCCGGCCTGTGATCAAGTCAGACCCAGCTCCAGAAAGCGCTACTTGGGTGGGGTGGGGTGGGCATTCCTGTCCCCACCTGAGAAGGCCACTCACATTTAGCGTCTTGGAGGGGGACTGTTCCCTAAACCCTGGGCCAGGCTGAGCCCTCCTGCTGGCCCTGCTCCTGTAGAAATACACCAGGAACACCAGTTCCCATCCACAGCCTGGCCTGGAGGCTCCAGGGTGAAGCTCAGTTGCTTTCATTATCATCCTCTCTACCCCGATGCCCCCAGCCCCATTTTCTACCTGACTCATTTATTCATTCAACATATGTTTAGTGCCAAGGACAGGAAAAGACAGTTACCAAAAAGGCCCAGAGTCCCAGTCCTCGTGGAGACTACAATCCTCTGATAAAGTCCTACCATCCTCTGAGGCTCAACCAAACACCGCCTCCTCCAGGAAGCCCACCCAGCTGTTTTGGGAGTTCCTTTCTCTGGCTTTGTCTATCCCTCTCTCAGGGCTCATGACATATCTCCTTTAGCCTTAGGATGGCCTCACGTGACCTGTCTCTGCCTCCTTGGAACCAGCGCATGGGTGGGCCTCAGTAAGTGGCAGTCGCTGCCACCATCAGCACCTGCACCCCATCATCATCAAGGAGGGACAAAATTCTTGGGGACCTGTGAACCCCCCGCCTGGCTCCCTGGCCTCTGGCAGGCAACACCCCAATGTTACCAGCATACATGATGGCGGGCCCATCTTTAAGAAAACTTGGCATGGAAAAATCCCAACCACCAAAGCCCACAGGTAGGGGCTACTTGACCTTTGTGAAAGTCTCCTTAGTGTCTGCAGCCTCTGGGTCCCGTGGGAACACTGCATCCTGCAGAGCTCTAAAGGGAGAGCTGGCTGGGTGCGGTGGTTCACGCCTGCCATCTCAGCACTTTGGGAGGCTGAGTTGGGTGGATCACCTGAGGTCAGGAGTTCGAAACCAGCCTGGCCAACATGGTGAAACCCCACCTCTACTAAAAATACAAAAATTAGCCGGGCGTAGTGGCACGCACCTGTAATCCCAGCTACTCGGCAGTCTGAGGCAGAAGAATCGCTTAGAACCCGGGAGGCAGAGATTGCAGTGAGCCAAGATCGCACCACTGCACTCCAGCCTAGGCGACAAGAGCAAGATTCTGTCTCAAAAAAATAAAAAAAATAATAATAAATAAAGGGGCTGTCATCAATCCCAAAGAGCCCTGGGGTCACAGCTGTGACTGTACTTGCCATCTTGAGCTGCACTGCTCTGGGCTGATTCCTGCAGGAGCGGTTCTGGCCTGCCCCTGTGGGTGGAGTGGTGGGGTTCTGATGCCCCTCAAATGCATGGGCCTGTTCTCGGACCCTCTCCTCACCCCTCTGCACCTCCTAGGAAGAGGCAGGGGACGAGGCAGGCGCCTCCCAGGAATCCCATGCTGCCTGTGCGAAGGACCGGCTTCTGGCAGGGACATGGAGTCCAGGCACAGCTGGGAGGAAGATTTGAGAGGTGGACAGCAGCACTCGGCTGGCAGGACAGTTGGTTCCCGTGTCCTTGCCAGGCCTTGCAAGCAAAGCCCCAGGCAGGAGCGTGAGGCTGGACCCTGGCCCAGCAGCCCCGTGCTCCTGCCAGACCTCAGGCTCAGCTCTGGGGAAAGGGAGCATCTGCAAACAGCAGAGGCCTCGGCCCGAGGCCTCCTGACCTTCCCAGGCGTGGGGGCGGAGTGCAGGCAATGAGCAAAGCTCAGCTGCATGGCTGGGACTGAAGACAACTTCCAGAGCCTCCAAGGAGCTTCCCCACCCAAGAAGGGGACTGGCAGCGGTGCTGTGGCGAAGCAGGAGAGACGGCTGCAAGCTCTACAGGCTGGCCTTCCCCTTCCGTGCTTGCTCCTTGAGGCAGGGCCCTCTCCGGGGACTGCCTGGGCAGCTGGCCTAGCTTCACCTGTCGACCCGAGCCTGGCCCAGGAGGCCATCTCTGGTGGAAAATAAACCTGATAGGAGTTGGAGACAGGGCCTCCAGGGCAGCACCTTCCCTTCCCGGGCCCACTGGCCAGGCCCACATCTTCCATTTTGGGTGGCTCTGCTCTCTCCCAGCATACTCCCCTCTGTGCCTCAGTGGCCAGGGACCCCGATTCATTCAAACTCACACTGGCCCCAAACACCATGCAGTCCTGGGGGTCATTCTGCTTCCTGGCGCCCCCTCGGCTGTCAGCCTGGAAGCTGACACTCAGTGCCTGTTGGATGTCTCAGCATAGGCTGGGTGTGTGGTGGCTCCCACCTATAATCCCAGCACTTTGGGAGGCTGAAGTGGGAGGATTGCTTGAGCCCAGAAGTTCGAGACCAGCCTGGGCAACATAGGGAAATCCTGTCTCAATAAATAAATAAATAAATAAATAAGAAATTAGCTGGGTGCCATTGGGTGTGCCTGTGGTCCCAGCTACTTGGGAGGCTGAGGTGGGAGGATGGCTTGAGCCTAGGAGGTCGAGGCTGCAGTGAGCCGTGATTGTGCCACTGTACTCCAGCCTGGGCGACAGAGCAAGACTCTGTTTCAAAAAAACAAACAAACAAACAAAAAACTTCTCAGCAGAACAGGGGAGGGGGCCTGCCCCTTGGAAGGAGCTGAGGATGGGAAGGAGGGCAGCTAAGGCTTCCAGTCCACAGCCAGAGCCAAAATCGGAGGCAGATGTGGCCTCAGTGAAGCGCAGGTCCGCCCTTGGGGATCCCAGGGAAGCGGACAGCTGCCGGCCTCCATGGCTGCCAGACCCCCTCTCCCACCAGCCACCCATGCACAGCAGTCAGGACAAATTCTCAAAAGCCGAGATCAGCCTTGCTGCGTGCAGAAGGCTCCGACAGCTCTGGGGCACCCGAGGTGGCTGCCCCGTGCCTCTGGGGGCCCAGCTCCAGCCACGCAGCTCAGGTCACAGGGGTCCCTTTCCTGCCTTTGTACTGACTGTTCCCTCTGCTGGAATGTCCTCTCCCCACCAGGCAGGCGTGGCTCACTCATTCTCAGCCCGTCCCCATCATAGCACCCTCCACCCTGGCTTCTGCACCTGTGTCTCCCCCACCATGCTGTGCGGGCCTTGTTTGTCTCACTCCCAGCGGTGTCCCCAGCAGCTGGCATGGCCCAGCTGGTGCGGGAGCAAGACCGCAGGTGTGAAGGCTCTGCGAAGGTCCTGGGCCACCCCAAGCCGTGGGCCCTTACAGGCCCTAACACCTTGGGACTTGGGGCAGCAGCAGTTCTGTTCCAGCCCTGCAGGGGAGAGGGACACAGACCTGAGTCCTGGGCTAAGGGATGAGAATCACCTACTCAGCCAGACCCCAGGGCGCTGCCTGCCATGACCTGGAGAGGACGACACTGCACTCAGTCAGCCTGGGGTCCTGTGCATGGACCCCCTTGGCAGGAAGCTGTAGAGGAGGCTGGTGGTGGCCGGGCTCAGCTGCACGTGGTCCCCTCTCCTATCTTAGTGAACGCTGCCTTTCAGGCTCTGAGGGTTTTCAGGCAGGGGAGTGTGCTGTGAGAAGAGGCCAGCGGTGGCAGCCAACACACCCTGCCCTGGCTTCAGTCCCAGGGTGCAGGGACAGGGCTGCCCGGGCTGGGTTTTGGAGAGGGCACTAGATCTGTCCAGGAAGTCACCCCCAGCTCCGTGACCTGTCTCACCCTGTGCCCTCTGCCCAGGCAGAACCAGCCTGAACCAGTTTGTGTGGTTCAGGGAGGCCAAGGGAGAGAAAGGGACTGTAAACAAATAGGTCCTTCCTGGAAGGCCAGTGGGCCTCCCACACTGGTCATTCTGCCAAGCATGGCAGGTCGAAGGCGCTTTGATACTGACCCCTTGGCCGGGTGTGGTGGCTCACGCTTGTAATCCCAGCACTTTGGGAGGCCAAGGCAGGCGGATCACGTGAGGTCAGGAGTTCCAGACCAGCCTGGCCAACATGGTGAAAACTCGTCTCTACTAAAAATACAAAAATTAGCCAGGTGTGGTGGCGGGCACCTGTAATCCCAGCTACTTGGCAGGGGTGAGGCAGGAGAATTGCTTGAACTCGGGAGGTGAAGGTTGCAGTGAGCCAAGATCGCATTACTGCACTCCAGCCTGGGCAACAGAGTGAGACTCTGTCTCAAAAACAAACAAACAAAAATACTGACCCTCCCGCCTCCCTCACAGGGTGCCCACAGGCCACCAGCAGGCCTTGTCACCTCAAGGGTGGTCTGTGGGTGGTGGTAGCGGCAGGCCCTGGGAGCTGGGCTTCGACCTGCCGAATCAGAATCTGCACTCGAACTGCACCCTCCAGGGTTCTGTCTGCACGTGAACCTCTGAGAACTGGCCCCAGGAGGATGGTGCTAGGCCAGGGAGAGGCCCTGTCAGTGGGGTTTCAGATGCTGTACTGCGTGGGCAGGGAACTCCCAGCCCCACGGTCACCACTTCTAGCTGACAGCAACCCCAGTCCATGCCCCAGTCCTGCCAAGGCTGAGGCGCTGGGAAAGACTAGTGCAGAAGCACTCGTGGGACACTGTTAAAGGATCCCCAGTTCCATGGCCAGCATGGGGCCAGGCGTTGGGAGGCTGACCTCGAGCCCCAGGCCCAATGCACACTCACTCTGAGAAAGGCTGGTGTACCTGGGGCCCAGTTTCCCTCTCCATAGCACCAGCCCCAGGGCCAGGCAGGACTGCACGGGGAAGCTCTCAGCCTGGGAGGCCCGGCAGAGCCACACAAATGGCTATTTGTTTCCTCAGTTCCATCCACTGAGATCGCCCACACCAAAGTGAATAGGGCAGCAGGCATCAGGCCACGGTCATGGCACCCGGACAGACCTGTGTCCTGGGGGAGCCCAGCCAAGGCACAGCATGAGCGTCTGTCTCCTTCAGGCAGCCAGCATACACAAGAACTCCCAGTGTGGGGGACAGTGGTAGATTTTTGCCACCTAGCACATTTTCAACCATGGACAGAGCCATGTCTGAAGCAAGGACACTCCTGGGTTTGTTTTGCAACCACCCATCAATAAACTTTCTTTTTTATTATTAAGTGGGGGCAGGGTTTCTGTTCTTGCAACTGAGTCCTAACAGAAAACAATGGTTTCGCTGACCACACGGAGAGCTGAGGACAGGACAAAAAGGCATGAGACAGCTGGACACCTGGAGAGAGGTGACACAGGACAGAGTCCTCACCCGGCTGCCCTGGGCCTCGGGGAGCTCAGGCTGCAGTCCCTGGGCCTGGTGGCACCCACAGCACGGCAGTCTCTGGCTGGGCTTCGGGGAGCCCACATGTCTGATCGGCAGGGCTTGGCTGGCCAGGCGGTGGGCACCAGCGTGGTGGGTGGGCAGTCCTGGGCTTCCAGGAGGCCTCCTGGGACTCAGGCTCTTCAGTGGGGTGTGCCTGTCAGGGTGCAGGTGGGTTCTGTGGCTACACTCCCATCCTGTCTTCCCTCTGTGTTCCCAAACCTGCTCTGGTCCCTAGATGTCTGGAGACCTGGGGTCGTCCAGCTCAGGAGGCCATCTGGAGCTGCCGCTGCAGCCTGCAGAGTGTAAGGTGGCGTTTGTTACCAAGACCTGTGGGTGTTCTGGGGCTTCCTGAAGGGAAAGGCATTACCTGCAGTGAAGCCATAAGGACACAGTGTCCAGCAAAAAGGCACTGGGAGTCCAGAAAGAGCCACTCCCCACCGCTGCACCTGCCACCATGGGATGGGGTCCCGGAGCCCTGGGCAGCTTCTGGAGCTGCCCTCTTGGGGGCCTGGGCAGTGGAGCTGGCTTGGGGACAGATGTTCTGCAGGCCGGGGGTCAGCTGTGGAAGGCAGACCAGGCCACCCCCGAGGCGTAGAACTCCACGCTGCTGGGCCAGTCGCCGTCCCTGCTGCCCTCCTTGTCCTCGTCGGAGTCATCGTCATCTCCACTGGACGCTCCGCAGATGGGCCGGGCCAGGTGGGCTGGCTGCCCTGGGGACCCCGCGCCCTGCTCCTCCGCCTCCTCCTGCCGCTGCTGGGCGGCCAGTTCGCGGTAGCAGAGGCTGCAGACGCGCACGGGCTTGGGGGACAGGCGCGGGAGCAGGAAGCGCTGGCGCGAGCACTCAGCGCAGACCACGAAGCCGCACTTGCGGCAGTGGTGGCGCCTCGTGAGGGCAGAGAAGCGCGTCTGCGTGCAGCGCATGCAGATGTCCGTGGCCTTGTCGGGGATCCAGGGTGCCGCGTGCTCCGTGCTGGGCGGGCGGCCCGTGGCCCTCAGTTGCCGCCGCACGCACTCCTCGATGTGGCTAATCCATTCCTGGCGCTCCGTAGCGGAGGCGGCCGACACCACAAAGGACTTCTTGGCCGTCTTGATCATCCAGCGGTTCTTGGCCTGCAGCGTCTCCGGCAACAGCTCCAGTGTGACCTCCTCCAGGGGGATGATGTGCTGGCTGCGGTACTTGCGCTTGTTGAGCACGATGCTGCCATACACCAGGATGTCGTTAAAGAGGAAGAAGATGCGCGGCTTGGCCTTCTTGCGGCACTCTTTGGTCAGCACGCCCTCGCCCAGCAGCACTCGGCCTGGCAGCGCCAGCGGCTGCCCCGAGGCCCCGAAGCAGCTCTCCACTGCCGCGATGCGCTGGCTGTTGATCTCCGTGTTGGCCAAGTGGTCCACCATCGTCTCCAGCTGGCGGCTGCAGGAGGAGACAGACAAGGAGTATGTCCAGGCTCAGGCATGGGGGTGTCAGAACCACGCTGCCCACCCCCAACTGACTAACCCACCATGCCAGGCAGCCCACTGACTACGCACAGTAACCCGCAGGCCTGCCCAGCACTGAGAAGCATCACCTCGGAAGCTGACCCTTAGACGGGAGTACAGGGAACTACGGGGAGGGAAGGGGGATTTCCCAGTAAAGGGGATGTGGAGGCCAGACAGGGATGGGAAGGCAGTGATAAAGTGTGCTACTTAGGCCAGGTGCAGCGGTTCATGCCTGTGGTTCCAGCGTTTTGGAAGGCTGAGGCAAGAGGAGGCTCGAGCCCAGGAGTTTGAGGCTACAGTGAGCTATGATCATGCCACTACACTCTAGCTAGGTGACTGAGTGGATTCTATCTCTTAAAAAAAAAAAGTGCTACTGAGCCGGCTACTACTGTGGGCAGCAGAGGGCAGAGGTTCAGCCCCGCTGGGGAGCCTTGAAAAACAGGGCGGAACAGGCCTCAACGGGACATCAGAACGGTCTGTGCCAGGAGACCTGGGTGTCTCTACCCCCAACCCAACCCTGACTCTGCCATCCACCAAACCAAGCTGTCACAGGCCCTGCAACCCACGCAACCACCCAGGAAGTGCAGCAGTCACCACCACCATCACAAGCACAGGCGCCGAGTGCTTCCTGTCAGCCAAGCGTGACTATCTCATTTAGTTCCCACCCAACCCCAGAAGGCAGAATCCCCACTTTACAGGAGGGGAACTGAGGCGATGCTAGGAGGCAGGGGCCCTGGAGCTCGCACTATGCTGCCGTCCCGAGTGGAGTGTGAGGCCACACAGGCCCCTCTGTTGGTGCCCTAAGCACTAAGCACTAACTCAGAGCTCATGCCGGGCGCCCCCTGCTTGGTCCACACACACACCAGCCCACCAGACTCACGACCTTGAAGACCCCATAAATGCCATAGATTCCCCATTCCAAGCCTCCAGTCTTGGCCTCTCCAAGCTCTAGGAGGGCTGTCAGCATAGATGTTCACCTGCTTGTCTAATAAGCTCCTCAAACTCAACACATCCAACAACAAACCTCCGCAGACCTGCACCTCTTCCTCTCCTTCAGTGACACCACCATTCATCCAGGAGTTCAAACCCCAGACCTAGGACACATCCTTGAATCTCCCCCTTCCTGTACCTCCAATATTCAAGCCATGAGTAAATCTCATCATCTTTACCTCTCAAATCTAGCCTGCCCATTTCTCAGCACATAACTCCGCCACCATATCGGTGGCAAGGTGCCATTGTGTCCTACCTGAGACAGGCTGTCCCAGGGTCAGCTCCTTCCTGCAACGGGTTCTCAGTTCCTTTTTGAAAGGGTTCTCCCTGACAACCCCAGCTCAGGCAGCCTCTTCCCACACCCAGGACAAGCATTGGTAATCCAAGGTCTGAGAGTCAAATCCGGCCCTCAGCCTGCTTTTGTTAAAGATTTATTGGGACACAGCCACATTCGTTCATTTATTATTGTCTCTGGTGGCTTCCACACTGCAATGGGAGAGTTGAGTGTTGGTGACAGGGACTACATGGTGACAAAGCCTAAAATATTCACCACCTGGCCCTTTGTAGAAAAGGTCTGCTGGCCACTTCTCTGGGATTCAATCGTTTTTCTTTGTGGGATTTAACAGGACCTGCTGTTTGCTTGTCTATTCATTGCTTGTGTGTTTTCTGCTTCCCTGCTCAGTTCTTAGCTCCATGAGAACAGGAGCTTCTTCTTGTTCATTGTGTCCACAATTCTTGGAGCCATGCCAAGCACATACTAGATGCTTCATAAGTAGCTTGGCACGGTTCCAAGCAGGTCCCAAGGCCCACCATGCATGACTCAGCTCTTACCTCTACAGAGGAAGAGGTGAGAGCTGGCCCCACCACCACCACGTGCACACATGCATTCCGGTACACACGGCACGCCTGGGGCTGAGCTGATCACACCCATAGTGTTTCTGGGTCACTGAGCTGCAGTTCTGAGCCTGGCCACCAGTAGAAAGCCAGAGTGGGGCCCCAGTGTGAGGGTGGATGCATTGCAGAACAGAAGATGCTGGGCCCTCGAGTCCCGTTCCACTTGCCCCTGCAGATCACAAGTGTCCTGAGAAGGGCTGCCCACACTACCTTACGTAAGAACTGCTATTTTTAGCTTGCTGATCTTGGCTGTATACTGCAAACCTAGGGGATTACCAGTGACAGAACTGACCTGTCCCACCATGACTGATCACCGAGTACCTGGCTGAGGGACAATCTGACAAAACCAGAACTGCATTCCACAAAGAGCAATGACTGCCCAGCAGAGACAACCAAAATGCCTACCAGCAGGGAAAAGGATAAAAACCCGGGGCTACTCACGCAATGAGAGATACAGATCAATGTGGTCTGACGGCAAACAACAAACGTGGAGTGGAAAAACACAGCCTGTAGAATGTTGTATGTAAAGTGACACCACTTATGCAGGAATTACATAACATTCTGAAAGTGTTCAAGAACTATATCTATGAATAAAAATAGGTAGGAGGAAGGCCGGACACAGTGCCTCACACCTGTAATTCCAGCTACTCGGGAGGCGGAGGCAGGAGAATCGCTTGAACCCAGGAAGCAGAGGTTGCAGTGAGCCAAGATGGCGCCATTGCACTCCAGCCTGTGTGACAGAGTGAGATTCCATCTCAAAAAAAAAAAAAGGAGGGGAAAAAAACAAAACAAAAAATAAATAACAAGTGTTGGTGAGGGTGTGGAGAAACTGGAAACTGTGCACTGCTGATGAGAATAGGAACTGGTGCAGCCCCTAAGGAAAACAGCATGGAAGTTCCTTAAAAAGTTAAAAATACTCACGCCTGTAATCCCAGCACTTTGGGAGGCCGAGGAGGGGGGATCATGAGGTCAGGAGATCTAGACCATCCTGGCCAACACGGTGAAACTCTGTCTCTTAAAATACAAAAAATTAGCCTGGTGTGGTGGCGAGCGCCTGTAGTCCCAGCTACTCGGGAGGCTGAGGCAGGAGAATGGCGTGAACCCAGCAGGCGGAGCTTGCAGTGAGCCGAGATCGCGCCACTGTGCTCCAGCCTGGGCGACAGAGTGAGACTCCGTCTCAAAAAAAAAAAAAGGTTAAAAACAGAACTACCATATGATCCAGCAATGCCACTTCTGGATATATATCCAGACTGAAAGCAGGGACTAAAATAAATATCTGCTTTCCCATGTTCATATCAGCATCATTCACAATAGCCAAGAGGTGGAAGCAACTCAAACGTCTGTCAATGGGAGAATGGATGAACAAAATGTGGAACATACATACCATGGAATACTATTCAGCCTCGAAAAGGAAGGTAATTCTGACGCACACTACAACACGAATGAGCCCTGAGGACATCATGCTAAGTAAAGCAGGCCCATCACAAAAGGACAAATACTGTAATAACTTATATGAGATATACATACTGATCAAATTCATAGAGACAGAAAATAGAATGGTGGTTGCCAGGGGCTGCCAGAAGGGGAATGCGGAGGTTGTCTGGGTATGGAGTTTCAGTTTTAAACGATTAAAAAGTTTTAGAGGCCAGGTGTGGTGGCTCATGCCTGTAATCCCAGCATTTTGGGAGGCCAAGGCGGGCAGATCACTTGAGGTCAGGAGTTCGAGACCAGCCTGGCCAATATGGTGAAACCCTGTCTCTACTAAAAATACAAAAATTAGCCAGGGATGGTGGTATGTACCTACAATCCCTGCTACTGAGGAGGCTGAGGCAGGAGAATCACTTGAACCTAGGAAGTAGAGATTGCAGTGAGCCAAGATCACACCACTGCACTCCAGCCTGGGCATCACAGTGAGTTCCGTCTCAGAAAAAAAAAGTTTTGGAGATCTGTTGCACAACAATGGGAATATACTTAACACTACTGAACTGTACACTTGAAAGTGGTTAGAATGGTAAAAATAAAAGATAGGAAGGAGAAAGTCAGGAGTAAGTAGCCTGGGGAGAGGACATAGATGTGACCAGGAATGGAGGGCTCAGATTGGATTCCACTTTCGTCTATAAGGTTTCATTTTTAAAAAAGTTTTTTTAAAAAAAGGCAGCAGCAAACACGATGAAATCCGAATATCTGCCAATTTCAAGAAATGGGAACACGTGTTGCTTCTTCTAATTTAAGGTCTTCAAAAGGAAAAGAATTACAGGCCAGTGTCTGGATTGGGTCCTGGGCTCCATGGGCTGGGGGCCGCTGAGCATGTCTCATGATGGGACGCCTGGCTGGGCCTGATAGGGTGACCACATGGCATCCAGGCCTGGGCACCTGCAGGGGATGTCAGGAGCCCCGAAGAAGCAAGGCCACGTGTGCCCCCAGCCCAGCTGTGTGCTGAGAAGTCAGGCCACTGGTGAAACGGGATGAAAACCCAAACCTGAGACTGCAGACCAAAGCCTCCACATTCAGTAGCTGAGGCAGGTGGGCTTTGTGCCCAGAGAGCAGGTAGCCCTCCCGCAACCCTGGGGGCTTGTTGAGCTCTGGAGACTGGGCCAGCCAAGTGGATGGCATGGAGGAAGGGAAGGAGCAGCACCAGGCAGAAGAGAGCTGCAGGCAGGGGTGCCCAATCCACCCTGGACCCGTCCAGCAGAGGGCAGAGTCCATGACGCTGTCTCTGCAGCCCTTGGAGGGGGTGCAGAACACTCCACATGGGACCCCTTTGCTGCTCTGCCCCCACCCATGACTCACAGACCCCCTCTAGGCTCTTAGGGCTAGTGTCCAGCTGCTGATGGTAAAATGTGGACCAGGAAGGGCGAGGAGGGGCATCTGGTGGCGATGAAAGGGGCTGGGCTGAGAGCTGACCCCACACACTGACTGGGGAAGCCAGGGGCTCACATGTGCCCTCCTTTGTGAACCTGCAGAGGGTCCCAGGTTGGGCGAGGGGCGGGGCAGACAACATCCTCCTGGGAGCTGCCCCGGCATGCTCACCTTCTCTACATGACCACAACTTCACATCCTGGTTTGACCTTGCCTGTAGGTTTTTCTTGGCAAATACAGCAGCCCTGAGTTAGATGGGGAATGCTTTTTTCTTTCTTTCTTTTTTTTTTTTTTCTGAGACATTGTCTTGCTTTGTTGCCCAGGCTGAAGTACAGTGGCACAATCAGGGCTAACTGCAGCCTCGAACTCCAGGGCTCAAGAAAGCCTCCCGCCTCAGCCTCCTGAGTAGCTGGGACCACAGGCATGCACCAACATGCCTGGCTAATTTTTAAATTTGTTTTAGAGGCGAGGGTTCACTCTGTTGCTTAGATAGGTCTTGAACTCCTGGCCTCAAGCAATCCTCCCTCCTCAGCCTCCCAAAGTGCTGGGATAGCAGGTATGAGCCACTGAGCCCAGCTGGGAATCCTTTTTTTTTTTTTAATTGTTCTCACTAGGGAAGTGAACCTCCCTTGCTTAGCACAGGGGAGAAAAAAGCTGAGCCCTGTCCTTACTCATTTGGGGCCGGCCTGCCTCGGGAAGATGTTGGTGACAGAGCTTCCTGGCAGCCTCTGGGCCCTGAGTGCCTGTATTGGCCCCAGTGTGGCCCCAGGGCTGCTGGTAGAGGGGTGACCCCAGCGCAGGCTCAGTAAGCCTGGGAGACCAGGCAACGAACAGACCTGCATCTTTCTTTGAGGGTTCAGAGGGGTGGGGGCTCTCAGGCTCAGCAATCCTGCTGCCTGCACAGGGGCTGGAGGTGCTCATGTGAGCACTGCGGCTTGGGAGCCACATCCTGAGAGCCCCCGTGTGGCTGCAGAAGCCATGAAGCCAGGTTCTGTATGTGGCAGCCCAGGTGTGATACGTGATCAACAGCAGGGGCTGGAGAGCTACACCAAATCTGGGCCACTGCCAGCTTTTCTAAATCCAGTTTTATTCAAACACAGCCATGTGGGACAGAGGCTGTATGGCTGGCAAAACCTAAACTATTTGCTACCAGCTCTTGAGAGAAAAGGTTAGCCAACCCCTGATCTACACCATGCCACATTGTAAAATGTATAATGCACACACTGCAGGGCACGCTGAACAGGCCACACAAGGTACTGTCCTGACGGGAGTCGTCCTGTCCTCTCTCCTACTCCGGACACAGCATTTTGGATAAATGAGAGATGCGTGGGGCCCCAAGATGGTAGCCCTGGAAAGTAGGAGCTGGGCAGCGGTGGGGGATGGGGTGGGGGCTGTAACTGCTCTGCCTCGGGTTACAGGTGGAGAACCTGCTCAGGGACGTGCAGGGCCAGGGTCACCAAGGGAATCAGAGTTCTGGGGGCAGCTCAGCCCTTTGGACTTTCCCTTGACTTCCAGATCGGGGCTCCTCCTTCCCTGCAGGGACCTGGGCCGCACGCAGACCCACCCTGCTTCCATGCCTGCCTGATTTCATTTTCCAAATATTTATGAGTCCCACTGTGTGCCAGACACTGTGCGAGGTTACAGCCGGGAGCTGGAGACCAGGCCCTTCAGGAATGCACACTTCTTGCCAGTGAGACTAGAAGTACATTCACAGGGTCTTTTCTGAGAGCCAGTGCTAAACACTGTGAAGAAAAAGACTGGTGCGCCCAGCAGGGCAGGGCCTGGGAGGACGGTGGAGGTCGAGGAAGGAAGGCCTTGGGAGGAAGTGAACTCACTCCAGCCTGAAGTCAGCTGTGCAAAGATCTAGGGGCAGAGCTCCGGTCCTGGGGAGCAGCTCAAGGTGGAATGGGTGAAGTCAGGCTGCGGAGGAAGGAGCGATGGGGCAAGGAGGACAGATGAGGTTGCAGTGCCGGCAGGAGACATCCTGCAGGCTCCCAGGCCAGCGTGAGGATGTGAGGTTTTCTCCATGTGCATTGAGACTGCAGCATCAGGCGCCAAGCCTCCTCTCCCTCCAGAGGGGCCGCCCCTGGGCTCTGTCCAGCCCTGTGATTCCTGGAAGGCCCTCCTCCGGGAAGAGACCGGTAATGAAAAACAAAGCAAAACAAAACTGGAAGTGCCGCCGACTGAGCACTTAGAGCTCACCAGGCACAAAGTTAAGCATATTACGTTCATTATTTCACTTAATCCTCACAAAAGCCCCCTTGGGGAAGGTACTTCCACCACATCAAAGTCACTGCCCAAGGTCCCTGCTGAGTGATCAGGAAGCTCGGCTCCAAAATAACCATGAGCTGTGGAAAGCTGCACTCAACCAGAGACCAAATCAGAACTCCAGAAGTCAGAGTCCAGCGGGTGTTGCCTGCGCTCCAAATGCCTGATGCCCACCCCATCCCGAGCAGGTCCGTCAGCTTGGCTGGGCTGTCCCACCCTCCAGGCCACACTGGCCAATCCCCCTTCCTTCCTCGGGGTGGGCTGGGTTGGGCAGGTCCCCTAGTTCACCCAGGGCTGCCTGGCCTGTGTTTTGGCAGCCCGGAGGGCTGACGTGTGCAGGGACGCAGGCCGAAGTCAGAGAGTCATCTCAGCTCACAACAGACTCCAGTGGGAACGACGCTGTGCAGAGGGACGATCCCAGCGCATTAGGGGACTACCTCCCCACCTCCTTGGCCTCTGACCCTCTCTGGCCAGGAGATACCAGAGGTGTTCAAATTCCAAAGGAGTGCTCCCCTTGGGCTGCAGAGATCAAGTTTCAGCGTGGCTCGGAACCTCTCTGCTTTCCCACCTGCAAAGAGGCTGACCACACCTCTGCCCTACACGGCCCGCCAGGTGTTGGGGAAACGAGAAAGGAGGGAGATTCCAGGCCGCCTCTCTCTGCGGGCCTGCTCAATAGTTTCCTCTCTGAGATGGGAGCAGTGCCCGACCCTGTTTCCCTTGGCAGCTCCCACCAAGAATCACAAACTCAACTGCTCCAGAGGAACTGGGACCCCAGCGCCCCCCGCCGCGCCCCTGCCCAGGGGGACAGTGGTCCCATCCAGGCCTCCAGACTGCAGACTGGGGCTGAGAAGAGAGGTCCCGGCGGCCACACGAGGCCAGGATCCCGGAAACACCACCAGCGACCGGGTGCGCTGAGACCCCTGCAGTCCCGGGTGGCCCGCGACCCCCTTACCTCCACCAGCTTACATCTGCGCGTTTCCCCGGGGATTCCGCCTCGGACGCTCTGACCCCTGACCGCTCTCCCCAGGCTCCCTGCAGGTTCACCCCGCAAGCCGCCCAGGAGCGCCCTTCCCAGGCCTCTTCTTGGGCTGGAGTCAGCGGCACTGCGCCCCGCCGGCCCAGGAGCCGCCAAGACCGCGCGGCGGGAGAGAGCTCGCTTGTCCGGGGGTGGTGATGGGAGACTCGCCTCATGCGCCTGCCCCGCGACCCGCAGCCCGGCCGGGGGACGGTGGGGGGACTCACCTTCTGCGCCGGCCCCGCGCCCAGCCCTCGAGTCCACACCGCAGTAGCCCGGGTCCCCGCCCGCTCCGCCCGGGTCCCGGCCAGCTCCGCCGGACACGCCCCCGCGGTGGCTCGGCCAATCGGAGCCCGGGAAGCGGGAGGGGCGGGGCTTGGGCGCGGCGCTCGGAGGGCGCCCGAGCTTGTGCGCGCTGCAGGTCCGGGGCTGGGCGGGACTGTCGCCCGTGTTTGACCCCCTGGCCCCGCCCGGCTTCCCTTTCCGCTCGCCGCTGCCCCACGCGGAGCGCGACTGCCGTCACCCGGTGGGACTGCGACCCTGGCCTTGGGCAGGGGTGGGGTGGGGGCGCCCGCGACTGCGAGACCTGCGGGACTTGGCGGGGAAAGGGGCAGTGGGAGGCTTGTGCCTTCTGGTGCCTCCGGCGGGCCTCACAGCACAGTCACCCTCAGCGGTCAATAATCGTAATATGAAAATGCAGCAGCACTTTATAACCTTTTTTTTTTTTTGAGACGGTGTCTCCCTCTGTCGCCCAGGCTGGAGTGCAATGGCGCGGTCACGGCTCACTGCAGCCTGCACAGAAATCATCCTGACCCCAGGAGAATTAGCCCACCAGGACCGGCTAGTTTTTGTATTTTTGTACAGACGGAGGTCTCACTATGTTGCCCAGGCTGGTCTCGAACCCCTTAGCTCAAGCCATCCTCTCGCCTTGACCTCCTAAAGTGCTGGGATTTCAGTAGTGAGCCACCGCACCTGGCCTATTTTAAGCTTTTTATAGTGGAAAATTTCAAACTGAAGGAAAGAGAATAGTCCAGGGGACCCTGGTGCCCGTCACCCAGGTCCAACACTAGCAGCAAGTTATGTCACCCCTGACTCAACCGCACCTGAGCCTCCTGTGCGGCTCAGAAGGAAATTCCCAGGCCTCAGTGCCCGGAGGCCTTCCTGGCCCTCCCTGGCCTCCTCCCCACAGGTCCTCTCAAATGGGCTTCTTCCTGTTCCTTAAAGCCTCAGGCCTTTGCTTCTACCTCCATCAGACCTCAAACTGTCACCTCCTCAGGGAGGCTGCCCTGGCCACCCAAAGCGGTTCCCTGTCTCCACCCCATCTCCCTCCACAGTCACCCGTGTTTGTAATTTTGCAAAGCATCTCCCAACCCAGAGTCCTCTCCTGAGGCCGCTCGTGGGATTCAGGGCTGCCTACCAGGCTGTGGCTTCTGTGGAATGCTCATAAACAAGTCATGCTGGTGGCTTGCCTCCCACCCAGGCTGTGAGCCCCACGGGCTAGACAGTAATTTCTTCTCGTGTTCAGACAGGACTTTCTTCTGGTTCACCCCTGCATACCGAGTGCTGAGAACGGGCAGCGCATAGGAGGAACGCAGTCCCTACCTGTCACATAGATGCAGGTTGTCTTGCCAAATAGAACTCCACCTGGGCACCCTGAGAGGGGTGGCTCAGGCCGGGGCAGGCCTGCTGGGCCAGGACCAGGTGAGAGGGGAGCAGCGGGGGGAGGGCTGATGGGCTGTAGGGCTGTGGGGCTGGAGCTAGAAGAGGTGCCTGCTCTCTTGGCAGGGGGCTATGGGCGAGGCTGTGAGGTGGGCCCAGTGCTGGAGACGGTCCTCTCCCAGCTGAGAAGGGAAGGGAAAGGGGGTGACGGAGGGGGAGGGAGAGGGGACAGGCAAGTGAGAGGGCCACCAGCTGTGGCCTTGGGGAGCCCCCTCCCCACTACCACTTCATGGCGCCCACCCACTACCGTTGCCCTCATCAGCAAGGACAGCTTTTATGAGCATTCAACAGAAGTCACCGCCTGGTAAGTAACCCTGAACCCCACAAGACCCGAATAATGTCTGTTTGCTTTCAAAGTGTTTAAACATTTTTAAAATGCATTGCTGTGAACATTTCATATGGGGAGAGTTCACATAAAAATCAGGATCTTCAGCTTCTCTTAAATCAGAAGATTTGAGAATGCGGGTCCTCTTTAGAGGGGCCTTGTGTTCTCCCCTCCACTATGGTCCCCACACTCCCTCTGGTTTCCCCCTTGGGGCACTTTACCCCCTTTTGCACCTCCAGATGAATATACGTTTGGGTTTACAAGTCCTGAAGGGGCAGCCAGGCCTCTATACCACAGAGAGCAGAAAACACAAGGTCTGAGATCCCACAGGCAGAGTAATAACCAGGAGGGTCAGTGGGGCCATTGGGATGCTGGGAAACACCATCTCCTGTGTACACACTGCTTGTCACCAGCGGGTGGAGGGGGACTTCAAGCTGAGCCTTCAAGGCTGCGATCCATGACTGCTCAGTGCCAGCTCCGCCACCTCCCTGGCAAGGAGCTGCTTCTCATGGAGGGTAGGCCCTGGCTGGGGTGGAGGTGGCTGTGAGACTTGGAAGGGAGCCAGTCCCCTGGGAAGGCAGGGCTGTCTCTTTATAACAGTGTCCTGGCATCTAACACCTTGTCCGTACAGAGGAGGCCTCGGGAGAAGGAAGCCTTTTCATGACTGGGAAACTAGAGGGAGGATGTTCCTCCTAGCCTTGTCCTGCTGGTGGTCCAGGGCCCACTTGGACCTCAGTCTCCTCTTCTGTCCTTCCTTCCAACTATGGATCTGAATGGCGCTCCAAGAAACGCCCTGGAGGCAGCACGCACTGGTCTCCCAGCTGTCCATCCACTTCCCAGCGGGGCTGGCTGTGCGTGGGGACAGCTGGGTGGAGGGTGGAGGGCCTCGCTCCTCCAAATAAGAGAGGAAAAACTCGTGACTCAGGGGCAGGCAGAAGTTGAGTCAGCCAAGCCACATAGCTGTGGAAAGAATGAGGTTTCTCCGAGGCGTTTGCTACTTCTCAGGAAAGAAGCCCTTTTGGAGGAAAAGCTGGCTTCCAGACTGCGGGAACCCGGGTTTCAGAAAAGCAGTGGGGCTCGGCATTTTCAGGTTAGGGATTCTGGCAACCACCTCTGTGCTCAATGCCAGGAATTTTTTTTGGATCGTTTATTAAGTTCTGTCTACAGGCCAAGCACTGTGTGCTAAACATTTTATGTTATCTTATCTCTTCCCACACTAAAGCTGTCATTCCCAGCTTTCAGTATAAGAAACTGAAATAGGCACTGAAGTATTTAAGGATGAACACAAACATTCCAGCAAGAGAGAGAGAAAACAAAGGAGGCAGAATATTAGCAATTGGTAAATTGGGGTCAGGAGTCTCCAATCTTTTTCTGTAAAGGGCCAAATGTTAAGTACTTTGGGCTTTGAGAGCCAGGATCTCTACGGCAACTATTGAACTTCACTGTTGCAAAGCAAAAGCAGCCACAAACAATACTTAAACAAGAGAGTTAACGTCATGGACACTGATATTTGAATTTCATGTAATTTTCGTGTGTTATGAAAAATTCTTTAAAAATTTTTTTCCAACCATTTGAAAAAATTAAAAACCATTCTTAGCTCATACAAAACCAGGATGTGGGCTGAAGTTTACCAGTCCCTGATCTCTGGCTATTCGTTGAACTTTTCTTATAACTATTCTATTGATTTGAAAGTTTCCAAAACAAAAAATTGGGAAAACAAATTAAAGAAAAACAAAGGAAACAGAGGTCCTACTGTTTAGCTTGGGTAGATCCTCAAACTGACCCTAAATTTGTCTGATTCCCAAACTACTACATGCTGTGTTCTTTTTAAAACATTATTTTTATTTTATTTCAATTTATTTATTTATTAGAGATGAGGTCTTGCTCTGTCACTCAGGCTGGAGTGCAGTGGCACAATCATGGCTCACTGCAGCTTCTACCTCCTGGGCTCAAGCGATCCTCTTGCCTCAGCCTCCTGAGTAACTGGGACTATGCGCCCATGCAACTTCGCCCAGCTAACTTTTTAAATTTTGGGTAGAGATGTAGGGGAGGCGGGGGGGGTCTCTCTATGTTGCTCAGGCTGGTCTTGAACACCTGACCTTGTGATCCTCCCAGCTTTACCTCCTAAAGTGCTGGAACTAAAGGCACAACCCATCACACCTAGCTAATTTAAAAAATCTTTTGTAGAGACCAGGTCTCATTATGTTGGCCAGGCTGGTCTCGAACACCTGGGTTCAAGTGATCCTCCTGTCTCAGTCTCCCAAAGTGCTGGGACTACAGGTGTGAGCCACCGCACTTGGCCTAAATGCTGCTTTCTTTATAGATACCGTAACATACTAAAGACACTGAGTCTCAAAGCCATAAAATGTGGGGCATTTTGAAAAGATTTTTACTGAAATGGTTAAGAAGATTAGTTTTAAAGGAGGAAACCCAGAGATGTTTGGCAAACTGTGACTTCAAAAGAGAATCTTGAGGGCGGGCTTGCTGCAGGGGCCTTGGATTTGAAGCTGAGATAATCTCGACTCTACGGAACCATGAGATGACACTGACGCCCCCGCACCCACTTGCCCTGCCCGTCTGCCTGTTTATTCTTTTCTCTCTCTCTCTGTGTGTGTGTATGTGCGTGTGTGTGTGTGTGTGTGTGTATGCCCTGCATTTATCATTCCAGCTGTCTGCACATCCACTTCATGTTCACGGGCATTATTGTTTTTGTTTCCCAGCATGGATTTTCCCCTTGAGGCTCCAACCAGGCCAAAGGGGGAAAGGAGAAATAAAAGAAAACAGAAGCAGGCAGGGCGTGGTGGCTCACACCTGGAATCCCAGCACTATGGGAGGTTGAGGCGGGTGGATCACTTCAGCCCAGGGGTTCGAGACCAGCTTGGGCAACATAGTGAAACCCCATCTCTACAAAAATATCAAAAATTAGCTGGGCATGGTGGTGCGTGTTTGTAGTCCCAGCTACTCAGGAGGCTGAGGAGGGAGGATCGCTTGAGCCTGGGAGTTTGAGGCTACAGTGAGCCAAGATCACACCACTGCATTCCAGCCTGGGCAACAGAGCAAGACCTTGTCTCTAAAAATAAATAAATAAAACAGAAGCAATGCTTTTTGAAAAATGCCTTCGAGATGTGAAATAAATGTTGCAGGCCAATATAACCTGAGAGTATTAGACCCACCTAATGTCAATGGAGTACATCCAAGAGGCTTTTGACAGCACTGGTTTGACAAAGTTCTGTCTGGGTCATTCATTCATTCATTCAGCA
This sequence comes from Homo sapiens, assembly GCF_000001405.40. Taxonomy (NCBI): domain Eukaryota; kingdom Metazoa; phylum Chordata; class Mammalia; order Primates; family Hominidae; genus Homo; species Homo sapiens. The sequence continues at coordinate 29,660,428 of NC_000019.10, read as the reverse complement.
ATTACTGGATCCCTCTTTGTGCCACTACCCAGGCAGTGGATCCAGGGATGAATGTGGCACTGCCTCTACCCTTGGGGAGCTCACAGTCCATTGGGGCAAACCCATGAACACGTCATATTTATCCATGAGGAGAGAAGGCTGCCCACCCCGAGTAGAGGGCAGGGGTCTGTGCAGGAGAAGCTGTCTTGGTTGGATGACACATCTTGGAGAACCATTTGGCATTTCAGTGTCAGCCTTTGGGGTCTGGCTGGCAAATACCTCCTCACTTGCTGCATTTAAGGCAAGAACAGAAATTCCAGGGGCCAGGAACAAGCAAGCCAGAGAGAGAAAAAGTCCAGCACATGGCGTGAGAGAGGGCCAGGGAGGCTCTCTGGTTGTGGAATGGGGCTGGGAAAGGCTTCAAAGAACAGGGATGGGTGATATTCCATGTTACTTTTTATTCTTTTTAAAATTTATTTTATTGAGACAGGGACTCGCTTGGTTGCTCAGGCTGGCTTACAGTGGTGCAATCATAGCTCACTGCAGTCTTGAACTTCTGGGCTCAAGTAATCCTCCTGCCTCAGCCTCTTGAGTAGTTGGGACTTCAGGTGCACGCCACTACTCCCAGCTAATTTTTAAATTTTTTATTGAGATACAGGTCTTGCTATGTTGCCTAGGCTGGTCTCAAACTCCTGGTCTCAAGTGATCCTCCTGCCTTGGCCTCCCAAAGTGCTGGGATTACAGACATGAGCCACTGCACCCGGACAGGTGATATTCCATTTTTAATTACTTACTGAACTGCCCAGGGAATGCCCTACATTTTGGCCATTACCACCCAAGCCTTCATAAATCCATTTTCTTGCTGGTGAGAGCATAAATTTTTACAACCAACCTTCATGGGGGGCAATGTGGCAACATCGATCAAATTTTAAAATGTACAGACTTGGCCGGACACAGTGGCTCACACCTGTAATTCCAGCACTTCAGAAGGCTGAGGCAGGCGGGTCACCTGAGGTCAGGAGTTCGAGACCAGCCTGGCCAACATGCGAAATCCCGTCTACTAAAAATACAAAAATTAGCTGGGCAAGAGCCGGGTGCGGTGGCTCATGCCTGTAATCCCAGCACTTTGGGAGACCGAGGCGGGCAGATCATGAGGTCAAGAGTTCGAGACCAGCCTGGCCAACATGGTGAAACCCTGTCTCTACTAAGAATACAAAAATTAGCCAGGCGTGATGGTGCATGCCTGTAATCCCAGTTGCTTGGGAGGCTAAGGCAGGGGAATTGCTTGACCCCAGGAGGCGGAGGTTGCAGTGAGCTGAGATCGCACCACTGCACTCCAGCCTGGGCAACAGAGCAAGACTACGTCTTAAAAAGAAAAAAAAATTAGGTGGGCATGGTGGCGGGTGCCTGTAGTCCCAGCTACTTGGGAGGCCGAGGCAGAAGAATTGCTTGAACTCAGGAGATGGAGGTTGCGGTGAGCCAAGATCATGCCACTGCACTCCACCCTGGGTGACAGAGTAAGACTCTGTCAAAAAGAAAAAAAAAAAGCACAGGCTCTTTTTTCTCCAGCTGGTCCACTTCCAGAATTTATCCTTAAATACTCCTGTCCTTGTGCAAAAGGATATAAACACTCATTCATTTATTGTGGCATTGCTTACAGTAGGGAAATGCAGGGAGCAGCCCTAATATCCACTGACAGGGGCCGGCCAAAGAAATTACGAGTCATTCATACAATGGAATGGCTTCCCACAGTTTCAGGAAATAAGGCAGGTCTTCATGTCCTGAAATGCAAGGATTTCTAGGATATACTGAGTAAAAAAAAGTAAGGTATACAAGTGGACGCATAGTGTGAGTGTGTGAGAGTGTGTGTGTGTGTGTGTGTGTGTATTGCTGGCAGAATTCACAATAAACTGGTCATGGGTTTGCCTCTGGAAGGGAAAATGGGTGGGAGGGAGATTCCCATTTACTGTATACACTTGTGGTATTTTTGTTTGTTTTGTTGCTGTTGTTTTGTTATGTGTGTGTGTGTGTGTGTGTGTGTGTGTGTGGTTTTGTTTTTGTTTTTGTTTTTGTTTTTTGAGACTGAGTCTTGCTCTGTTGCCTTGGTTGGAGTGCAGTGGCACGATCATGGCTCACTGCAACCTCTACCTCCTGGGCCCAAGCAATCCTCCCACCTCAGCCCCCCAAGTAGCTGGGATTACAGGTGCACACCACCACACCTGGCTAATTTTTCTATTTTAGTAGATTCAGAGTTTCACCATGTTGTCCAGGCTGGTCTGGAACTCTTGGGCTCAAGCTATCTGCCCGCCTCGGCCTCCCAAAGTGCTGGGATTGCATGTGTGAGCCACCATGCCTGGCACCCTTGTGGTATTCACGCCCTGGTATAGTTCTCTTCCACAGGGAATAGGATTTACCTCTGTAACCAACAGGATACTGTGGAAATGACAGAGCGTGGCTTCCAGGTCTAGGTCATAAAGAACATTGTGGCCTCTGCCTTGCTTCCTAGGATCACTCACTCCAGGGGAAGCTGGCTGCTGAGTCATGAAGAGGTCCATGCAGCCCTCCGGAGAAGCCCATGGGAGACACTGAGGCCTCCAGCCAACAGCGACCAACCCCTTGCTAGGGGTGAGGAAGACTCTTGGAAGACTGTTCAGCCCCAGAAAGCCTTGAGGTGATCATGGCTTAGACCAGCATCTTAGCTGCAACCTCATGGGAGACCTAGAGGCAGAGCCATCCAGCTGGGCCATTCCCTGGCTCCTGCCCTGCAGAAGCCCTGTGATACCGTATAAGTATGTATTGTTTCAAGCCACCAACTAGTTTTTTTTTCTTTTTAAAGACAGGGTATTGCTCTGTCACCCAGGATGGACTGTAGTGGTGCAATCATGGCTCATGTGCAGCCTCAAACTCTTGGGCTCAAGTGATCCTCCCACCTCAGCCTCCTGAGTAGCTGGGATGACAGGTGCATGCCCCCACACCTGGCTGGTTTTACTTTTTGTAGAGACAGTGTCTTAGCGTCTTACTATGTTGCCCAGGCTTCAAGACACTACATTTTGAGGTAATTTGTTAGGCAGCAACCGATAACTCATACATCGTGTTCTGTCTTTTGAATTTTGTACCTTTTGCATTTGTGCATCCTAACAGTGGTGGTGGTGATGATGATGATGATAACAATAACCTAATACATACCATCACCTTGTGTGATTGATAATTTGGGAATATTAAAACTGTGTAGACATGGGCTGGAGAGATGGGATCCACTGCAAGGGCAATGAGCCCTGCCCTCTGGAGGGACTGCACCTGAGTATTCAGAGAAGTGGAGGAGAGGCCTGACTTCCAGATGTGTGTGTGCTGTGGGCACCTGTACAGGCAATGAAAAACTCCTAGGTGTGAGGTTTTCACACTGGCTGCCTGCAGGTCCCACAGTTCCGTTTTGCTTGGCTAGCATGCTGGATTTTAAAAATCTAAACTTGGGCCGGGCACAGTGGCTCACGTCTGTAATCCCAGCACTTTGGGAGGCCGAGGTGGGTGGATCACCTGAGGTCAGGAGTTCAAGACCAGCCTGGCTAAAATGGTGAAACCCTGTTTCTATTCAAAATACAAAAAAATAGCTGGGTGTGGTGGTGTGCACCTGTAATCCCAGCTACTTGGGAGGCTGAGACAGGAGAATCACTTGAACCCAGGAGGCGGAGGTTGCAGTGAGCCGAGATCGCACCATTGCACTCCAGCTTGGGCAACAAGAGCAAAACACTGTCTCAAAAATAAATAAATCAATCAATAAATCTAAACTTGACATTCACCAGAATTGCTAAAATGATGAATGCTGACAATATGTGTAAAAAAATTATCAAACTAAGGCCGGGCACGGTGGCTTACGCTTGTAATCCCAGCACTTTGGGAGGCTGAGGTGGGTGGATCACGAGGTCAGGAGTTTGAGATCAGCCTGGCCAACATAGTGAAACCCGTCTCTACTAAAAATACAAAAATTAGCGGGGTGTGGTGGCACATGCCTGTAGTCCCAGCTACTCGGGAGGCTGAGGTGGGAGAACCGCTTGAACCCGGGAGGCAGAGGTTGCAGTGAGCTGAGACCATGCCATTGTACTCCAGCCTGGGTGACAGAGTAAGACTCCATCTCAAAAAAAAAACATTATCAAACTATACACATAAGATTCGTGCACTTTATTGTATGTATATTATACATCAATAAAATAAAATAGGATAAAAGCCCCCCTACCCAAAAATCTGAGCTTGAGTGCTCTTAGAGGATGTGCCCATCCTGCTCCTGCACAGCCCCCGGCTCCCTGCTGTCACCCACCTTGGCTGCCCTCCCTGAGGCCTCTGGAGGCTGACAAGTTTGCCTTGCATTTGCAGTTCCTGCAGGAGGTGCCCTCTCATGATGTTTCCTCTTTTTCCCGAAGCAGGGGCCCAGGTGCCTTTTCCAGAGTGCCCCTGGAGTTGGGGTTGGGTTGAGCAGCTCAGGACAAAGGAGAGCATGCATTATTAGGCTTTTTACCCCCACACTGTTCCCTGTCCCCATACTGTGGTGGCAGCCATGAAAATGCATGGCTCACCCTTCTGCTGTGAGAGTGTGGTTGACTGATAGCCCCACATGCTCTCTTTGGGGACCTACCACTGTGTTAGTGCCAGCGCCCAACTTCCTCCAGGCTGCTGCCAGTCAATGTCTGAGCATGATGGGTGCTGAGACTGGTCCATCTTTGTGAGATGTGGGACCTTGGGTTACCTTGACTCAGGGATTCCCCACTGGCCTGACTGACACTTTCTTGGAACTGTACTGCAGTTTGAGACTCTTCTTCCTTTCTCCTGGTGTCAGGCTGGCAAAGTCATCTGAAGGGTCTCTCCATCTTTTCTGACTACCTCTTCTTTATCCTTCACTGATGTCCCCAAGTCCATCTGTCTTGGTGTCTGCTTCTAGGAAGACCTTGACTAAGACACAGACACCAGTGGGTACTTCTCCTATCACTCAAGACTCCAATCTCTAGGCAGCTTTTAAGTCTCTAGATCCCCCACCTTTGTTCCTCCCCACTTTGCTTTCTGTTGCCCCAACCCTCACTGTCTCCTCTCCAGCTGAAGTGATGGGAGAGCTTTCATACGTCTTCTTTTCACATCTTAGGGATGTTTTCTTGAGACATAAAAATCACCATCTTTTTCATGATGCATTTTATTCCTGTTTCTTAAGACAAACTCCAGCAGCATCTTCATAAACGCCCCATAAAACCTCCTTGCTTATAATCCTTGGAAGACAGAAGCGGGGAGGTCTTTTATTCTGAGAAAATGGATAAAGAGAGCAAACTTCTGTCTTGGGAGCAAATGTCCCCATGATTATACCATTCTCCAGGAGGTGAAGGTAAACGCTTCCACAATGAATGGAAAAAAGGCCTCAAATCAATTATCTGAGTTTCCACCTTAAAAAAATGGGATAAAAAAGAACAAACTAAGTCCAAAGTATTTAGAAGAAAGGAAATAATAAAAATTGGAGTAGACATAAATAAAATAGGAAAACTAAAAAACAGCAAAGAAATCCCAAATCAGGATTTTTGAAAAGATTAATAAAATTGATATACTTCTAGTTGGACTGATGAAGAAAAAAGAGAGAAAACACAAATTACTAATATCAGGAATGAGAGGCAATATTACTATAGACCCTATAGACGTTAAAAAATAAATAGTATGAATAAATCTATGTCCATGAATTTGACAACTTAGATGAAATGAACCAATTCCTTGAAAAACATAAACCATTAAGACTTTCTTAAGAAAAAAGAGATAACTTGAAAAACATTATAGCTATTAAAGAAGTTTATTTTGTATGGAAAAGCCATACAACAACAACAACAACAACAAAGAGCTCCATGCCGGATGATCTCACTGGTGAATGTTATCAAACATTAAAGGAAGAAATTAATAACAATGCTACAAAATTTCTTCCGGAAAATTTTATGAGACCAGCATTACCTTAATGCCAAAGCCAGAACAAGACAGTATAAGAAAAGAAAATTGCAGACCAACATCCTTCATAAACTTAGATGCAAAAATCCTCAACAAAATATTAGCATATTAAATCTAGCAATATTTTTAAGAGATAACACAAGGTGACCAAGTTGGGTTTATACTAGGAATTCAAGGTTGATTCAACATTTTAAATAATCAATTAAGGTAATTCACCATATCAATAGGCTAAACATTGTTCCTAAAGTCCTAGCCAGTGCAATAAAGCAAGAAAAAGAAATAAAAGGCATATAAGTCAAAAAGAAATAAATTTTTCTCTATTGTCATATGATTTGCTGGTCTGCATAGAAAATCTCAAGGAATTTACAAGTACTTCCCAGAACTTATAAGTGAGCTTAGCAAGTACACAGGAACAAGGTCAATATGCAAAACCCAATTATATTTCTATATGTAGCAATAAAAAATTGAGAATAACAAATTTAAAAACAGTACCATCTACAACAGCACCAAAAGATGGAATGCTTTGCTATAAGTCTAACAAAACACATGCAGGATTTGTATGCTGAAAACTACAAAACATGAACTAAAGAAATCAAATAATTCAACTCTGACCCGGAGAAGACAAAAAAATTTTGAAAAATAAAGAAATCAAAGAAAACTTAAATAAATGTAGACATATAATACATACGTGGATTGGAAAACTTGATATTGTTAAAATTTCACTTCTCCCTAACTTGGTGTATATACATTCAACACAATCCCGATCAAAAGTGTAGCAGGTTTTTTTTTTTTTTTTCAGATATTGACAAAGTGATTCTAAAATTTATGGGAGGCCAGGTGCGGTGGCTCACATCTGTAACCCAACATTTTGGGTGGCCGAGGCAGGCAAATTGCATGAGCCCAGGAGTTCAAGACCAGTTTTGGCACTATAGGGAGACCTCTGCCTCTACGGAAATTACAAAAATTAGCCTGGCATGGTGGTGCATGCCTATAGTTGCTTGAACCTGGGAGGCAGAGTCCAATGAGCCGAGATGATGCCACTGTATTCTAGCAGCCTGGGTGATGTAGTGAGACCCTGTCTCAAACACACACACACACACAAACACACACACACCCTTTGTGGGAAAAGGCAAAGGAAGTAGAATCACCAAAACATTTCAGAAAAAAAGAGCAAAAGTGCAACACCCACTACTTCTCACTATAAAGCTGTAGTTATTGAGACAATGTGATATTTCTCGAAGGATATACAAATTGATCAATGGAACAGAATATAGAGTCCAACAATAGACCCACATGAATATGATCAATTGATTTTTAACAAAGGTGCAAACAGAATTAATGGAGGAAGAACAGTGCTTTCATCAAATGGTCCTGGAATAATTAGACATCCATATGCAAATAAATGTACCTTGACCTACATCTCATGCCTTATTGCTATGTTCTGGATGTTCCCCAAAATTCATGTGTTGAGACAATCCCCACTGTGGTGGAACTAAGAGGTGGGATCTCTTGTGAAGTGATTAAGTCACGCAGCCTCCACCCTCAGTAATGTATTAGTGCCTAATAAAAGGGCTGGAAGGAACTAGCTTAGACCCTTTACCCTTCCACTCTCTGCTATGTGAGAACACAGTGTTTGAGGCACCATCTTGGAAGCACAGACTGGGGCTTCACTGGAAACTCAATATGCTTGTACCTGCATCTTGGAGTTCACAGCCTTGAGAACGATGTGAAATATACTTCCATTATTTCTAAATTACCCCGTTTGTGGTCAAATGAACTAAGACACTTAAACAATAACAAACGCAAAATGAATTTTTGACCTGAGTGTGAAACATCAAACTATAAATTCTTTAGAAGAAAACATTGGAGAAAATCTTCATGACCTTGGGTTAGGCAAAGTGTTCTTAGACACCAAAAACATAATCCATAAAGAAAAAAGAAGATAAATTATGCCTCATCAAAATTAAACTTTGCTCTGTGAAAGACACTGTTAAAATAAAGAAAAGCCACACACTAGGGGTAAATATCTGCAAATCATATATCTGACAAAGGGCTTGTATTCAGAATATATGAAGAACCCAACAAAAAGAAAAAACAGCTTAATTTAAAAACAGACAAAATCTAGCCTAAGCAACATGGTGAAACCCTATTTCTACAAAAAATACAAAAAAATTAGCTGGGCATGGTGGCACACATCTTTACTCCTAGCTACTCGGGAGGCTGAGGTGGGAGAACAACTTGAGCCTGGGAGGCAGAGGTTGCAGTGAGCCACGATCGCACCACTGGACTTCAGCCTGGGCAACAGAGTGAGACCCTGTCTCAAAAACAGCACAAAATGAGCAAATATTTCAACAGACACTTTAGCAAAGAAGATATATGAATGACAAATAAAGGCATGAAAAATGCTCAAAATCATTAGACATTAGGAAAATGCAAATTAAAACCACAATGAGATACTATTATACTACATATCTATCTGAATGGCTATAAAAACCAAACCAAACCCATAATGCGAATACCAAGTTCTGGACAGTATGCAAGACAACTGTATCTTTCATACATTGCTACTAGGAACACAATAGGACACAACCACTTCAGAGACAGTTTGCCAGTTTCTTACAAAGTTAAACCTACTCTCCCCAGATGATACAGCAATCTCACACCTAGATGGTTACTCAAGATAAATAAAAACTTCCGTTCACACAAAAAATCCTGTTAACCAATGCTTTTAATAGCTTTATGGCTAAAAAACAAAAATTAGGCCAGACACGGTGGCTCATGCCTGTCATCCCAGCACTTTGGGAGGCTGAGGGGGTGTGGATCACCTGAGGTCAGGGTTCGAGACCAACCAGCCTGGCCAATGTGGTGAAACCCCGTCTCTACTAAAAATATAAAAGTTAGGCAAGCATGGTGGCACACGCCTGTAATCCCAGCTACTAGGGAGGCTGAGGCAGGAGAATCATTTGAACCTAGGAGGCAGAGGTTGCCATGAGCCAAGATAATGTCACTGCACTCCAGCCTGGGCAAAAAGAACAAAAAACAAACAAAAAAACCCCGCAAAAATTGGAAATGACCCAAATAGCCGTCAAGTGTGGAATGGATGAATAAAATATGGTATCCAAGCAATGAAATGAAGAGGACCTCAACCATAATAAGAAACAAACTACTAACCCAGCAATAAGAATGAATCTCAAACACATTATGCTAAGAGAAAAACTGCCAGACTCCAAGGGCTACATATTCTACGTTATCATTTCTATGGCACTCTCAAAAGGCAGAACTGTCAGGATGGATGACTGATCAGCAGTAGCTTCTGCTTGGGGGTGGGGTAGCCACAACGGGTAGCATGGGGCGGTGGGGGGGTGCGGGGGGGGAGCGGGTGGGAGTTTGGGATGATGGAAAACTCTTTTGTATTTTGATTGTGGGAGTTGTTAACCAAAAATAAAATTCAAAGGCCCCCTAACAGTCTAAATGGACCCCTCCTCTCAGCCAAGCCACTCCAAAATTAACCTGAAAAACGGGTTCAGGCCATGATGAGAGGACGTGCCTCATTATACCCTCCTCCCTCTTGGAATTCAGGAAAAGCTGACCAGCATTTATTAGGTTGCTACAAAAGTAATTGTGGTTTTTGTCATTAAAGGTCATGGCAAATTACTTTTGTACCTACTTAACATCAACACAGACCTTAAGTGTGCTAAGAAACATTTACAATCTCTTTTCTCTGAAGCCTGCTACCTGGAGGCTTCCTCTGCGTGATAAAATTTGATCTCTACAACCCCTTTTTGTAACCCAGACATTCCTTTCTATTGATAATAACTCTTTAAACCCATTGCAAATCAGACAATTTAAAAATCTACCTATAAGCTCGAGTCCCCCCACTTTCAGTTGTCCCACTTTTCTGGACTGAACCAATGTATATCTTGCATGATGTTTCCTGTCTCCTAAAAATGTACAAAACTAGGCTGGGCCCTGAACACCCTGGACACATGTTCTCAAGACCTCCTGAGGGCTGTGTCACAGGCCACTGGCCACTCATATTTGGCTCAGAATAAATCTGTTAAAATATTTTACAGAGTCTGATTCTTTTTTTAAACTCCTTTGAGATGGAGTCTTGCTCTGTCACACAGGCCTGCGGTACAGTGGTGTGATCTCAGCTCACTGCAACCTCTGCCTCCCAGGCTCCAGTGATTCTCCTGCCTCAGCCTCCTTAGTAGCTGGGATTACAGGCACACGCCAACACACCCAGCTAATATTTTATATTTTTAGTAGACATGGGGTTTCATCATGTTGGCCAGGCTGGTCTCAAACTCCTGTCCTCAAGTAATCGCCTGCATTGGCCTCCCTAAGTGCTGATAGAGGCGTGAGCCACCGCACCTGGCCAAGTTTGACTCTTTGTTGACAGAGTAGTTACACTACTTTATGTATTTGCCAAAACAAATAGAATTGTACACTAAAGAATTACATTTAATGTAAATTTTAAAATTTTTAAAGCAAAAGCAAATATTAGTAAAATGTATAACGTTGTCATTTGTAATTGAAATTCTCATAGCATATACAGCATTTCCCACATTTGTTCTTTACATGGTTGCTGATTAATTAGGATTTGTGTGTGTGTGTGTGTGTGTGTGCACATATGTTTCAAAAGTTTAATGTGTTAGAATTTTATATTTTATTTTTAGTATTTAAGGTTTTTTTTTTATTTCAATCGTTTTTGGGGAACGGGTGGTGTTTGGCTACATGGATAAGTTCTTTGGTGGTGATTTCTGAGATTTTGGTTCACCTTTCACCCAAGCCATCTACACTGTACCCAATGTGTAGTCTTTTATCCCTCACCCCATCCCACTCTTTCCCATGAGTCCCCAAACTCCACTGAATTATTCTTATGCCTTTGTGCTCTCATAGCTTTGATCCCACTTATGAATGAGAACATAAGATGTTTGCTTTTCCATTCTTGAGTTAGATCACTTTGAATAATAGCTGGGAGCAGTGGCTGACGCCTGTAATCCCAGCACTTTGGAAGGCTGAGGTGGGTGGATCACGAGGTCAAGAGATCGAGGCCAACATGATGAAATCCCGTCTCTGCTAAAAATACAAAAATTAGCTGGGCGTGGTGGCGCACACCTGTAATCCCAGCTACTCGGTAGGCTAAGGCAGGAGAATTGCTTGAGCCCCGGAGGCGGAGGTTGCAGTGAGCCAAGATTGCGCCACTGCACTCCAGCCTGGATACAGAACGAGACTCCGTCTCAAAAAAAAAAGAATAATGGTCTCCAATTCCATCCAGGTTGCTGGGAATGCCATTATTTCGTTCAATGTGTTAGAATTTTAAAAAACTGGCAAGGCCTTGGAGTTGGGGTTTGGTGGCCACCTAGGCACGAATGAAGGTCACACTGGAAATCTTCCAAGTTACCTATTGTTACAAGAGGGGGAAAAAAAAAGCAAGCACAAGGCCCGGCGCGGTGGCTCATGCATGTAATCCCAGCATTTTGGGAGGCCGAGGTGGGCGGATCACGAGGTCAGGAGTTCAACCAGCCTGGCCAACATAGTGAAACCCCGTCTCTACTAAAAATACAAAAATTAATTGGGCATGGTGGTGCGTGCCTGTAGTCCCAGTTACTTGGGAGGCTGAGGCAGGAGAATCGCTTGAACCCAGAAGGCAGAGGTTGCAGTGAGCTGAGATAGTGTCACTGCACTCCAGCCTGGCGACAGAGCGAGACTCCATCTAAAAAAAAAAAAAAGAAAAAAGGAAGCACAATCTGTCATTGCCTGAACCTCTCTCTCTCCTAATATGTTTTTGGGCAAGTTCCTCTAATGCCCTCCTAAGGGATTCTTCAGCTTTCCTGAGATGCTGGGGGTCAGAACTTCCCTTCTCTTTTCTGAAGTCACAAGAGGGAATTTCCTGGCTAAGAAGGCAGAGGAGGAAGCTCAACCTCGGAGCCTCCCTCTCCTAAACCTTCCCAAAGAGGACCCTGAATAAGTAAAAACAAGTAAATCACAAAATCAAAGACAAAAATAAAAAAACATAACCCACCCAAACAATAAAACTCCCAAACCTTTTATATCAAAAGAAATAGAGCGAAACTAGAAAAAATACACAAAACAAGAAACAACCCAGGCATAGAAATTGCCCCACAAAGCAAGGGCAAACTATCTTGCTAAAAATCTTTCAAAAGGGGCAACTAGAATTAAGAGAAACAAGATTCCAGAAATGAGCTTGGTCCTCTTTTCTTTTTTCCTTTTTTAAACTTTTTAAAAAGAGATGGGGTCTTGCTCTGTTGCCCCAGCTGGAGTGCTGTGGTACAGTTGTGGTTGAGTCCTGGGCTCAAGGAATCTTCCTGACTCAAACTCCCGAGTAGCTGGTACTACAGGCACATACCATACCTAGCTAATTTTTAAATTTTTTGTAGAGACGAGGTCTCATTATGTTACCCAGGGTGGTCTCAAACTCCTGGGCTCAAGCGATCCTCCCACCTTGGCCTCCCAAGTAACTGGGACTACACGTGTGTGCCACCATGCCCAGCTAATTTTTTTATTTTTATTTTTATTTCTGTAGAGACAGGATCTCACTATCTTGCCCAGGCTTGTCTCGAACTCCTGGGCTCAAGTGATCCTCCCACCTCGTCATCCAAAAGTGTTGGGGCTGCAGGCATGAGCCACTGCACCTGCCTGAGCCTAGTTCTTAACACGGCCCCCACCTCTCACCTCCAGCCTGGGCAACAGAGCAAGACTTGGTCTCAAAAAATAAATAAATAAAAATAAATAATAAAAAACTTGTTCTAAACAAACAACAGAAAAAACAACAGCAACAAGGAATCCTCAGATGTTCCATCAAATTAAATTGAAAGTTAAAAAAACCAAATGAAACATCGGTCCCCAAAGGCTTGTTGTGAATTCTCTGCCTTCACCTCTCCTTTCTTCTTGTCCCGGAGGCAGGCACTGGGATCTCTTTTAGCTATTTCATTTTAGCCATCTAGGGTTTTTAAAAGCCTGGAGTCTGCCTCAGACAGGACTGAGGGTTTCTGAGCATCTGGAGGCCCAGGGGACTGGGCATGAAGTGAAAGACTGAACAGCAGCTTCTTCAAGGTAGAGATGGGCAGAGCTCCAAGTGGATGAATTAACACCTGGGAACTGTCTAAGGCAGCATACGCACATAGCAACCATGCGTAAGGATCAGTTACTCTTATTACTGTTTCCTGTGTTGTGACCAGGGTGTGATTTTGGAATATCTATATCCTGTTTAAGAAAGTGAATGCCTGCCGGGCGCAGTGGCTCATGCCTGTAATCCCAGCACTTTGGGAGGCCAAGGTGGGCAGATCACCTGAGGTCAGGAGTTCAAGACCAGCCTGGCCAACATAGTGAAACCCCTTCTCTACTAAAAATACAAAAAATTAGCTGGGCGTGGTGGTGGGCGCCTGTAATCCTAGCTACTAGAGAGGCTGAGGCAAGAGAATCAGTTGAACCCAGGAGGTGGAGGTTACAGTGAGCCGAGATTGCGCCACTGCACTCCAGCCTGGGCAACAAGAGCAAAACTCCATCTCAAAAAAGAAAAAAAAAAAAAAAAAGAATCCCAGGCTGGGCACAGTGGCTCACACCTGTAATACCAGCACTTTGGGAGGCTGAGGTGGGTGGATCACCTGAGGTCAGGAGTTCGAGACCAACCTGACCAACATGGTGAAACCCCATCTCTACTAAAAATACAAAAAAAAATTAGCCAGGTGTGGTGGCACTATGCCTGTAATCCCAGCTACTCAGGAGGCTGAGGCAGGAGAATTGCTTGAACCCAGGAGGAAGAGGTTGCAGTGAGCCGAGATCCTACCATTGCACTCCAGACTGGGCAACAAGAGCGAAACTCCGTCTCAAAAAAAAAAAAAAAAGTGAATCCCTTGTTTTCTTTCTCTGGTATTAAGATTGCCCTGATTTCCCTGTCCTATCCCACATCCCCTACATCAGCATCAAGGTCACACAGGACCCCGGCTCTAGTCAGTCTCAATCAGAGGCAGGGTTTCACCTTGTCAAGAGCTCTTTGAATATCTGGAGTTCAAATCTCTTTACTCAATTTACTTATTCCTGAATTAATCCCATAAGGCATAGAACAGATTTTCTCAATGGGCAGCGTCTCATCAAACTCAAATCCAGCATGTATTTATTCTCTTTCAGTTTGAGACATTACTCAGTTCTAAGCTCAGAGAGGAGACTTCTTTTCAAGGTCATTGCATACGGTTGAGCAAGTTGGCCACTGCACAAACATGCCCAGCAGAGGTGAGAGCACTGAAAGGCAGCATTCACTCCACTTGGCAAGCTGCATCTCCTAGGCTGCACGAGCTGGATACACTTCTCACTCTTTTCACACACTTCCGAAGTGCCCATGCTCTTTCGTGTTCCTGCTCTATCTCTTGGCACGATACAATTTCTCTCTGTGGTTTTGGCTCCCTGGCTATCAGGCCCGGGGACAGGAAATTGGGCTCCGTTCCCGTTGTGCACACCCACAGTAGTGGCTCAACACAGTTTTTGGCTGATTTGGGTTGAATTTCTCTTTAGGGGTGAAGGAAATCAAAATATTTCACCCCAAAATACACTTCTTTGACATATTCTGAGATGACTGTTCAGAGGGCCTGTGAACAGAAGTGGCAAAGCTGTCTTTTATGTGGGAGATTTGCATCTATAGAAAAAACATCTGCACTAATGCAGCCAGGTTTTCTCTGAGTCTCTTCCCTGTCCAGATCTAGGAAAGAATCTGACGCCTTTAAAAGTCTTTAGGAAACACCATCTATTCTGAGGACTGCTACCTGGGAGGCTTCATCTGCATAACAAGCCCACCTATGCTAGCCAGGACTTCTCTTCTTCCCCTCCAATCCCTCCTTGCCGCTATAACCTGATTTGCCGCTATAACCTGATTTGCTGCCATAAGCCATTTTTGGACGTGCTCTGAGTGCCCCCTCTGCCTGTTTTTTCTGTAACCCCAACATGGCATATAAGCTTCTGTACAGCACGGTGGGTAGGATAATCACTCTGTGGTTCTCCTCCGCGTGCATGTTAATACATGTGCATGCCTTTTCTCTAATTAATCTGCCTTGTTCAGTTGATTTTCCAGCAAACCTTCAGAGGGAGAAGGAGAAATTGTCCCTCGGCCCCTACAGTTTTGGCACTGTGAGCAGGAGACTGACACCATTCTGCTCTCCTGGGAGCTGCAGTGAAGGAAACCCAGGACCTGACAAACTGGCAGAAGGGTAAGAATTTCTTACCAGCCGGGCTCCCAGCCTCTCTCTGTAAAATCCAGTCAAGCAAATAGTAAAAATGACTGTCGTTTTTCTCTCTGCAAAATTTTGATTGATGGGAGAAAAGGATTTGTGTGGCTAGTCTTGGGTGTGGCAACTCTGGTGTACTTTTTGGTAGGAATATTACTATTGTTTGATCTTTTTTCCTCCCAGAAATAGTCCTTTCCTTTGTTTTTGTCTTTTTTTGTTGCTCTGTCATAACAAGGGGTCCCATAGTGTTACCGGAAAGCGGTCCCGATCCAGACCCCAAGAGAGGGTTCTTGGATCTCGCGCAAGAAAGAATTCAAGATGAATCCATAGAGTAAAGTGAAAGTAATTAAGAAAGTAAAGGAATAAGGCCGGGCGTGGTGGCTCATGCCTGTAATCCCAGCACTTTGGGAGGCGGGTGGATTACTTGAGGCCAGGAGTTCAAGATCACCTTGGCCAACATGGTGACCCCATCTCTACTAAAAATACAAAAATTAGCCGGGCATGGTGGCAGGTGCCTGTAATCCTAGCTACTCAGGAGGCTGAGGCAGGAGAATCGCTCAAACCTGGGAGGTGGAGGTTGCAGTGAGCTGAGAGCACGCCAGTGCACTCCATCCTGGGTGACAAGAACGAAACTCTGTCTCAAAAAAAAAAAAAAAGAAAGAAAGGAAAAGAAAGTAAAGGAATAAAGAATTGTTACTCCGTAGGCAGGGCAGTACGGAGGGCTGCTGGTTGCCTATTTTTATGTTATTTCTTGATTATATGCTAAACAAGGGGTGGGTTATTCATGAGTTTTCTAGGAAAGGCCTGGGTAATTCCCGGAGCTGAGGGCACCTTCCCTTTTTAGACCATATAGGGTAACTTCCTGACGTTGCCATGGCATCTGTAAACCATCATGGTGCTGGTGGGAGTGTCTTTTAGCATGCTAATGCATTATACCTAGCGTATAATGAGCAGTGAGGAAGACCAGAGGCCACCTTCATTGCCATCTTGGTTTTGTGGGATTTGGCCGGCTTCTTTACTGCATGCTGGTGTTTTGTTTTGTTTTGTTTTTGAGACGGAGTCTTGCTCTGCGGCCCAGGCTGGAATGCAATGGCTCGATCTCGGCTCACTGCAACTTCTGCCTCCCGGGTTCAAGCGATCCTCCTACCTCTGCCTCCCGAGTAGCTGGGATTACAGGTGGCTGCCACTACGCCCGGCTGAATTTTGTATTTTATAGTAGAGACGGGGTTTTACCATGTTGATCAGGCTGGTCTCGAACTCCTGACCTCAGGTGATCCGCCTGCCTTGGCCTCCCAAAGTGCTGGGATTATAGGTGTGAGCCACTGCGCCCGGCCTGCATGCTGTTTTATCAGCAAGTACTTTGTGACCTGTATCTTTTGCCGACCTCCTGTCTCATCCTGTGATTATGAATGCCTTAACCTCCTGGGAATGCAGCCCAGTAGGTCTCAGCCTTATTTTACCTAGAGAGCCTATTCAAGATGGAGTCACTCTGGTTCAAATGTCGCTCTGCCAATGTGGGGGACACAATGCAGAACGCTCTCAAGCTGGTTGTTCCAGCCAGCCCTGCAGACTGGTCAGTTTGTTTTTCTGGTTGGGCTGGAATATAAACTTCACTGTTGGTCCCCAAAATAAAAACCAGATGAGGTTCCTTCTCATCTTGTTTTATGTTCTTGAGAGCTTGACTTATGACCAAGTGGGAACACTCTCTTGTCTCTGCCTCTGGGGACTGATATTAATAGGTCATGTCAGGTGGCCAGTCTGAAAATGGCTGGAAGTCCGAGACATGTTAAGATTTTAAGCAGCACATATCTTGTTCTGAATGTGTCAAGCTCTCAGGAAAGTTTATCTTAAGAGATCCCATCCTGGCTGGGCACGGTGGCTCATGCCTGTAATCCCAGCACTTTGGGAGGCCGAGGTGGGCAGATCACTGGAGGCCAGGAGTTCGAGACCAGCCTGGCCAACATAGCGAAACCCCGTTTCTACTAAAAATACAAAAATTAGCTGGTCGTGGTATTGCACACCTGTGATCCCAGCTACATGGGAGGCTGAGGGATGAGAATCACTTGAAACTGGGAGGTGGAGGCTGCAGTGAGCTGAGATTGAGCCACTGCACTCCAGCCTGGGTGACAGAGGGAGACCCTGTTCCCCCCTGCACCCCCCACCACCAAAAAAAAAAAAAAAGAGATCTCATCCTAGGTGACTTCTGTTGTCTCAACCCTTGTTGCCTCGTTAGTCCTGGGAAAACCCAATCCTAGGAGGGCCTGCCTGGTTTCACAGATTAACGAGTTTGTGTCTGGTGGCTCTCCACAAATTTGTGGGTTACTGGAGGCATCTTACGTGCAAACATCATCCTTAACCATCTGTGGCAACAAGAGTCTTTTGTGGTTATGTATGGTGGCTCATGCCTCTAATCCCAGCACTTCGGATGGCAGAGGTGGGAGGATCACTTGAGGCTAGGAGTTTGAGACCAGCCTGGGCAACATAGCAAGATCCTGACTCTACAAAATGTAAAAAAAATTAGCCAGGCATGGTGGTACACACTTGTGGCCTCAGCTACTTGGAAGGCTGAGGTGGGAGGATCACTTAAGCCCTGGAGTTTGAGGCTGCAGTGAGCTATGATCATGCCACCATACTCCAGCCTGGTGACAGAACAAGATGCTGGCTCACAGGAAAAAAAAAAAAAAAAGAGTCTTTTTCTATGTTAGACTATTCCTAGGAGTGAATTTTTTTGGAGGAAATCTTTGATATTGCCTTCTCCAGGAAACAACTTGTTTTAAACCTGGAAAATCACACCCTGGGGTTTCCATGAAGAGGCTATTGGATTGAGTCACTATCGGAAGAAGTACACCCTAGGAAATTCTCATTAGTGGCCAAAAGATGGATCCTTTCAATGAGAAAAACTCCTAAATCTTAAAAAAATTAGAGATCTCTCATTCTAAACAATTGCTTTATTTGTATTTATGGGAAGATTAAATGAAAGGAAGAATATAGTGTCACGGCTAGCCTTAGCAACTCTCTCAGCTCAATTAAAGAGTAAAAATCTCACTTAAAACAAAGTTACAATCCTTTGTCTGCTAAACCACCCACGGTGGGTCCCCTGTGGGACTCACAGTGAAGGCTGCTCCACCTTGTAGTTTAGCTAAAATTCCATGCTCCCTCTGCCATGGCCTGGATTTGCTTTCCAGTTAGGGAATCAGTCCCTTTTAGTTTGACATTTGTATGACCTTTGACTTTGGGGGTATCCATTTGTTATTGATCCTTTTCCACAGATAGCTTTTGATTTCCTGTCTGTGGGGAGATACGGGACTTTAGAGCCTTTGTGTGTAGATGGTTAGCTGAGAAGCTGAGACCCTAACAGCTACCAAAACTCTCCTTTCTTTCCCCTCCTTCTCCTTCTCCTCCTCTTTCTCCTCCTCCATCTTCTTCTTCCACTTCTTCTGCTTCCTCCTCTTCCTCTTCTTCCTCTTTTTCTTCTTTCCTCCTCCTTCACCTCCTTCTTCTTTTCTCCTCCTCCTCCTCCTCTTCTGCTTCTCTTTCTTCCTTTTCTGACAGCGTCTTGCTCTGTTGCCCAGTATGGATTGTAATGGCAGACTCATGGCTCACTGCAGCCTCCACCTCTTGGGCTTAAGTGATCCTCCCACCTCAGCCTCCCAAGTCGCTGGGACCAAAGGTGTACACCACCACGCTCAGCTAATTTTAATTTTTTTTTTTTGTAGAGATGAGGTCTCCCTATATTGCTCAGGCTGGTCTCGAACTCCTGGGCTCAAGCAGTCCTCCCACCTCGGCCTCCCAAAGTGCTGGGATTTCAGGCATTAGCCACTGTCCCCAGCCGTTTCTTTTCTTTGAGATGTCTTTTGGGGTGGTTCTGGATCTTGTGAAGTAGGAGGGTACCTTTGGTAAAAAAGTGAAAAAGCCAGGAATTTGTCTTGGGTAAAAACTGATAATTAGAAATTTGAAAAGTTTTCTTTCTTTCTTTATTTAAGAGATGGAGGTCTCACCTTCTTGTCCAGGCTCGTCTTGAACTCCTGGGCTCAAGTGATCCTCCCACCTTGGCCTCCCACAGTGCTGGGTGTTACAGTGGATGGCAGGGCAAAAGAGGACCCCACCCCACCAGGAATGTCAGGCGATCATCAGGTGATGGTCAGGCAGTTGTTACACTGTCTCTCTAAAATAATAATTGGTCGCAGCCAGTGCCAGGGAAAGGCGGTCTCCCTATAGATAGAAAAAACCTGAAGCTGGTCATCAGCAGCTTCTCGATAAGATCCCAGAAGTTGGGGCCGGGCGCAGTGGCTCACGCCTGTAATCCCAGCACCTTGGGAGGTGGGCAGATCACGAGGTCAGGATATCAAGACCAACCTGACTAACACGGTGAAACCCATCTCTACTAAAAATACAAAAAAATAGCCAGGCGTGCTGGCATGTGCCTGTAGTCCCAGCTACTCGGGAGGCTGAGGCAAGAGAATCGCTTGAAGCCGGGAGGTCGAGGTTGCAGTGAGCCGAGATCACGCCACTGCACTCCAGCCTGGGCGACAGTGAGAGACTCCGTTCTTAAAAAAAAAAGAAAGAAAGAAAGAAAAAAGAGTCAGCACGGCGGATTGGAAATCCCCCATCATTAAAAAAAAAAAAAAAAAAAATCTCAGGAGTTGGGCAGCTGGGCTCAATCACGCACATTAAGAGGCAAAATGGTGGTGTTTAACTGGTCTATGGCCTTCGCCTAGGAAGGCTAGATTATGGGGAGAACGCCTCAAGTGAGCATGCGTACAACTCCAGTAAACACACTGCGCATGCTCCTCTCCCAAGCGCTAGCAGGCCACGGTGCCTGTGGACAGCCCAACCCACCGGCAACATCAGGGGAGAAGTGCTGTAAGACCCCACAGGTATGCCGACGTGTAAGACCCCAAGTCAAAAGGTGAAACCCCGCACTTGTCCTTCAAGTCGCCTGCTTGGGCCTCTTCCAAGTGTACTTTCTTTACTTTTGTTCCTGCTCTAATAAACTTCCACTCCTGCTCTGAAACTTGCTTTGGTCTTTTCTTCTGCCTTCCGCCCCTCATTCGAATTCTTTCTGCTGGGGAGGCAAGAATTGAGGCTGCTGCAGACCCGTACGGATTCGCCGCCGGTAACATATTTTGGGGAACACGGATAACTTCCACTACTAACACTGGGATTACAGAAGTGAGCCACCGTGCCTGACCTGAAACGTTTTTGTTTGTTTGTTTTGTTGTTGTTGTTTTTGAGACAGACTCTCGCTCTGTCTGTGGCCCAGGCTGGAGAGCAAAGGCGCCACCTCGGCTCACCGCAACCTCCGCCTCCCGGATTCAAGCTATTCTCCTGCCTCAGCCTCCCGAGTAGCTGGGATTACAGGTGCCCACCACCCCGCCCAGCTAATTTTTGTATTTTCAGTAGTGACGAGGCTTCATCGTGTTGGCCAGGCTGGTCTGGAACTCCTGACCTCAAGTGATCCACCTGCCTCAGCCTCCCAAAGTGCTGGGATTACAGGCATGAGCCACTGTGCCTGAGCTCTGAAAAGTTTTTTTTTTTTTAAAGAGCTCTACGGGCAGAAGTCAGCTTAATTGAAAGCTGATATTCTATATATTCATTAATACTGTGCATTCATGAGCTGGGAGGGTGGTGCTCCCAACTCCACGGGAACAGAAGCTCCTGTGCTTGGGGACCCTTCCCAGCCTGGCTGTACATACCCCTTCATCTGGCTGTTTATTCTTTTACAATAGCCTGTGTGATAAACTGGTGAATGTGTTTCCCTGGGTTCTGTGAGCTGCTCTGGCAAATTAATTGAACCCCAGGAAGGGGTTGTGGGAACCCCGATTTATAGTCAGCAGGGCAGCAGCACAGGAAGAATAACTGGAGTTTGCAATTGGCCCCAGAAGTGGAGGCAGTGTTGGGGATGGACCCCTCACCTGTGGGATCTCCAGGTAGATGGTGTCAGAATTGAAGTAAAGGACACCCTGTTAGCGTCCGCTGCAGGACCGATTGCTTTCTGGGTGTGCGGGGAAAACCCCCTCATATTTGGTCAGTCTTCTGTGTTGATTATCGTGGGGGAGAGCAGAGGAAAAATAGTTTGTGTTTTTTCCACTCAAGTAGCAATACCAGTCACTTACCGGGCATTTGCGATGTGCTAGGCAGTGTGCTAAGTGCTTCCATAGACAGTGCACTCAAGCCTTACAACATCCCGGTGAAGTTAGTTCTATGACCAATCTCATGGTTGATCTCTTCGCAGATGAGAAGAGTTTTAAGGACTTTCCCAAGTGGCAGAGCTGACACTCGCATCTGGGCTGTCTGACTCTAGAGCACTTGCCCTGGGCTGTTCATGTGCATGAACCAGGCCTCACCTTACCTGGGGCACGTCTGCTTCTCTCTGGCAAGTTCCTATATGGTCATTCATTCATGTTCTGTCTTTGTCTGGACATCATCTCAAATTCTTTTTTTTTTTTTTTTTTAGAGAGACAGAGTCTTGCTCTGTTGCCAGGCTGGAGTGCAGTGGCGCAATCATAGTTCACTGCAGCCTCGAACTCAAGCAATCCTCCTGCCTCAGGCTCCCAAGTAGCTGGGACCACAGGTGTGTGCCATCACACCTGGATAACTGATATTTTTTGTAGAGACAGGGGTCTTGCTATGTTGCCCAGGCTGGTCTTGAACTCCTGGCTTCAAGTGATCCTTCCGCTTCCGCTTCCAGATTATCTGGGATTATAGACATGAGCCACTGCGCCCGGCCCTTAGCTTTTCATAGGGGTTTCTATCCCTTACCCCCTTACCCTCCTGCATTCCCTAAATCTTCCTACTCCTGTCTTTATGCTTGCTAGATTTTTTCTTTTTGAGACAGAGTTTTGCTCTTGTTGCCCAGGCTGGAGTGCAGTGGTGTGATCTCTCTCGGCTCACCACAACCTCCACCTCCTGGGTTCAAGTGATTCTCCTGCCTCAGGCTCCCTAGTACCTGGGATTACAGGCATGTGCCACCATGCCCGGCTAATGTTGTATTTTTAGTAGAGACGGGGTTTCTCCATGTTGGTCAGGCTGGTCTCAAACTCCCAACCTCAGGTGATCCCCCCGCCTCGGCCTCCCAAAGGGTTGGGATTACAGGCGTGAGCCACCGGGCCCGGCCCATGCTTGCTAATTTAATTCAAATATAACCAGGGTCTCAAATAGCCTAGTCCCTGTGTGTATCATAGTCAGAGAAGGATCGATCTACATCACAAAATAATTGAAAGTATTTATAAGTCTGTACTCTGTTTCTTGAAGAAATGCCACAAGAAAACATATATTCTTAAGGCTCAGCAAATGTTTAAAACTCCTTCCTCTCCATCTGCTTGTTCCATCCTCCTAGCTGATGGTGACGGATCTTCGAGACTCCTTTTCTTCGCCATTCTTGTCTCCCAGTTTCCCAAATTCTCCCCAGTGCTCAGCCAGGGCGGCTTACCATTTCCTTACCTTCTCATCTTGTTCCATCTCAGCCGTTTTATTACGTAGGTCAATTTCACCTCTCTAGTGTCTTGGGTTTTCTTTTTCCTTCATTTATTATCCAGACCTAGCACAGTGAAGGCTAGGCCAGCGCATGACCCAGAAAGCAAAAATTCCTTCCCCTGGTAAGCTGACTGGGGGCAGGACGGGGGGAGAGAGAGAGAGAGAGAGAAGCCTCAGAATTCCTAGCCATGCATGCTTGTAGGTTGTAGCATTAGTGAGATGAATTGAGCTGCCCTGGGAGTGAGCGTGGTTGCTTGCTCCTGGCAGGACAGGAGAAAATATCTCCAAGTAAGGGTCCCTCGCATCCTTCTTGTTTGTGTCTCTGCTGAAACATCCCATTCGCTGTGTACGGGGACCCATTTTTTGTTAAGGATGTCAGCCTCCATTCCATTGTGGGCCACCCATGGGTTCCGCCATGTGAGCAGATGTGGTGAAGGAAGGGTGGGGGGCTGAGCTCTGGCCCTGACAGCCAGCATTGGTGTTTTCTTCTTCTCCAAGCAGCACCACAGCTTTTCTCCCCCACTGCCTGCAGACTTTTTATAATAGCAATAAGACAGCACTGGAGAAGCTCATCTTGTACGAACTCCGGGGAGTAATCATCTCATCACATTCCGGGCTGATTTGAGGCACTCATCTGGACCAAATGCCTCCCCACACCCCGGGAGCAGTTTTATGAGGCAGCAGCCAAGCCCCATCGAGGCTTATTGCTTAATTAAAAACAAATTCCCAAGTAATTTATTTTTTTTTGTTTTTCATTTTTTTCTTTTTTCTTTTTTGGCCTTCTCATAAAACCTCCAGCCACACAAAGGGTGTGGGAGAAGTCCAGAACTCAGGAGTGGAAGCTGAGATGTATGGCCCCAGTCGCTGTGCCGGCCGCTGTGCCACTTGGGGTTAGGCTGGTGTGAAATAGAAAGTCTTCCCGTGGGGCCAGACCCTGGGGAACTCTTAGAGAGGGAGGGATGTGGCAGAGGGGCACGTCAGGCAGGAAGTCATCCCTCAGCCCCTGACCTGGGGCTTTAGCATGACTGCTGAGAGTTGTGACAGCCCCTTCAGAATGCCACCACTCCCACTGGGGCCTTGCCAGGTAGAAAGGCACTTATCTTTCTGGGCTCCTGGGGAAGGCTTTAGTGCCTAAGGCCAGAGAGTCAGAGGGAGGCCCACTTCTCTGGGCTGCACCCACCCCTGCTTGGCTCTTCAAAGGTATCGTCTGAGCCCTAGGAGAGCCTGGCCTGGGACCAGGGGCCTGCATACCCACAGCCCAGCCCTGCCATGACTCAGGGTGACTTTGGGCCACTCGTTTTTCCTTCCGGGCCTCAGTTTCCCCATTGAACACGGAGAACAGGTCTTATTTGTCTCACAAGGTGATGAGGGAACCAGAGTAGCCAACAGAGCTGGATGAGCTGGGGCTTCCCTCCCACTTGCAGGGCACGAGGAAGACAGTGCTGGCCCTGGGTTTGTTTCAGACAAGGAGCCAGGAGTCCCAGCTGCCTGGCAAGGCCGGGGGGAGAGGGGCTCTCACTCCTTCTACCAGGAGTCAGTGGGAGGCAGAGAGGCCAGGAAGTGAGGGGGGAGGCAGCAGAAAGAAGTGTGTGTGCTTATATGTGTGGGAGGGTTGATCGCAAGTGTGCACATGTGTCTGTGCATGTGTGTACATGCATGTGGGAGTGTGTGTGTCCAAAGGCCCAAGTGTCTTTGTGCATTTGTCTGTGAATGGAGATTCGCATAGAAAACCACATACTCAGCCAGGTATGAGTGGCTCATGCCTGTAATCCGAGCAGTTTGGGAGGCCGAGGCAGGTGGATCACTTGAGGTCAGGAGTTTCACCTGGCAAGCATGGTGAAACTTTGCCTCTACTAAAAATACAAAAATTAGCAGGGCGTGTTGGTGGGCTCCCATAGTTCCAGCTACTCAGGAGTCTGAGGTGGGAGAATCTGAACCTGGGAGTTGGAGCTTGCAATGAGCTGAGATGGCGCCACTGCACTCTAGCCTGGGCGACAGAGCGAGACTCAAAAGAAAAAAAGAAAAAAAAGGTACATACTCTAAGGCCAAGCTGCCAGGCTTCAAATGCATTACTCTGAACAAGTGACTTAACCTCTCTGGGCCTCAATTTTCTTATCTGCAAAGTGGGATTGATATCTGGACCTCATGGAGTGGTTATAAGGATTAAATTAGTTAATATATGGAAAGTGCTCAGAATAGTGTCTGGCAAGTGCTACGTGAGTGTGTGTGCATCTCTAAGTGCATGCGTGTGTGCATGCACACCATTGCAAGGGTGTCTGTGAGCACATGTGTGTCTAGTGTAAAGGATATTCGTGTACGTGTGTGCATGTGTGTATGAGCAGACCTGTATCTATGCCTGCAGATGTGTATGGGTGTGCACTTGTGTGTGTGTTACGGGGTGTGTGTGTGTCTGTGGGTGAATAGGAGCTCCTCCGCTCTGTTGACAGTTCCCCAGGACCTGAAGGGAATCCTGCATGGTGTGGAAGACACTCACACCCCAGGCAGGCACTTGCCCTGGCCTCCACTGGGCCCTAGGTCTTCTGGCTTGGTGGATCAGAGCTCTCTGTGCCAGGGCCTGGGGCCTGACTCCAGCACACAGTGAGGAGATACTTTGCCTTCTTTGTCACTCGTGGGGCATTTCTCTTCTCAGGGACTCCACAGGGGGCAGGGCTAATGTTCTGGAAGGATTCAGATCACCTTAAGCCACATTTCTAACTGGCTCTAGGTTGCACAGCTAGCCACTGGCTACGTGGGGGATTAGTGCCATGAGGCCAGAACTTGGACAGGGGCCTGGGTGACAGTCACCAAAGCTCTGACCTAGGGAACAAACTGAGCTGGAGCAGGAGCTGCGTGAGAGCCCAGGTGTGACAAGATAGCTGGGACACAGGACAACAAGTTCTCTTTCCTGAGATGAGCTGCTAAGGACCTAAAGCCACAGCCTCTCTCATTAAGGTCAGACACAGGGTGGCCATAAGTGTGATTCCTGGCTCTGAATTGCAAGTTAGGGCTTCTTTTCTTGCACCCCCCCCGGACTAACCCAGCTGGGCTTTCCAGGTTAGCAGAAGAGGCCTTAAAGGCAGTACGGTTTTGTATTTATTTATCTTTAAAATGTGCATAGATCCATGCACAGAGGAAGAAGCAGAGCCTTCTGACCCGCCCAGGAGGCCTCCCTCAGGCACTCTCCCCAGCATCAGCTCCCTGGGGATTACCACTCTCTGCCTCCCTTTACCATGCCACGCATTTTTGAACTTTATGTGTATGGGACCATTGAGTGTGTATTTTTGTGTGTCTGTCTTCTTTCTGTCCATGCTGTGTTTGTGAGAACTGTCCACATTGTTGGTGAGGCAATAGCTTGTTCATTCACATGGCTGTATGGATTTCTGTTTGTGAATATTCCATTATCAATTTCCATTCATAAATGAACTACACTCCATTTGTCTATATGTCCAGGCTGAACATCCAGGCACTTTACATGGGACACGACTAATAATGCTCTAGGAACATTCTGGCCCATGTCTTTGGGTGAACATAGGGACCTGTTTCTGATGGGTAAATATCTGAGAGCAGAATTGCTGGGCCAGAGGTAATGCATGTCTTTGCTCTCATAGATACTGCTATAGTTTTCCAAAGTGGTTGTACCAATTTGCCAGTCCACCCACAGGGTATGAGGCTTTCAGTTGCTCCAAATTCTTGCTAGCCCTTGCATTGTTTTTCCTTTTCGTTTTAGCTGTTTTTGTGGGTTTATAATAATGTAATGTGGTTTTGGTTATAATTTTTTTTCTTTTTTATTTTTTTGAGTTGACTTGACAGGTGATTAAATAGAATTTCTTTAATGACAAATGAGGTTGAGCTTCTCTTCCTACGTTTATTGTCCATTTGCATCTTTTTGCTCATTTTTCCATTGACTTATCTGCTTTTTCCTTATTGATTTGTAAGACTTTAAAAAATAGATTCTGGATATGAATTGATTGTTGGATATGTATATTGTAAATATCTTGTCCCACTCTATGGCTTGACTTTTCTCTCACTTAAGGCAGTGTTTTGATAAAAAAAAAGTTTTTAATTTTTAAGTTCTTAACTTTTATGTTGGATAATACATTTTTTAAGTCAAACTAGAAATACACAGTGAGATTTTTGGCTGATATATTCTTTTATTTTCCACTTTTCAATTATGCCTTTATCTAGGTATATGCTATTTAGAAGCAAGGACTTCTTAAAAATTACATGTGCTATGAAATTGTCCAACTCAAGTCACATTTTCTAATAGACTTAAATTTTTTTTTTTTTTTTAGAGATAGGGTCTCATTCTGTCATCCAGGCTGGAGTGCAGTGGCACAGTCATGGCTAACTTCAGCCTGGAACTCCTGGGCTCAAGCAATCCTCCCACCTCAGCCTCCTGAGTAGTGGGGACCACAGGTGCACACCATAGCCAGCTTCCCATAGCGTTTTTTCTTCTTCTTTTCTTTTTTTTGAGACAAAGCCTCACTCTGTTGCCCAGGCTGGAGTATAGTGGCACAATCTCAGCTCACTGCAACCTCCACCTCCCAGGTTCAAGCAGTTTTCGTGCCTCAGCCTCCCAAGTACCTGGGATTATAGGTGCGTGCCACCACGCTTGGCTGATTTTTTTAGTTTTTATTTTTAGTAGAGATGGGTTTTGTCATGTTGGCCATGCTGGTCTTGAACTCCTGGCTTCAAATGATCTGCCTGCCTTGGCCTCCCAAAGTGCTGGGATTACAGGTGTGAACTACCACGCTCGGCCATCCTACAGACTTTAATATTAAAAATAAGTGATGAGTCTTCTAGAAATAATTTTGTTTGAAATTATGAAAAACCACTGGGAAAAAGTAGCAAACCTTTACATGAGAAGTCATGATTTGTGCAAGATGAGTGTGGCTGATATTGGGGTACAAACCAGGGATAACTTGTTCACAGAGCTGAAAAGAAAACAGTTCTTTTCTCTATTTTTAGAATTCTCAATTGTCTCCTGGGATTACAATTCCTATAGACTAGCTGAGCCCACACACTTTTCTTCCACTTGCTTTCCTCCCCTCTCATCCCCATCATCACTTCAGAAATGAGAGCCAAGTGGCCAAAATCAGCTCTTGGAAGATTGCAATCAAGAGCAGAGATCTTAAACCACTTCAAAAAAAGGCAGCCCTTCCTGGGAAATTGAAGGGTCATTCATTAGTATCTGCAGAAAAACATTCCAGAGAAGAGACTGCAAAAAGCCACTGTCGCAGAAGGGGAGGACTTGACTGTTGATCACGGTGGGCACCCAAAGGGTACCGGAGCAGGGACTCCCAGAGGGTGACCACAGAAAGGCAGGTGGTCCAGGGGTCTCTCGGCTTTTCTTCTTCTTCTTCTTCTTTTTTTTTTTTTAAGATGGAGTCTCGCTCTGTTGCACAGGCTGGAGTGCAGTGGCGTGATCTCAGCTCACTGCAACTTCCGCCTCCCAGGTTCAAGAAATTCTCCTGTCTCAGCCTCCTGAGTAGCTGGGATTACAGGTGCCCACCACCAGGCCCAGGTAATTTTTGTATTTTTAGTAGAGATGGGATTTCACCATATTGGCCAGGCTGCTCTCAAACTCCTGACCTCAGGCGATCCACCCACCTCGGCCTCCCAAAGTGCTGGGATTACAGGTGTGAGCCACTGCGCCCAGCCTGGCTTTTCTTCTTTGAGGAGTTAGCAGGGCCTGGTGGTGGCCTGGAATGACCCCACTGAATTTGTGTAGTTTTGTTGGGGAAAGCAGTGGCTCAGACATCCTGGGTTCAAATCCCTACTGTTCCATCTTCCCAGGGGGGGACAAGCTCCTGAGGCTCACGGGTGAATCTGGATGTTCCTAATTGCCTCTTGAAGCTGTTGCTAAGATTTGAAGGGGTTACCTGTAGAGCACTCAGTAGTGACTTAATCAGTGCTCTGTAGGAGGCACTGCTGGTGCCCTGCCCATAGCCTGCAAATTAAAGTTTCTGCATCTTTTTACCTGAGGGCATTCTGCAAAGCTCCAGTGTGCAACTGTGCCTACCTCATGGTCATCAGGAAATGCCAGGGGATTAACACCTTCTGGGATGGCCCCTACCAAGTGGCACTGGTGGATCAATACCCCAACTCCTTCACCTCAGATGGGATCATGGAATGGGTGTTTTATGCAGTCTCCCAGAGTACCAGGGAGGCCTTGGACCTCCAGAATGCTGAGAAGATGGCTGCTGCGTCACTTCCGCCTCCCAAATCTCAGGGAATGTCTCTTGTGGCCCAACCCATGCGAACTGGGAACTGCATAGGGAAGGACATGCTGGGAAATGCAGCTGCAGCTCATGTGGGTCCACACAATACCAATCCTCCCCAAGGACCCCTCATTAGGCTGCACCTGTTACTTCAGGAGCTCAGAGGAATGGATACATTATTATTATTATTGCCACCCAGCATCCAGCTCCCTCCTTTTAAAAAATAGCACCTTGGCTCGGTGCAGTGGCTCACACCTGTAATCCCAGCACTTTGGGAGGCTGAGGTGGATGGATCACTTGAGGCTAGGAGTTCGAGACCAGCCTGGCCAACGTGGTGAAACCCCATCTCTACTGAAAATACAAAAAAATTAGCCAGGCATGGTGGTGCACACCTGTAGTTCCAGCTACTTGGGAGGCTGAGGCATGAGGATTGCTTGAACCTGTGAGGCGGAGGTTGCAGCAAGCCAAGATGACGCCATTGCACTCCAGCCTGGGAAACAGAGTGAGACCCCACCTCAAAAAAAAAAAAAGTACCTTGATTTCCTTTAGAGGAACAGCCTCCTTCCTGACACTCACTTTCCAGAACTCTGTTTCCAGAACAGAAGCCTATGATGCAGATGTGGCCAATCAGTGCCCTGGGGCTCCAGCAGCAGTGCAGGAATGCGGAACTGATCATAAAGATCCAACCAGCATGAAGAAATTCTGACACTGGAGGAAGGGCTACCGGGAGAAAACATTTCTCTTTTCCCCAGCCAGCTGTCAGCTAGCCTGAGAGAATGTGAGGCTGGGGCTACCATCTTGCCACTATGAAGAGAGAACCTGCTGAGCAAGGAGGCAACACAGAGCCAGATATGGAGAGAAATAAGCAGTCTTGGAATGCTGTTTCATCCTCTGGATCAAACCATTCCTGAAGGTAGCACTTTCTATTCTGACCCTTCAATTACGGGGTTCATTGAATTCCCTTTTTGTTTAGCCAGTTTACATTCGGTTCTATGTCACTTGCAAACAAAATCCTTCCAACAGATGCACTCGATGGCCACAGGCCAAAGTCAGTGTCTCCTGGAGTGGCAGCTCTGAGACGTGTCCACATGGGACCACAGTGTAGAGAAGCCACACACCACCATGGTGCTCCTGAACCAGAAGAGATCATGGGCTTCTATAGAGGGGGGTGAGCCAGGTACAAGGCAGTGGAGTAGGAAAACCTGGGCTGGGGCCAGCCACAGTGACTCACACCTGTAAACCCAGCGCTTTGGGAAACAAAGGTGGAAGGATCGCTTGAACCCAGGGGTTTGAGAACAGCCTGCACAACAGAGACCTCCTCTTTAACAAAAATAAAATAATTTTCCAGGTGTGCCTGTAGTCCCAGCTACTTGGGAGACTGAGGAGGGTGGATTGCTTGAGCCCAGGAGTTTGAGGCTGCAGTGAGCCATGATTGGGTCACTGCGCTCCAGGTTGAGCAACAGAGCCAGGCCCTGTCTCAAAAGAAAATGAAAAAACAAAAAATACCCCTAGGCTGGAGTTCAGCTCCAAACTTGACAATCTGATCCTGTGGGCTTGCAACCCTGCTCCTAAGCAGCATTTTTCTATTTATCTACCTGTCACTGTCCCTCAGGCCTGGTGCTGTTGCAGAGCTTCCTGGAATAGACCAGTGCAGTCCCCTTGCTGTCTAGAGACCTTCATTTTTCTTTTTTCTTTTTCTTTTTTTTTTTTTTGAAATGGAGTCTTGCTCTTGTCACCCAGGCTGGAGTGCAATGGCATGATCTCAGCTCACTGCAACCTCCACCTCCCAGGTTCAAGCAATTCTTCTGCCTCGGCCTCCCGAGTAGCTGGGATTACAAGTTCCTGTAAAATTAGCCTGGCTAATTTTTGTACATTTAGAAGTGATGGGGTTTCACCATGTTGGCCAGGCTGGTCTTGAACTCCTGGCCTCAGCCGATCCATCCAGTTTGGCCTCCCAAAGTGCTGGGATTACAGGCATGATCCACCGCGCCTGGCCAAGACCTCCATTTTTCACATATAATTAAAATAAAATGTGAGGAAATAGAAGCGACCTGACACATGTGCGATGCACTTTGGTATTTTACTTTTCATTTCTATGGAAATGTGAGTCCGAGGCACACCCTGCAAGGCATGCTGGGACAGAAACCTGGCCTGTGATGGCTCCTGGGTGGGTTGGTCCAGGGACCCTTCTCAGAAGCACCATCCTGCCCCAGAGACGGCCCTGAAATGACCCAAAAGTTCCTGATCACACCAGCTGCGGGCACATTCACTGATTCACTTACTCATTCTCCGAGCCCCTGCATCGAGCTGGCCTTTGCGCTGAGCCTGGGACTCAGGGGCGAATTCATCAGAGCTTATAGTCAAGGAGGCAGACACATGTTTGTGTTTATAACACAGCATAGAAAGTGGTGGCAAATCCAGGCTCCTGGTGTCTGGGTCCTTGGTGGAGGGGCACCTGGCCTAGCCTGCAGCCCTGTGAGTGGCCGTGGTCACCTCGGAGACCTGGGTGAGACACTGCTGTTACAAAGCCTGAGATTCTCAGGGTGATTTCTGGAGGTTCTGAACTGTCCATTCAACAACAGAAAGCACCAGGACAGCAAATGGCACGTGTTTACCCTGTGCCCGGCCCCCATTACTCCCACAGCACAGGGTGGATACTCCTCATTCTACAGCAAGGAAGCTCTGGCTCCCAGAGGTGACTTGCCCTAGGCCACGTAGATTAAAAATACACCGATAATATATGATGCTGGCCAGGCACGGTGGCTCACACCTGTAATCCCAGCGCTTTGGGAGGCTGAGGCAGGCAGGTCACCTGAGGTCAGGAGTTTGAGACCAGCCTGGGCAACATGACGAAACCCCGTCTCTACTAAAAATACAAAAACTAGCTGGGTGTAGTGGCACATGCCTGTAATCCCAGCTATTTGGGAGGCTGAGGCACGAGAATCGCTTGAACCCGGGAAGATTAGGTTGCAGTGAGCCGAGATCACGCCACTGCACTCCAGCCTGGGTGACAGAGTGAGACCCTGTCCCTCTCTCTGTCTATATATGTATATACTGATGGCAAGGCCCCACCCCAGGGATTCTGGATTAACTTTGGGAGGTGAAGTCTGGGCTTTGGTGTTCTTAAAACTCCCTAGGTGATTGTAACAGGTAGCCAGGATTGAGCAGCACCGAGTTGAACATAGGTTATTTCTTTTTTGTTGGCTTTATTTTCATTTTTATTTTTTTTGAGATGGAGTCTCCCTCTGTCTAGAGGGACACTCTGTCTCAGGCTAGAGTGCAGTGGCACAGTCCCAGCTTACTGCAACCTCCACCTCCTGGGTTCAAGTGATTCTCCTGCCTTAACCTCCCGAGTAGCTGGGATTACAGGTGCCCACCACCAGGCCTGGCTTCTTTTTGTATTTTTAGTAGAGATGGTGTTTTGCCATGTTGGCCAGGCTGGCCTTGAACTCCTGACCTCAGGTGATCCGCCCACCTCGGCCTCCCAAAGTGCTGGGATTACAGGCGTGAGCCACTGTGCCTGGCCTTGGACACAGGCTCTTTCTAAGAAAGGCCAGCCCCACCTCTTCCTGCAAGTGCTACTGTGACAGAGGGAGGGCTGGGGTGGGCGGCCAACGCAGGGCCCAGCCTCCTCCCACAGGACGGAAGCAGACCAGCCATGCAGAGTCAGCTTCTCTCTCCAGCACTGTGGAGATGGTGACTGGTGGACTTAGGGTGGTCTGGGAAGGCCTAAAACATCGGTCTGCCCCCTGAGGAGCTAACAGTCTGCTATCGACTTAATATTTTGTGTCCACCACCAATTCATATATTGAACCAAATGCCCAATGTGAGGCTGTTAAGAGGCGGGGGCTGTGGGATGGGATTAGGTCCTGAGGATGGAGTGTTTATAGGGATTAACGCCCTATAAAAGAGGCCAGACCGGGAGCAGTGGCTCACACCTGTAATCTCAACACTTTGGGAGGCCGAGGTGGGCGGATCACTTGAGGTCAGGAGTTTGAGAGCAGCCTGGGCAACATGGCGAAACCCCATCACCACAGAAAATACCGAAATTAGCTAGGTGTGGTGGTGCATGCCCATAATCCCAGCTATTCGGGAGGCTGAGGCACAAGAATCGCTTGAACCCAGGAACCCAGGAAGCAGAGGTTGCAGTGAGCCAAGATTGCATCTCTGTACTCTAGCCTGGGCAACAGAGTGAGACTCTGTCTCAAAAAAAAAAAAAAAATGTGGCCACAGAGAGCTCTCTTTATTTTATTTTATTTATTTATTTTTAGATGGAGTTTTGCTCTTGTCACCTAGGCTGGAGTGAAATGGGGCAATCTTGGCTCACTGAAACCTCTGCCTCCCAGGTTTAAGCAATTCTCCTGCCTCAGCTTCCTAAGTAGCTGAGACCGCAGGCACACCCACCACTCCCGGCTAATTTTTGTATTTTTAGTAGAGATAGGGTTTCATCATGTTGGCCTGGCTGGTCTCGAACTCCTGACCTCAGGTGATCCACCCGCCTCAGCCTCCCAAAGTGTTGGAATTATAGACGTGAGCCACCACGCTCGGCCGAGAGCTCTCTTATCCCTTCTGCCACACCCAGTGTGCCACACCCAGTGGGGACACAGTGAGAAGAGACGTGTCTATGAGGAAGGAGCCCTTGATAGACACCAAATCTGCCAGAACCTTGATCTTGGACTTCCCAGCTTCCAGGACTGTGAATAATAAATTTCTATTCTTTATCCATCATCTAGTCTTTGGTATTTTTGTTATAACAGCCCCAGTGCACTAAGACACATAGAATGGGGAAGACCATCCTGGGCCCATGCCCTGAGACCAAGCCTAGCTGGTGGGGCTGGAGTAGGGTGACCAGCTGCTCTGGTTTGTGCTAAAACTAGGGAAGGCCAGGGCAAGACTGGCCAGGATGGGCCACTCGCTGGGAGCCAGAGGAGAGGAGGCAGCTGCCTGGCATGAGGTGAGGCTGGAGGAGGGCAGGGGCCAGGCCACATGGGCCTCATAGGATTTTATTCTGTGTATAGCGCTCTGGGAGAAACACCTCCTCTGTGTCTCTGTTCCAGAGTCCTAGGGACTGTTGCACCGGGGGTCCGTGGAGCACTCGGGTCTGCAAGGAAAGACCCCGTCTATTAGCGTTTCCAGGCCAAATTGAGGGTTGGGCTGCTATTTCTCACGGCCCAGTAACGAGATGCAGATGAACTGGGGAGGAAGGGAGTTTTTATTTCTGTAACCAGTTATGGGGAAGAAGGCCTAGGAAATGTCACCAGACCAACTCAAAATTCGGGTTTCAGAGTTTATATACCTTCTAAGCTATATGTTTATGTGTAAGTGTACATTCATCTAAAGACATAAGTGATTAACTTATTTATTTATTTTTTGAGACGGAGTCTTGCTCTGTTACCCAGGCTGGAGTGCAGTGGTGCAATCTCAGCTCACTGCAACCTCCGCCTCCCGGGTTCAAGTGATTCTCCTGCCTCAGCCTCCTGAGTAGTTGGGATTACAGGCGCACGCCACCACACCAGCTAATTTTTGTATTCTTAGGAGAGACGGAGTTTTACCATGTTGGCCAGGCTGGTTTCGAACTCTTGACCTCGTGATCCACCCACCTCGGCCTCCCAAAGTGCTGGGATTAGAGGCGTGAGCCACCGCGCCCAGCCCAACTTCTTTTAATCTAGAACTAAGATCTGAGTCCTGAAGATCTTCCTCTGAAGCCTCAGTAAATTTACTTAATCTAAATGGGTCCAGGTGCTGGGGCGATTACCCTTATTTTGTCTCCTGCTAAATTATGGAGGTTTGGGGAGTTCCTTCAGATCCCCAGTAAACTTGTTTGTGGAGGTCTGGGGAGTTTCTTCAGGCCTCCGATACAACTTGTTTAATCTTAAAATGGGTCCTGTTAATTCCTTTGTTACTTTGTCATGCTTCAAGGCCCAGGAAAGGCCTGGGCAAAACTCCTGGTGGGCTTTTGTTACACTCCAGCCTTTGTATAGGGCACTGGCTCTATCAGCTTTTAATATTTAACTTCGCCACTCAGTCAATGCTGAAACAGGTGTTACAGAGGCCTGCGTTAGTGAGACCTGGCCTGCCACATTAGTGCAGGGTCTGTCACCTGATTCGGAGACCAGCGCCTGAGCTGCCCTTCTTCACCGAGCCCATTAGCTCTTCTGTCTTCATTATTTAGGGCCACAACTTACCTTTTACTCAATGGAGCCAGAATGGGGCTGCTACCATAAAAACCCCTGGAATGGGGCCCAGGCGGCTGGCAGGGCCTCCTCCGAGAAACATATGCCACGGTGTGGGGACCATAACTATCATTTACATTAATTAGGCAGCCGGATAATAGGGTGTTCAATAGTTATTTTATTCTGTAAATTCTGCGGCAAGCACCGCCAGGAGGCAGGAGCTGGCAGGGGTTCATGCCATGCAAAAAATAGTCCTGTTCCCACCCTGGCAGGCAACGGGGCTTTACATTTATGGTGAAAGGAAGTCTTCCTCAAGTTCTGGAAGAATAGCTGATTTGGTGAGAGGGGACTTGCCATGTGACTCACCCACTGGCCATGTGATCCGGGGATAATTCATCTCAGTGTCCTCAGCCAGCCACCAGTGCTGACTACCTGGGGGTATTCTGGGGTCCTACTGAGAATGCAGCCATGGAGGGGACAGGTGGGTGGGTTTTCTTTTTTTTTTTTTTTCAGAGACAGGGTCTTGCTCTGTCACCCAGGCTGGAGTGCAGTGGTGCAATCACAGCTCACTACAGCCTCAACCTCCCAGGCTTAAGTGATCCTCCTGCCTCAGCCTTCCAAAGTGCTGGGATTAAAGGCATAAGGCACCACACCTGGCCCAAGGGGACAGTTTGGGAGAATGCCCGACCCCTATGTTTGGAAGATGGTACTGTATTCTGTCAGAACCCTCTGAGTTTTTGGGTGATACCACACACACAAACTTTATTGGCTGTGCTTTATTCCTGATGCTCATTTTACAGATGAGGACGCCAAGGCATGGGTGGAGGCTCACCCTTGACTGAACTCACAAAGCTAAGCCAGACAAGGCTGCAGCCTGCCCAACACCCGGAGGTATGCCCACACGGCTCCCCACCCCTGCGACCCAGCTCTGCCATCTTCCTCCTTATTTCTGTCTGCCCAAGGGTGTCTCCCCACCTGCCTGCTCCCTTTTCCCCTGAGAAGACCTCAGCTGCAGCCCCTGCCTCCTTGGCCACGCTGGCCTTGTCCACAGCCCCTTGTTCAGCAGCTTGGACGGCTGGAGCCATCTCCACTCGCCTAGTGGGGCTGCCACCCTTCAGGGCACTGGGCTGTGAGTAGACACCCAGACCGAGGCTGGAGGGGCTGTGTCCCTGAGGCCCTGTTCGTGGGTGCTGTGTGCACCTCTCAAACCTGTTTCCGTGCATCCCCAAGGCCGACACCCTGGTTAAGCTGCAGACGTCTAGCACCGGCCACAACCTCCTAGCTGGTCTTCCGGCCCTTGGCCTCTCCAGTTCACTGCCAGTCTTCCTCACTTCCTGCTGCCCTGCCTGGTGCCTGAAGCCTCCAGCCTCCTCAGCGCCATGCCCCTGCAGGCCCCACTTCCTACCCCAGCTCCTCTGCAGGAGGCCTCAGCCTGCCTGACTCCAGCTCAGCCCTCCGGCTTGTCTTAAGTTCAGGTCCTGAGGGAAGCCAGCCTACTTTCAGACCTGCCAGGGGCCTCTGCCACAGGCCCTGTTCCCCTCCCACCGCACCCTGTGGCCCCAGGGTCCTGTCATCACCACTCACTCTCTCACTACTCAATTGGAAACCTCACAGGGCGGGACCAGGAGGGCTGTGGCAACCACGCCCTAGTGACAGGGCTGCAGAGCACTTGGTCCCTGGAGTTCTGGGGTAGCGGAAGAGCCCGTATTTTGAAAGGAGGGAGCTGTTAAAATTGTGAGTTTGGTGACATACTGCATTTCTTAGGAATGTGGGTTTCCTTGCTTTAAATCTGTGATTTTTCAAGCAAGAGCCACTTAGGGTAACCTGGGCATTACCATTTTTATTTTTTTTGAGACAGAGTCTCGATCTGTCCCCCATGCTGGAGTGCAATGGTGCTATCTCAGCTCACTGCAACCTCCGCCTCCTGGGTTCAAGCAATCCTCCTGCCTCAGCCTCTTGAGTAGCTGGGATTACAGGTGCCTGCCACCACGCCCAGCTTGTTTTTGTATTTTTAGTAGAGACCGGGTTTCACCATGTTGGCCAGGCTAGCCTTGAACTCCTAACCTCAAGTGATCCACCCGCCTCGGCCTCCCAAAGTGCTGAGATTACAGACATGAGCCATCATGCCTGGCCTGGCATTACCATTAAGAAATGAGACTGCTGGAGAGATGCTCAAATGATTTCAGATATTTATTAAGCACCCACATAATAGTCCAAATGGTTCTTCTACAAACATTTTAAATTGAAGTATAACATATGCCCTGAGAAAACACACATCCTCTGTTTGCAATCTCCCCTGCCTTAGCCAGCAAGCGCTCTGTCTCCAGCTCCCAGGCCACGGAGCCCCATCTTCCATGGGGCTAGGTAGCCCCCTAAAGATGACTTAACACAGCCTGTTCTGCACACAGAGCAGCCAGCTTGCATTTAGGGCAGTGATGGGATGCTGGTACATGTGTAACAAGCCCTGGTTTGTAGCATAGTGTAAATTGCTGTGTAAATGTTCCCACCATGAGGGTTGCAGGGTGCCGGCATGAATGTGCCGTCTGCAGGAGGTGCACACATCAGCTCTCATGAGCCAGCACAAGCCCCTGTGGCACAGCACCTGTTTGGGGCCTGTGTTTTTTTATACAAAGCATTATAATCGCACACTTTTTTGGGAGAGCAGGGCAACTGAGGATGCTTTCCGTCTCACATTCGCTGCAAGGCGAGCCTCCACTGGCAGCACTCTACAGGCAGGACAGAGCCACTGGCAGCACTCTCTACAGCGTCCTTTCTCTTTCCTCCCCTCCCTCCCTCTCTTTTGGTAGAGGATACAGTTTAATTTGTGTAGATTAAATGTGCCTGCAATAAACACCACACTCCCTTTCTTCACGTTCTCTGTGGTTGGAACCGAAGGTCTCGGGGAACTTGGGCCTTGAACTTGGGTTTCCTGACTCGGGTTTCCTGCTGGGCTCAGCCTCTCCAGGCCAGGCTATGCAGCGCCAGCCATAGCTGCTCCCGCCAGACCCTGGGGCTTCATGGGGGAAACTGAAAGGGGCAGAGAAGCGCGGGCCACACTTGCTGCACGTCACAGCTGTTGATGGAGCATAACCTCCTCGGTCTGCATAGCTGGGGTGCCAGGGCCCAGTGGCACAGGGCTGCCTTCTCACCCGCGGCTCCTGCTACCAGGGGTGCCCACCGACAAGGAAGGGGGGGTGGCACGTTGGACTCAGGATGTGCAGCTGCCCTGCCCTGGGCAAGCCACACGGGCTCATCTGGCCCAGACAGGGGTCACTGACCAGCACCACTTGCAGTTGCTGTGTGCCAACCCTTATTCAACATTATTAGAGGCACATCCTGGGCTCATTTTTTCTTTTTGGGTCAGAAAACAAATATTTACTGAGCACTTATTATATGCAAGGCAGTGTTCTCCCCTGCAGGGGGCTTACAATGGTTATGGCGGCGAACACCATGGGCAGTGTCCCAGCGTCCGAGCAGCTCACATTCCAGTGGAAGAAAATGATATGAAACAGGCAGATATGGTTGCACTGGGGACTGAGAAGTGGTACACAAAACATAAGACTGCTGGATGCAGTGGCTCGCGCTTGTAATTCTAGCGCTTCGGGAGGCTGAGGCAGGAGGATTGCTTAAGGCCAGGAGTTTGAGACCAGCCTGGGCAACACAGCAAGACCCCCAGCTCTTCAAAAAAACAAGCAAACAAAAATTAGCCAGGCATGGTGGCATGTACCTCTGGTCCCATCTACTTGAGGGGTTGAGGTGCGAGGATCGCTTAAGTCAGGGAGGTTGAGGCTGAAGTGAGCTATGATCACACCACTGCACTCCAGCCTGGGTGACAGAGCGAGACCCTGTCTCAAAAAAAAAGGAAAAGGAAATATCAGACAGAGTAATGTGACAGAGTGACTGGTTGGGGTGGGGGCTGCAGAGCTAGGATGATGGGGCCTTCCCTGTGTGCAGAGCTGAACGCAGGGAGGCTGCCTGCAGATTGAGGGGTCAGGAGAAAGCTCGAGAGGAAGGAATGGCAGGCACAGATGTGCACGGGGACAATCGCATGCTTGGGGGTGTAGAGAGGCACAGGGTGCAGCGGGAAGGTGGACCACGATGGCAGGGGTGGGCTGGGGTCTGATCTGGAAGGGCCTTGATGATGCCGATCAGGGGCTGGCTCTCATTCTGCGTGCAGCAGGAAGTCGCTTGTGGGTTTTCAGCGGGAGAGGCACCCCGAGTCATGTTTCACAAAGGTCACCCGGGCTACAGTGAGGCCAGGCGTGGATGCAGGGAGGCCAGCGGGGGGCTGTGGCTGTGGCTGGGTGCTGGCAGGTGGGTGGAAGGGGGCTGGAGCAGCAGGTGGTGGGAGGGTTGCAAGGAGGGCCACCATGTCGTGATGAAAGGTTGGTGGGGGCGTGAAAGCAAGGGAGGAATCAGGATGGCTCCTTGGTTTCCCGTGTGAGCATCCAAGAGGCGAGGGGCCTCCGCAGAAGCGCGGGTGGAAGGAAGGGAAGAGAAGGGAAGTCCGTCATGCTGTGTGCAGCCCACCATGCTGGGCTGCCTGTTAGATCTCCAGGTGGAGCCTGGTGGGCAGCTTTCTCATTTCCTCAACAGTCACAGAACACTGAATACAGTCAGATACACTCTGGATGAGTGAGGGTATGGCAGTGAGGAAAACAGTCCTGTCCTTAGGAACTTCCGTTCTAGCTGGCAGGAGGCAGATGGTAAACCAAGTTACACATGTGGGTCTGGTGGATCTGAAGTGGTGGACGAGACAGCTATGGAGGGAATGGGGAAAGAAGTCCAAAGGCAGAGCTCAGGGCATTCTAACACTGAGAAGTTCTGCAGAGGAGCTCCCAAAGGACAGTGAGAGGGAGTAGCCAGGGAGGCAGGAGGAAAGTTGGGAGTGTGGGGATAAGAGGTGTTCCAGGAGGAAGGAAGGGATGACCTGTTAAATGCCGATGAGAGGCCAGGCAAGGCAGAGGCGGAGAACCGACCACTGGCTCTGGAGAGACGCAGTCACTTGAGTGAGAGTGGCTTAGTGGGGCGGTGGAGGCAAAAGAATGGAATGTTTTCCATTTCATCCTGCTCCCGGCCTGTCCCAGGAAATCCTTCCCTATCCCAGTCTGTTGCATTTCACCCAGTCTGTGCATCTATCTGGCGTTTTGTGAGTCTCTGGGTGAGGTCCTATATCCTCCTCCATCTCCCTCCTAAGCCAGTCCCTCCTCCAGGAGCTCTGATGGATCAGGCCACTTTTTCTTTTTCTTTCTTTCTTGTTTTTTTTTAGAGATAGGGTCTCATCTGTCATCCAGGCTGGAGTGCAGTGGCACAATCATGGCTTACTGCAACCTCAACCTCTTGGGCTCAAGTGATCTTCCCACCTCAGCCTCCTGAGTAGCTGGGATTATAGGCATATGCCACCATGTGTAGCTCAACTTTTAAATTTTTTTTTGTAGACATGGGGTCTTGCTATGTTGCCCAGGCTGGTCTCAAACTCCCAGACTCAAGCAATCCTCTTGCCTCAGTCTCCCAAAGTGCTGGGATTATAGGCTCACGTGAGCCACCACGCCTGGCCCAGCAAACGTTTTCTGTAAAAGGCATAGGGAAGGGCAGGTCTTTGCTCCTGAGACCTGCCTCCTATGGCTGGAGGTTATCTTTTATGGGCAAAGTGGACCAAGACACAGAATAGCTGAATCCCACTTGGGGCCTGTCCATTTCAGATGCCCTCTAGGACAGCAGCGCCCACCCTCCTGTGAACACAGCCTATCTCTGCGCCTGTCTAGTTAGCAAGGCTTGTCCTTTACAGCTCAGGAAAAATTACCAAGAATGTTATTGACTCTAATTTTAATTTGTCTAGCACTCTTGTTAATGATGTCTATTTAAGACATCCATTAAAGGCTCACGAGGTTAATTAAATGGACAATTCCAATACAGTTCTATTAGAACCCCTTCTATTAATATTGTAGACATTTAACAGATGTCTTAATTAGACATTATAGCTAAGAAATGCAAACTAAATTAAAGCTAAAGCCATTGTCCAGAAAGCGAGCTTTTTTACCAGAATTTACGGCTTTGTGGAGGGATGTTCCTGTTTACTCTTTGGAACCTGGGAGATCAGTCATTTGATGATCTTTCCCAGCCTCCAGAAAACGTTGGCCTGAGAGTCCCAAGTCTGAAATCACAGTCCAGACCTCAGAGCTGGAAGAGACTTTAGACACCATCTGGAGCCCAGCGTCCTCAAACATCAGTGATCAGCTGGGGTCTTAGGTAAACACACAGCTATCTGGGTCCCGCCGCCAGAGGCTGATTCAGTAGGTCTGAGGTGCAGCCCAGGGTCTGGCTGCTCTGAATGTGCACCCACTAACTCTGATATGGGAAGTTCCAGGATGCCATTCCAGGAACGCTGGGTCTAGTCTAATGGCCCCACTTGACAGATGGCGGCACCAAGGTCCCCAAGACTTCAGAACTGCGTGAATGGATCAGCAGAACTCCACCTCCTGCCCCATGGATTAGGGCTTTTCCAGCATCTCTGCCATCTCTC
Source organism: Homo sapiens (assembly GCF_000001405.40). Lineage (NCBI taxonomy): Eukaryota > Metazoa > Chordata > Mammalia > Primates > Hominidae > Homo > Homo sapiens. Next base: position 29,618,850 of record NC_000019.10, on the reverse strand, counting down.
CACTCCTGGCAGCCATATACCCCTTCCGGCCTCTCCTCCTGCCTGCCTGAGCCCAGGGGGCAGACCCTCGCAGGCTTCCCCTGCCTTCCTGGGTCCTCCACAATGCTTCTGCGGGCTCCTGCCCTGAGCCTTGGTGTGAATACACTCTTCACACCCACAGCTGCCTAGAGCCGGAGCCCCTGCTCCAGGGAGACTTCTCTGCCCATCCTGCCCACCTGCACACGCATTTCCTCCCCCATCCAGACTGTGCCTGGCCCCAGCGGGAGGAGGAGTTCAGCTGTTTGCAAAAGTGAAGGGGAACTGGGCAGCTCAGGGGCCCCGGGTACTGGAGGGAGCAGCCCTGGACCCAAGTTCCTGTATGAGCATGTCACAGAATCCAGTGGTGATGGCAGCTCAGGGGCCAGCATTGGGGCTGGCTGGACTGGCTAGTGGTCCAAGCAGCCCATATGGGGGAAAGAGAAGGCCTGGCTAGTGTCTGAGGTTGGGAGTCAGGTAGCTGTTGGAGTCTTTCTGGGAGGCACAACCAGGCTGTCCTGGCTGGGAAAGCTTCGGGGTGGCTGTGGACTGACTTGGGTCTCCAAATTCATATGATAAAGCCCTTGCCCCCACTGTGACTGTCTGGAGACTTTCACGAGTTCATAAGAACACGGCCTGATCCAATAGGACTGGCGTCCTTCTACAAGGAAAAGACCCGAGGGATCACTTTCCTTGCACACAGGGAGGAAAGGCCATGTGAGGACAAGAAGGGAGAGGCCTCTCCAGAAACCAGCCCTGCCAGCACCTTGATCTTTGGCTTCCAGCCTCAAGAGCTGTGAGAAAATGCTGCAGCCCCAGTGTGTGGCATTTTGTTATGAAGATTAGAGCAGATGGATACATCAGCCATGGCCCACGCTGTCCTTTCGCTGTCCTTTCTCCTCCAAGAACCTCATCCTTTCCCCCGAGGCTCTGGCCTATCCTCTGCAGACCCTGTGTGGCAGCTGGGCACTGGGAAGATGTAAAGGGCCCCTGGGCCCCACTCTTTGAGCAGTGGGTCGCTGGGCTGATGTCTCCCAGTCCTGCAGCCTCTGGGTCCTGTCCTGAGTTGCTAACCACTCTCTCCTCTTTGGCACTTTCTCTGGTGCATGGAGGCTTACACAAGTCGAATGTGGCTCTGTCTCCCGTGGGACCACATGGCCAAGGCCTCAGCTCTGCCAGGGTCCTGCTCCTTGGACAGTGGACATGGGAGAGATCGGGCCAAAAAGCACCACATTACCCTCCATGACAAGCTGTGCCGCAGCCTGTGGAGACATGGCAGCCCTGGCCCCTGCCACGGCCCCTGGGCCTCAGATCATGCTTTCTGCAGCTGTTCCTCATCAGGAACCATGTCCCGCCCAGCTGGGCCCTCCCCTTTCCCTCCTCTACCTGGGAGATATGACCCCTGGGTGGGCCATGAGGGCAACAGTGTATCCTAGAAACAGGCAGGCACAGCGGCAGCTTAGTGGCCGGTGAGCACCCTCACCATGTCTCCTTGGGGGAGAGGGAGAGGTATCTACAAATTAAACCGCCACTCACACAGAAACTTGAGTCTGAGCTAAATGAAAAACAGATTTCACATGGCAAGTGGTACCTACAACTTTTCTGGAAAGCAACTGTGTATTTACACAACAGTGGACGCCTTTTACATTGCAGAGGGGCGGGTAAGAGCGGGATGGCTAGGAAGCTACAGCACCTATTTGGTTATGAACACAGCATTTTCAGATGGCTGGGGGAATAGATGCCACTTCCCACTCAAGACAGGGATTTGCTCAGCGGGAAAGCAGGTAATAAAGGCAGCACATCCTGCACTTTGAACTGCATCCGTCTCATCCTGCAGCCACCCTGTAGCTCAAAGCACAGTTCTGGAGCCTATTAGGTCCAAATCTCAATCTACCCTTGAGTCAGCGAGGCCTTAGGCAAGAGGTCCCTCGAAGTCTGTCTTCCTGTGGCAGATGAGGACGGCCACACCACAAGGCAGTCGCTGGGCCGGGGCCCGTGTCCGAGGTGGCAGTGTGCTTGGGCTCCATGTGCCTAGCCCGTGCGTGTGTTCATCACTGGCAGCGGTGACTGCGTGCTGCTTGGGGGAGAGCACTTGAGCTGCCTCAGAACACCCTGGTGAGCGGAGGACACTTGCATGGATGGAAGCAGGACCGAGGCACCGTGTTGGTCCCTGTGAGACTCTGGGTGCACTGAGCTTTGGGGAGGGGTGGTGGCACAGACCTGGGCCTTTCTACTCTCCTGGCACACAGCAGTCAGCGCTCCCACTTCCCTTCTCCACTACGGTGTTTCTCTCTGGTGTGGTTTGGGTGGAAGTTACCAGAAACGCAAAGCCCTGGCACTGCTACTTCTCCTGGGGGAGAACAGATTTGTGGCCTGCCTTTCGCCAGGAGGGCTCCTGGCCTTGCCTTGCTGATCGGCAGAGACTTGCTCCTCAAAGGGAAGGGGTAGTTGGTCCTTCTGAGCCATGTTTCCAACCCATCTGGTAGGCTGGTCCCCTGCCCCGCTCTCACTGCAGCCCTGGGCCCGCTTTTCCTCTGGCCCTGCATGGAAGGGCCTGACCCACTGGCTTTACAGACACATGGTCACAGAGGGCCAGGGTCAGACTGAAAAGCCAAGTCTTTCAGCAGCAAAAATGGCGAAGATATCAAAGGGCGTCAATGCTGCTGGCTTGGCTTTTGCAGCAGGTCTCACCTCGGGAGGTGATGCCGGGCGACCTCCTTTCAGTCCTCCATGGCTCAGCCTGGCAGCTCAGGAGTGGGCATGCTGCGGCAGGTCCCATCTCACTACGCTGGGGCAACCATGCATGGGCACAGCTGCATGCAGTACTCTGCTCCTGGGGTCCACCCCAGCTATGATTCCTGAAGTGAATAAACCCTAAGTCACTTAGCAACTCACCCTTCAATCCTCTTCAACCTTCCTGAAATAGCAAAGTAAACCTTAGGTGGGTCAGAGTTCCACCCAAAGGCGAGCCTCTGTAGACACCTGCCATCCAATGGACCTTTGGGGACCCCCCTTCCCTTTCAACCTGGCTGGACTGCAGCAATACCTCCTTTATTTGATCCCTGTTTATGTCCACATATGTACTGTATTATCACAGATGCAACTGATTTATCATAGAGCACTCAGAAAACATGGAAAAGTATTTTTAAAAATCGAATAATCCTATTCAAGTCAACCAGTGTTAACCCCGGTGTGCTTCCTGCCAGTCTGTTCCTCCCCATGGGAGTCACACAAAATGAAAATCTCCTAGAAAGAGAAATTCCTCTGTCCTCTGACTTCTTCACTTAGTACGCTGCGACCTTCCCATGTTGTTCAACATCCTCAACTCGGAGCGTCACTGGCTGGAGGTGGTCTATAAATGGAATTGGCTTAACTATCTCTTCACTGAAAGGTGGACATTTAGGGAGTGTCCAGTTTTCAGCTGTCATAAACAACTGCCTTAGACGGCAAAGAATTCACAGGTCAATCGTTCCCTTCGCTTTGAACTTCTTCGCAGACCGTTCACTTGACCGAAGCTGGAATTTGCTCCCGTAAATGTAGGAAATAAAGCCATCGGTTTCCACAGTGAACACGCAGTTTAGCTTGGGGATAACTGAAAAAAAAAAAAAAAAAGGCAGGAGAAAAAAAGATGAGGAAAAATATTTATTAATATTTTACTTTTAGGTAGAATATTATTCAGAACACATTGAATGAAAAAAATAAGCTAATAGGAAACGGGAAACCCACAAGGGGAGGGGCATTAGGGTTGCCTGTGGTTATTCTGCCACAGGTCAATCTAGTCACATGCTAAATGTAGCTTGGCACCTAATCTTCAGGGTCAAAGGCTATACACCAAATTCCCAGAACCAGAAAGTCCCAGAACACCTGCCAGAAACTGGTTTTCCCACATTAACTTTCAGATGGGCTCCTGGCCTTATGCTCTGTGGAGAAACTATTACACCACTTTCCGAGGTTTACAATGTGAGGTAGAAGGATATGTAGGAAAATAAGGGAAGCAACAAGAAAAACCAAGCTCAAAAATTAAAGGAAGAAGGCTGGGCGCGGTGGCTCACACCTATAATCCCAGCACTTTAGGAGGCTGAGGCAGGTGAATTACTTGAGTTCAGGAGTTTGAGACCAGCCTGTCCAACATGGTGAAACCCTGCCTCTACTAAAAATACAAAAATTAGCCGGGCGTGGTGGCGCGTGCCTGTAATCCCAGCTACTTGGGAGGCTGAGGCAGAAGAATCCCTTGAATCCGGGAGTGGAGGCTGCAGTGAGTCGAGATTGTGCCACTGCACTCCAGCCTGGGTGGAAGAGTGAGACTGTCTCCAAAAAAAAAAAAAAGAAAAATTAAAGGAACAAAACCTTCTAACTATGGTTTGATATCTCTGGATTTGTGGGTAAGGCGGGGTGTAGAAATCCTGGCTGACCCAAAGTATCTGCTAGAGCAATGCTGGCCACGGATGGAACCCAAGTGTTATCGCCAAGGACACAGCTCAGAACTCCAGGGACAGGCGCCACTCCTGTTTCTACCCTGCTGCCTGTTTGGCTACATTCCTCTGGGAGCAGCAGCCTTTGGGGCAGGTGGAGGCCCTCTCCTGGGGCCTAAACAGACCCAGGTCCCCTGAGGCACAGCCGAGCAGGTCTTCCTTCCCCTTGGCCATTTCTGGCCGGGGTTGCAGGCTGCACTGACACACACCTCTTGGGGGAGCCACGGGTGCAGGGGATGGTCTCTGCAGGCTTTAATGCAGGTTCAGCAAGTATCTGCAATCTGCGCTGACTTGAGGGGTCAAATCAAACTCTTGGAGCCTTGAGGAAAAGGCTAACGCAGTAGCTGGGAGCCACAGCCCGCAAGCAATGCCCTCAGAAACACCTACATACCTTTCAGGCGGTCTTCTTTGGTGATAATTTTGAAAATGTGCTTTGTTTCCTGTAGAAGGATTCCTGTAATACCCACATAAGAGGGGCATTTGGATTTTGTCACTGCAAAGAAAAAGGACAGTTCCAGGCTCAGGCCTCTGTGGTGCTGGGGGAACCACAGAGAAGCAGGCCTCAGGGGTTGGGGGTGCTGATCCCACCCTCTGAGCTAGCAGATGAAAGAACAGAGCACCCAGGGGGTGGGGGCTCAACAGCTGGGCCCTGATGTAACCAACAAGAATCCAGGCTTCCCCTGGGGCTTTGCAGCCTCTGGACTGTTCCTATGAGGTGTCCTTCGGAGGGTCTGTGGCCACAGGGGTCTTGGGCAGGATTCTGGAATTAAAGGTCACATATGTGCCCAGCACCATCAGGGCCCACGGGCTGGCTGCTCTGATGCAGCCAGGTCTCCCTTGCAGGATCTGCACAAACACCACCATGCACTGCCCAGGATGCTGGCTGGAACGTGAGTGTGGCTGCAGAGCTGCCCAGCAGCCAGCACTGCGAGATGAGCCACCATCACAAGCAGCAGCCCCTCCCTCGTCCTGACCCGAGCCTCAGTGTAGCGGACAGAGTCACCAAGCAGCTGTGGAATGCCTGCACCATCCTCAGGAGATGCCAGGGACACAGCACGGAAAGAGGCGGTCCTGGATCCTACTCTCACGGAGCCCGGGTTCTAGCAAGGCAGGGTGATGCACGGTGAACCACACCATTCTACTTTCTGACAGCAACGAGTGCTATGAAGAGTAGGGACAGGGCAATGTGTGGAGGGTCATGGTTTGCAATGGTAGACCCTGAGGGGAGTGGCATTGGAGCAGGGCTGAACAATGAGAAGCTGGACTGTGCACACACAGGAGAACTCCCGGGTAGAGGTAAGGAGCAGAGGCGAAGCCCTGAGGCAGGGCAGGAGGAAGGCAGTGTGGGAGGCCTGCTGCCCCAGGGAGCGGGGAGGCCTTAGACCACAGCAAGGAGGCAGGTTTACTCCCATACGATGGGACGCTGCCAGAAGACTTGAAGCAGGGAAGGAACGTGCTCTGATTTCTACGTAACCGGCACTCTGGCTGCCTGGTGCGGTGAGGAGCTGTGTCTGAGGTAATCTGGGGAATGACAGTGGCTGAATTTAAGTAGTAGGATGTTCCGAAGGATTCGAGGAGATTAGGAAAGAAGAAACATAGACACTGTTTAGGTTTTTGGTCTGAACAACCAGTGTAAATAACTGAGTAATTAACTGAGATGGAAAAGACCAGGAGGGGTTGCTGTGAGGAGAATCGGTGGCAGCTTTGGCTATGTAAAGTCTGAGATGCCCCCTGAACATCCAGGTGGCTATGTCAAGTGGGCAGCTGGATGCCTGAGCCTGGAGTTCAGGGGACAGGCCTACGCTGGAGATGTCACCTTGGGGGCTGTCAGGTGTAGCTGACATTTGAAACCACAGCATTGGATGAAAGGGATTCTGTGTTCAAGATCCCAGGCCGTGGGTGAGTGCTCGCAGCCACTGTGCCCTTTAGGGTACCAACAGGGGTCCCTGTGTGGAGAAGGTACACAGAGACCACTTAGGGTGTGTCCAGCAAATGGCCGGACTGGCTAAGACAGCCAGCGAGAAGCATCTCCCACCCTTAGCGTGGGGATGATGGTGACTGGGGGCCATCTCAGGGAATCCACACGGTAAAGAGTGTGTCCAACAGAACACACGCCCTGGGTCTCCACAGAGTGACAGAGTGAACCTCTGGATGGCCATGTGCTACACGCTCTTAGGTAAATTACCTGAAATAATAGCCCCGTGAAGATCTGCCTTTAAGAGCTTGGCCTGAATCATCTGTGGCTGCCTGCAGGGTAAACAGAAGCCCTTGGTTTACATCATGATAAAAAGTTCCAAAAGAAGCAACTAGGTCTTTAACCGTCTGCAGCCAGGCAATACCAACGCTGGTTCCTGAAGCCGCATTTACAATGATCAGAGGCTTGAGATCCACCCCAAAGAGCAAAGCTTCAGGAATGCAACTTACGTGTCTGGCTTGAGCCCACTGCACAGGTCCCTGATGTACTGTTTCCAGAGTTCATGGAGAGGGAGGAAAAGGCTGTATCTGCAGCAAAGTCAGAAACAGGGAAAAAGTTAGACAACATGAGCTTGGGATGACAATGTCCAAATAGCACAGAGCTTGACTTGATGCCAACAACTGCAACCTGGGATCATTAGGAACTATGTGCAAATCCGACGATGAGCAATTGAGCTGATAACCGAGACCAAGAACCTACACCTCTCTAACCTCAGTTTCCTCATTGGTAGGACCACACCAGCCCAGGGCGGTGTCCACCTGGACTTCTTTTCATGAGAGAGAAATAAACGTGAGTCTTGTTGAAGCTACTGTTATTTTGAGGTTTTCTGTTACGTGAAATTGAACCTAGTAAGCCCCCAGTAAAGCAGGGGTTGCTGGTTGTCACGCAGGTCCTCATGTGAGGCAGCAGGCTGGTCTGGAAGGTGGGCAAGCAAGTGGTGGGGAGAAGAAGCGGGGAGCAGGGGCAAGGACCCCAACAGCGTTCTTCTGGGCCATTATCTCCAGTCTTGATATCCTGTGGGGAATCCGTTACCACAAAGCCTTAGGTTAGAGAAATGAGGACCTTAAGCTCAAACCCAACCTGGGCTCCACCCGGGAGGCAAACCCTGGGAGGCAGCAGCCCCTTCTCCACCTGAGGCCCAGCTGATCTCCTGAGTGGGGCCGGGAACAGCATGGCATACTTTAAGCGTCTTCTGGAGCGTGGGAGGCTATTTGGCCGTTGATCTCCAAGCAAAAGCCTACAGACAGCCCCAAGACACCCACACTCAGACCCGTCACCAAGGAGGGATGGCGGGTCGGCTGGAGGAAGACATCCTCCCACAGGACAGGACAGTGATGCATTCCTTTTGGAAACTTCTGAAACGTGTGGGCAACATCTTGCTTTGGCAATGAAACCCGAGTGGGTGACTGTCTGGCTCTATCAAAAGCTACAAAGTAATACACACTAAAAACATATCAGTTCCTCTTTTCTGTCTAACAAAGCCGAAGGACAAACAGCCTGTTGCCATGGGCAACAGATGTACTTGCACGGGTCTTACTCCTGAAGGTGAGGAGAGAGGCCAGACAATGAGTCCTGTCTCACCCGCCTCGCTGAACACAGCCCAGATTGGTAAAGGAAGGCTGCCCTCTTGTGGCAGACGACAGAGAGGCCCCCTTAGCTTAGGTGGAGCCAGGCTGCCTCCCCAGCCACTCAGCCAAGTTCACACACCAAGAAGGGTAAGCACCGCGGGCAGAAAGACGTGGGGAGCTCGGGTTACCTCTGCTGCTCTGGTTTAATGTCAAAGAGCCGCAGCTCCCTCCTTTGCCTGGCAGAGAGGCCTTTGGCTTTCTTCTTCTTCTCCTTGCGCTTGTGGCGGGTGAAGTACTCCAGGACCACCGCCTTGCGCTGCAGCTGGTCCTCGCGGGCCTGCGGGCTCATGCGGGGCGTGCTGCGCTTCAGGAAGGCCCTCACGAAGGCCTCGGCCCGCTGTGCTCCTGAAGGCTGCAGGCGGACAAGGGGGTGCGGCGCTCACTGCTCCGGTCTGGGCAGCCCAGGATCCCAGGCATCCCGCCCGCCATTCCCGGCAGCTACTGCAAGAGCAAATGGGGCCCATCCCTTTACCTACTGAGGCTCTCAACCTGCTCATCCGCCATGCATCTGCTACCCACAGCTGCCGAGATGTAAGTCACACTCACACACCAATTCATGACCGTTTGTCACACACAACAGCGTGTCAAACGCTCACTTCCTGCTCTGGCCCTGCTTTTCTGAGGTTATTCTGAAAGGACCAAAACCTTTCTATCTTGAAGAAGAATTCTCTCATCCTTGGCAGAAGAGAAAGCTTGAGAAATGTATAACAAATATATTCAACCAGGCATGACCAGATGAAAGTGAGCTCAGAGTAGCACTAAGCTATGGAGGAAGTGATCCTAACACTACAGAAAACAGCAAAACTAGGGCTCCAGGGTCGGCCAAGCCTCAGGGCGCAGGGACCCTGACACTGTGCCCTTAGGACAATACTCCTTAACCGGGTTTCCAGCTCTGTGGGCATGGTGTGGCCACTCTCCAAAAGGTCCGCTCCCGCCCCGCAGACCATCACTTGGAGGAAGGTACCGTCGAGAGCATCTCAGGCCCCAGGCTCGCTCTCTCTGAAGGGTGTCACTGAGAGCAGGGCGTCAACTTACCATGAATGAGCACAGGCTCTTAGAGAGGACTTCTGGGAAAAATGACTGTCGTAATTGTGTGCAATTCTCAAACAAACAAACAAACAAACAAACAAACAAAGAAACCCTCCAAGCTCACTACCTCTCAGGTTGGAGTTCCAATAACGGATTCCTCATTTGGTGGCAATGCCACTGCCCTCATGCCTGCCACAGACCTGGGCAGTTCTCTCTCCTGAGGGCCTGTCTCCTGGCTGGGCTGTTTCCTGAGCTCTTTTTGCACTAGCCAGGTGCTAAATGCTAAGACTGAGGCTGACAGACTGATGCTGATCTGTCAATAGTAACGCAGCCTTCCTTCTGTGGGAGAGCAATGGGGATGGGAAGATAGGGTACATATAGCCTTCGAGGGAGCTCACAGTATGATGGTGGGAACTCTGCTTCAGCTTTGCACCTGTAGATGCTAACTAAAAATTAATTCACTCTCGTCATTGTGACTATAATAGGACAATGATCTGATTCTCTTAAATACCTGAGTGGCTCATCTTTCATGGAGAAGCAAAATAAAGGTATACTGGTCTTTCAAAATCTTGCTTTCAAGGTAATGCTCTCATTATGAGCCACAAGAGGAACTTTTGCAAAACTGACAAAGCAGGCCGAGGCATTCAGATATAATCTGTAAATTTCACTTATGATATGTGATTGCACACCTTCTGCAGAAGTGCAGAGGGCACAGTGACAAGGTTGAATGATGCTGCCCACCACGTGGGCACAGCCTGGTGTCCCCAACACAGTGGGAAATGATAAAAGGTTAAGGAAAGCCTCATTTTACCAAACTTGACTTTGGCACAACAGAAAAGGAGGCTGGCACGTGGGAACAGGTAATGAGAACTACAGACTTTGATCCAGCCTTAGATGTCTGCCAGAAAAATGAGGAGTATGATGTGGGAAAGGACATCTCAATCAGTGCTGGGGGCTCAGAAGCTACTGAGCCATCTTTGCCATCACCTCTGTTGCTCCTGGACTCCCTGCCAAGAACTGACCTGGACATCGGAGTCATTCGCCTCTTTCTGAGACAATGCATGGTAGATCACACCTGGGGGATTAAAAAAAAGAAATGATCAATTCTTGTTGGGTATGGCTGTAAGACCCAAGACTTTTCTAACTATGAAAATAACTACGCCACTAGGCGCAGTGGCTCATACCTGTAGTCCTAGCACTTTGGGAGGCCAAGGCGGGCGGATCCTGACCCAAGGTCAGGAGTTCAAGACCGGCCTGGCCAACATGGTGAAACCCCGTCTCTACTAAAAATACAAAAATTAGCCGGGGATGGTGGCTTGCACTTGTATTCCCAGCTACATGGGAGATTGAGGCAGGAGAATCGCTGGAACCTGGGAGGCAGAGGCTGCAATGCGCCAAGATCGTGCCATTGCACTCCAGCCTGGGTGACAGAGTGAGACTCTGTCTCAAAAAAAAAAAAAAAAAAAAAAGAAAAGAAAAGAAAAGAAAATAACTACACTTCTACACTTATAGCAGAACAACTGCTTATTCAGAGATAGGAGAAGATGAGGTTGGTATTAAGAGCAAAGCTTTCTTGGATGCCTCTTATCCCACCCTCTGGCCACATCTATGCTAGAAGTTCCAAGCACATGGTTTAAAAAGAATGCTTCTCAAAATTTAACGTGTGTAAAAATCTCTGGGATCTTATTAAAATGCAGATTATTGGTCTCCTACCCTAGATCCTGAGTGTTTAACATATTCCCAGATACTACTGCAGGTCAGTGAATCACATTTTGAGTTGCATTGGTTTAAAATACCCCAAGTTAGAAGCTTGAGCACTTGCTAACAAGGTAACTCATTAAAAGTTATATGATATAGCTGTCTAGGATGTAGATGGTTAGAAATAGGTTTTGTTAACTGTAAGATGTTTAAAAAGATTCTTCACATTTTAATATGAAATTATAATGTGTCACATAATCGATGGTGTCCTGAACTGATAAAATACAAGTTTTTCCTTTAAACTCAAAATATACATTGGTCAATAAAGTTTCAACCTCTAAAATAAATTCCACACTTCTGTTTCTTAATTTTTTGAAAGAAGAAAACCATGGCACTGGGGACAGAGTACAGGTGTGAATGGAATAAGAATGGGACTACTAAGGCCTGGTTTATGAGCTAAATAGCTAGAAAATGTAATTTACACTATACTCTGTAAATTTAATTCCAGCTTTCTTGTACTTCCCTGAGAATGTTTGATGCAAGGTGGTTACAAGTTTTTTTTTTTTGTTGTTTGTTTGTTTGTTTTGATACTGGGTTTTGCTCTGTTGCCCTGGCTGGAGTGCAGTGGCACAATCATAGCTCACTGCAACTTCGACCTCCTGGTTTCAAGTGATCCTCCCACCTCAGTCTCCTGAGTAGCTGAGACTACAGGTGTGTGCCACCACACCTGGCTAATTCTTTTTTTTTTTTTCCAGTTTTTGTAGAGACAGGGTCTCGCTATGTTGTTGCCCAAGTTGGTCTTCAACTCTTGGCCTCAAGTGATCCCCCTGCCTCAGCCTCCCAAAGTGCTGGGACCACAGGCGTGTCCCACCACACCCAGCCAGGTATGTTTGTTTGATCAAGCAAACCAATGTGGTTGCAAGTTTTATATATAGCATCTAGTTCTCCCTCAAATGGAAGATGGGGATTATAAACTGTAGAGAGCAACTTGCGGGGCCTGATAACTTTGCTTCATCTGTTACAGGTGCTTAGTAACAGACTTGGAAGTCTTTCTGCAACAATACACATCTAACAATTACTGAACATCCATTACTTGCCAGAAACCTCATTACAAGGTACACATATTTTTTCTCATTACACTTATGTGCATGAGCAAACTGAAGCTCAGACATGCCGAGACAATCTACTTGATCATATAGGTAGAAAGTGGCAGAGATGAAAAATAAAAATTCTGATTGAAGGCCCAGTCTTAACGGTGTCTACACGCCCCTCCTTGGCACATGTCTTCTACCCCTAAGGACCAAAGCTTTGGGTTAGTGATATCATTCCCCAGCAGCTCTCGGCGCTTTGCATCAGGTTAAGAGTGTGAAACCAGCTCGCAGAAAGGAGCAGGATCTTGACCGCGGTCACCCCGGGAGATAGTGGCCAAGTTGAGCCAAGGCCTGGAACCCTCCTCTAGCATCGCACACCACTGAGCAGCCTCCGGGAGAACCTGCCTCCAGCCCTGACATCCCTCCCTAGCTCAGAGGTCGAGCCAGGCTAACCCGTGCTCCAGCCCTCAGTTTTTCTTAGGTAGGGTGGGCCCATTCCTGTAGCGGTTCTGTTAGGACTCCGCAGCAACAGGTAGCCCGGACCCATTTCACCCACCAGTACCAAGACCCCGACCCTTAACGTCCCCAACCCTCTCCAACTTCGCGGCCCCGCTTACTCTTCATTCTCGGACCGCTTCCGGCGCTCTCTGATGACGCACTGGCAGCTGCTGTCGCAGACTCTCGGAGCTCGGAGATGGCGCTATGCGTGACATCACCGGCGCTCGCCCACCTCGGGGGCGCATGCGCCTGGAAAGGGATTCGGCTACTGAGAACGTCGTAGGCGGTGTTGCTGAGCAGTGGGGAGGAGTGGGCTCGCTTCCTGGGGTCTTTTCCGCCTGCATCTTTTGGGGGACAGGCAGTAGGGTTGGGGTAAAGGCATGTGGAATGCTTGCTAAGGCCTGGAGTGGAGCGAGGCGAGGCGACTTGGAGAGGACTCGAAGGAGGTTGGGGATCTGGGAGGGCGGAAATGGGACGGGGACGGTGGGGTGAGGTCTTTGTCGTCCCTAATCAGCGCCCTTACGGATGAGCCGAGGCAGCTTCCGCTGTGAGCACGGGCACCGAAGCTGGGACAGCAGGCTTAGGTTCTAGTTCCGTGTCTGCTGCTAACTAGCTGTTTAACCTCGCTTAGGGCACTTCCCATCTGTAAGCCTCACTTGCAGTCTGTGCTGTGAGTGGGGTCGGCCTCACAGGTAGTGATGCGCCGCCTGGGTCCCTTTGATAGTTTCAGAAAGCTTTCTTGAGACTCAGAATATTTATTAGTTTTTATCAATAAAAAAATCATAGCAATAAGATCAAAGGTGGCTCACACCGTGGGAGGCGCAGGCGGGAGGATCTCTTGAGCCCAGGAGTTCGAGACCAGCCTGGGCAACATCGGGAGACCCCATCTCTACAAAACATTTAAAAAAAATTATCCAGGCGTGGTGGTGCGTGCTTGTAGTCCCAACTACTCGGGTATCTGAGGTGGGAGGATCAGTTGAGCCCAAGGAGTTTAGGGCTGCAGTGAACCTGGATTGCGCTACTGCACTCCAGCCTGGGTGACAGAGTGAGACCCTGTCTCCAAAATAAATAAATAAATTCCATATAAATAAATAAATGAATAAACAAACTCCATTGCTCAGTGGAAAGGTGCAGGAAGGCCTGGTGCAGACTTCTCAGCAGTGACCCAGTGTTGGGCAGAACTGTGGAGCCCCAATTTCTGCTGAGCACTGGGCCTGTGCTGGGTGGGAGAGAAAAGAAATACGGTCCCTTTATGCTAAGTCAGTGGTTCTCAACTTTGAGTACAGTATACATTTCTTTACAGGGGATTCTGGGAGTATGTCCAAAGGTTTTAGTTTGAGAAACATTGGCTTAAACAATTTCTTTGGTGGTGACCTTGTACCATTTTGATTTTAAACATTAGACTGCAGGCACTGAAATTGGTTCATCCCAGTGACCCCGCGTGCATTGACTTTATAAAATTTATGTATTAGTTTTTGCATATGTAGTACACTTATGCATTTATTTTATACGTATAAAATTTGGAAAGACCACATTTAAACCAAAACATGCTGCCTTTGCAGATGCCTGAAAATTGTAATTTATGGGACTGATAGAGAACTTTTATTATTTTTAAAATTAACCAATAAGAATTGTATGTATTTATGGTATACAATATGGTTTGAAATGTGTATACATTGTGTAATGGCTAAATGAGCTATGAGCGATGCTAATACACTCATTTTGTGATGAGAACACTTCAGACCTACTCTCAGTGAAATTCAGGTTATTAACTGAAATTCACTGTTATTAACTATAGTCACCATGTTGTACAATAGAGCCCTTCACAAATGTGAACTTTAAAATCAAATGAGACAGCAGAAGATGTTAGCCAGTTTCAGAGCTGTGTACTCAAGGGGGGCCCTTTTAGGCAAGACCTCTGTGATTATGGAGATTAATGAGAAGACCTGTGTCTTTGAAAGTTTTTTTCTAGGGTTGTTAGGACTCTTAACTCCCAGTTGACTCCTTCTGGGATCCCTGGATAACTGCCAGTCTCCCCTCGAATTCCCTGATGGTGGTGGGGTGGGTCGTCCTTGAGTTGCAATTACAACATAGTTCCTTCATCATTAAAATATTTTTTTTTTTGAGACGGAGTCTTGCTGTGTTGTCCAGGCTGGAGTGCAATGGTGTGATCTCGGCTCACTGCAACCTCTGCCTCCTAGGTTGAAGTGATTCTCCTGCCTCAGCCTCCTGAGTAGCTGAGATTACAGGCACACACCACCACGCCCAGCTAATTTTTGTATTTTTAGTAGAGACAGGGTTTTACCATGTTGGTCAGGTTGGTCTCGAACTCCTGATCTCATGATCCACCCGCCTCGGCCTCCCAAAGTGCTGAGATTACAGGGGTGAGCCACTGCGCCCAGCCTAAAATATTTTTTAAAAAGCAAACAAACAAAAAAAATAAAAAGCAAACAAACCACTTGATTATTCTCAGAAAATGTTTCTGTATGCAGAGAGATACCTGTGAGGATGTTTGTGATTTTTGTTTATAATAGCAAAAACTTAAAAACAATGCTATATTTGATCATAGTGGATCAAGCAAATTAACTATGTGCTAATTAGGTAATTAGGTATGCTAATTAATGCATTATTAAATGCATTAATTTACCTGATTAGTTAGCACACACTTAATTTGCTTGATCCACAGACCAAATACAGGATCACAATCACAGGGTAAGCTTTCATTTCAAATTTCTTGGTATCATACCTGGAGATTCGTTTTTATCCAGTGGGTCTCAATAATCTGTTTTTATAAGGTGGGTCCCAGTAATCTGTTTTTATAAACTGTTCCTAGGTATGGCACATTTGTTACAGTAGGTAGGTAGTCAGGTATGAGCAGGGCAGGAGAAGGCTCCCCGCTACACACACCAGGGGTGTTGGGCCACCATCAGGTGATGGTCAGGTGGTTGTTAACTGTTTCTCTAAAGTAATTGGCCACAGCTGGCGCTAGGGAACAGGCAGCCGCCTAACAGATAGAAAACACCTGAAACTGATCAGCAGCTTCCTGTAAGATCTCAGGAGTGGGGAGAAGTAATGTAAGATCCTGGAAGTAGATCCTGGAAGTAGGCCAACGTGTAAAACCCCAAGTCAAGGGGTCAGGCTGCGCTCTTGGTTTCTCAAGTTGCCTGCTTGTCCTTCCAACTTGTATAATACTTTCCTTTTCTTTCCTTTCCTTACTGTTCAAAAGCTTTGCTTTTTTTTTTTTTTTTTTCCGAGACGGAGTCTTGCTCTATCTCCTAGGCTGGAGTGCAGTGGCACGATCTTGGCTCACTGCAACCTCCACCTCCCAGGTTCAAGCGATTCTCCTGCCTCAGCCTCCCAAGTAGCTGGGATTAGAGACACACACCACCATACCCAGCTAATTTTTGTATTTTTAGTAGAGATGGGGTTTCACCATGTTGGTCAGGCTGGTCTCGAATTCCTGACCTTGTGATCCACCCGCCTCGGCCTCCCAAAGTGCTGGGATTACAGGTGTGAGCCATCATGCCCGGCCTAAAGCTTTTTAATAAACTTCCACTCCTGCTCTGAAACTTGCCTTGGTCTCTTTCTGCTTTTTGCCCCTCAGTCAAATTCTTTCTTTTGACAAGGCAAAGATTGAAGTTGCTGCGAACGCGTACGGATTCGTCTCCAGTTACTTGGGGTAACTCGGTTCTCTGCCACTGCTAACACATTTCTATAACATGATGGATTACCATGCAGCCATTAAACAAATTACATACAATTTTTAAAAAGGTTACAAACTAATAAAGCCAAATATATACACAATAGTTACATGAATATACTAAAAGTTTGTATAACCGGGTAAGTGAAGTTATGGGAGATTTTTCCTTTTGTTTCTCTTTTCTAAATTGCATTTGGTGAAAAGACTTTAATTTTTTTCTTTTTTATAGCTATAAATGATAAACTTTCAAACATGGATACACATGTGTTTTCCCAGTAGTGGCTTTGTGAAAGTTCCACGAGAAGTCAATGTTTGATGGAATCATTGCAGGTGACTCCCCTCCGACCTCCAGCAATTTATTATGAAAAACTTCAAATATACAGAATAATGGAAACATTTAAACAGTGAACACCCATATGCTTTTTGATTCTACAATTCACACTTTGTTGTATTTGTACAGGTTCCTTTTGATTGTTGCTCTGAGACATTCAGGCTGCTATTCTGAGTATTCAAGAAAAATCTCATATGTAAGCTCAAAAAGATTAAGCCTCAACTATTAAGTAAGTGGGTATCCACGAAAATTAGGACTTCTGTAAATAAACACAACTAAATTTACAGAAACCATTTATCTAATAGCCTCTGACAATATAGTGGAGAAGTATTTTTTTGTGTATCCCCTCTCCTCCACTTTCGGATTAAAGAAAAACATTATTTCTAGTTTTTTTTTTTTTTTTTTTTTTTTTTTTTTTTTTTGAGATGGAGTCTTACTCTGTTGCCGAGGCTGGAGTGCAGTGGTGCGATCTTGGCTCATTGCAGCCTCTGCCTCCCAGGTTCAAGGGATTCTTCTGCTTCAGCCTCCTGAGTAGCTGGGGTTACAGGTGCTTGCCACCACGCCCGGCTATAATTTTGCTATTAGTAGAGACAGGGTTTCACTATGTTGGCCAGGCTGGTCTTGAACTCCTGACCTCAAGTGATCCACCCGCCTCGGCCTCCCAAAGTGCTGGGATTACAGTCCTGAGCCACCGTACCTGGCCTCTAGTAGGTTTTTTTTTTTTTTTTTTTTACCGCTGAAAGGTCATGATCCTGAATACCAGCAAACCTGCAATAAGAACATGGAAGCCTTCATTGTCAGTGAAAATTTTAATCCACCAAGTCAATGAAGTCAGTATATATATGTACATGTATGCACATCTGTTTGTGTGTATTTGTGTGTGTATATAAATATACACAGTTTTTTTCTTGCTTTTTGGGTATCTATATCAGGTACATTTGAGAGGGATGAGGCCTGTATGCTTTTTCTACAGGAAGGCCTTGTCTATAACATGGGTTGCTAACAGCACCTTCTTCCCAGGGTGGCCTGGAGCACTCAGCAAGATGATGCATGTTTAAACAGGGCCTGGCACAGGTAATACAGCTTGAGAGATGGTAGCCATCATTATCTGTGTCCTCACTAGGACAGAACAGTCCCTGAGGCTCAAGATTACATGCTCCCCTGGCTCTGCTATGCCCTTGATCCAGACGTTGTGTATTGACGAGGAGGGCTGGTGAGGGTGGTGGTGGAGAGCCTGGGCACAGCGACATCAGCCCTCAATCATTCCTCAGGCCTAATAGTGCCACAGAGATAGGCGGTAAGGTGCCAGCGCTAACACTGGACACTTCTGCTGGTCAAACCCTCTCCTGCTGGGTGATAGGCACTTTGTCTACAAGAATCAAAGAACTGGTGCTTGCCGGAAGACAGCGTATCAGCTCTTTGTAAAGAGGCAGCGCTGCGCCCTAAGTCAGTTTAAGACTAACCATTTGGAATTCTGACAGCGGGGACTCTTAAAACTTCGTGTGTCTGGTCACATATCAGTCTCTGAAATCCAAGTTTTCTAGTCTTTCAGCCTCCAAAAGTCACTCTTTAAGGCTAGCTTGATCCCAAATGTATAAAATGCAACTATAGATTTCTTCCAGCTCCCTGGCCCGGTGTTACTCTGTGAGCTGATTGCACTGAGGAAAGCATAGTTTCGGCTAATGGAGTGTCTGTCTGGATAAACGTAGGGCTCTCTGTGTCCTAAGAGAGCTTCTTCACTGCATTTCTCAGGTTTGCTGAGACACTTGAAGGGTTTGCAGAAAGTCACTGCAGGCTGCATGGGAGTGTGTGCATGTAGCTAGCACCTCCTGCCACCTATTTTGACCTGTGCTTAACTCTGGGAAAGCAGCCATTGACTCCAGACCTAGGGGCTATGTGTTTATATTCGTATAAGTCTGTTTAGGTCAAAATATGGGAAAGTAAGAGAGAAAGGACCTGATGTAAAATCACCCAAACTGGAATTGGGGCACAGCAGGGAAGCACAGAGATCTGGCTTTGTGGTGCCTGAATCCCAAAGCCATGCTGCGGGCAGGGGACACACCTCCCCTTCAAGATATTTGAAGCCAGGCTGGGAGCAGTGGCTCACGTTTGTAATCCCAGCACTTCTGGAGGCTGAGGTGGGAGGGTCACTTGAGGCCAGGAGTTTGAGACCAGCCTGGGCAACATGTGAGACTCCATCTCTACAAAAAAATTAACAAAATAAAAAATTAGCCAGGCGTGGTGGCACACACTTGTAGTCCCAGTTGCTCTGGAGGCTGAGGTAGGAGTACTGCTTGAGCCCAGGAGGTCAAGGTCAAGGCTACAGTGAGCTATGATTGCAACTGCACTCCAGCCTGGGCAACAGAGTGTGACCCTGTCTCAAAAAACGAAAATGATTTGAAGCCAGAGGGGATCTGAAGCTATTTAAACCTGATTCTGTGCAGAGGTCAACCCCTCAGCAAAGCTTCCTGAAAGGAAAAGGGGTGCCTTTTCTGGGAGATGGAAAGACCCTTTGGTCTTCTCCAGTCTCTGCTGTTCTTTAATATACAACATCCAGCTTGAAATATAAAAAACAGTGTATACGACACCCACAGAAACAGGACACTGTGACCCACAATCATGGAAAGAAAGTCACTAGAGCAGAAGCGTAGGTGACCCAGACGCTGAACTGGAAGACGAGGCCTTTAAAATACTATTATAAATAGATTAACAAACTTAGAGGGAAAGATGGGTCAAACAGGTGAGCAGATGAGGAATTTTCAGCAGAGGCATGGAAATTCAAAGCTAAAAAATACTTTCAATGTTCCCTGTGATGGTAAATACCTGCATGTTCCGATTTAACAAATTTTTTTTCCTTAGAGACAGGGTCTTGCTCTGTTTCCTAGGCTAGAGTGCAGTGGCTTGATCATAGCTTACAATAGCCTCGAACTCCTGGGCTCAAGCAATCCTCCCGCCTCAGCCTCCTGAGTGGCTGGGACCATAAGTGCATGTCATCACGCCTGGGTAATTAAAAACATTTTTGTAAAATTGGGGGTCTCACTACGTTGTCCAGGCTGGTCTTGAACTCCTGGCCTCAAGCAATCCTCCCACCTTGGCCTCCCAAAGTGCTGGGATTACAGGCATCAGCCACTGCACCCAGGCCGACTTAACACTTTTGTAACTACTGAGAATACTTCCCCAGACCATATACCCTCTTCCTATGTTTTTTTTTTTGTTTTTTGTTTTTTGTTTTTAGCTTTTTTTTTTTTTTTGAGACAGTCTTGCTCCATCACCCAGCCTGGAGTGCAGTGATGCCATCTCAGCTCACTGCAACCTCTGCCTCCTGGGATCTAGCGATTCTTCTGCCTCAGCCTCCCGAATAGCTGGGACTACAGGCATGCGCCATCACACTCTGCTAATTTTTGTACTTTTAGTAGAGATAGGGCTTCACTATGTTGTCCCGGCTGGTCTCAAACTCTTGACTTCAAGTGACCTGCCTGCCTGGGCCTCCCAAAGTATTGGGATTATAGGCGTGAGCCACCTTGCCCAGCCACACTCTTCCTTTGTAATGATCTGATAAATATTTATCTTCCTCAAGCCCTGAAGCCTCTTTGGGGCCCCGTGTCTAGCTTATCACATGAAGGAATCCCTGGGGACCCCTACCAACCTCCCTGCAGCCCAGGTACCACTGGTGCTAGAGAGAGAGGGACCCTGGGAGAAGCTCTCTGGGTGCTCTGGGGCCTGAAGGCTGCTTCACTGCCAGGAGCCCTCAGCTGTCTGAGGCTTCAGGGGCTTCAGCTGTCTGAAGTGCTGGGACATGGAGATTGTCAGCTTGTAGAATGCCCCCTTTCTGGTCTGGACACAGTGTCATTTCCATCTTCTCCATGCTATCACTAGTTCTGTGGTCCCGGCCACTCAGAAGGCTGAGACGGGAGGGTCGCTTGAGCCCAGGAGTTCGGGGCTGCATTGAGCTATGATTAAGCCACTGCACTCTAGCCTGGATGACAGAGTGAGCCTTGTCTCTAAGAGGGGAAAAAAAATGAAAAATGTTAAATCTGTGTGTGCAGGCATTTACCATTACCTCATTCCTGAGGCTTCAACCCTGCCTGTCAATGCACAATTCCGAGGACCGGCCCTCATTTCATACCTGGCACTTATCTGCAGAGCAGCAGGGGCCGGGGCTGGGGTGCAGCTGCTCTCTTTGTGAGCTTGAGGAAGTTCCCCTGTTTCTCTTGGGTCTTTAGGCTTCTTGAGGATCCCCAGAAGCCGTGAGCCTCTGGATGGAGGATACAGCTTTAGCACCCACCTGGCGGCCCCCGTTGGCCTTTCCTTTTGGAGCACTGGTGGCTTTGAGGGTTGCCCCTGGCTTCTTCCCATCGGGAACCAAATGGTAAAACATGACCCAGCATTGCAATACTGAAAATTGGGTTATAATTCTCAGATTGTTAGGTTTCTACCATCTTATATTCTATTCAAGAATGTAAGGAACTCTGAGCGGGTGCAGGGGCTCACGCCTGTAATCCCAGCACTTTGGAGGCCGAGGCGGGCAGATCACTTGAGGTCAGGAGTTCGAGACCAGCCTGGCCAATATGGTGAAACCCTGTTTCTACTAGAAATACAAAAATTAGCCGGGTGTGGCAGTGCTCGCCTGTTATTCCAGCTACTCGGGAGACTGAGGCATGAGAATTGCTTGACCCTGGGGGGCAGAAGTTGCAGTGAGCTGAGATCGTGCCACTGCACTCCAGCCTGGGCAACAGAGTGAGACTTGATCTAAATAAATAAATAAATAAATAAACAAATAAATAAGGCTTCTTGACACCTGGACAAGAACTGCCTTTAATACTAATTTGGCCATTTGGACCGTGACGGGTTATTTTGGCATTTATATTTATTGGTTTACATATTTTCTCTCCCAGGGAGGTCTTGGAATATTAGACATAAAAGGTGCTCAAGGTTTGCAGCGGTGTTCTCTGGTCTGTCACTTGATGGCATTCTAACACAAGGAATGAGACAACGGCTTGCAGCTTCTTTCCTCAGTCTGGGAATTATTTCCCTCCACACCTGTCAAAAATCTGGTTTACTGGCCACTTCAAAGAATCACAGCCGTTGTGACTAGAAACTGCAGACATCCAGAAGCTGAGGGCATTTCTCTATAAACAATGTAACTGGTTTTTGATCAACACCTCCAGAATAGGCAGGACAGAGTCAAGTGGTTTAAATAAGATAGAGGGCAAAAGGAGAGAGAAATTACGAGACCCTGGGGAAGAGGTGGGATTGTCGGTTACATTTGGAAATTGATGGTGTGTCAGCGAGGCGGAAGGAGGGTGTGGGGGTGCTTCCAGATGGCAGGATTCACAGCTAGATTGTGGCAGTTACGAGACAGGGCTGCTTTGAGGAAGGTGAGGGATTGATTTCCACTCCTGTCTTTTTTTTTTTTTTTTTCTTTTGGAGGTGTCCTTTACCCCTTTCTCTATGAAGTGATTTTCTGCCCAGTGACCTTGTTATTACAATGGAAAGAGACACTCATACCGCAGAGTAAATAATACAACACTGGGCAGTGAGGTATAGACATGAGCTCATGAATTTCATGTGACAAGTGTCCTTTTCCATATAAAGGTAGAAACTGAGACAAAAGGAACTGAAGTTACTTAGCAAAATTGCCACCAATTAAGCCTCATTTTTTGAGGTTAGTGACTATCTGGTGATATTTGTTGGTGACATCTGGGTTAGGAGACTAGATTGCAATTTTCCCTCCTCCTTATCAAGGAAAAGCAAGTAATTGTGGAGGAGAGGCCAAAAGCAGAGGGGACGGCAGGAATGGTAAACTCTGCCATGCTGTTGTCACAGTGCTGCCTGTCACCATCGTGCATCCGTAGTGTGGGTGCCGGGCAGATGCACAGACAGTGTTCGAGAAACAGTGCATGAATGACTGCCTGAAATCAACTGAAAGGCACCAAAAAGGTGGCTTCCTAAGCAGTGTCATTCCAGGGTATCATAAATGCTGGTCCCCCAACCCCAACGGTGTACCAAGCTGGGAGGCCCTGCTCCAGTGAACCACAGTGCTTGACATTCAAACAATGGAGAGTCATTCTTTTAGATGGAGCCATTGCTTTCTGCAGGGTTTTATTTTGAAATGCAAATACCCCCAGCGTGGGTAATAAATAAACCCTGCAGTGTGACAAGGTGAGCCTCTTGCTGGGCAGCTGAGGCATGACTAATGGAGTCGCGCTGGGGGCAGGGGGTGGGGGCAGTAGGAGCCCTGGGAGGAGATAAAAAGCAGGGAGACTTGAGATTGGTAACACGTGGACAATTTCACCCTTTTGCCTTCACACTGGAAACCTGGAGCTAGAATTTCCTCTGCCGTGGACAGACTCCCAGAGAGCTTGACTTACCTCGGTTGGATATAACTGGGGAGAAGTAAATTGTTTTCTTTCCTTATTATTCCCTGGTCCACCTCCCACAGAGGATCCCAATAAACTGTGGCACAAAGACAGTGGCCTAGAGGGGGTGGACGTGGGGAGCCCACTGGTTCCTGCCACTTCTATAAAGTGGGCCACCGGGCCTTACCTAGCTGTGGCAGGCACTGAGTTCTGTCTGCCCCGAGGCTGGTTGCCATAGGAGGTGCCTGATTTCCCCTCTCTCTTGGAGAAACATGGGATTTCCTTGGAAGCATGGAGCACAAGTTTCTCATTGTGCTTGAAAGACTGTCTGTTATTAATGTGAATCCCCAGCAGAGAACAGGCCCTGAGGTCTATTGGAACTGCATGCATAGAGGCGCATCAATCCACCCTGATGCCTGGGGATGCCCTTCCTTTTTTCCTTTTTTTATATTAGGTCATTGATCAGCAACATTGATCAGAAAAAAATTATGCCTTGTTGGCCATATTCTTGGATGAAGATCAATGATGTTAATTCTCAGTACATCAATTCGCGTACCGGGCGCTAATTGGAAGGGATGAAGCTGTGTGATGTATCACTGTGTAGGGCCCAGGGCAACCACATCCTCGGAGGGGGTCCAGGAGATTTGATTTGACCAACCTACTCAACACATGAAGCCAGAAACTGCACCTGGCAGACGGGCCCTGAAGACAGAGGTTTAAAAGCCGTTCCTATCCCCTAATACCAGTGATGCTTGATGCTCACTGGGCGGCAATGAGGAGGAAAAATGACACAGCAGAACTTTGAGCAGCCTCGGCTCCTTGTGCTCCAGAGAACAGCCTCCTCCTTCTTCCCCTGCAGCAGGCATTTTCTTTCCCAAACCCAATATTTTATCACCACTGTGAGAAAACTTTAAATTGAAAGATGGAAATTGACTATATCAAATATAGAGAGAGGCAGAAATAATCCAACGGCAAAGGCTTCCAGGGTTTTATTTTTTATTTGTATGTATTTATTTACTTATTTATTTACTTTTGAGATGGAGTCTTGCTTTGTTATCCAGTCTGGTGTGCAGTGGTGTGATCTCGGCTCACTGCAGCCTCCCCCTCCTGGGTTCAAGCAATTCTCATGCCTTAGCCTCCTGGGTAGCTGGGACTACAGGCATGAACCACCATGTCTGGCTAATTTTGTATTTTTAGTAGAGGCGGGGTTTAGCCATGTTGGCCAGGCTAGTCTTGAACTCATGACCTCAAGTGATCCACTCACCTCAGCCTCCCAAAGTGCTGGGATTAGAGGCGTGAGCTACCGTGCCCAGCCCCTAGGGTTTTAGATTGAGTGTTGTTGACCTATTGCATTTTTTTAAATGCCTGTGTGTGTGTGTGTGTGTGTGTGTGTGTGTGTGTGTGTGTGTGTGTCTTTATTACTGTGGGCCTGAGGAACTGTCACCTTCATGAGTAATACTTGTTATGGTCCGAGAGCAGGTGCAGAGTGTTTTGACAGCTGGCCAGGAAGAGTGGATCGGAACAGCCTCACTCGCTGGGCTGTAGGATTCTCAGGTGTCAACGCCTCTGCTGTGGAGTTTGCCGCATTGACCCAAGACAATGCCCTTCAGACGAGGAGTGGCCGCCACAGACAGTGGGTCCAGCTGGAATCACGGACTCTAGTCCAGCATGGCCATTGCTCTGGCAGCTTTTCTAGGAGCAGGTTTTTGCTGAAACTTCTAGATTATCAGACACTAAGTTGGGGAGATCCCGTACCCGTGACAACTCACCTCTTTACCACATTTGTCTGATGTTGATTGTCTTGGAAGAATATCTATGACTCCTGGGTCTAGGGCACCCTAACATTTTCGTTTTCCAATTGCCCGTTTGACTGCAACAGGGTAGGGGATTTTCCAGCAGAAATTATTGTTGTAATAACCAGGTGTTATTTGTAGTGGGACCAAAAAGGTAAGACATTAGGTTTAGATGAGCTCAAAAGGGAATGTGTTCAGATGATGTCACCAATTTGACCCTCAGGGTGCACTGGGTGCTTGAGGGAAGAGGTGAGGTGGGCTTCTGCCTCCTTGCGATTTTTCATGCACTCTCAATAATGCTGCCATTCCCCACCCAGCGGCAGGAGGCTGAGCCTGCCGGTGCTGGAGGTTCCCCTTGGCTTGAGGACGTAAGGAGTCCCTTGGGGCTGTGGGATAAGTCAGTAGGTGTGAGTGTCCTGGGAGCTTTTAGGCATCAGGACAGCCCGCCATGGGCTGAAATGTGCCCCTTCCCCAAATTCCTATGTTGAAGCCCTAGTCCTTAATGTGGTGGTGTTTGGAAATGGGGTCTTTGGGAGATGATTAGGTTGAGATGAGGTCATGAGGGTGGGACCCTCATGATGAGAGTAGTGTCCTTTTAAGAAGAGACAGCAGAGCCAGTGTGATGGCTCATGCCTGTAATCCCAGCACTTTGGGAGGCTGAGGCAGGTGGATCACTTGAGGTCAGGAGTTCGAGATCAGCCTGGCCAACATGGTGAAACCCTGTCTCTACTAAAAATACAAAAATTAGCTGGGCGTGGTGGCAGGCATCTGTAGTCCCAGCTACGTGGGAGTCTGAGGCAGGAGAATCACTTGAATCCAGGAGGCAGAGGCTGCAGTGAGCCAAGATCATGCCACTGCACTCTAGCCTGGGCAACAGAGTGAGGCTCCATCTCAAAAAAAAAAAAAAAAAAAAAGAGACAGCAAAGTGTGTGCTTGCTCTCTCTGCCGTGGAGGACACAATGGCCATCGGCTCCCTGATCTTGAACTTCCAGCCTCCAGGACTGTGAGAAGATAAACTTCTGTTGCTTAAGCCCCCTGTCTGTGGTATTTTATTGTGGCCTCCTGAGCTTCCTAAGACATTTTCCAGGGAGGTTCAGACCCCCATGTCCGCAGAGGAAGGTGATGATCTAGACTAGGAGGCTGTCAGCTATAGCTGAGAGGCAAGTTTGGCCAAGCCCTCCAGGCAGTGGCCCTGGGCCCTGAGTCTCGGGCTCTCCTTCTCTAGTTTCTCTTAGGCACACCAGGTTTCTCCTCTTTCTAACCTGTAGACTCCTCACTCAATTCCTGCTCAGAAAAAAAGGTCAGAGAAATTTAACTTTATCCTTAACAGATTTCTGCACATTTTGAAAAAAAGAAAAAATCCAACAAATGTCCCTCCAATGGAGTCTCACTCTGTCGCCCAGGCTGGAGTACAATGGTGTGATCTCGGCTCACTGTAACCTCCTCCTCCTGTGTTGAAGCAATTCTCCTGCCTCAGCCTCGTGAGTAGCTGGGATTATAGGCACCTGCCATCACGCCTGGCTAATTTTTGTATTTTTAGTAGATATGGGGTTTCACCTGAACTCCTGCCCTCAAGTGAGCCTCCTGCCTCAGCCTCCCAAAGGCTGGGATTACAGGCGCCAATGACACCCTTCTACAGCTAAAGGCAAATGTAATTTCTCCACTCAAGGACCAGCAGGATAAAACCTGGAATTCAGGGTTCTCCTATCAGGAGCTGAGACAGATCTGTGATTGTACCCTTTTTGCAAGCTGACAGGTGAGTCTGCCACAGTTTCATGGATGCTGACGGAAGACACAAGGCTCCTGGGTCAGAAACAAAGGGCTTTATTCTCACAGCAAAAGCAGTAGAGTACCAGCATTTTTGTGTACTGATTCTCTGAGTTCTAACTCCCCAGGGCAATGCAGAGGGCTGAGGGAAACTTCCCATGTAGGGGTTTCGTTCCAGGCAAGGAACTCTTAGTGTCCCTTACTTTTTAAATAGTGGGCTGTCAGTGTGCCTGCCCTTTGCAAATCTGTCTCTATCTTCCAAAGCTGTTCACTGTATAAATAGCCTTGAAAAGATAGTCTACCACAAGGGCCAACAGTGCCTCTGCTCATGAGATATGCAGAAATGTGAGACACTTATGAATTATCTACCAACATCCCCATGGCTTGTGCCCCAACCTTATGTCTCGTCACTCCATCTTACACTTCATGCTGGGTCATGACAGACTCCTTGTCACCTCTGTCTCTCTGGGCTGTTTGTTCATGAAGACTCAACAACTTGGATTATCCTTTCTTCCTTTCCAGCCACTCCCTGCACACCCTTTGAAATTCCCTCTGTGGAAAGCTTTCCCCATTAGACCATGAACCCCTTGAGGTTCCTGTGCCCTGAGGGGAGGTTGTGGTATATTTTCCCTGAACAAAGATCCCTTTCTCAGTTCTCCAAGACCATTTAGTCAATGACACACTAACCAATCCTGGGTGAATTCAGATTTAAGTGTAGCTGATCTTTCTGCATGAACATCTTGCTTAGCCGAATGAAAGCCTCTTGGGGACCGGGGCTCTGTGTTGGACACCTCGGCAGAGTGGCAGGCAGGTAGAGGACACATGTAAAGTCCTTGCTGATCAGCAGGTGGCTGGAAGCCTGTGGCTTAGCAGGGACAGTGAGTTGGCTGAGCAGACATGTGCTGCCCATCCGTGCTGCAGTGAGGTCCCTCCTGGATGTGGAGGCTGCTTGCTGGACCCAATTTCCTGAAATCAGTTGCATTGACTTGTGGGCTTTTTTTGCAAGTAACTGTTGTCTCTGCAAGAAGCAGTCCCCGAATCACATCAAATGACTTGAGATCTGGGTTGAGATAGTTTCTGTTAATTAAAAAGCTGTATTTCTCATCTTGAGTTGAGGAAGGAAATTTCTGGGAGAAAGAAGCACAGCTGTGCTCCCAGGATTTCTCTCATCCAGAAAGACAGAAATTCAAGTGAATCTAGTAAGTGTCCATGCAGCATTTACAGTGTGTGGGGATATTAGGGACATAGACATAGGAAGAATGATTAATTACAACCTGGTCCCTGCCTTCAGGAAGCTTCCGCCCAGCAGGGTGAGATCAGGGCAGTGAGTGAGAGCAAGTCTTTCAAGTACCGGGGGATAATGAGGAGACAAGACTTGTTCGCCTGCATCTGGAAGTGGAGTGTTACCATTTATTACTGCACAACCAATTACCCTAAAATGTAGTGGCTTAAAAGGACATTTCCTATCTCAGTTTCTGCAGGTCAGGAAGTTGGGAATGGCTTAACTGAGTAGTCCTGCCTCAGGGTTTTCCAACTTGCAGTCCACATGTCAGCCAGAGGTTTGTTCATCTGTAGGCTTGGCTGTGGGTGCAGCATCCAGTCCCAGGATGGCCCCTACACAGGGATGTGGGTAGGAGTCCTAAGTTCCTTGCCATGATTTGAGGATGGTTTTGAGTATATCTTCAGCTGGCTTCTCCAGAGTGGATGATCCAAGAGCTAGCAAGGCAGGAGCTGCAGTGTTTTTCATGAACGACTCTCCAAAGACACCACAATTTCTGCAATGTTCTATTGTTGCATGAGCCAGTCCTACTCCTTGTGGGAGAGGACCACAATACCAAGAGGCAGGGGTCACTGGGGACCGTTTTGGAGGTGGCTACTGCATGGCTGTCTCCTGCTAGCAAAAGGATACAGGGGTGGAGAACAGAGACCTCAATTCCCCCATGTCTGTTCTCCCTCCTGAACAAACTAGCAGCCTCTGCAAAAACTACTTTGGAAAGCGCTGCTTCAGGCCCCAGGCAGCAGGGAGCACTCTGAGACTGCCCTGAAGACATTGCTGGTGCGGCTTGCAAAAGCAGGATGCTCTGTTTCAAAGGGCTTTCCTGGCTGAGGGGCAAGGGAGGCGGCAGGAGGCCTCTGGAGCCTGCTCCCACTGTGACTACTTGCGGTTCTCCACTTTGCACCTTCAGAGTGGATGCTTCCCCTGGTCTTCATCTAAGCTGCAGTTCATGTCTCTAAAAAATACAAAGCTTTTGCTTTGCTGACCTAGATTGGTCTCAGCAAAAGCAAAGATGCATTTTCTCCCAGGGCCCAAGGCAGTCAGCCCTTAAATGAAGTTTATTTAACAAAGGGAATAGTTCCAGTTGAATTTTCGAGATGGAACTGTGGGTTCATTTGCAGCAACATGGAAGGTCGAGGGGAAGCTAATGAAAATGGTTTTTCTCAGCATACATGATTGATATGGTTTGGCTGTGTCCCCACCCAAATCTCATCTTGAGTTGTAGTTCCCATAATCCCCACATGTTGTGGGAGGGACTCGGTGGGAGGTAATTTAATCAAGGGGCCGGTTTCCCCCATGCTATTCTTGTGATACTGAGTGAGTTCTCACAAGGTCTGATGATTTTATAAGGGGCTTCCCCCTTCACTCAGCTCTTATTCTTCTCTCTCCTGCTGCCATGTGAAGGACATGTTTGCTTCCCCTTCCACCACGATTGTAAGTTTCCTGAGGCCTCCCCAGCCATGTGGAACTGTGAGTCAATTAAACCTCTTTCCTTTATAAATTACCCAGTCTCAGGCAGTTCTTTACAGCAGTGTTAGAACAGACTAATATAATGATGCACAAGTGTTTCCAGAATGACATGTACATCTTCCAAGCTTGAGCCTCGCCATGTCTCTCCTTCACACAGATACCCTGTGAAGATGAAATTCCAAGACAAAAGCACATTTGGGCCAAGTTTCCTTGGGTCTGTGTGCTCCAATCCTGGGGCAGTCCTCCCACAGCTGTTGCCTTGGGGTGGGCCCCTGCAGATTTCTTGCAGGGGACATCAGTTTGGCCTCCTGGCATCTGCTTCCTCTCCAATAATAGCTTGTCTGATTTTTGCGGGAGGATCTGCCCATCCCACTCTCAGCCCAGATGCATCTGGTGAGGCTTATTCCATCCTGGGCTCACCAAGTCAGCACACTCAGTCTCTCTCACCCTGGTGATTGGTTCAGGATGATCCATGCAGGGCATCTGTACCTGTACCTTGTACCCCCTGGTACACAGAGCCAGGATGGATCAACTCTGGAACTTTTCTTTTCTAGAGATGGGTCTCACTCTATCACCCACGTTGGAGTGTGGTGGTACAATCAATGGCTCACTGCAGCCTTAATCTCCCGGGCTAAAGTGATCCTCCCACCTCAGACTCTCAAGTAGCTAGGATCACAGGTGGGCACCACGACACCTGGCTAACCTCTTTATTTTTAGTAGAGATGGGGACTTGCTATGTTGTCCAGACTGGTCTTGAACTCCTGGCCTCAAGCAATCCTTCCACCTCAGCCTCCCAAAGTGCTGGGATTACAGATGTGAGCCACCATGCCTAGCCAACTCTGAAACTGTTGTAAAGCTGGGGGACGTGCCACTATATGTAGCCACCTGTGCATCAGGCAGACCTGAGAGATGGAGGGAGAGGCCAGGACTTGGAATTTCTGAGTTCTAGATACAGCTGCAGCTGCATCCAGCCCTATAAATCCCCCTTTGGCTTAAAGCAGTTCAGATTGCCAAGTTCTGTCAACCGTGAGAGATCTAGTAGATATACTTTGTAGAAATCATGTGGTTCTCACAATGAGATACCATTTCACACCAGTCAGAATGGCCACTACTAAAAAGTCAAAAAATAGCAGATGTTGATGATGCTGTAGAGAAAACTGATTGCTTGTACACTGTTGGTGGGAATGTAAATTAGTTCAGGCACTGTGGAAAGCAGTTTGGAGATTTCTCAAAGAACTTAAAACAGAACTACCATTCAACCCAGCAATTCCATTACTGGGTGTCTACCCAAAGGAATATAAATCATTCTACCAAAAAGACACATACACTCGTATGTTCACTGCAGCACTATTCACAATAGCAAAGACATGGAATCAACCCAGGTGCCCACCAACAGTGTACTGGATAAAGAAAAATATGATACATATACACCATGGAATACTATGCAGCCATGAAAAAGAACAAAATTAGGTCCTCTCCAGCTGGATGCAGCTGGAGGCCATTATCCTAAGTGAATTTTCTCAGAAACAGGAAACAAAATACTGCAAGTTTTCACTGATGAGTGGGAGCTAAATACTGGGGACTCATGGACATAACGATGGCAAACATAGACACTGGGGACTCCTACAGCAGGGAAGGAGGGGGGCAAGGGCTGAAAAACCACCTATTGAGTATTATGCTCATTACCTGGGTGATGGAATCAATCACATCCTAAACCTCAGCATCATAAAATATACCCATGTACCAAACCTGCACGTGTACGCCCTGAATCTAAAATAAAAGTTAAAAAAAGAAAAGAAAAAGAAACGAGATGTTTCCCCCTCTGCTATGTGGAACCTAATGCTTCAGGTACAGATGCTATGGAAGATGGATTTCTTTAGTGTCTTGTATGAGTCACAACACTTGGGTGACTCAAGGCAGCCCTAAACTGTGGTCTTGAGCACTGTGCACAGATGCCTGTGACCTCAGTGCATTTATGGGACTTCCTGCCACCAGCTATGAAAACAGTTCTCAGCATTGCAGGCTTGAGCTAGTGGGAACCAATCTGAGGCTGTGGCTAGGCTGCCTTCAGGCTAGCATGTGACCTGCCTGTGTGTTGTCAAACTCTCTTGGTAAATAGGGAGAGTGGTGGTTGGATCACAGACTTGTTATCTCATCTGAAACCTTTTCTACTTTGGCACTCATTTTCTTTTCTCCCGCCCAGGGCAAAACTCTTTCCCCTTCCCATCTCATGGTATCTTGCCCCATCAACTCTCTTCCTTCCCTGTCCCAGGCTCTATCTGACGATTCCCTTTTCTTCCTTAGACTGTTCACAGGCTTAAGACTTTGAAACTAAGAAATTTTGCCACTGCCTGCCCTGGTCTTCTGGTACTACTACTAGCTACTACTCTCCCTCCCTTCTCAACCAAGCTTTGTGAAAGTATGGTCTGTGCCATTCTTCCCATCTCATTCACTCACCCCACCTCAATCTTCTCTGGCAGAGGGGACCAGTTTGTCACATTAGCAAAACCAGTGGGGCCAGCACACACGAAGCAACAGTACAGGTGCACTCACAGCATGATGGCATCGTGCCTGGAGCCTGCCTTCCCAACATCATGCCCATAGTCTCTGGGGCATTAGGCACTGTGGATACTTTCAGCTTCTTGAAACTCTCCAAGCCCTGGTTTCCACGACCTCCTTCTTCAGTGAGTTCTCATGTATTTCTCACTTTCTTCTGCTTTCCCACATCATGTTCTCCTTTGTGTCTACCCTGCTCCAGTGGATTTTGTCTTTAAGATGCCATCATTCCTCTACTAGAAGCTCCCTCCAGCTGTGTTTTAGCTAACAGCTTTATGCATTTGCTTCCAAAATTTATCTCTGGTCGCAACCTCTCTCATTACTTACAACAGTTTGCTAGATATCTGCAGTTTGGTATTCTGCAGGAACCTCAAATTCAAAATGTCCAGAGTAGCCTTCTGCTTCTGGCTGTGATAAGGTAACAGGCATTGGATTTACCTGCCCATCATAAACAACTAAAAAAGCAGATACAATATTTGAAACAACTCTTTTTAGACATTGATCAAAAGGCAGCATAAGGCAGTGACTCATGAGAGAAAGGAAACAAATGGGATGAGGCCTGGATTGCCTGAGCTCACTGTCTGGAGCGAGATTCCAGGACAGGGATGGGGGTGTGCCTGGGTGTCCAGACAGAGTCTAGTGGTTTCTTTGAGTTGCAGAGACAGTGTGGTGTGGAGAGTGCTCAGAGATCTGCTGGTCCCACTCAGGTCTTCTGCTGAGTACCCATCAATGCCTGCATATGAGGAAGCTGCTTGAGGCCAGTGAAAAAACGCTGGAAAGAAAAAGGTAGAACAATTTCTGGAAATCACAAGGGCTGGGCTGGGTCATATTCCCAATAGTCAGAATGGAGAGACCTTGTAATACACAGGTAATCAGGAAAAACACTCAGCACCCCACAATTTAGATGAAGTGGGCAAAGTTTTTGAAAGACACAAATGACTAAAGCTTATTAAAAAAAGATAGATAACCCAAATAGCCCTATATCTATTAATGACATTAAATTTAGAGTTAGAAATCTTCCTTCAAAGAAAATTCCAAGCCCAGGTGGCTTGAGTCATTTGAGAAAGAAATAATGTCAATTCTACCCAAACTCTTCCAGAATATTAAAGATGAGGCAATACTTCCTAATTCATTCTATGAGGTCAGCATTACCACTAATCTCAAAACCAGAAAAAGGCACTATAAGAAAAGAAAACTACAGAGATTCCTCATAAACACAGATGCAAAAATTCTTAGCAAAATTTTAGCAAGTTGGTTCCAACAGAACTTAAAAAATCATGACCAAGGAGAGACTTGATGATAAATCAGTGTGATTCACTTTTACCAGGCTAAAAAGGAAAATCATATGCTTATCTCAACAGATACAGAAAAATCACTTGACAAAATCCAATATCCAATCATGATAAAAATCCTAAGTAAACTAGCAATAGAGAGAAATTTTCTTAGGCTGATAAAACGTTTCTGTGAAAAGTCTAACATCATACTTAACAGTAAAAAGCAAAATGCTTTTCCCATAAGACCAGTAACAAGACAAGATGTTCACTCTTAGCACATCTGTTCAACATTATTCCAGAGTCTCTAGTTAGTGGAATAAGGCATGAAAAGAAAAAAAAAAAAACAAGCATACAGTTAAAAAAGGAAGAAGCAAAACCATCTTTGTTTGCTGATAGTGCTGATAGCATCTTCACCTATGGAAAAAATCCTAAGGAATTAATCTAAAAAAACCTATGGAACTTATAAATAAGTTCAGTAATGTTGCAAGAAAAAGATCAGTATGCACAAGTACATTGTCTTTCTATATATGATCAACAATAAGAAATTTAAATTTAGAATAATGAAATAGCATCAGATATTTGAAATACCTAGAGATAAATTTGGTAAAAGATGTACCTGACTTGTGGACTGAAACCTACAAAACATTGTTGAGAGAAATTAAAGAGATCTAAAAAAATGGGGAGAAATATACCATGTTCATGGATCAGAAGACTCAGTTTTATTAAGATGTTAATTGTCTCCAACTTGATCTACAGATTCAACATGATCCCAATCAAAATTCAAAAAATTTTTTTTTTCAGAAACTGATCTGCTAGTTTAAAAATTTATGTGGAACTAAAAGAATCGAAAATAGCTAATTAAAGATTTTATGTGCAAGTAAAATAATCTAGAATAGCTAAAATGATTTTGAAAAGGAAGAACTAAGAGGACTTACACTAACTGGAAAGAGAGCAGGTCAAGTGGCTAATTGTGCTGGGGTTTATAAGTGCAGATCTGAATTTGGCAAATCTTGTTCCATCCACATCTTATGGTCAGGGTCAAGTCACATGGCATTTACAGATTGGAGGCCGTATCCACCTTGATCCTCTTGGATCACTTTTATCAACTCCTTGCAGCTATCCCCAAGCATCTGTGTGCTTTCTGCTAATAGACTGCACCTGCAACCTGCAACCTCCTGTACGCTGCTCTTGGGCACTAGAGCCTCCTCCCACGCATGCAGAGAAGTACCTGTGTATCTCAGAGCAGCCCATAGTCAACGACTGGTTGGGAGAAGAAAAGCCCAGCATCGTTTGAGACCAGCCTGGCCAACATGGTGAAACCCTGTCTCTACTAATGATACAAAAATTAGCCAAGAGTGGTGGTGGGCGCCTGTAATCCCAGCTACTCGGGAGGCTGAGGCAGGAGAATCGCTTGAACCTGGGAGGTGGAGGTTGCAATGAGCCAAGATAGCGCCATTGCACTCCAGACTGGGTGACAAGAGTGAAACTCCGTCTCCAAAAAAAAAAAAGCCCAGCATCATTGCCTTCATGCAGGTCAAACTCTGAGGTGCAATTATACTCCAGAGATTCCCACGGGGTTAGGCTGAGTCTGGGACTTCATCCAAATTCACACCTTTGTTTTCCTTCTCCCCTTCTCTATATCTGCACCCCCCACCGACCCCGCCCCACTTACTGGCTCCTTCTGGCAGCACTCAACCAATCGATGGGATCCAAAAGAAGCAGGTCTGGTCAGCACCTAGTCTCACAGTCCCTTATTTACCTAACTTTCTTTCTTTCTTCTTCTTCTGTTTTTCTTTCTTTCTCTTTCTTTCTTTCTTTCTTTCTTTCTTTCTTTCTTTCTTTCTTTCTTTCTTTCTTTCTTTCTCTTTCTTTCTTTCTTTCTTTTTTTTTTTTAATAGAGACTAGGTCTAGGCTCCCCTTCTCAAGGAAGCCTCCTCAGCTTGTCTCCATCATCGAGTGGCTCTGTTGACAGCTCTGTTTCCCCTTTGCTAGACTCTGGCTCTCCAGTTGCCAGGAACCAAGCTCTGTTTTTCTTTGCATTCCTGGTGCTCATGCAGCCCAGTGGCAGGCATAGAATGACTGTTGGATGCATCATTTCTGAACTTCAGGTCTCTTCATGAGGCTGTTCTGCTGCAAGGGTAGCATGAGGTGTGATCCAAGCAAGGGGTCTTTGCTCTCAGCTGCCTCTCTGATGTGGCAGAGGTGAGATATTCAATAAGTCAGCTGGAAAAGGAAGCTGTACCCCTGCTGCTGTCTTCAGGCCAGTTTTCCCCAGCTCTGGGCTTTGCATGGAAAGTTAAATCATCCCTGGCCCCCCAGGCATCACAGCTCTCAAATTACACACTCTATTGCTCTGCAATTAAGCAATAATGCAATTAGAAATAATGCAGTGAAGATGATGATCTGTGGGGCCCATTCTTGAAAATGCTTGACTTGAATATTGAGCTTGGTGCAGGGGAAGACTAAACACACAAATTTTTTTTTTTTAAAAACATAAAAATGTATTGTCTTAAAACAGTTGTGCATTATGAGTCATCACTCTTACTCAGCCTGCAGCTTTCTGCTGTGAGATGCATTGGAGGAGTTGCTCCCTTGTGTATCTAATCTTCACTATTTGGTGGGGGTGGTTCCACAGGCAGATGACATTGCTTGCCACTTTTGCAGCCCTCCTATGCTTTGCCATGCCTTACCTGAGGATCAGATGACAGCTGCCTCCTACCTGCCACCCTCTTTCCTTTCTTGGGGCCAGTGGGGCTGGCAGGCAGGTCAATGGGATGAAGGAGGGGGCCGGAATCAGAGCCCTATCCCTGGAGCACAGAGTTTCCATGACGGTGGCCCCAAGAGGGGCTCCCCTAGCATTTTCTTTTCATGAGGGAGAAAGTCAGCCCGGAAGACTCCAGAGTGACATGGCTCCCTGGCTCCCAAACCTGGTCCAATGAGCACAACGTGGACAGCACAGCAAGCACAAAAGCACAAGGTCCTGTGTGCCAAGATGCAACCTTCCTATCTTTTTGGTTAAAATGTCCTTCCCGTCTGAAATGGCATTAATAGTGAAGTTTTTCTCAGTGTTCTTGCTCACCAAAACCAGCTTTCCAATTGTTTCATATTAGGTCAGACCATGTGAAATTGCTAACGTTTGACTGTTTTTGACCCATAAAATGGCAAATTTGCTGTATTTGATCATTGTGACCCATAAAAATGGCAATGCCAGATGGTTCAATCAAATACTTTTACTAATTCATGAGAAACCTAACATCTGGGACCAACAGGGTAGCAGAAAGACCTTCACCATAGAACGTGGTGAGTTTAGAGATTCGTTTGGCTTCTACCTCTTCCAACAACCTCATGAACTCCCCGCCTGGTGAGGCCTGGTTCCCTCGTCTGTGGAGTGGAACTCATAACCCATGTCCTTCCCATCTCACAGGGTCACATGAAATGATGGACATTAAATTGCCTCTTAAACGGTAAAGTGCCCTGTGAACGTCAGGTTAATGGCCTGCATTTGGGATGACTCTTATGTGTAATGATCAGATCCTCAGCTTGGGCTCTCCCAGAACAAAGTGTTCCTTCTTTAACCTCTGTTTTTATTTCTTTGGGATGAAAACAAGTGGGGACAAGCTCTGTGGACTGGCCACAGTAACCCACCAGAGGCTGGTGTTTACATTTGCTGTGGCGGTTTCTAGTCAAAAGTCAGAACAATTGAGTGAAATGTGCAAAAATCAATCTGTCAGTGACTTTGTTTCCAGAAGGTTATGCAACTGGTTTGGATCTTTTTAAAAAAGAAATTGACTAAAAAAAAAAAAACCCACTTGAAATTCAGTTTTCTTTTCTCAGGATGACTTAGAGACCATGTTATTTATAAAATGTTTTAAAATTCTTAGTGAGAATAATACCAAAGTGAAATAAAGTATCAGTCTCCAAGCAGACATTTCTAACATTTAAACACCATAAAGAGACTTCACTCAATGGTCTATCAAAAATCTTTATTAACTATATTTTTGTAAAGGGCTTGACACAGCAGACAATGATATTCCTGTGATAGCCCTAGAGGAGTTACATGATTCTCCAGTGACTGTTGGGCCTCCATGGCAAGGTAATTCAGCATAGTTATTCTTTGGAAATTGGTGTAGTGGATGTGGTTGGCTCCCTGTCTGTATCCTCTCACCCTTCCCACTTTTGTGCATGTCACTCCCACTTCCAATGGCCAGAACCTGCATCTCTTTGCCTGGGGCTCCTTCGTCAATGGGAGCAGCAAGCCAGAAGTGCCAGGAAGTCAGCAGCCCCAAGAACAGCTTTCAATAATGACAGACAGCAGTGGGAGTATCAATACCCCACCTCCCTCATCCCTTGGGTAGGACAGCTCTGAGGTGTGTTTTGCAATCTCCCCCAGGATTGGAGTTCCCCAGTTGGATTCCCCAGTAGGATTAGTTCCAGTCTCCCCAGTGTTCCTGATATGGTTTGGCTGTGTCCCCACTCAAATCTCCCCTTGAATTGTAATAATCCCCACATGTCAAGGGCAGGCCAGGTGGAGATAATTGAATCATGGGGGCGATCCCCCATACTGTTCTTATGGTAGTGAATAAGTCTCACAATATCTGATGATTATATAAATAGGAGTTCCACTGCACACACTCTCTTGCTTGCCACCATGTAAGAGATAACTTTCCTTCTCCTTGTCTTCCCCCATGATTGTGAGGCCTCCTGAGCCATGTGGAACCGTGAGTCCATTAAACCTCTTTCCTTTATAAATTACCCAGTCTCTGGTATGTCTTTATTAGCAGCGTAGGAACAGGTGAATACAGTTCCCCTGTTGGATTAGTTCTAATCTCCCGTAGTGGTAACTGGCCTGATAGCACACCCTTTTTAGGGTGTCTTCCCTTCCCTGTCTCACTTTCCCTCTACCCTGCAGATATTTCATGACTTCCCAAAGAGACTACTTTTGCTCAAATCCTAATCTCAGGATCTGCATCTGGGTCAACCCAAATTAAGAATTTCAGCAATCTGAGAGTATGGTGTGTGGGGCTTAACTACATTAACTAGAAATATGGAATTATCCAGGACATGCTATTTCTTGAGTCTGTTGGTTAACTGCTTAATGTAATATTATTTGTAGTAATTGCAAGTCAAAATGCTATGTGTTATTCCCAAAAGTTTAGTTATTTTAGCCAAATTGTGATTTGCTTGCCTTCTTTTGCTAGCAGCTCCTCAACTTCTCTCTGGGGAGCCCCACCTCCCACCCTCAGTCCTTAGCTCTAGTGTTAGGCTTATGACTCATGCCTGGCCAAGAAGAGCACCATGTCTCCCTGACCACCGTGAATGGCTCCGTGTGGCACACAACCCAAGCCAGACCAATGGACCCATTCCACTAGCTGCTAAATTAGGAATATGTGAGGCAGGAGCCCTTGGAGTCAAGACATGGAGAGGAGCCTGCCTTGCAGCCAGGTCAGTCCAAGGAAGGCAGAACCAAGAGACAGGAGAAGAATTGGGCCTGATAATGCTTGCACCCTGGGTCCAGCCATGCCTGCACTTTGTAGTCACATGAGTTGTTTTTCTATTACTCGCGATTGAACCAGTCCTGACCATGCTGCTGAATTGAGGAGGGGGGTTCTCTGGGTGGAGGTCAGGGATGCAGAATTCTCTTCTCAGAAGTTGCTTCCCTAATGAGGGTTGCAAGCTACTTTGCGAGCGTGGATGCCCAGAAGAAGACTCTTGGCTCCGGAGCCAGGCCTACATCCAAGATTAACCTCCGTGAAGACCACAGGCACATTCTGGGTCCCAATTCTGGCTCTGGATAGTGTTGGGAAACTTGCTTTTCCAGAAGGCAGCTGTGCAGAGGGTGGGCCAAAACATAGGGTACAGTGGCCGTGTGAAGTGCTGAGTACCTGATGCATGGCTGTGTTGCTTCTGCATTGGCAGGATTCCCCTTAGAAGGTGGTCCCCGGAACACAGTGCCATGTGGCCCCCCAGGGCCCCCATATGCCTGTTTCTGAGGCTCTGAGTAAAGGGACATATGGACCTCCACCACCTGGCAGCCTCACAGCAGGCACTGTAGCATTCAGTTTGTAGGGTCACCGGTAAGATGGTGCTGCTGCCCTAAATGGTCCCTGACCCAGGCCTGGGGTGCCTTGTGCAGAGACCTTGGCCACTTGCAGACTGATAGCAAGAAGGGAAGGTCTCTGAAGGGCCACACTGGCTGCAGCCA
The DNA here is from genome assembly GCF_000001405.40 of Homo sapiens. Taxonomy (NCBI): domain Eukaryota; kingdom Metazoa; phylum Chordata; class Mammalia; order Primates; family Hominidae; genus Homo; species Homo sapiens. The sequence continues at coordinate 29,579,716 of NC_000019.10, read as the reverse complement.
CAAAGAGCAGTTGGAATAGGGAAGGCTGGTACCTGTGGCAATCGAGATCACAAACAGGACAGGACAAGAGCAGATGGAGACCAGGGAGGGGAAAGCACATTATGATGAGTGCAGATCAGGGTCTCTGCAGATCAGGATCCATCTTGAAAGAAGGCAGAAGACACCACGACTGCAGGGGGTGAGATTTACGGGAGGCTGGGGGCGCAGGGTAAATAGCTGAGGACTCTGGGGACTGGGCAAGTGGGACAGATGACAGACCACTTTGACGTGGCCAGTTGATGTGGTCAAGGCAAAAGTACTGTGTCCAGATGTAGAATTACCATTTATAATTTATCAGTGATGTTCCCATCACCATCCCTGGCAGATGATGGGGTGAGGCTTAGGGCTGGGGTCTGATTTGATCTGATTTGCTCACTACTTGGTGAAAGTAATTGCTTGGCTGAACATTTAATGGTTTGGTTTGTAGGCTTTGTTAAATGTCCCGGTGTAAAAAAAGCCTCATCAAAATGTCAGTGACAACTCACCCCTTATCATATCTCAACAAGCAAGAAGGCTTCCTTTTAATCTTTGCAGTTAAGCAAACAGATTTCTCTCATTGGAAGGAAGGAGGGGTGGGTGGCTTCCTTGGTGAGATGAAGAGGGGTGAGTATGTCCTCCTTGCCCAATCTGGAATGCTCTGCTACTCAACGTATGGGTCCTGTACAGCCACATCAGCAGCCTCCGAGAGTTTGCTAGAAATGCAGACCCTCAGGCCTTACCCTAGGCCCAGTGAAGCAAGACCTGCTTTTTAATAAGGTCTTCCTGTGATTCGTATGCATGGAGACTGTTGAAAAGTGCTGCTGTGGTGAACATCCTTTAGAGCATCTTCCCAGATCCCGGTGGCTCTCTGTTCCCTCCAACAGTGGGGGTGAGGCTGGTAGTCCTAGGGGTTGGGGCTGGCAGTCCTAGGGGTTGGGGCTGGCAGTCTCACTGGATAACTCCTCGTGCCTTGTCATCGTTGGCTGAATGAATTAAGGGTGGTTGTCTGACCCGAGCTGTGCCAATCTGAGTGCTTCTCTGGGAATTTGAATTAGGACTCTCTCTCTCTCTCTCTCTCTGTATGCATGAGAGAGACAGAGAGAGAGAGAGAAAGAGAGAGAAATGGAGGAAAGGAAGGGAGGGAGAGAGGGAGGGAGGGAGGAAGAGAGAGAGAGAAAGAGAGAGAAAGTGGGAGAAAGAGGTGAACGCCCTTTCTTTGGGTAGCTGCAAGTATCACGAATATTTGGGAGTGGGTCATTTTTCACCAGCTGCGCGGCCCTAAGTGAAGGAAGCCGGTAGGTAGAGAGAGGGGCATGAAGCAGATGTGTTAGACACTGGGTAGTGATGGTGTCTTAGTCCATCCAGGCTGCTATAACAAAATCCCATAGGCTGCATGGCTTATAAACAACAGAAATTTATTTCTCACCATTCTAGAGGCTGGGAAGTCCAAGATGGAGGCACCAGCAGATTTGGTGTCTGGTGAGGGCTTCCTGGTTCATGGACAGTGCTTTCTATTTGTGTCCTTGATGGAAAGAGTGAGGGTCCCTCTGGGGTCTCTTTTATAAGGACACTAATTCCATAGAGCCTTCATGACATAATGACCTCCCAAAGGCCCTCACCTTCTTGTACCATCATTTTGAGGGTTAGGATTTCAACATATGAATATTGGGAGGACATAAACATTCAGATCATAACCCCACCCTGACGCGCAGGTGAAATTCCACACTTGGGTTCCATGAAGCTCCCCCATATACTGATATACTACCCTGGCTAGCCTAGGCTGGCTTGAGCTGGCTCTGTCACTGCAGCTAACCATGTCAGCTGGGGATCTGGGTGGCACCCACAGAACCTGCCCCGTTCCCTTCCACTGGGGAGAATCTCTTGGTGGTGGTAGTGGAAAGGGGTGTCAGGAGCTCAGGGGAGGTAGGCGGCACCAAGGGAGCTGGGTGGCACCAAGGGAGCTGGGTGGGCCAGGCAGGAGAAGCCACAGCCAGGGCCATACAGCAGAGACAGTTCAGCAAACCAAGCCCCTGTCCCTGGGGACCGGCAGCGAGCTGCTCCCCTCATCCTTGCTCCCCTCCAGGGGAAACTGGTGGCTCGGGCATGAGTCAGTTCTTGTCGCAGAGGTGGCCTCGGGGATGGGGAAGTGAGCATCTGGCCACTTTGGTTCCCTCCTGGATCTGCCTCCCTCAAATCTGTGCACAACAAGAGCATGGTAATTCCCCAAGGAAACACCGAGTCTATGCCCCAGTGAGGGAAATGGATGCTGGTATCACACATCTGCACAGTCTGTGTTCTCATCAGAGCCTGGGGCAAGGACAGAGGGGGAAGTCATTTATTTGGGGGTCAGTCTAGAAAGTGGGAGAGAAGGAGCAGAGAGTGTGAGTCTGGAAGAAGAAAAAGCCAAGAAAGGATGTGCTATGGAGCTTGCTGCTTGGGCAACAGGGGTGTGGCTGTACACTGAGGAGCAGGCACAACGCCTTCCGGAAGGACCTGCCTGCGGACAGGGAGATGCAGACATTCACCTGTGGGACCCTCCAGGAGCCATCCAACTGCAGTGTGCTTCCGCAGAGCCTGATCTTGAGCCAAACAGGCAACATGGCTTAGAGGAAGCCCTGGAGGGAAAATCAGAGAGGCGCGGGTTTCCCCCTTGAGTATCTCTTTCTCCTGTACAGGAGCCTGGGTCAATCCTAGAAGCTTCCACCCCAGCAGGGGTTGAAGTCGGGGAGGGCTGCGGGAATGTCATGCATGGTGCAAAAAGATTCTGCTATAGTCAGGATACAGCTAAAGTTCACATCTCTAGCCCTGAAAGCCTGAGTAAGCCAGGTTGTGGGAAGATAGTAGACGCCTCCACATTGGAGTGGCTGAATCATCTCGAGGGTCATTTGCATATGATCTTACAGTGAAAATTCCCCTTTTCATCTTTACCAGTGACATACATTGGGAAACGGAGAACTTCACAGCAACAAGCAGGGACAAAATCTCAACTTTCTCTCTGGCTTTTATGGATTTCTATTTTGTAGAAAATGTACACTGTAGCATGCCAAACTCTGTACACCTCTCTAATAAATAAAAACCAACAGCTAAAATATTTCCTGCTTGATGGATCATTTTCTTAGTCCCCGCCTCATAAAATTTGGGGGGGAAATGGCAAATTTCTCATTTATTTGACTGATTTTAGTTTTCTGACACCGTCAACAAATGCAACCCATGGCTCTCTCTGACTATTCATTTGCAAAACGTCCACCCAGCCCTGTTTCTGTTGTCTCGGGTGAGTCTCTGTGCACAGAGCAGCCCGGCTTTGGCAAGGCTAAGAGCTGACGTTTCTCTAGTTTCATTTGCCCAGAGTTTTCCTTGTTATTTTTGATTTGTGGTGTGGCTGGCTTACCCCACACATCTGTCTCCATCATGACAGGTGCCCTCTGATTCACGCGGTGCAGCCCATCTCTCCCAGGCACCGCCTGCTGGAGCTGCTCAGGATGCACCACTCTCCAGGGCTGACTCAACTTTCTGCATATGCTGCCTGTCACAATCCTGTCCCGAGGTTTATCCACGCTCTTGAGTGGGCTCCGAGACTCCCACACGGGCTGCCTGTGGCTCAGATACCCCAAGACTCACTGGCTCTTGTTTCTGAGGCTCTCACGCCTCAGAATGAGATGCAATGAGGCTGCCACTTCTGGTGACAGCCGCTGGCGAGGAAGGATTGACTTTTGCCCAAACGACAGTGGCTCTGGTTGTAGGGGAGATCCAGCTGTCTGTGTCTAATAAGACTCTCCGAGCATCAGGGAGAGACGAGGAGGCCTCTTAAGACCCAGCTCAAATGCTACTTGAGCTCATTTCCACAAACATTTGATAAGTCCCTGCTATCTCCCCCACCCCCACCCATTACAATGAATTGTTTCCCTTCCTGAGTCCCTTGCTAAGATCCCTACTGTGGGTCTCACAGTCCAGCTTGTATTCCACTTAGCTGTGGAGGTGTTGATTCTTCTTACCAGACCACCAGCTCCCTTACCGGGGGTTAGGGGGTGATCCTTGCATACTTTATCTGTTTCTCCCATACAGGGCTGTTTATGGAGTAGTGATCAATGTGTGTTTGCTGAATGAATAAACGTAGTTAATGTCCAGGTGCTGCAGAGCTTTGGAGGTCCATGGTCCCAGAGGCACCCCACATTTCCAGCCTCTCCTTCCCCTGAGTCCTGGTTGCCACCAGGACAACTCTTGGTGGGCCATCTCTTGGTGTAGTGGGTGTGGTAGGGGACCACAGAGGTGCCTCAAGCTCCCCACCCAAGTGATGTACTCAGAGCCCCCATGCTCAGTTATCGAAGAATGAGGACTAAATAGCATGTTCCTGGAGAGCCTCTTTTTACACAGCAAATGTTCTTCTGAAAACAGGTGGAGAGTTACATCTTTATAAATTGAAGCTTACATTTTTTGGGGGGTGGAATTGTCTTTTGTTAAATTAAAAATACTTTACTGCTTTTATCTTATTACAGAAGTAATAATCACAGAGAAGCCAGACCGCAGTCAGACATTAAAGTATCTACAATACTACTTACATAGAAACATAAACTTTTAACACCTTGGTGTCTAACCTTCTAAATCATTATTCATATGTATGTGTGTGCTTCTCTTTCTCTGTATAATAAAATTGGGATTCAGATCCTATTTTAAACATGCTATAGGAGCTTGCTATTTAAAGGCATTCTGAAGTGAATCCTTTTGAAATGTGAATAATTCCTTGGGATTTATTTGTGCTGTTGGTTCAGGCAAAATCCAGAAGTCATAAAGTGTTTATGGGTGGGGGAGGCGGGTAAGGGATGTCTGATAATCTTTGAACATTTGTCTGTCTCTGCCTCTATATCCATTTATCCATCCATCCGTCCATCTATCCATCCATCCATCCATCCATCCTCTATTAGCCTATCATATATTTCCTAATTGAGTGTTGAGAGATTGACATACAGACAGGCAGGAAAGCCAGGGCTGGGTTGATTGAGTGCCCTCCTCAGGGAGCCTCACATGCGCAGTGCCACATATTTATGGCATTCCCCAAGGACTGGATTACATGGCAAAAGATTAACATCCCTGCTGCACAAATTAAAAATGCTCTATTATTTGCAGCATGGAGAGGACTAGCTGAAGATCAGCATCTTCTCTTTGAGCAACTTAATTGAATGTCTCTCAGCCTGAACCCCTCGCTGTATTGATTTGAATTAATTATTTGTGCATTTGTAATCTCCTGTTTTCCCCAGCCCAGGAGTGCCCCACATCGCAAGGCTGCATGTCTGCCTCCTCCCAAGCCGTCTTCCCTAGTCTGGAAGCCTTTGACAGTTCTAAGGACAATTAATCAGTCAAATGGAATCAGTTTTTGCTGATAAAGGAGAGCCTTCCTTGTAAAACTGACATCCCATTTTATGGGAATTAACGTTTTGAAAAGTGACCGTGGTCTGTCTTAGTTAAAAGCACCAATTCATTAGGGCACAGTTTGGAGAAACCATGGCAGGTGGAGGTGCAGGGGCGGGGAGCAAAATTTTACCATCAAAGGGCTTAGAAATGAGTCCGTGAAGGAGGCTTAAACAATAATGGCCACGTCTTTTGGTATTTAGGGAGTAGAAAGATGTCTGGTCACAAACAGGGAGTTAATCGGTTATGCAGATAAGAGTATGTTAGTAGATTGTGTTTTAGACACACAGCAGACCTTCTTTCAAAGCAAAACCAGAACATTTTGTATACTATAATTTACCAAAATAAAAAAGCACAGAAAAATCTTGCACAGAAAAAGAAAGCGCAGGTTATCTGCAATCTAATTTAACTTCTTTGTGGTGTTCTTAAATAAAAAACTGGATACATGTTATTCGAAAACATCAATTACCGCTTCAGGAATGGGATTCTGGTTAACCCTAAAACTTCTTTTGCTTCAGCTCTCTTTGAGAAACACTCTGAATGGCGGCAATGTTTTCTGGCCCCGTGAGGCCGGTACAGTGACCACAGCTGGCCGAGGCTGCAGAGGGTGAAGGCAGAGTAGAGCCAGGGAAGGACCTCCTGGAGTATCATGGGGGCAGCTGTTACTTGGCACCCACCAGTTGTCACCACATAGGAATATGGGCCCCGTGTGGCTGCATATTATATTTTTTTCAGGAGAAGCCAGAAATTTGGGTTTTTAAAACAAATTTTAAGTATATGTGTGTGTTTGTTACATAGGCATATAGTGTAATGGTTGGGATTGAGCTTCTAGCAAACCCACCTCCCGAACAGTGAACACTCTACCTGATAGGTAATTTTTCAACCCTCACTTCCCTCCCATTCTCCTGGCTTTTGGAGTCCCTAGTGTCTGTCATTCTCATCATGTCGTTATGTATGTACCCACTGTTTAGCTCTCTAATCAGTGAGAACATGTGGTATTTGATTTTCTGTTTCTGAATTAGTTCACTTAGAATAATGGTCCCTAGCTCCATCCATGTTGCTGCAGAGGACAGGAGAAATTTGGATGTTTACATGAGACTTTCCGATATTGTAAAATAACAAGAAACATCCCTGTGAACGTCAAACATAGCATGTCTGCAGCCAGATGCAGCTTGAGAAGTGCTAGTTTGCAACCTCTGGGTGGGAGATGGAGTTAGATGTGAATTTGTCTTGGGGACTGTGGAAAAGAAAAGTTGGTACTTTGTTTTTGTTTTAATATAAGTCCTGGATAGGACTGTATCATTTTTTCCTCTCCCCTCTCCCCTTTTTTTTTGAGACAGAGTTTCGCTCTTGGCCCCCTGGCTGGAGTGCAATGATGTGATCTTGGCTCACTGTAACCTCCGCCTCCTGGGTTCAAGTGATTCTGCTGCCTCAGCCTTCCGAGTAGCTGGGATTACAGGCACCCGCCACCACGTCCAGCTAATTTTTGTATTTTTAGTAGAGATAGGGTTTCAACATATTGGCTAAGCTGGTCTCGAACTCCTGGCCTCAACTAATCCACCTACCTTGGCCTCTCAAAGTGCTGGGATTACAGGAATGAGCCACCGCACCTGGCCATTCATTCATTTTTGATAACACGAGATGTACCCTAACCCATCACTCAGTTTGAAAACTAAGAGTTTGATGACGACCTTCATCCACTTGTGGGCTCCTTATACCTCTGCTTCCCCATACCAAGGTAACCACGATCCTGTATCCATCTTCACCTTTCCATTGCTTTCCTTTGAAGACAGTTTTATCTTAGCTACGTGTTTTCTTAAGAAGTCTATCTGTCCATCCATCCATCCATCCTCCCTCTATCTGTTGGTTTTAGTTTGGATTTAACTTTATGACAAAGGTATTATACTGTATGTCATCTTCAGGGCTTTTTTCTTTTTTCTTTTCTTTTTTTTTTTTTGAGACATGGTCTCACTAGGTTGCTCAGGCTGGAGTGCAGTGGTGCTATCAAGTCAAAGCTCACGGCAGCCTTGACTTCCCTGGCTTAAGTAATCCTCCCACGTCAGCCTCCCACATGCTACCACACCTGGCTACATTTTTAAAATTTTTAATAGAGACAGAGTCTCTCTATGTTTCCCAGGCTGGTCTTGAACTCCTGGGCTCAAACGATCCTCCTACCTCAGCCTCCCAAACTGCTGGGATTACAGACGTGAGCACTCTGCCCTTTTTGGGGGTTTTCCCCACTAATAGATGCTAAGACTCAGTGTTTTGTTGCATGTTCCTTGCAGTTCATTCACGTTGACCCTTGATGGAGTAGCTGGTGTCGTGTTCATATCATTGTGAGAACTGTCTACAGCATCTGCATCATCTCTCCTATAGATGGGAACTCATCTGTTTCCAGGGTATTGAATGGGGCTGCCTTGAAGGTTTTTTTTTTTTTAATGTTCCCCAGAGCACAAGAGAAAGAGATTTTGCTACTAAGGATTGGAATCTCTGGGTCGCAGTATGTGAATGTTCACTTTTAACAGTTAGTGCCAAAGTGTTTTCCAGTGAGGTTGTATCGATTTACACTCCCACAGTCACCCACAGTCAATGCTTAGGTGATCTTGGAGATGGACAACTTCTCTAACACTTGGTATGTCAGAATCTTATTTATTTTTAGTTTTTTAGAGATACGGTCCAACTCTGTAACTCAGGCTGGAGTGCAGTGGCGTGACTACAGCTCACTGCTACCTTGAACTCCTGGGCTCAAGCGATCCTCCTGTCTCACCTTCCTGAGTAGCTGGTACTACAGGCTTGCCATCATGCATGGCTATCTTTAATTTTTTTTTGCAAAGACGGTAATATGGTTTGGATGTTGGTCCCCTCCAAATCTCATGTTGAAATGTGATCCCCAGTGTTGGAGTTGGGGCCCGGTGGGAGGTGTTTGGGTCATGGGGCGGATCCCTCATGAATGATTTCATGCCATCCCTTTGGTGTTGAGTGAGCTCTCCTTCAGTTAGTTCACTTGAGATCTGGTTGTTTTAAGAGTGTGGCACCCATCCCCTCCTCGTCTCTCTCCTCACGGCTCTCCCCTCCCTGGCTCTCACTTCACCTTCCACCACAAGTGAAATCTTTCTGAGACCTCACCAGAAGCCAAGCAGATGCCAGAATCATGCTTCCTGTAAAGCTTGCAGAACCATGAGCCAAATAAACCTCTTTGCTTTATAATTTACCCAGACTCAGGTATTTCTTTACAGCAATGCAGTAACAATGGACTAACACAGATGAGGTCTTGCTGTCATGCTAATACAGGGTCTGGAACTCCTGGCTTCACGTGACCCTCCTGCCTTGGTCTCCCACAGTGCTGAGATTACAGGCATGAACCACGGCACCCGGCCTTTGTCAGACTTAAATTTTTGATAATTAAGTGGGCATAATCACTGTGGCCTTGATTTGCATTTCTCTTGTAACTATTGAGGCTGAAAACCTTTTATATTTTTTTCTGGCCATATTTTCTCTCCCATGATATGGTGGTTCACATCCTTGGTCCATCTTCCCATTGTACTTTTTGTGCATTTCTTTTTTTTTTTTTTTTTTTTTTTGAGATGGAGTCAACTTGCTCTGTCGCCCAGGCTGGAGTGCAGTGGCTCGATCTCGGCTCACTGCAACCTCCGTCTCCTGGGTTCAAGCGATTCTCCTGCCTCCGCCTCCCGAGTAGCTGGGATTACAGGCATGTGCCACCAGACCTGGCTAATTTTCGTATTTTTAGTAGAGACGGGGTTTCACCATCTTTGCCAGGATGGTCTCGAACTCCTGACCTCAGGTGATCCACCTGCCTCGCCTGTGTGAGCCACCATGCCCAGCCTGTTTTTGCTTTTCTTATTGATTTCTAGGAATTCTTTGTACATGTTTGATAGTAATCCTTTCTTGGGTGTATTTTGTAAGTCTCTTTTCACTTTCTTTGTGATGGTTTTTGGTAAACGAGTGCTCTTTGTTATAATGTAGTCAAAATTGTCTATATTTTCTTTCTTTCTTTCTTTCTTTTTTTTTTTTGAGACAGAGTCTTGCTCTGTCACCCAGGCTGGAGTGCAGTGGCACAGTATCAGCTCACTGCAACCTCTGGCTCCCAGGTTCAAGCAATTCTCCTGCCTCAGCCTCTGGAGTAGCTGGGACTACAGGTGCGCACCACCACACTGGGCTAATTTTTGTATTTTCAGTAGAGATGGGATTTTACCATGTTGGCCAGGCTGGTCTTGAACTCCTGACCTCATGATCCACCCACCTCGGCCTCCCAAAGTGCTAGGATTACAGGCATGAGTCACCATGCCCGGTCCATATTTTCTTTTATAATTACCGCTTTTTCAGTCTCATTTAAAAAATCTTTTCTAACTTCAAAATCTAAACGAGACCATATATGCTTTCTACTAAGAGTCCACTTACCATTTCTCCCTTTTAAACAATCAGGTACAGGGAACACATGTGATCTTTGTTGGGTCTTTGCTAGTTGGTGGCAAGTTAGGCTTGGTGTGAAGTCATGTTTTCTGTGACTTGAAATATATTTTTGGTGCTCCTTGGGTCTTTGTCATTTAAAAGGGGTCACCCCTGGTGGTGTTTCCAGACTCTACCTCATGTTGTGTCTGCAGCCACAAAGTGGGGCAGGTCCCTCATAAAGGTCGTGGGTTTTCCATGTGTTTCTAGGGCCCCTGGCATGAGGTAAAAGGTGTATTTATGCTGTGGTAGGGTGTGCAGGCTCTTCTTGGCTGATGAAGGCAGGGAGCCCTGAGGGGCAGCAGCTCCATTCTGGGGAGACCGGGCGCCCAGTTGGCTGAGGTTTCACCAGTGCTGCACCACTCCTGCTGCTGCAGCCTTAGTGAGAAGGAAAGAAATGGTGTTCTAAAGCAGCAGGCTGCTACATACAGGTGTGTGCATGCATATAGGGGCAAATGCATCAAAGCCTCTGGCCACCTGTCCCCCAGGAAAAGCAGGAGTTGCATCCTCTGAAATGCAGGCAAAATGAATGCCCAGTGTCACCCAAAGTGGGGATGGGCCCACTGGAAGAAGCAGTGCAAAAATAGGCAAGAACTCGCCGGGTGCAGTGCCTCACACCTGTAATCCCAACTCTGGGAGGCCGAGGTGGGTAGATTACGTGAGGTCAGGAGTTTGAGACCAGCCTGGCCAACATGGTGAAACACTGTCTCTACTAAAAATACAAAAAAATTTAGCCGGGTGTGTTGGCGGGTGCCTGTAGTCCCAGTTATTTGGGAGGCCAAGGCAAGAGAATTGCTTGAACCCAGAGGCAGAGGTTGCAGTGAGCCGAGATCACGCCACTGTACTCCAACCTGGGCGACAGAGTGAGACTCCATCTCAAAAAAAAAAAAAAACAAAACAAAAAAACTGTTCCCCTGGCTGGCAGGGGCAGAAGTCCCTTTAGCCAGGAGCTCAGCAGCTCACAAATGGCTGTTTGCTGTATTCCAACCAACGGCAGGCTTGGATCCGACAGAGCTGTTGTTTTCTGAGCCAGAGCTGTAACCAGGAGTGTGGGGTTGAAACAGAACTGAAACTCAGAATGCTGCAGCTCTGCTCATACCACCTCCTGTCAAATTCTGGGAATTCCTGTCCTTCCTTCCAGGCTATGCCCCTAAATGTTGGCCGCTGCCTGGAGGGCGCAGGTGGGTCAGCACCACATGAGGGGCTAGAATCAGGGACAATCCTCATCACCAGGCAGAGCAGGGCTCCTCCACAGGGGTCTGGGCTTGGCTCGGTCTCCACGTGCCCCTACCCTGGCTGCCCTCCTTCTCTTCCCTGCTGTCACTCAGCTCTGGGCTGGGGTGGAGTTTGCACTCCCTCTGGACTCCTGTCCCTCACTTTGGATTTAGTTGCTACACAGACCCACAGCTCCACAGTCCCTTCAAGCAGGCGGGGGTCCTGTCAGCCTGCACCCGAGCTCCCGAGGCCGCCCACAGTGCATTCTTCCCAAACTGAAATAAATTGTCTTGCTCTCCAACCCCAGCCCATGTCTGCCGAGGCTGAAAGCAAACTCCAAAGGGAAAGGCAGTTTTGGGAGTGAGCACCACGCCACGGTTTTTGTTTCTGGAGGGCGCTTCTCTCTTCTGGTTTGTATGCATTCCATAAAACACAGTGCAGGCTAAGTGTTCTTTGTCCTCATTCTCGGAGTGCGTGAGACCCCAGAAAACAGGAGCCCAGACCCCATGGATCGGCACTGCGGATACTTAGGGGTGCACTTAACTTCTCCTTTCTTTGTGTCCGGGGCCCTGGACCAGTGGGAATGCTGGTAGCCACTCCATGGAAGCCTGGGTCCAGAGATTTGCCTTGGCTTCCAGCCCCACGACAGCCCCAGTCTCAGTTCCATTAACTTCTGCTGGAGGCCGGGTTCAGCCTCCCCTTCAGGGAACATGCTTAGCCTCATGCTCGGCTTCCCACCTGGAAGTTCTCTGTCCCCAGGAGGCAGATATTAGGAATAATTTTCTGTGTTTGAGGGGAATCCTCTTTGTGCAGAAAAAGCTGGTTTCTCCAAAGCACACCTGTTCCTCTCACCAGGGCCCATCACACCAGCCCCTCCCCTGTGCCCATCACACAAGGCCACGCCCCTGTGCCCATCACAACTGCTCCTTCCTCTGTGACCATGACATCAGCCCCTCCCCTGTGCCCATCACACCAGCCCCTCCCCTGTGCCCATCACACCAGCTTCTCCCCTGTGCCTATCACAGAAGTCCCTCCCCTGTGCCCATCACACCAGCCCTTCCCCTATGCCCATCACACCTGCCCCTCTCCTGTGCCCATCACATCTGCCCCTCCCCTGTGCCCATCACACCAGCACCTCCCCTGTGCCCATCACACCAGCTTCTCCTCTGTGCCCATTACACCTGCCCCTCCCCTGTAGCCATTACACCTGCCCCCTCCCCTGTACCCATCACACCAGCCCCTACCCTGTGTCCATCACACCAGCCCCTCCCCTGTGCCCATCACACCTGTCCCCTCCACTGTAGCCATCACACCTGCCCCTCCCCTGTACCCATCTCACCTGCCCACTCCCCTGTGCCTATCACAGCAGTTCCTCCCCTGTGCCCATTACACCAGCCCCTCCCCTGTACCTATCACACCTGTCCCCTTCCCCATGCCATCACACATGACCCCCTTCCCTGTGCCTGTCACACCAGCCCCTCCCCTATGCCCATCACACCTGACCCTCCCCTGTGCCCATCACAGCAGTCCCTCCCCTGTGCCCATCACACCAGCCCCTCCTCTGTGCCCATCACACCAGCTTCTCTTCTGTGCCGATTACACCTGCCCTTCCCCTGTAGCCATTACACCTGCCCCCTCCCCTGTACCCATCACACCAGCCCCTCTCTGTGTCCATCACACCAGCACCTCCCCTGTGCCCATCACACCAGCCCCTCCCTTGTGCCCATCACACCACTTCTCCTCTGTGCTCATCACACCAGCCCCTCCCCTGTGCCCATCACACCAGCTTCTCCCCTGTGCCTATCACACCAGCCCCTTCCCTCCCCTGTGCCCATCACACCGGCTCCTCCCCGTGCCTATCACACCTGCCCCTCTCCTGTGCCCATCATAGCAGTCCCTTCCCTGTGCCCATTACACCAGCCCCTCCTCAGTGCCCATCACACCTGTCCCCTCTGCTGTAGGCATCACACCTGCCCCTCCCCTCTACCTATCTCACCTGCCCATTCCCCTGTGCCTATCACAGCAGTTCCTCCCCTGTGCCCATTACACCAGCCCCTCCCCTATGCCTATCACACCTGCCCCTCCTTTATGCTCCTCACACCAGCCCCTCCCCTGTGCCCATCACACTTGCCCACTCCCCTGTGCCCATCACACCAGCCCCTCCCGTGCCCATCACACCAGCTTCTCCACTGTGCCTATCACATCAGCCCCTCCCCTGTGCCCATCACACCTGCCCCCTCCCCTGTGCCCATCACACTTGCCCCCTCCACTGTGCCTATCAAACCTGCCCCTCCCCTGTACCCATCACACCTGTCCCCTCCCCTGTACCCATCACACCTGCCCCCTCCCCTGTGCCCATCACACCTGCCCCCTCCCCTGTGCCCATCACACCTGCCCCCTCCCCTGTGCCCATCAAACCTGCCCCTCCCCTGTACCCATCACACCTGCCCCTCCCCTGTGCCCATCACACCTGCCCCCTCCCCTGTGCCCATCACACCTGCCCCCTCCACTGTGCCCATCACACTTGCCCCTCCCCTGTGCATATCACGCTAAAGGTTGGGAGCTTCCAGGCTGGGACCTGACTACCTGTGTTTGTACAGAGGCATCTGGTTTTGGTGATGGGGAATGACTCCCCAGCCCTCCATCCCCTGGAACGATCTGGTACAACGTCACCCTTACTGACACATTGTCCCCGTTCCACTGGTATCTGGGAAGTACGGTTTGCTCTCCAGCACACTGGGCCAGTATTTCACATGACATTAGCTGCTGCAGTATTGAGTTAACTATAAAAAGAGATGATCCTTCTGGACAGAATCACTATCCACCAGACAGAGTGATTAAACTTACAGCTCAATTGGTGCTGATCAATATAAAGGAAATGTGAAACAAGTTAATGTACCCATCAGAAACAGCCGTCCCGACGTTCTCTCCACACAGGCCTCCCCTGACATCAGCTCCATCCTGGGGGTCTCTGTACACGTGGGACTGTCCAAATGCACAATTACTCCTCCCCTGAGCTAAATACAGTCAATCAACTACACACTGAGCCAATCAGGACAGGCTGGCTTATGCTGCGATAATGCCCGAAGATGAGTGGGTGAAGCGGCAATGGCAGACTTCTCATGGGGCCGCAGGATCCAGCGCTGGCCACAGGAAAGGCTGTGTTCATCGCAGTCACTCAGCGACCTAGGCTGGAAGAACACTTGCTGATGTGAACGCTGCGAGTCGTCACGTTAGAGGACAAGTGCTTTGGAGGGCGTCGCACTAGCAATCCTGTGTCTTGGACTAGAAGCAATGCGGATCCCTTCTATTCCCAGCTCATGCGCCAGAGCTGTGGCCCCACCCGCCACAGGAGGCCAGGAAGCGTTATCCTGCCCTGGGCCTGGCCAGCGGAGAACGGAAGTATTTGGTGAACAACATCAATGACAACCACACTTATTGAAACTGCAGGTGTTAAAATCTGGCTGGGTTTTAAACAAATCCATGGGCTCCAGCTATCTAATGAGATGCTGTCTTAGAATGAAGTATAAATAGTAGCCCCCACCCAGGGCATGCCCGTTTCCTTAGGGCATGTGTAACCTGCCCCAAATCTATGAGTTTCAGAGGCTCAAAGCAATCTTCAGATGCACGGGAAGGAGTGTGGCAAGCCCTACTTTCTCTCCAAATTCCCCCTTCAAACTAGCAGCAAAGCTAACCACAGTAAATACACCTTGACTTACAATCTCCAAGTGGGCGAATGAATTGCATGATTCATTGAAACGAAGTGGGGGAGGAGTGGTTCTTGACTTATTTCACACCTCCTCCTAGCGATCTCCTTTCCTTCAGGACCCAGGCTGGGGGATCGTCTCACTGCCGCCTCCATGAAGTGCCCTGTCCCTAGGGGAGGCTTGTCAGGTGCTCCCATCTGCTCAGCGTGGTCTTAGCCAGGTGCCCTGGGCTGTCCTCCACGCCGGGTGACACCCAGCCAAAAGTGCAGCTGGTGTCAGAGCACAGGAGGGAACGGCAGGCAGCCAGGCTGCAGTGGGCACCAACGCTTGACATTCATCCATGGCTGTAGAAAGGTTATTTCAAAGTTGTTTTTTATTCAACTGTTCTTCAGCAATATACAATACAGTTTATAAACAAGTGTCTGACCTTGTTTCCAATCTTTATTTAAAAATAAATATTATTGACAGTGAATTTTAATTATGATAAGATGTGTCTTTTTTAATCAAAATGCCTCAAAAGAAATAATTTAATAAAAAAGAAAAGCCCCCAAAGAAAAAAAGTAAATTAAAAAAAAATCCTAAACACAATAATCTACTAAAAATATTTTGCTTTGTCAAAAGGCTTTGACCCCAACATTTGTACATATTATCCTAAAGATAACTGCTCAACAGTTCGTGCAAAATGAAGACTTGGAGGGAAAGTGTAGAAAAGAAAACTACATTGAAGTAGAGAAATCATTGATTCCCATGCAGACTGCATGGGCCAAACTCCAAATTATTTGGAAACTAGATGCATTATTTTAGGTGTTCTACATTTGTGTAACTTTCCCAAAAATATGATTTATTTATTTTCCATGTGGACTTTTTCATGCGTCTCTCAGTCTCTCTGTGTCCATCCAGCGACATGGTCCTCACCGAGGGCCCCGGGCAGGTCATGTGCGGCCTCTGAGATGCTCGGGTTGGTCTTGTCTGTCAATGTCCCAAGAGCAGGCGCAGGAACTTATGCAGAGCTAACAGGAGCAGGGACAAGAGTGGGTCTGTGGTGTAGCTACGGCCGGTGCCTGCAGGGGATGAGAAAACAGGCAAGGTTAACACCTGAGTCTCAAGAACCTAGGAGCTCACAGCAGACCAGGAACAGTGAGGCTTCCCCAGGCTGGGGCCACTCACGCTTAGCACCCAGCTGGAGGCTGGTGCATAGTGGCTGCCTTGGTTTAATGATTAAGCATTTTGTTGCTGCAGTTTGTAATTTACAGACCATACACTTTAGGATCCTAGTGAGATCAGACACAAGCGCCTGGCCTGAAGTGGGGAGTGACAGCTCTAATGTCCAAGTCATTACCTTATTTTAATAAAAAGATGATATGAGCTGGGTGTGGTTGATTATGCCTGTAATCCCAACACTTTGGGAGGCTGAGGCTGGAGGATCACTTGAGCCCAGGAGCTTGAGACCAGCCTGGGCAACATAGTGAGACCCCATCACAACAAAAAATAAAAAATTAGCTGTGTGTGGTGGCATGCACCTGTATTCCCAGCTGCTCAGAAGGCTGGATCGCTTGAGACCAAGAGTTGGAGGCTGCAGAGAGCTGTGATTGCACCACTGCACTCCAGCCTGGGAGACAGAGTGAGACTCTGTCTCAAAAAAAGAAAAAAAAAAAAGACAATATGCTTCCTTCTCCCCAGATACATGAGGACAGAAATGTCCTCATCATTTCTGGCCCTGCTTGTCCTCTTCCTCCATGAAGGCTACACGATCCCACACAATTCTGTCCCTTGTGCATCCCGGCATCCCCTCCATGCCCCTGCCTAAACTGCACAGCTTCACACTCCCACGCACCCTGTCTGGGGCATCCTGATGTTGCTGTGTGTAAGTCTTTTTTCCACAGCAACCTTGTCTGTCCACTCTTTGGGTTGCAGTGTGGAGCTGAGAAATTGCAGGTTGGTGGAGATGAGTGGGCTGGGGTCTTTGAGAAATGACCCCAGCAACTTCTGGGTCACTCCCACCTGTCTCTCCAGTGTGATCATAACCTGGCCCCTGGCCTGCCATGGATGCTGTAACACCTCTGCCTCACCCTGCTTCGCCTTGGTCCCCCGCCTGGCTCCCCGTCGGTCCTTAGGGTCTTCACCTGTTTTAAGGCCTCCCGTGCAACTGGGGAAAGCCCACCCATAAACCCTGGGCTTCTCACCTGGAAAGTGGGATGCTCCCTCCAGGGTTATGAGAGGAGCAAGTGTGGAAGCACCCTGCACGATCCTTGGTGCTGCCAAAACCCCCGGGGGACGTCACTACTTGCTTAGAGTCAGCGGCATGAATGGATGCAGTTTTCAGCCCCGCCCTGCTCATCTGCACCATCCGGAGGCCTCTCTCCTCCCTTCTCTTGACCCCACCAGCTGGGCTGCAGCCCCGTGCCTGTGAGGAGGGGTGTGGGAGACCCTACCCTGTGTCAATTTTCAGTAGTGCAGAGGGCTCGGCTGCTTTCACTCCACCACTGCAGCCAGGATGGCTGGTTCCCTCCAGCCTTAATAAACAGAGACTTGAGGCTTCCCTGACAAGGCTGGGCCTGAATGCACAGCTCTCCTCTCTCCAGGTAGCAGCACACTTAGTCCTTCCTATCCAAGGCGTCTCCTGCTCCTTAATTCTCCCTGCTCTGGCCATAGCTGTCTGTGTCATGGAGTTCATGTCCTGGCCCCCATCATCCTCTTTTTGTAGAAGGAGGAGGTTGTACAAATCATCTGGCCTGAAAGTCCAGGATTCCACCTGACCACTGTGGGAAACACAGGCTGTGTTCAAACATCCGAATGCAAAGTGGGTGGTGCTATCCGAGGGGCAGGTGAATTGTCCATAGACCATCGCTTCTGCACACAGTTCTGGGCCCCGGCTGAGAAGCGTTAGGACAGCAAAACTCCAGGTGTGCAGACCTTCCTCTCCAGATCTTTATGCTTCAGGCAGTCATCCCTCCTGGCCCTCCTGCAGCACAGCTCAGGCTGGTGCTCTGCCTCTGGGCCCCTTTTGTGGGAAGAATCGTCCTGCGTTTGTCACTGCAAAGACTCCAATCTGCTCTCATTCTTTGCTGTCAGGCATTACTGGGAAGGACGACAGGCGGATGTGATGGACGAGCTGATGGATGCCCACGTGCCTGGGTGGAGTTCCCTGAGGCTCGGGTGTGTGGAAAGTGGGGATCCAGCCAGGAGAGCAGGGTACTGCCTCCTGGGTACTTCACCCACAGCCAGACTGGTCCCATGGGCCTCACAGATCTCCTGGCTCTGATTAATTTAATTAATTAATCGAGATGGAGTTGCGCTCTTGTTGCCCGGGCTGGAGTGCAATGGTGCAATCTCAGCTCACTGCAAACTCCATCTCCTGGGTTCAAGCAATTCTCCTGCCTCAGCCTCCCAAGTAGCTGGGATTACAGGCACCCCACACCAAGCCCAGCTAATTTTTTGTGTTTTTAGTAGACACGGGGTTTCACCATGTTGGCCAGGCTTGTCTCGAACTCCTGACCTCAGGTGATCCACCTGCCTCGGCCTCCCAAAGTGCTGGGATTACAGGTGTGAGTCACCACGCCTGGCCTTTTTAAATTTTTTTTATTTTTATTTTTTTGAGATGGAGTCTCACTCTGTCACCCAGGTTGGAGCGCAGTGGTGTGACCTCAGCTCACTGCAACCTCTGCCTCCCAGGTTCAAGTGATTCTCCTGCCTCAGCCTCTCAAGCAGCTGGGATTACAGGTGCTTGCCACCATGCTTGGCTAATTTTTGTATTTTTAGCAGAGATGGAATTTCATCATGTTGCCCAGGCTGGTCTCAAACTTCTGACCTCAAGTGATCTGCCCACTTCGACCTCCCAAAGTGCTGGGATTACAGGTATGAGCCATTGTGCCTGGCCCCTGGCTCTGATCTTTAGGCTTCTGCAAATCCTGACATGAAGGCAGGTGCAGGTGAGACAGAAATAATCTGCATGAGGTGTTTAAAGGTGGATGCACTTGTGCATGGAACTCCAAGCCCTCAGGGTATGCAGCGGCAGGGGAAATGGCTAACAGGAGGGTGAGCCTGGCAACGTGAACCTTGTCTGGTGCCCCATGGGACCGTTGGCATGGAGATTTCAGGAGACATTTAAAATTGCCTCTAAGTACTCCCAACTAGTCATTGGCACTATCACAGCCTCACCTACTCATGTTTAAAAGGTTTTAAATTGCAAGATTTTCAAAACACCGTTGATTGAAATAACCAGCCTGCCACTCTGTGCTGGGCCAGGGTGGGGGCTACAGTGGCAGTGGGGCTGCAGCATTGGCTCCTGGAGGCTGATGTCTGGGGAGGGTTCACCCAGGGTCTGCTATGTCTCTGTTGCTGGATGTCTGTACAGGTGGCCAGGGTTTGGCTCCTGGATGACACTTCATTCTCTCCCTGGCCTGGCACTGATGTTGGGGTGGGAGGGAACCAAGAGAAGTGGGATGGTGCAGTGGGCTGGCACTGGAGAGATGGGCTTCCAAGCCTAGTCCTGTTTCCAGCTTGCTATGTGACGCGGGGCAACATTCTTTACCTCATAAAATGGGATGTGCATGGCTCCATAAAATTAATATGTGCATGGCATGTCTCACTGGGCAGGGGTCCAGATTAAGCAATATTATAGTGGTTGATTGCAAAAATGGCTACAAGTCCCCCTTCCCCATCCCAGCATCCCTATCATAGTGCCCTCCCACACTGACTCTGGGCTTGGTCACATGACTTGCTTTTGCTGGCGGAACATTATCGGGTGTGAAGTGAGCAAAGGCCTGAAAAGTGTTTGTGCATTGAGGTTTGCCCTCTCTCTTGTGCCTCCTAGAACCCACTGTCACATGAACAAGCCTGGGCCAGCCTGCTGCAGGATAAGAGCCATGAGATGTCCTAGTGGACATCCCTCTAGACCAACATGGCCTCAATTGAATTAGCAGCCGATCATAGACACATGAATGAGCCCAACAGACCAGCAGAAGAATCGCCCAACTGAGCCCAGCCCAAATTGCTGAGCCACAGAATCCTGAGCTAAAAACGGCTGTGGTGTTCTGCCAAAGCCATTGAGTTTTGGGGTCCTTCATTATGTATCAAAAGCTAACAATACAAACATGTAAACAACAGCGCCTCAAACAGAGTCAAGTGCCATGCAAATAGATGTTACAGAAAAGGGTGACATAGCTTCTTCTTTAAAAGGGCTGGAGAATAATCTTTCTCAGGTTGCGGATTTCCTTCTCTCAAGAGGAAAATTTTCCAAGCTAGAACAAGCAAGGCAAACTATCTCTTCAACCACCTACTTATTTATTTAAAATATTATTATACTTAAGGTTCTGGGATACATGTGCAGAATATGCAGCTTTGTTACATAGGTATACACGTACCATGGTAGTTTGCTACACCCATCAACCAGTCACCTACATTAGGTATTTCTCCTAATGCTATCCCTCCCCTAGCCTTTCAACCCCCAATAGGCCCCAGTGTGTGACGTTCCCCTCCCGTGTCCATGTGTTCTCATTGTTCAACTCCCACTTATGAATGACAACATGTGGTGTTTGGTTTTCTGTTCCTGTGTTAGTTTGCTGAGAATGGTGATTTCCAGCTTCATTCATGTCCCTGCAAAGGACATGAACTCATCTTTTTTATGCCTGCATAGTATTCCATGGTGTATATGTGCCACATTTTCTTTATCCAGCCTATCATTGATGGGGATTTGGGTTGGTTCCAAGTCTTTGCTATTGTGAACAGTGCTGCAATAAACATATGTGTGCATGTGTCTTTATAGTAGAATGATTTATAATCCTTTGGGTATATACCCAGTAATGAGATTGTTGGGTCAAATGGTATTTCTGGTTCTAGATCCTTGAGGAATAGCCACATTGTCTTCCACAATGGTTGAGCTAATTTACACTCCCACCAACAGTGTAAAAGTGTTCCTATTTCTCCACATCCTCTCCAGCATCTGTTGTTTCCTGACTTTTTAATGATTGCCATTCTAACTGGCATGAGATGGTATCTCATTGTGGTTTTATTTTTATGTTTCTTTTTAAAAAAATTTTTATTTCAAGTATTGGGACACTTGTGCATGATGTGCAGGTTTGTTACATAGGTAAACATGTGCCATGGTGGTTTGCTGCACCTATCAACTCATCACCTAGGTATTAAGCCCCATATGCATTAGCTATTTATCCTGATGCTCTCCCTCCTAACCTCCCCACTGACAGGTCCCAGTGTGTGTCATTCCTCTCCCTGTGTTCATGTGTTCTCATTGTTCAGCTGCTACTTATTAATAATAACATGTGGTGTTTGGTTTTCTGTTCTTGCATTAGTTTCCTGAGGATAATGGCTTCCAGCTCCATCCATGTCCGTGTAAAGGACATGATCTCATTCCTTTTTATGGGTGCATAGTATTCTATGGTGTATACACACCACATTTTCTTTATCCAGTCTATGGTTGATGGGCGTTTGGGTTGATTCCATGTCTTTGCTATTGTGAATAGTGCTGCAGTGAACACGTGTGTGCATGTATCTTTATAATAGAATGATTTATATTCCTTTGGGTAAATACCCAGTAATGGGATTGCTGGGTCAAATGATATTTCTTGTTCTAGGTCTTTGAGGAATCACCACACTGTTTCCCAAAATGGTTGAACTAATTTATATTCCCACCAACACTGTAAAAACACTTCTATTTCCCCACAGCCTTTCCAGCATCTATTGTTTCTTGACTTTTTAATAATCACCATTCTGACTGGCGTGAGATGGTATCTCATTGAGGTTTTGATTTGCATTCTCTAATGATCAGTGATGTTGAGCTTTATATATATATACATATATATACATGTTTGTTGGCTGCATAAATGTTTTCTTTTGAGAAGTGTCTGTTCATGTCCTTTGCCCAGTCTTTCATGAGGTTGTTTTTTTCTTGTAAATTTGTTTAAGTTCCTTGTAGTTTCTGGATATCAGACCTTTGTCAGATGGATAGATTGCAAAATTTTCTCCCATTCTATAGGTTGTCTGTTCACTCTGATGATAGTTTCTTTTGCTGCACAGAAGCTCTTTAGTTTAATTAGATCCCATTTGTCAATTTTTGCTTTTGTTGCAATTGCTTTTGACACTTTCGTCATGAAATCTTTGCCTGTGCCTATGTCCCAAATGGTATTGCCTGGATTTTCTTCTGGGGTTTTTATAGTTTTGGGTTTTACATTTAAGTCTTTTTTTTTTTTTTGAGATGGAGTTTTGCTCTTGTTGCCCAGGCTGGAGTGCAATGGCACCATCTCAGCTCACTGCAACCTCCACCTCCCGGGTTCAAGCAATTCTCCTGCCTCAGCGCCCTGAGTAGCTGGGATTACAGGCATCCACCACCACGCTCAGCTAATTTTTTGTATTTTCAGTAGAGATGGGGTTTCACCATGTTGGTCGGGCTGGTCTTGAACTCCTGACCTCAGGTGATCCACCCACCTTGGTCTCCCAAAGTGCTGGATTACAGGCATAAGCCACCGTGCCCAGCTTACATTTAAGTCTTTAATCTATCTTGAGTTAATTATTGTATAAGGTGTAAGGAAGAGGTCCAGTTTCAATTTTCTGCATATGGCTAGCCAGTTTTCCCAGCACCATTTATTAAATAGGGAATCCTTTCCCCATTGCTTGTTTTTGTCAGGTTTGTCAAAGATCAGATGGTTGCAGATGTGCGTCTTATTTATTTCTGAGTTCTCTATTCTGTTCCATTGGTCTATGTGGCTGTTTTTGTATCAGTTTTTGTACCATGCTGTTTGGTTACTGTAGCCCTGTAGTATAGTTTGAAGTCAGGTAGCATGATGCCTCCAGCTTTGTTCTTTTTGCTTAGGATTGTCTTGGCTATATGGACTCTTTTTGGGCTCCATATGAATTTTAAAAGTTTTTTTTATGATTCTGTGAAGCATGTCAATGGTAGTTTAATGGGAATGGCATTGAATCTATAAATTGCTTTGGGTAGTATGGCCATTTTCACAACATTGATTCTTCCTATCCATGAGCATGGAATGTTTTTCCATTTGTTTGTGTCCTCTCTGATTTCCTTGAGCAGTGATTTGTAGTTCTCTTTGAAGAGATCCTTCACTTCTCTTGTCAGCTGTATTCCTAGGTATTTGATTCCCTTTGAAACAATTGTGAATGGGAGTTCATTTGTGATTTGGCTCTCTTTTTGTCTATTGTTGCTTGTCTATCACAGGAATACTCGTGATTTTTGCACAATGATTTTGTATCCTGAGAGTGCTGAAGTTGCTTATCAGCTTAAGTTGCTTTTTGGCTGAGACAATGGGGTTTTCTAGATATAGGATCATGTCATCTGCAAACAGTTCAACTTCCTCTCTTCCTATTTGAATATCCTTTATTTCTTTCTCTTGCCTGATTGTCCTGGCCAGAACCTCCAACACTATGGTGAATAGGAGTGGTGAGAGAGGGCATCCTTTTCCTGTGCTGGTTTTCAAGGGGAACACTTTCAGCTTTTGCCCATTCTGTAGATATTGGCTGTAGGTTTGTCATAAACGGCTTTCATTATTTTGAGGTATGTTCCATCAATACCTAGTTAATTGAGAGTTTTTGACATGAAGGGATGTTGAATTTTATCGAAGGCCTTTTCTATGTCTATTGAGATAATCATGTGGTTTTGGTCTTTCGTTCTGTTTAGAATTATGTTTTGTGCATCCCAGGACTGAAGCTGACTTGATTGTGGTGAATAAGCTTTTTGATGTGCCTCTAGATTTGGTGTGCCAGTATTTTATTGAGTATTTTTGCATCGATGTTCATCAGGGATATTGGCTTAAAGTTTTCTTTCTTTTTTTTTTTTTGTATCTCTGCCAGATTTTGGTATCAGGATGATGCTGGCCTCACAAAATGAGTTAGGGAGAAGTCCCTCCTTTTCAATTGTTTGGAATAGTTTAAGAAGAAATGGTAACAGCTCCTCTTTGTACCTCTAGTAGAATTCAGCTGTAAATCCATCTGGTCCCAGGCTTTTGTTGGTTGGTAGGCTATTTATTACTGCCTCAATTTCAAAACTTATTACTGGTCTATTCAGGGATTCAACTTCTTCCTGGTTCAGTCTTGGGAGGTTATATGTATCCAGAAATTTTTTCGTTTCTTATAGAGTTTTTAGTTTATTTGCATAGAGGAGTTTATAGTATTCTCTGATGGTTGTTTGTATTTCTGTGGGGTCAGTAGTGATATCTCCTTTATCATTTTTTATTTTCTATTTCATTCTTCTTTCTCTTCATCTTTATTAGTCTAGCTGGCAGTCTAACTATTTTATTAATTTTTTCAAAAAACTAGCTCCTGGATTCATTAATTTTTTGAAGGATTTTTCATGTCTCTGTTTCCTTTAGTTCCACTCTGATCTTGGTTAACTATTTCTTTTCTTTTACTAGCTTTGGAGTTTGTTTTCTCTTGGTTCTCTAGTTCTTTTAGTTGTGATGCTAGGGTGTCAATTTGAGATCTTTCTAGCTTTTTGATGTGGGCATTTAGTGCTATAATTTTCCCTCTTAACACTGCTTCAGTTGTGTCCCAGAAATTTTGGTACATTGTCCCTGTTCTCACTGATTTCAAATAACTTCTTGATTTCTGTCTTAATTTCATTATCTACTCAGGAGTCATTCAGGAGCTAGTTGTTCCATTTTCATATGGTCGTGTGGTTTTGAGTGAGTTTCTTAATTTTGAGTTCTAATTTGATTGCACTGTGGTCTGAGAGAATGTTATGATCTCAGTTCTTTTGCATTTGCTGAGGAGTGTTTTACTTCCAATTTTGTGATCGATTTTAGAGTAAGTGCCATGTGTCACCAAGAAGAATGCATATTCCGTTGTTTTAGGGTGGAGACTTCTGTAGCTATGTATCAGGTCCACTTAATCCAGAGCTGAGTTCAAGTCCTAAATATCCTTGTTAATTTTCTGTCTCAATGATCTAATATTGACAATGGGGTGTTAAAGTCTCCCACTATTATTGTGTGGGAGTCTAAGTCTCTTTGTAGGTCTCTAAGAACTTGTTTTATGAATCTGGGTACTCCTGTATTGGGTGCATGTATATTTAGGATAGTTAGCTCTTCTTGTTGAATGGATCCTTTTTATCATTATGTAATGCCCTTTGTCTTTTTGATCTTTGTTGGCTTAAAGTCTGTTTTGTCAGAAACTAGAATTGCAACCCCTGCTTTTTTCTGCTTTCCATTTGCTTGGTAAATTTTCCTCTATCCCTTTATTTTGAGCTTATGTGTGTCTTCGCATGTAAGTGGGTCTCTTGAATACAGCACACCAATGGGTCCTGACTCTTTATCAGCCTGCCATTCTATGTCTTTTAATTGGGGCATTTAGAGCTTTTACATTTAAGGTTAATATTGTTATGTGTGCATTTGATCCTGTCATCATGATGCTGGTTGGTTATTTTGCAGACTTGTTGACATAGTTGCTTCATAGTGTCATTGGTCTTTGTACTTCAGTGTGTTTTTGCAGTGGCTGGCAAAAGTTTTTCCTTTCCATATTTAGTGCTTCCTTCAGGAGCTCTTGCAAGGCAGGCCTAGTGGTGATAAATTCCCTTAGCATTTGCTTGTCTGAAAAGATTTTATTTCTTCTTCGCTTATAAAGTTTAGTTTGGCTGGATATGATATTCTGTGTTGGAAATTCTTTTAAGAATGTTGAATATTGGCCCCCAGTTTCTTCTGGCTTGTAGGGTTTCTGCTAAGAGGTCCACCATTAGTATAATGGGCTTCCCTCTGTAGGTGATCTGGCCTATCTCTCTGGTTGCCCTTTACATTTTTTTCTTCATTTCAACCTTGGAGAATCTGATGATTATGTGTCTTGGGGTTGATCTTCTCATGGAGTATCTTTCTGGGGTTCTCTGGGTTTCCTGAATTTGAATGTTGGCCTGTCTTGCTAGGTTGGGGAAGTTCTCCTGGATGATATTGTGAAGTGTGTTTTCCAACTTGGTTCTGTTCTCCCCACCTCTTTCAGGCACTTCAATCAGTTGTAGGTTTGGTCTTTCTACATAATCCCATAGTTCTTGGAGGTTTTGTTCATTCCTTTTCATTCTTTTTTCTCTAATCTTGTCTGCTGGTCTTATTTCAGTGAGATAGTCTTCAAGCTCTGAAATTCTTTCCCCCACTTGGTCAATTCGGCTATTGATATTTGTGATTGTATTGTCAAGTTCTTATGTTGTGTTTCTCAGCTCCATCAGGTCATTTCGGTTCCTCTCTAAACTGGTTATTCTGGTTAACAGCTCCTGTAATGTTTTCTCATGTCTCTTAGTGCAGCAAAGTTTGTTATTATCCACCTTCTGAAGCCTACTTCTGTCAATTCATCCATCTCAGCCTCTGCCCCATTCTGTGCTCTTGTTGGAGAGATGTTGCAATCATTTGGAGGAGAAGAGGCACTCTGGCGTTCTGAGTTTTCAGTGTTCTTTCATTGATTCTCATCTTTGTGAGTTTATGTAGCTTCAATCTTTGAGGCTGCTGGCCTTTGGATGGGGTTTTCTTGCAGGGACTTTTTTGGTTGATGCTGTTGTTGTTGCTTTCTGTTTGTTTGCTTTTGTTTTAACAGTCAGGCCCCGCTTCTGTAGGGCTTCTGTGGTTTGCTGGGGGTCCACTCCAGACCCTATTCACTGGGGTTTCTCCCATACCTGGAGGTGTCATCAGTGGAGGCTACAGAACAGCAAAGATGGCTGCCTGCTCCTTCCTCTGGGATCTCCATCCTGGAAGGGCACCAACCTGATGCCAGCATGAACACTCCTGTATGGTGACCCCTGTTGTGGGGGGTCTTGGTCAGCAGGCATGGGATCTGCTTAATGAAACACTTTTGCTACCCCTTGGCAGAGGGGGTGTGCTATGCTGGGGGGGATCTCACTTGTCCAGACTGCCCAGATTCCTCAGAGCCAGCAGGGGAAAAGACTAAGTCTGCTGATCTGTGAAGACCGCAGACACCCCTCCCCTGAGGGGCTCAGTCCCAGGGAGATCAGAGCTCTGTCCCTATACGCCTGGCTGTAGTTGCTGAAATTCCTGCAGGGAGGCCCCACCAGGTGAGGAGGGATGGGTCAGTGTCAGGCCTAAAGGGGCAGTCTGACCTTGATCTGCCACAGCTGCTGTGCTGCACTGTGGGGAATTCCTCCTGGGTCCAAACCACCTAGTCTCCCCAGTACTGGCAGGGGAAAAGCAGCAGACTGGAACTGCAGTGATGGCTGCTGCCCTTCCCCCTGGGAGCTTAGCCATCTTAGGCAGCAGGCAGCCTCAGTGATGACAGCTGCCCCTCTCCCCGGAACTCAGTAGTCTTAGGCAGTCTCTAGCTGAGTGGCGTGCTTGGGACCCAAGGCCCTGGTGGCACGGGCTCATGAGGGAGATCCCCTGACCCACAGGTTTCACAGATCTGTGGAAATAGCATGGTTTCCTGGGTAAGGTAGCATGATCACTCACTGACTCCCTTGGCTGGTGGTAGGTGCTTCCCTTGCCCCATGCGGCTCCCAGGTGGGCCACCGCACCACCCTGCTTTTCCTTGCTCTCCATGGGTCTTGCCAACGACGTCAGTACCAGTGAGAGAACCTGGTTACCCCAGTTGCCTATGCAGGATTCCTCAACCACTTATTTTGAGACATCCCTGGATCTTTGGCAAAAGAAGGACCTAGGATTTGCAACCTTTTACTACCTGATTCATCAGACATATAAACAATCTAGGTTTCCCAAATGAATCGGGGCAGACCAAGGAAGTCTGGCTTCCAGGCTGACCCTGAGTAAGTGGGGTCTGTACATCAGCAATGGTTCAGAGCTCAGGAGTCTTGCAGCCCTGTGTCCACCTGCTCCCCAGGCATTGCCTCCTTTTCCAAATGTGACACAAGATCCACAGAAGTGAAGGATGTTGCCCAGGATCACACTGTCTGTTCCAATGTCCAGCACTTGGCCTCTGCTGTCCATTGCTTTCCAGAATGACAGGTCCCAGGCCCAAATTGACCCTACAAGGCAAGGCCCAGAGGGTACGTTCTGCTCACTGAGGTAGGATCTCATTCCCATCCCTGTAGCCTCTTTTTTTACATGGCGTGGAGACATCTGTGTTCCTGGGGGTTGTGTGCTGAGCGGGCTGGCTGGCATGCAGGCTGATGCATTGACTGGATGCTAATGGTTTCTTTATCTATTCCCTCCTGTCCTAAGGAGTACCAGGAATAGCGCTGGAGCATGAGCAAGTTTATTTGTCATGATTAAGGTGCAAAATCAGGCTGCTTGAGAGGTGAGGGAAGCCCTCTGATGGAACAGTAGCTGATTCATTCCTTATATTAAGCAAGTATCATCATTTTGCTAATCACTCTTCTTAAAGGAATCAAAGCTTCTTTGGCTCAAGATTAAGATATCAATTAAGATATTAATTTTTATCATTCAGATAGTGAGCAGGATAAGAGACACGCTGGAGCCATTTGAAAGAGACCCTCAAAGAACACAACGGGCATCTCTACTTCCCCCTGCCCCCCACCCCACCATAAGCACACTAAAGGTGCCAGCCCAGCAGCTTGTCTGGGAAATTCCTCATTTCAATTTATCAAGCAAAAGCAGAATTCCAAATCCCTGCCAGAAAGCAATATGGCAGCTCTCAAGCCATTTCATGCCTTGTGCTAAAAGTAAAGGTGAAAGTTCCTCCAGGCCATCGTCTGACCCAAGCTCTGCCCAAGCCTGTGAGTTAGCTTCCTGGAGAGTGGGGAGAAGGGTTGGGAATACCCATATGGGCTGGGACTTCCATCGGCATGGAGTATCTGTTTCTATGCTGTGGAACGGAGTGCAGAGGGGCCACTCCTACCCTGTGGGCATTGGGATCACAGTAGGGGGCTCCCAGCTTACCAGCCTGCACAGCTCGCCAGGGCAGCCACTGCTGCCCATGTTTCTAGAAGTATGGATGGCTTCCCTCTGCCTTTGGGGTAATATGGGCCCCAGCTGTAGTCTGTGGCCCTTGTTTTCTGGCCGTGGCTTAGAAGAGAGCTGCAGCCCTCTCCACTGGGGCTGAGATCCTTTGGGCCTGGCCAGGTCCCTTGCCCCTGCAAACCTGCTGGTGGCCTGGGAGCTGCATCTGGGGTCAGGGGTTTGCAAACAGTGCTGCTTTTTTTTTTTTTCAGGTTTGAGAAGAGTAAGTAAAATGAAGACACATTTGAGGTCTGGCTCTACACACAAAAATGGACAACAGGCTGGTCTGGCTCTTGCAGCCTGGCTAAGTGGAGGCTCATTTCATAGGCTGACGCTGTAGTGCTTCTGTCTTTCACTTGCTTTGTCCAGTATTGCATAGAATATTCACACACCGAGTACAGGCAGCCACTAGAGAAGAGCTAGTTCAAGGGAAGACATTGTCGTCTTCAGACAAAGCCATTCCAACAGCAAGCTTGGATATTCTACCATGAGGACAACCATGGAGGTCTCACAGACAGGTCCCTCCTCTGTGTCAAGCAGATCAAGGCCACTCATGTCTGTTCTGCATTTTGTGCTGTCATAGCACATTGATTGATTGACTGATTGATTGACAGGGTCTCATTCTGTCACCCAGGCTGGAGTACAGTGGTGCAATCATAGCTCACTGCAGCCAACTCCCAGGCTCAAGTGATTCTCCTGCCTCAGCCTCCTGAGTAGCTGGGACTACAGGCACATGCCACCATGCCCAGATAATTTTAAAATTTTTTGGTAATAATGGAATCTTGCTATGTTGCCCAGGCTACTCTTCAAATCCTGGCCTCAAGTGATCCTCCCGCCTTGGCCTCCCAAAGTGTTGGGATTATAGGTCAGAACCACCACTCCTGGCTTATAACAGATCTTTAGTCAGAACAAGGGCTTCTTGGCTAGAAAGGTTAGAGAGCCAAGCTGAGGGTCCTGGATAGGGGCCCCTCAGCTCTGATGTTCAAGCCTATTTCTAGTCTCTTTTGCTGTCATCTAAGAATGAAACAAGAAGGCAGCCCCCAAGGGGCAATCATGGCCTTAATGGGCTGGACTTGAACATCCATTTAGCCATGGGGATGGCTGTCTGCCTGGGGCAGCTGGGAGCAGACCTGCTCTTCCCAATTCCCCATCACCTGCCCTGGGGCCCGCTCAGGAGTGCAGCAGAAGGCCATGCCCCAGCTGAAGGAGGAGCCTCCGTCTCCGAGCTTCCTGGGGCCAGTGTACAAGGAATTTCTCTGGGTTTGCAGGGGCTTGTGGAGTGAGAGTAGGAGAGGGCATCTAGTAGCCATCCTGGCTACAGTCAAACCCCATCCTTTTCCCTGTGGGGAGACATATATGGTCCAGATGCCAAGGCCCGTGTCAGGGCCAGCACTGAGGCCAGCGTCAGGGGTCTACTGGGGTAGCATTGGGGCCAGCATCAGGGGTCTCCTGGGGCAGCATTGGGGCCAGTGTCTGGGGTCTCCTAGAGCAGCCTTGGGGCCAGCATCAGGGTTCTCCTGGGGCAGTACTGGAGCCAGCGTCAGGGACCTCCTGGGGCAGCACTGGGGGCAGCGTTGGGGCTCTCCTGGGGCAATGTTGAGGCAGCACTGGGGGAAGTATCAGGCTCTCCTGGGGCAGCACTGCGGCCAGTGCTAGAGCTCCCCTGGGGCAGCATGGGTGCAGCATTGGGGGCAGCGTTGGGACTCCCCCAGAGCCTGGCCTTTCAGTCTTCTTATTTCCCTGCCTGCCCCACTCCCTGATTTCCTGGTTACAAAATGCTGTCTTCTACAGAGCCCAGGGACAAGGTAAAGGCACCAAGTGGCCACCTGAGGGCTGTCTGATTTGCAGAAGGGTCTAGTTTGGTGCACACAGAGTCTTACAAATTGTAAATTATAATCTGGCATGTAAAAATTGGGAGACTTCTACATAAAAGCAGAGATTCAGGTATTTCCTAGAAAGGCCCCAGAATCAGCAACCCCAGGACTGCTTTTCCACCAAGCTACAGAACACTGGGGTGGGTGGGGGCCGGCTGCTCTTCCCAGCAGAAATCCTTCCCCTCATCCCTCCCTGCTAGCCACCAGCCTGGGCCCAGGGTGAGCTGCCAGTCCTGCCCCAGCCTCCTGCGCAGTTGGGCCCCTTTTGCTCAGCCAACCTGGCCCTTTGTGGGTGCCTGAATTTGCACTCTATGTGCCAGGCCTGGCGCAGGACCCAGGAGGCCTGGTATGCATCCTATCTTTGTCCCCATGCAGTTGTGTGGCCAGACACACCCCTTCCTTCATGTAGGGGGCTGGCTCTCCTAGCTCCCACATTCCCGGCTTCCTGATGGGGCTCCTGAGCCTGCCCCACCCTGGGAGCATCTGGCGGGATCTCCCAGGCCCTGCTGAGAACCTGGCTCCCAGCTCTCCCCTGGACGCAGCACTGGCCCAGCCCGCTGCAGGGTGAGAACCTCTGCCACCTTGCAAGGAGGCTGCCTCCCTTGTTGATGTTTTATTAAAAGCCTCTTCATGGATATTTATTCAAAGGCAGTCAGCGAGGAATAATTGAACACTAACGGAGTTCGGGTAGAATTAGTTTCTGCCATAAAATTAATGTGTACTGTAACTGGGGCAGAAGCAAGGGGCCACTGATGCAGTTGGGCTTTAAAGGAAATCGAGATATTTTAAAGAAAAGTCCAGTGTGGGGTGCGGACCTTTGAGAGCAGACGAGACATGCACAGGTCCTCCTGCCCTGTCCCTCGCTTCCAGGCCCTGGGTAGTCAGCTCCTGGGTTTGCAGACAAGCTGTCCTCCTGGGGGTGACGTCATATCCCTTGGTGATGATGCCCAGATGGCTGCCTCCGTGTCCAGGACGTGGAAGGAGCCTGAGTACTCCTGGGCAAATGTGGCTGGACTGCCTGTTCCCCGCCTGTTTTAGCCATTCCCTGCTGTGCCCTCTCTCCCCTGCTGCAGCCCCAGTTCAGGCCTCCACTATGCCCAATGACAGCAGTGGCCCCTACAGCATTCTCCTGCCTTCATAACCACTCCATCCTTCAGACGCACCTGGACACTCTCCCTGAGAAACAGAACCTTTGATGACTGCCCTCTGCCCACAGGAGAAAGAGCCACTGCCTGAGTGCCGCAGTTGGGGTTTGTCCGTAATTCCCCATCCCCCCACTTCAATCTGACCATTCCCCTGCTGCAGCCATGTGCTCTGGTTCCCTACAGGCATATCCAGGCTGACCCCGCAGAACGACTAGCCCCCTACTTTTCCTTTGTCTAGATGCTGCCTCCTCCAGGCAGCCCTCCCTGAGCACCCAAACACAGAGGGCTTGGCACAAATGTCTGTGCTGTTTGTTTAGGTGCCCCTTGCCTCTGCCTTCTTCTCTTCTGCTACCCCCTAAGTGCCTTCCTCACATGTCCTACCTCTCTGGTCGTGGAGGAAGCCCATGCGTCAGAGGGCTGGCCTAGGGCCTCCCTCTCTCCTCAGCCCCCAGCAAGCAGCCCCACCCAAAACCAGGACATGGCAATTGCCTGGTGTTGCAACTGATGACCTCTAGTCAAGAGCAGATGTCAGGGACCAGACCAGTCAAGCAGACAGAACCCAGCACCTTTAGGATAACAAGGCAAAGGTTGCCAGCACTTATTAGGGCCAGGTACTGCAGCAAGTATGTGACCTACGTTAAATTCAATCCTTGTAATGGCAGGAGTTACTTTTACTCCTATTTTATAGTTGGGGAAACTGAGGTCCAGGGAGATGAAGTGATTTGCCCCAGGCCTGGGGTTGCCAGATAAAAAACAGGACACTCCATTGAATCTGAATTGCAGAAAAACAATGGATACTTTTTAGTACAAGTATGTCCCAAATATTGCATGGAACATACTTACATTCATAAGATGTTACTGGTGGTTTATCTGAAATTCAAATTTAACGGGGGGTCCTATATTTTTATTTGCTAAATCTGGCAGCCCAACCAAGGCCACACTGAGATAAACAGCAGGGCTGGGACTTGCACCCAGGCAGTCTGGCCCCTGTGTACACCTAACCACTGCCACACACACCACCTCTCGGGCCCAAAGAGCTGGAACTCTCCTTCCCCATGAATGCCTCAGCCTGACCCTGGCCCCTGGCTACTTGCAAGGGAAGGAGAATGGGGGATGAGATTTTTCCCTGAATGTTAACATTCATGGTGGCTTTTTAATGTGGCCAACTTTGCCGCCACCTCCTCTCCAGTTTTCCATCTCTTTTGAGATAACATCTTGCCCCCAATGGCCCTTTAATGATGTCACTTAATGTGAATGGCAAACAGGCCTTTACTCTGTGGTCAGGCAGCTGCTGTCAGAGGGGGCCGCAGGCGGCCCGACTGCAGTGAGCACCGGGGTGGGGGTGGGGGCTCCCCAGCGGGGACGGCGAGGCTGCCTCCCTCAGTGTGGGGCCCATTCCTCACCTGAGGGGCCCCTGCCCCATCTGGATTGCTAACCTTTGAGCCTGTGGGCTGTAAAAAGGCACACAATTCTCAGTGCCAGCAGCTGCACTCGGCCCCTGCAAGAGAATTTTCCCCTTTATCTCTCTCAGCAGCCTTAGGAGGTAGAAACCACTTTCCCGTTCATAGGTGAGGCCCAGAGAGGTTGGGTGACTTGACTAAGGTCACACAGTGGGTAGGTGGTAGAAGGTTATCTCCAGTGACTCCTTGGTACCTATGAATGAGTCCAAGTTCCTTAGCCAGCTGGAAGCCCTTTCACCCAGTGGACAGTGCCGCCTTGCCTGTCTCCACACTCCTTTGAGTGTCTTGAGCTCCAGGTAAATGGGGCTCTTGCGCTGGGGGCTGCATGCACCCAGGCTCTCCTGAATTCAGGCCTTTGCTCAGTCTGTTCCCTTTGCTAGATTCCTTTCCTGTTCCTCTCTGGCTCTTTCAAGCTCACCCATCTTCTCTGGCCCATCTCAGAGGCCCCCACAAGTTGACTCCAATACAGCTCTGAATCTATCTACTTCCTGCCCCTGCCATTACCCCACACCCACCCTGCCCTGGCACTCCAACCCTCCCCCTCACTGCATCAGCTCTCACCTGGGCGGGGGCAGCAGCTCCTGACTGGCCTCCCTGCATCCACCAAGCCCCCGCAAGCCAGTCACTGATAGCCCAGCACTCTAACGTGGCTGCCCAGAGTGCCGTTTTTCTTTTCTTTTCTTTTCTTTCTTTTTTCAACTTTTATTTTAGAATCAGGGGGTACATGTGCAGGTTGGTTCTACCAAAAAGACACCTGCACCTGTATGTTCATCATAGCACTCATGACTCACAACAGCAAACACATGGAACCAACCCAGATGCCCATCAACGGTGGGCTGGATAAAGAAAATGTGATGCATACATACCATGGAATACTATGCAGCCATAAAAAAGAACCAAACCATGTCCTTTGCAGAAACAGAGTGCTCTTTTCTTCTCTTTTTTTGAGATGGAGTTTCACTCTTGTCGCCCAGGCTGGCGTGCAATGGCATGATTTTGGCTCACTGCAACCTCCACCTCCCAGGTTCAAGTCATTCTCCTGCCTCAGCCTCCTGAGTAGCTGGGGTTACAGGCATGTGCCAGCACGCCCAGCTAATTTTTGTATTTTTAGTAGAGATGGGGTTTCACCATGTTGGCCAGGCTGGTCTCAAACTCCTGACCTCAGGTGATCTAACCGCCTCGGCCTCCCAAAGTGCTGGGATTGCAGGTGTGAGCCACCGTGCCCGACCCAGAGTACTCTTTTCACATGCAAAGCACAATTTCCTCCTGCTCCCCAAGTTCCCAGGAGTCTCTGTCTCAGGCTGAAGACCTAACTCTTCTCGCCTGGCTACCTCTCTCCCCGCACCCCTGCCTGCCTCCCAGTGCCATCATGAATCCACCCTGCCGACCCCCGGAGACCTCCCATTCACTCATTTCCGTCCTCCTCAGACCATGGGTCTCCTTCAGACATTGGGCCCTCGCTGACCCAGTCTGGAGGCTCCCTTTGTCCTACAGGCTCCAAGGCAAGTTCCATTTCTTCGGGGCTGTATGTGGATGGCCGTAGTGTGTTACTGTCTGACCCCTGTCTTCTCTGCTAGCGGGTGTGCCTGAGAGAGTGGAGACCATGGCTGTCTCAGCTGCATATGTCCTCATTACCCAGCACGGTGCCGGAACCCTGACAGGCTCACAAAATGTTTGTTGAATGCATGAATGAAAGTCTTTCTTAGACATCCCAGCTGGTCTAACCATCCATAATGCACCAGACATGGGCCAGGTCCTTCAAAGGTGGCCTCGCATTTTTAACCTTCAGATACAAGCTGGGGCTGAGAGGCCTGTCTCGAGTTCCCTCTGGGGAGCCCAGGGCTGCAAGAGTGACCTTGACCTCACCTTCCAGCTTCCCAACACTGCCAGTACACATGTCTTTGTCTAACTTTTTCTCAAGATGATTTCACAAATTCACCTTCATTTTCCTTTTATTCCAATTTGCTCATTAAAAACTTTTCATTCTATTATGGCACATTCAGTTTTTTTTTTTTTTTTTTTTTTTTTTTTTTTGAGACAGAGTCTCGCTCTTTCGCCCAGGCTGGAGTGCAGTGGCGCGATCTCTGCTCACTGCAAGCTCCGCCTCCCGGGTTCACGCCATTCTCCTGCCTCAGCCTCCCAAGTAGCTGGGATTACAGGTGCCCGCCACCAAGCCCGGCTAATTTTTTATATTTTCAGTAGAGACGGGGTTTCACCGTGTTAGCCAGGATGGTCTCGATCTCCTGACCTCGTGATCCGCCTGCCTCGGCCTCCCAAAATGCTGGGATTACAGGCGTGAGCCACCGCGCCCGGCCGCACATTCAGTTTTATAAGCCACTTCAAATTCTTCCCTTAGAAGGCAGCATATATATGAAAACTATTTGTATATTTAATATAAAGTGCATAAATATATATTTAATATAATGTGCATATATATATATATAGGTATATATATACACACAGGAGAACTATATAAACTGCTTTTAAATCTTTTAAAGCAGTAGAACCCTATTTTCAACTAATGGCTTCATGGAACCCCAATATGTAAAACCATTAGAAGCAGAATGGCTCTGGTTGAAGTTGGGGTGGGGCTCCTGGGGTTCTAAGGAGCACAGTTTGGGAATCACTCACACTAGGCTCTCTAAGAGCCCCTTCCAGATCTGAAACTCTGGGACTTGGGAATGCTGGAGCACTGGTGTGCCCATTATGTAGATGGCAGAGCTGGGGGACCTGTCCATATTTTGAAAGAGAGGAGCCTGCCCCTCCTTGAAGTCTCCTATACTAGCCCTATTTAAACCCCAGTTGTCTGGGGGTACCTCACCTCCATGCTACAATCTTCCCAACCTTGGAGCCAGGGTGTACCTTGGATCTCCTGGGTCAGGCAAATAGTGGGTAGTCAATTAATGACTGCTCAAGGAAGGCTGCTCACTGTATGGGTCCAGGCTTCAGCTCCTTGTCCTGCACAGTGGAAATGGGCCTGGCCATGCAAGGGCAGGGATGGTGCAGCATGGCCTGAGGTCCGGGAGGAGGCTGTAGGTCCCTCCAGCCAGCACATGCAGGACCTAACAGCAGTCCTTTCCCATTACAATCCGCCTTTGGGTTCCACCTCAGTGACACCTGGATATTTCTTTCTGTTTCACAGTGAGGACTTTTCTTTAGAAACACAATTTAACCAAAAGGTTAACATATTTTAATTGCCCAGGGATAGTGCTCTGAAAATTCTATAACATGTGCTCATTAAATGAAATTAGCACAGAGGAGCTGCCTGGGATATGTCACACATTAAAATATGACTCTGTAGAATAGAATGCATTATGAATTATTGCCTGGTGTATTTTTGTTACATTAGTCTTTAATGTAAATAGAGTTATTTATCTGCCCACCTGGAGATGGGATTTCTTAAATGCCTGAAAAAACATATCTACATTAATTTGTACGTGGACAAGAATCAGCAAATCTGGGCCAGGCTGCATCCACCAGAGTACCCAGTGCCCAGCAGAGGGAGGAGGTCCGCTGCTCCTGTCCCTAAAGGCTGAGGGATTAGGGGAGTCGGAAGCAGGCTGGGATTGGCTGTGTCCACTCACTCTGCCCTTCCCCTCTGTCTAGGTTCAGTGGCCTAGGGACTGCAGGCAGAAGCATGGAATGGCATGGAATTCTGGGACCTACCACCACTTGGAGACTTTTTTCCTATGGCCTCCTTCCTGGAAGACATGAGTGTGCAGTATTCAGTTGCTGGAAACTCCAACCTTAGGCATGCCTGCAATCCCAATCCCACCCATCCTGCAAGCCTCAACTTGTATCCCAAATCTACCCATCTTTCCATCCATGTTTT
Organism: Homo sapiens; assembly: GCF_000001405.40. Classification (NCBI taxonomy): domain Eukaryota; kingdom Metazoa; phylum Chordata; class Mammalia; order Primates; family Hominidae; genus Homo; species Homo sapiens. The sequence goes on along the minus strand of NC_000019.10, from coordinate 29,542,727 downwards.
ACCTACTTACCCATTTCTCCTACTTTCTACTCTCCATTCACCCATCCACCCACTTATATCTTCTTTCCACCTATGCGTCAGCTATTTATTTTTCCACTCATTCCCAATCTACTCATCCATCAATCCATCCATCCATCCATTCATTCTCCCATCCATTCACCCATCTATCCATCCACTCATCATCCCTCCACCCACCCATTCATTCTCCCATCCATCTACCTATCTACCCATCCACTCATCTTCCTTCTACTCACCCATTCATTCTCCCAACCATCAACCCATCTACCCATCTACGCATCATTCTTCTATCCATCCATTCATTCTCCCATCCATCCACCCATTCACACATTGATTCACCCTTCTTCTTACCCACCCATTCGTTCTCCCATCCATCCACCCACTCACACATTAATTCATCCTTCTTCTTACCCACCTATTCATTCTCTCATCAATCCACCCATCTACCCATCCACTCATCATCCTTGTATCTATGCATTCATTCTCCCATCCATTCACCCATCTACCCATCTACTTATCATTCTTCTACCCATCCACTCATTCTCCAGTCCATCCACCCATCTACCCATCTATTTATAATCCTTCTGCCCACCCATTCATTCTCCCATCCATTCACCCATCTACCATCTACTCATCATCCTTCTACCCATCCATTCGTTCTCCCATCCACTCACCCATCTACCATCTACTCACCATCCTTCTACCTACCCATTCATTCTCCCATCCATCAACCCATCTACCCATCCACTCATCATCCTTGAATCCATCCATTCATTCTCCCATCCACCCACCCATCTACCCGTCCACTCGTCATCCTTGTATCCATTCATTCATTCTCCCATCTGCCCACCCATCTACCCATCCACTCATTCTCCTTCTACCCATCCATTCATTCTCCCACTCATTCACCCATTCATTTATCCTTCCTTCCACCCATCCAATAATTCTCCCACCATCCACCCATCTACCTATTCACTCATCCTTCCTTCTACCCATCCACCCAACTACCCATCAACTTATCATCCTTCTACCCACCCATTTATTCTCCCTTCTATGTACCCATCTACCCATCCACTCATTTTCTGTCCACCCATCCATTTATTATCCCATCCATTTATTATTCCATCCATTCATTATCCCATCCATTCATCCTTCCTTCCACCCATCTATTAATTCTCCAATTCATCCACTCATCCACTCATTCTTCCTTCTCCCCATCCATTCATTCTTCCATCATCCACCCATCTATTCATTCTTCCTCCCATTCATCCCCCATCCATTCACACATCCTTCCCTTCACTCACCCACCAGCTACTTGTTTTTATCACCCCATTCAGACATCCATCAACCCATCCATCCAATGATTCCAAGCCCCATCATCTCTTGACTGGATCACTGCCTCCTAAGTGGTCTTCCCCATCTATCAAATTCATCCCACCTCTCCAATCTCCACATTGCAACCAGAGTGACCATTTCTGAAGGCATCATGCCCTAGCCACTCAAACCCCATCCCACTGCTCTTAGGATAAAGTCAAAGCTTCCTGATCTCTTCAAAAGGCCTTACAGTTTGACCCTGTTTGACCAGTAAACTCTAACCTTGACTTAATTTCCCCTTTGCTTCCCCATCTTGCTTTCTCTGCACCCACCACAGTAAGCTTCTGTGAGGCCTTTGCATTTCCCCAGATCCCTCTTGCCGCAGGACCTTTGCACATGTGAGTCCCTCTTCCTGGAAAGCTCTACCTTCTTTCTTTACCTGGCCAACTCTTAACTGTCTTCCTGATTATGGCTCAAATGTCACTTTCTTGGTGACCCTTCCCTGACTGGGTCAAATCTCCCTATTTTAGCTCCCATAGCCCATGGGCCTCTCCTTTAGAGTACCAGCCATGGCTGCTAATTTCCACTTGCTATGTGACTATTTGATCAATATCTGTCTCTTCCTCTGTCACTTTCTCAGGACCTCATTAGTCTTAATCACATTATGCCCTCAGTGACTAGAAAAGTTCCTGCACATAAAAAAATGCTCCATGGACATTTGCTGGATGAATGATTGAATGAATGAATGAACTAGTACCAAGTCCAATGAATATAGGACAGTGGGGAAACAGCAGTGAGAATGAACCAGGCCTGCTGTCTGTGGGCATCAGTCTGGATGGGGCACTCAGCCAGGTGTTGACTGCAGGACAGGGAAAGAACTGCTGGGAGCCCTGAGGCAGCAGCAAGGCACATCTAGGTGCTCAGAATGAAAGAAACTCCTTTGGCTGCAGGATCAGGAAGTCTTCTCCCAACTACCAGCCCACCCTGGCCCCACCTTTCTGAGTTCTTCCCAACTACTAGTCCATCCTGGTAGCCCACCATTTCTGAGCCCCTCTTGTGCCTGAGCTGAGCCCTGGGTTCATCCTCCTGCATGGCCACCATAACTAGACCATGAGCTCCTACCTGGGGCAGGGGCTAGGTCTGCCTGATGCTCTGGGTAGCTCCCTGCCCCTTGGCCTGGGCCAGACCAGATACAGCAGACCAGGAATCCCCACCCCCCACTCGGACTGAGCCTGATGTGATGTCAGCTCCCCCTTCCATGGGTTTATTAAAGATCTTTCCTCTGGGCCAAGCGGCATTTGTATGAGAATCAATTGTAATAAAAGTCACTCTAAGGGGACTGACATTGCAGCTGGGCTTTCCTGCCTTAAAGAAAACCATGCCTTCCTCCCTGAGGGCAGCTGATGGACAGCAGGCCAGGGTCAGCAGAGGGAAGGCTCTCTGTCTCTAGAGCTATACGATTACAGGTGGGTGGGCCTCCAGCAGGAGTCTGCAGTGGGCTGTCTGTGCTGGGAGGGAGGCAGGCTCACATGGGCGTGAGGGGTGGAGACAGGCAGGAGGGGCCCTGGCTTCCTGGCCTGGCCGGCAGCCTGCTTACACTCCCAGCACATCCCAGAGGTGGTATCTCTGTCCTGCATTCTTCTCACTAGCCTCGGTGCCAAGTGGCACCTTTATTAGCAATCTCTGGGCACAGTGAGCCACGGAAAGGGAAGCTGGGGTGGATGCGAACATGAAAAGCAAAATGCAGGAACGCAAGTGGAAGAACCAGCACATGTCCTGAGCCTGTAACGGTGGCGTGAGTCCCCAAAAGGCCCATCCCTGTGGGGCACTCCCTGACATAGGTGGCTCTCACTCTCTCTCTCACTCTATCTCTGTAAAGGCCCCAGTGATGGGGACTTCGGGCACCTCCTCTCAGTCTAGACCTACCCCAGGAGGCTCTCTGGCTATATGACATGGTGAGAGAGCTTTCTACCTTCTCCCCACTTCTCCCCTGGAGACACAGCTGTCCAGTGCTGCAAACACCAGCCTCTCCTCTGAGCTTCTCCTTGCCACCCGAAAGGCCCTACCCCCTCACATCACAGTGCCCGCGCCACTGGCAGCAGCCTATATGACAAAGAAGCACGACCAGGCATGACATGGAGCAGCTTTCCCCAGGAGCCCTGTTAGCACAGCCAGGACTCGGCACGTGGGCAAACCTGGGGGTTTAATTTGCTGATGGACCACACGAAACCATGATGAAGCTGTCCTTGTTCACCAAGGAGCTCGTGACTTATGGCAAACAGCCCCAACCAGACTAGTATGGGGATGTGGCACCATCCCCATCTTTCTACCTTCCCCCCTTGAAATGGTGCAGCCAGAGAACTTACAAAAACAGCAACTCTCCGAGCCATTTGCAATCTGATGGCCCTTTCTGTTTCTGAGCTCCATCAGCCCCATCACTGAGATGGTTTGGATGTTCATCCCCTCCAACCTTATGTTGAAATGTGATCCCCAGTGTTGGAGGTGGGTCCCGGTGGGAGGTAACTGGGTCATGGGAGTGGATCCCCCACGAATGGCCTGGTGCCCTCCTCATGGTAATGAGGTAATGGGTGAGTTCCTACTCTGTTACTTCACATGACAGCTGGTTGTTTAAAGAGCCTGGCACATCCTCCCTCTCTCTCTTGCTTCCTCTCTCACCATGTGACATGTCTACTCCCCTGCCTTGAGTTAAAGCTCCTTGAAGCCTCACCAGAAGCCAAGTAGATGCTGGTGCCTTGCTTGCACAGCCTGCAGAACTGTGAGCCAAATAAACCTCTTTTCTCTATAAATGACCAGACTCAGGTATTCCCTGATAGCAATGCAAAATGGATGAATACAATCACAATTAGCTCCATCATGCTCACAGCATTTGCAGGAGGGAGGGCGGTCTCATGAAGGAAGTCTCAGATCGGAGCACCCTGTCCAGCTTAGTAAGCGATCCTGGATGGTTAACACCATTCCCGTGAATAACGCTGGTTACCAAAGCCAACATCCACTGAGTGTATTCTAGGTGCCAGGCCCTGTGTTAAGCTAACATCTTTCCACGGATTATCCCCCCGGATCCTGCCAACCACTCTCTGGCATAGGAATCGGTGTCGTGCTGATGATAACAGATGACGGAACTCGTACAGAGAGAGTGGGAAGTGATGGACTCAAGATTCCAATCAAATGGTTGGATGTATCCGGAAAACAAGCATAATACTTAGGGTATGAAGGGCAGGAGTGAGAAGCACATGCTGTGACTTTTGCAGGGCCAGAGCCCTGTAAAGGCCCAGAAAGGGGGCAAATTTGTTGGCATTGAAATCCTGGCTTACCTGTGAGCCAGCATGCTGAACAGTGAGGAACATTTGAAATGTCAGGAGAGAATGCGATGGTTGGAAGTGGTGGTGAGTGTAACTTCCTCCGGAACTATGTTCAGTGTCCCTCGGGTGATGCTTTGGTTCTCCCACCAGCATGGGCAGCTGTGGGGAGGACTGATCTGCCTAGGTAATTTTCCTGGCCTCGGTCTCTAGCGGGCATTGGGTGCTCAACTGGGACTTTTAGGGGGTGCTCTGTCCCTCTCAGTGGCCCTTCTGGCAAGCTGGTTACTTCTGAGCTGCATGGAGCAGGGCCCATGGGTGCGGGAGAGTAGGTGGGTGCGGGAGAGTAGGTGGGTGCGGGAGAGTAGGTGGGTGTGGGGGCGGGTGGTTGTGGGGAAAAGCTTCCGAAATGTCCACTTTGGCTCCTTATTTCATGCCAACGCCAGGACCCCTCAACGTTCCTCTTGAACTGCAAGAACCAGAGCCAACTGAAGCCTGTCCAAAGTAGCTTTGATATTTTAGCCCAGAGAGCAGTAACGACAGAACAGAACAACCAATAACTTCCAGAAACAGGATTGCTGGCAGGGACAGGCTTTGCACAAGGTCTGTCTCTCAAGGGCCGTCCTGTGGAGGATGCAGGCAGGAGAAGGGGCCTGGGCTATGCTCATACTTTGCGGTCACCGAGGGTGCTGCTGTCTGCAAGCAGCCCCCGCAGCCACCTCCACCGCTGGCTGTTTAACAGCAGCTACACCCTAACCCACAGGAGGCCAGACTGGATCCTCCATCTTGGTATTTATAGCACATCTTCCCTGAGAGCACCAAAGCCACTGACAAGCAGGCTAATTTCCCTAGAAGCACGACCCCAGGGAAGGAGGTGTGTCATTCTTCATCAGGAATAGTCAGGAATCAAGAGTTACAGGGGCTGAGCCTGCTGACTTCCCATCTCAAACTTCCCTGCAGCCCTTATGTAAGGCAAAGTGAAGCCTTCTCACCACTCTGGATACAAGTTTACAAGAGATGCCTGGTGATAGTCAGCTAAGCATGGGGGAATAAAAAAGATAATGCTTTTATTTTTCTCCTGTGCTGCAAAAATGTCTTAAAACCATGCTGGCATCTTCCAGAAAGCTCAGGGGTTTAGACCACAGCCAAGGCCTTGCTCTGTCCACACAGAGCAGAACTAATCAATATCATATTACAAAAGCACTTGACCTCATTTATCCCCACGGATGCTTGGGGAATCCTTAATATTCAGAGCTTTAAGGATATGCACCTGGCGTGTTTAATGAGCAGCTCCTTGTTGGGGGGTTAGTTCCCGGTGACATTTAACAAGGCTGGCTTCCAGCTCTTTTCTTGGGGGCTACCACTCCAGCTGGGCAGAGAGTGTGGGCTCTGGCTATAAGCACAGAGAGAGCGCTCTGTCTTCTGGGGGACGGACTGAAGCAGGAGGCATTAGGGAGAACTGTGGGAAGGAGGAAAGCCGGTGAGAGGAGAGCGTGGCACACAGTAAGTGCTCAGTAAAAGGCAAATGTTATTATTTATCATTATTATAATCCAAGAGCAGCTGTTTTTATCCTGAATTTAGGGTCTTGCTGATGCTGAGAGGATGGTTGCCCAGTGAGCTGACTGATACACAAAGGCCATTCCATTTGGTGTGGACTTCTCCAACCTTGGGAAGGAGAGAGGGGGCATCTGAAAGCTTTCCAAGGTCTGACCTAATTGGGAGGACTTCAGCCTCAGGTGCTTCTTTCAAGCTGTAAGTCACACACCACCTACAGGAAGCCTCTCCTGATTGCCTCAGCTGGATTAGTGCTGGCACAGCACAGACTGCTTTGTCCTGGAATTACCTGGGTGCCCTGGCTCCTTTAAGTTTGGGTCCACACTGCCATCTCTGGTTCCCCCTTATGGCAAGCGTGGGGCTGGGCCCAGAAGGCTCCCAGTGACTGGCTGCTGGGGGAGAGGATGCCATGTCGCTGATAATGGCGTAAGATTGCTGCTGTTAGGGATGAAGCAGGCATTGCTTGCCAGCTGTGAGGCTCAGCCATTTCCTTTATGAAATCCTTTAATTTTCTTTTTCAGGATGCTCAGAGAGCCTCGCCCTCTCTTCTCTGGGACATCCCTTGCCAGATTTGTTTTCTTCTTAATTATAATTCTCATGTCACATCGGAACTTGGGGGAAGAGTGGATTGTTCATTTAAGGTGAGGGCCTTTGGGTCCTCGTGGGTCCGGGGAGATGGGAAAACCAGGTGGCTGCCTCAATGGCTTGCTCAGGGCCCACAGGTCCTGGGCCTGCTGGTACTGCTGGTGACTCTGCTGCATCGCGATTCTCCTGGGTCACGTGTGTGCCATTCCTTCAGCTCTATCACCACCGGGGCATGGGTCGAGATGTAGTGACTGTCTCCACCTTGCCCACGGCCCCCTTTGGTCACGGTTTACGGTTGCCATGGCGACATCCGCGGATGCTCCCCTTTGACGGCTCCCAGCAGCCACAGCCTCTCTACAGCCATCATACCCATGGCCTTGGCTGTCTTTCTCTCATTATTAATTGAAATATTGAGAGCCAGTTCTCCGTGTGGGCACCCAGCAGCAGCTTGCCACATCCAGCCGGCTCTCTGTGGGGGCCATGGTGCCTTTCCTTGGAGCCAGAGCCCTGAGGCTAATTAGAGGTTCACACGCCACTGCTCTGATCCCAACGTCCCTGCAGAGGGGAACCTCTGGCCAACACACCAGCCATTCAGTTGCAAACTGGATTCTTTTGAGGCCGCGCTAGACTTTACTGCGGTGCCTTTTCCATTTAGAAGTGTTAGTCTGGAAGATACTCTGCTTGGTCTCTCTCTCTCTTTTCTAGAAATGGCAACCAGCAACAAAGTGTTCACGAAAAATGGGTCAGCATTCAGATTAATTAGGAGCCAGATTTATGAACACAGCTAAGACGGGGCCCAGCCTCCTGCGCCTGCTCTGCTCTGCTAATGCAGTCCATGTTTATTTTTAAGCACAAATACCAAAATGTCTCTTGACAAATGAGACGTGAAATGAATGAGTTTTTGCACATCAACTTTTAGTGCAAATATGTATTTGGGTGTATTAGGTACACATGTGGCATGGGAAGGGCTTTCTTGCCTGGCTGTGCGGTAGCTAATGGATGAGGGCTGGAGGAAGTCCCCCCTCTCTCCTTCGTGGCATTACCAAAGTGGCTCACTTAAAAAATAGGGACTTTTTTTCTGACTTCCTTCCAGGAACGATCGCTTAATGGGGGACTATTTGGGGAGATGTACTGGGACCGCCCCTGCTGTTGCCAATCTGAAATGGCCAGTGTCCTGAGCCTCTTTCTTTTCTTTTCTTTCTTTCTTTCTTTTTTTTTTTTTGAGACAGAGTTTCAGTCTTGTTGCCCACGCTGGAGTGCAATGGCGCGATCTCGGCTCACTTCAAACTCCGCCTCCCAGGTTCAAGTTATTATCCTGCCTCAGCCTCCCAAGTATCTGGGATTACAGGTGCCTGCCACCACACCCAGCTAATTTTTTGTGTTTTTAGTAGAGACAGGATCTCATCATGTTGGCCAGGCTGGTCTCAAACTTCCGTCCTCAGGTGATCCACCCGCCTCGGCCTTCCAAAGTGCTGTGATTACAGGCGTGAGCCACTGTGCCTGGCCATGAGCCTCTTCAGTGCCCCCAGGTCCTCAGCCCACCCTTCTCCACTCTGCTGTGAGCCCCTGAGGGCTGACCTCTACAGCCTGCACCACCTGGGTGCCCCTGCCTTCAGGTTCCAGGAGGGTTTGGCCAAAGGGAGGCCCAGACAGGGAATGGAGGGCAGGAGGAGTGAGATCCTTGCTGGGTGACTGTGGGTTGGCTGTGTGCCTCCCCTCCTACTCTCTGGGTGCTACCAGCTGCCCCCAGACCTTTAGGCTAGGTCTGCTGATGGCTCCCACTGATGCCAGCCCCGGGGACCTGCATCAATCCTTTGTTGGCTGCCCTAACCCTGTCCACACCTTGGTACATACGCTCTTTCCATCCCCCCCAGTGACCCTGTTTGAATGTTCCATGTGCCTCTGCCAGCACCCTGGTTGATATCCTCTGCAAACACTCTTGACTATTAACCAAGAGGCAGCGGTCCTTTCTGGACCCCTCCCCATCAAGCTGCCTAGAATTGAGTGGCTGGGAGGCAAGGCCCAAGGTCGTCTGCCCCGAGCTCCCTCTGCAGCTCAGGCTGCTGTGGTTCCGAGCAAAGCAGCTGGCTTGCTGCCTCTCAGGGCGCTCAGCAGTACCTGGTGCCAGCAGCTGAGCTCGGGGCACTGGCTGGTGATGCAGCCCTACAGAAAGGTTACTAATGCCCATCCTCCAAAACACAGTCTGCAGGCTTCACATTGACAGCACACAGCCTGGGTGGCCTTGGGTGACCGGGGTGAGGTGGGACACAAGACTGAGCATGGTTCCCTCCTTGGCATCAAGGCTGTTCGGATGTGTTTGTGAATGACAGGTCTGCCATCCATTTTCCGTGCCCAGAGTGGGACATAGAGTGCCTGGAGCAGAACCACTCTCAAGAGAGCTTCACCTGGAGAGTGAGGGACACAGGTTTTCTGACCTCCCAGCTGAAGGCCCACCTTCTGGGCACCCCAAAGGAGACTTGGAGAGAGACTGGAGGTTCTTTCTGAGATGTGTCTACACAGTTCCTGGCCAGTTCAGGAGCTGGCAAGGGTTAGGGGGTGACAGAGACCTCAGAGGCCACTGTACTTCTATCCCAGGGGTGCTGCTGTCAGCCCCGCTGGGATCCAGGCAAGCTGTGCTTTCTAGATGGCAGTGGACATCAGCCCCTCCAGGGAAGGCAGAGTGACCCACATGGGCATTAACATATGGCCCCGTGGCTGGTGGGTGCCCAAGGTCCTATCTGCTGGGATGGCACTGGGCACTGTGCCATCAGCATTGAGTTGACCTGAGGACCTCCATATCTTCTGGGAAGAAGGGCACTGACTGGCCCACCTTCCCTGGATGAGATGTCCTGGAGCATCTTCACTCTCTCATTCAGCCTCCATGGCCAGCACCGAGACTGGAGATCAGACTGGCTATGGCAGGCAGTCAGGTCATCTGTGGCTGGGCCTGGGACTCAGGCTGAAGGCCAAGGGAAGAGGGAGATTCAAGCAGGAGTGCGCTCATGACCTTGGTCTCATTATCATTTTGTGAGCACAACCAAGTCCACTCTCAAAGATCTATTTCACATGGTCTTGACCGGTCTTTAACCAACTGCTGGTTCCACTTGGCATTCAAGGCCCTCCATAGCCTGGCTTCCAACTGCCAACCTTTTAGCTTTATCTGCCCATCCTCTCCTCTCCAGCTAGTGCAGCTAATGACCAGGGTGATAATAATGAACATATATGTGCAGCAATTTCCATACCAAGCTCCCTCTGAGGTCAGAGAGATTATCCTGTTCATTTTACAGATGACTCAGAGATGGTAAGTCACTTGCCTAAAATCACACAGCCAGTAAGTGGTGGAAGCACAACCTACATCGGAACTTCTGCCTTTCAAATCCTCCAGGAATATCCTAGAGGTACGTCCCAGCCTGTAATGCACACATTTCCTTGCTGGGGCCCAAGGGGAGGGGGAAGAAGGATGTTCTCTTCACCAACAAGCATCAGTTAAGCCAATGGCTCTGTAAGTCAATAGGAACTCTCCCTGAGCACTGCCTGTATGCTGAACAGAGATGGCTAACTCCTCGAAGAGTCACGCTCCCCTTGCACTGTGAAGAGATGAGGCCCGAAAGCAGCCGCCACACCAAGGACTACATTTCCCAGCGGGCCCTACATCCATGTTGGACCATGTGACTGAGTTCTGGCCGATGGAAGAGGGTAGAAGTAATATTTACCACTTCTAGACCTAGCCCTTAAAAAACGCCTTGCCATTTTTCTAAACCAGCTTTTCTCTGAGAGAGTTAAGCGCTGCCAGAAAGATTTGAGTGGCTGTTTTCTCAGTCTCCCAAGAATGATACATACTTAGGGCCGTCCTAAATGCATATGAAACAAGTTGATTCATCATACACAATGCATGCCTGAGAGTATTAGGGCTTAATTCTCTTAGGGCAGTGAGCTGACAAGGGCTGCTTCTGTCTCTCCTCACTGGTCTGCTGGCTCTATGTCATGCCCAGAGTGACTTTGGAAGCCTCCTGCTGAGGCTGGTACTCTCAGCCTGGGTCCCTGGATGACTGCATGGAACAGAGCCGCCACATGCCCTGGGGCACTCCAGGGCAGGACTTGATATGAACGAGGAATATTAAATTTGAATTGTGTCAAGCCACTGGCCTTTTGGGGTTTATTTGTCACAGCACCTAGTGATATCTTAGTGCAGAGGGTGGAAAGTTCCCAGCTGGGCTGTGGAGGCTCTTTGCAGGTCCCTACCTTCCCCAGTAGCCTGAGGGACAGTCTTGTGGGCTCCTGTGTGGCATCCAAGACGGATGAGGCCTTCGGATCAAGCCAATAGCCTGAGACGCACTGAGGCGGCTGCTACAGTGGGTAGAGCTAAATGAGAGACAGAACTGAACTGATGTGCCAGGCAGACTGCAGGCTCAACTGTCGGAGGGCTTGAGAGTTAGCCAGGGAGGCAGGATGAGATGGTGACACTAAGGACATGAAGACCTGCCCCAGCGGATTCTGCAGGTAGTCCAGGAGCCTGCAGGAAGACCACCCTTTGAGAACTACCACTGTAGGGGTGTGACAATGTGCTCCATCACATCTAGGAAGTTTCACATGCACCTGTACCCAAAGCCAGGCTCCCAGGGCCATGTGGCCAGGAGAGATGCTCCCTGTGGGACTCTGCATCAAACAAGACTGAGGAGAGGGGCCAAGGGAGGGAGCAACCTGCTCACAGTCAGGCACTGGGGTGGGCTCTGAGGCCCAGCTTGGAGCAGGGGGAGAGAGTGGGGGATGCCTTGGGAGGAGGGGCACACTGGGCAAGCCTTTCTACCCTCCATAACCGCCCCCCACCGCCCCCACCCCTGCCTCTGCCAATGGCTCCTACCGCCCCAGAGCTGCCTACCAGGGGGTAGTCAAGCCATCATTTTCTCCTCCTTCTGCCTTCTCACATCCCGCCCCCCATCCCCAATCCCTTCTCCCAGCCTCTCAGCTCCCTAAGAAAGCAAGCCTTCCCCTCTGGGTGCCTTCCTAACAGTGGCTTAGGGCTCAGTCCTTACTGCCCCCACCCCAAAGCCAAAGGGAGAGGATCTGCGATTTACAGCAGAGTGCAGAGCTGCTGCCTAGGGCCATCCTGCATTTAGCCAAAGAGGGCGTAGGTTACACAGCCAGGCCCCTCCACACCCTTGGACAAAGTCTGTTCAATCGAGCACACAAAATAGAAACCAACGCAACTCAAGTTTTAACCGCCTCCCGCTCTCCAGCAGGTGCCAGTGCCCCCATCTGGGGATAGCTCATTTCCACCACCGGTGGTGGCTGAGTACTGGCCCCTTGCCACCATCGGAGCTCAGCCCTCAGGGTCCAGTTCTCCAAACCCAAAAGAGGTCGCCTCCCCACACTACAGCCTCCAGCGTACCCTGAGGTAGCTGGCAGGGCAGCCCCCTCCTCCATTCATAAATGCACATCAGAAATGCTTCCAGAGGCCAGGAGTAAAGACAGAGAAACCGCGGGAAGAAGGCCCTGGGGGGGGCGCTCCCGACCTAACTAGGAAGGAGTATGCATATGCAAATGCGCCCAGGGGGCGGGTCCTGGGTCCGGAGCCCCCCGGGGCGTCCCGGCGCAGCCCTAGCCCTGCGCCATCCCCGCGCGTGCGCCCCCTCTCCGCGATCCCTTACCCGAGCCGTGCCTCTGGCGCAGCAGGACCGCCTGTCCCGATGGCGGCGACGCTGACGAGGCAGCAGCAGCTGCCGCGACTGTGGTGGTGGGCGTGTGGGCCGCCGAGGCTGCCGCGGCCTCGGGGACTGCGGGATCGATGGCGGCGGGAGGGCTCCCGGGCGGCGGGCTCTTGTCGCCGCGGCCGGGCTCGGAGGTGGTACGGCTCGCGGCGCCCGCGTTGTTGGCGTTGGCGGCGCTGGCTGGGCCGTGGCGACGCGGGCCGCTGCTCTGGATGTGGGACACGGCCTCGGCGGCCTGCATGTTGGGCGGCGCGAAGCGCGAGAGCACGCGCAGCATCGCCTGGGCCTTGTGCTCCTGCGTGTCGTCGTCGCTGTAGTCCGACACGCGGCACTCGTACACGCCCTCGTCCTGCAGCCGCACGGCAGACAGCCGAAGCCGGTGTGAGATGTCATTGCCCTGGACGCGTACGGTCTGCAAGAGAGCAGGGTTAGAGGCCGGGCTGGGCAGCTCCCAAACCTACTCTTCTGGCCACCCTGGCCGTCGCGCCCCCTCATCCGCGCACCCCAACACTTCCCGGATCCTGGTTTGCCCACCATCACGATCCGGCTTCCCTTTCACCCGCGTCTACCCAGTGGCATAGGGCTTCCAACTCTGCGTGGACGCCAGGCAGCCAGCTCTTTGGACTGTGTCCCCACGTCCCCATCACGTTAACCAAACGCCCACCTTGCATCTGCCCCGCCCATACAAACCAACACTGCTTGTCTTCCCGTAGCTGGCGCTTCAGAAGGGCAGAGTCCACCTCTCCTTCCTCCCTCCTGCACCTTCAGGAAACCCCAGGCTGGATTCCTTGTTCCTTAACTTCCCCACGTCTTTCCCGCCCCGACGCGCTCCAACCGACAGTCCCGCCCCAGCCGGCCCTCCTCACCTCCCGGAGCACGGAGGGCCTGCCCGAATCGCTTCCTAAGGAAAGCCACCCTGTCACCGGACCCCGCCCTTTACAGCTAACACTGTGCTTTCTTAAGAAGGCAAGCAACGCTGAGGCTGCTGCCTGGCTCCCTGGCCACCTGCTACCAACCCGCCTTTCCGCGGGATCTCCAGAAGCCCCCCAGCGAAGTGCTCCTCCCCTGCGCCCCGGTGGGGACTTCGGGAAGTACTGCTCTACGGCTCTCAACAAACACCCAGGGAGCCCTCACCTCTGAACCGAGCCCACGAGGAGGCTTCGTCATCTCCAGGCCTTTCTACGCTCCAGGTGGGAAGCTTGGGCGCATCTCCTCCCAGAGTTAGCAACCCCATGACCCGGGCCCCTCGCAGCCTGGCACAACCACCCCCTACCCCGTCCCCTGCAAGCCTGCAACACCCCGCACCCAGACCCGCAATCCAGGCGGAGGATAAAGGGTTGCAGCGGAGGGCGCAGAGCAGATGCTCAGGGCGGGGCAGAGGGGGCGGGAAGCTGGCGCCACGGTCGCGGCGAGGGCGAGCAGCCGCGCGCTCCCGGTGCTAGGAGGAATGCCCGCAGAGCGGAGGCTGGCAGGCGCGAGAGGCCCTAAGCGCGCAGTCCGACCAAGGGGAGTTTTACAGGTCAGCGCCGAGCCGAATTAGGGGACTCAAGCCTTGGACCCTTGATTTACACAAAAGAGAACCCGACCCTGCAACCGGCGACAGATGGCGCCCGGACACGCCGAGCAGCCACCGATGCAAGGCTGCGATCGCTGCCCTACTTGCGCGGCCCCACATGCGCGGCCGCCGCGGCTTGCTAAGGGAGGGAGCTGCGGGACCCGAGGCGGCCAGAAGGGGTCTCCCGCGGCCCGCGCTGGGCTCCACACTTACGCTGATTTTAGTTGCATCCTTATTTGTTACCTAAAATGCAAAGAGGGAGAGAGAGACGTGAGGCTCGCGGCCTTCTGGCTAGGGGAACTCGGATCCGCCTTTAGGCAAGGGCACCCTCCTCCGGCAGGCTAGGACCGAAACCGCCCGGGGGATGGGGGTTGAGGGCACAAAGGACGTCCGGCTTTCCAAGAGTTTCCCAGGAGGAAGCGGGCTTTGGAGCTAGCATGGTGCCTGACCAACGGGTGGCTGCCCTGGTGCACACCTGCCGGCTGAACTGGGGAGACTGGATGGACACCAGGGTGGGAAGGAAAGCCCCTCTCCTTCCCTCTGGGCATCCTTAGGCCCTGCCGCGTGGCTCAAAATCCTCCCCCAGCTCACTGGGAGCCGTGAAGAACTGGAGGGAGGGCCGCTGTGTCTGGACAGCACCCAGCGGGAGGCTCAGTGGGAGTAACTCTGGGTGGGACCCTGGGAGAATGTAGGTGTGTGTAGGTGTAGGTGTGTGTGTAGGTGTGTGTGCACGCGAGCACACTAGAGTGTGTAAGAGAGTGTGGGTTTTGAGGCAGACAGGCAGCGTGGGCCTGTTTTCGGCCACAGAGAAGTGGCCCCTCTGTGCCCCTGAGGGCTGGAGGTCCTGCCGGCTTTCCGGTACTCGGTTTTCTGGTGGCCTCTGGAACGCAGCCGTGGGAGCCCTGGGGTCCTCAAAGTGGCAGAGGGCGGGGAGAGCCTGATGGGACCAAGGGGGCTTCCTTCACTACCCAGCACCCATCAGAGGGCCGCAGCCAGCGAGCACGAGCAAGCGACCAGGCTGAGGTGTGGCTCTTTAGGGGCTGGGCGTGAATGGAGTTCTGGGAGGTGGTGGGAACAGCGATGCTGTCAAAATAATTGACAGGTTTGGGGGTAACCACTGCTGACTTTGAAGATGCTTTGGGATGCGAAGGTGGAAGATGGGCTGCGCCACAGGGCGGCGCCCTGCGCGAGTGAAGCCCGCTGCTTCCCTCCCTGGGTTAGCCTTCGCCGCCCCGGGCGCGAGCCGGGCGCGCGCCGGTACCGCGTGGGCGGCGGGTTACCTTGCTCCGGGCGCCCGGCACGCTGAGCGCCAGCTCGTGCAGCAGCTCCCGGGGTGGCTCCTTGAGGTACCACCACTGAATCTCCAGCGAATACGAGGTGGCTCCGCTGGCCCGGAACGCGCAGGGCATTTCGATGTCGTCTCCCTCCCGTACTGTCACATCTTTGGGGACTTCTGTGAATGCAGCTGGGGGTGGGGAGAGAGAGAGAGGCGTGACCAGCTGTAGGTCGGGGGCCTGGGGCAACCTAAAGCGAGGCAGTCGGTCTCTGGCTGGCTGGCCTTGTGCCCCCCACCCCGCAGCTGCTCCCTGGCGCACGGCCGGAGGGGCTAGCAAAGTTCGGGGAAGCGGCTGCAGGGCCGAGGCAGGGACCGGCCATCGGCTGCCTACTGCTTCCCTCCGGATGGGGCGGGGCGGCAGGGGCGACTCGTGCTTCTCCCCCGCCCCTGGCCGCACCGCCAGAGCCTGGCTGGGGCGCGCCTACTCCCGCTCCCCGCAGGCATCCTTTCCGCAGCCGGGGCCCCGGCGGGACTGGGAACGACTCGGGCGCGGCGCTGCTGCTGCGGCGACCCTTCGCCGCTCGCCTCTCCCTACCCCTCCGGGCCCAGGCTGCACAGCGGGATTGCTGGAGACCGCGAAGCTTCCCGGTTCGTTCTCTTTCTTCTTCTTCTCGGTGGCGGCCCCAGCAAAGACCCCCCCGAGTCCACAGCGGCAGCAAAGTTCCCGCGCTCACCGTCGGCCACGAAGAGCAGCAGGGCATGCAGCAGCAGAGGCGGCAGGTATCCGAGGGCACCGAGCCGGTTCCGCTGTTCCATCTCCCGCGGGGGGCGCGGTGGCGGCGGGGGCCCGGGAGCGGAGAGGCGGCGGCCGCGTGGGCTCGGATCGGCTCCGGCTCGGGCTAGGACGCCTCCGAGCCTGCCATGGCCCCGCGCGGCGCCCCCTCCCCTGGCCGCCGGCGGCCGCCAATCAGCCCCGCTCCCTCGCCGGCTTGCCCGGTGCGGCTCCGGCGGGGGGCGCTGCGCGGGGTGTGCAGGAGACGCGGTCCCACCGGGAGGCTGCTGGCGATCGGTCAGTGCCTCTCTCTGTCCGGTCGTCCACAGGACGGTGGGGATCCGCGGTTCAGTCTCTGCCCGGCGGGCCGGGCAGGGGCTGGGCCGCGCCGGGACCCATCCCTGGCCGAGGGAGTGCGTGCCACGGAGCCGCGAGCTTCTGCCTCCCTGTCTCCTTCTGGTTCTGCTCCCGATTGCCACCTCCTTCGGCTCCCGCAGCCGCCCCCGCCGGTTCCTCCGCGGCTCTTTCCGCAGGGCGAGTGGGCGCTCAGCCGCGGCGCGCAGACCTGGCGTCCGACCCAGCGCAGCGCGGGGAGAGCGGGTCCGGCGTGGCGGACCCGGAGCCGGAGAGAGGCGGGGAGAGGGGGAGGGGAGGGGAAGGGAGGGGGCGGTCAGTGGCTGGGCGCCAAGCCGCCTCCACCGCTGCATCGCCCCCGCCCTCCCCTCTCCTGCCACAGCCCGCCCCGCCCCCGCCCCAGAGCGCTCCCCCTCTCTCCTCGGGGGTCGCTCGGAGGGACCACCGTCTTTCTGGTTGGAGTACAGCCCCGCCCCGCACCCGCTTGGGTTGGGAGTCCTCCCACCCAAACTCTCCCTGGCTTCTTCCCAGTCTGCACGGCTCGAGACGGCCGCTCATCCCTGCTCCCCGTGTGTCCCTCGGTCCTCTCTGCAGCTCCCAGCCCTCAACTCCTTACCCCAGTTTGGGCAACCAGCTGCCCCGCTGTTTGGCCCAGGCCTGGGCCATGACGGATGGGTGGGCGCCCGGGGCCGCGAGAAGGGCGGAACGCTGTGCCCAGCCGGAGACTACGCTGGGTGGCGGCGGCAGCGCCGGGAGTCTGCAGTGCGCGAGGGAGAAGTGAGCGCACAGCGCCCAGCGAGCAGGTGCCTGCGGCGCGGAGAGCGCACACGCTAGCCAGCCCGCAGCGGCCGTGAGTGACGGCAGGGGCGGCGGGGGTGGGGTGGGGTGGGGAGCGCCGGGCACGACTCAGGGCCCGGGAGGTTTCCGGGAGGGGGCGGGGTTCCTGCCCCTGGATCGCGGGTCCCTGTGTCTCCACGCGCTCTTCGCCGGTCGTGGCCCCTTCTTTGCCCGGTGCAAAGCGAGATGCCGAGGCGGCAGGAAGCCGGAACCCATCCCCCGCCTGCTCTGGCGTACTCGGCATCCCGGTACCTCCCCCAGCCTTCACCCGGAGTCTGCTCCCTCCCCAGCCATCTGAGGGAGCGCGGTCTGGTCCCCGAAGGCAAATGCGGGGTGGACATGTGGTTCGGACGCAGCGCGTAGTCATAGTCATAGGGGCGAGTCCTAAGGCTCGCCTTGGGTCTCTCCTATCTCCTTCCCCCGGGAGTCCCCAGCTAGTGCGTTTCGGCACCTCTGCCCCTACCCCGGCCCCTACGCCTCAGCTCTGACCTCAGGTTGGGGTGGGGCAGCCCGGTGGATTCACGTGCCTGCTTCCCCGGCTACCAGCCTCCCGGAGGCACCGCCAGAGGATTCCCTGGGAGCCAAGGAGAAGGAAACCCAGAGGGAAAACACTCTCCAGCAGCCACCCTGGTCCAGGCGGCCAGCGCAGCACAGCTCAGAGGGGAGGAGCTGCAGGCCCTCTCCAAGGCTGTCCTCGCCAGCGGGTGCCCGGGGCCAGCCCTTCTTGCCTCCAGTGCCTGCCTTTCAGTTTCCTCGTCTATGGCCCAGGAGTCACTCCCACCCCCTGGCTCACTGTGGCTCATCTATCAAGCCCTTGTTTTCTAAGGTCTCCTGCTGGGGGCAAAGGGAAGAAGGGGGTCCTATAGGACTTTCCTCCTTTCCCTCAAGTTCCTCTCTAGGGGCTCCACAGAGGCAGTTGCCAGCTCCTTCTGTCATGGCAGGAGCTTTTCCTAGGAAATCCCATGTGCCCTTAGAAACCACTTTGGACCCCCGAATGTAAGACCCTGCCAGGCCCCATTGCTGTCCTCAGCTTCTGAAGGGAGAGGGCAGACTTGCACCGCTCTATGCAGATTCAGGACCACAGCGGGGTTCCAGGAAAGCAGGCTCATTTGGGGACTGATTCCAAGCAGGGTTCTGAAGAAAGAGCTAGCCCACTGCGCAGTGGCCCACCTGGAGAGGTAGCAGTCTCCTTTCCTGATGCCAGATCCAAGCAGAGGCTAATGCTGGAGACCAGCGATGCCCGTGGGAGAATCCCTGTAGCTAGAGGGAATTATCTGGAAGTAATTTATCCCTGTACCGCCTTGTGGGGTTGGGTGTTTCTTGCCCACTGCATGAGTTGGTATTACTCTAAGAGCGACAGATACATGTTTTCACATGCTTTCCATGTACTAGACACTTTCTAGGCATCAGTTCTCAACATGACAAAGAGATCCTTCTCAGGGAAATCAGATCCCTCTTCCACTGCTGAAAAACCCCACAGTGGCTCCCATTTCACTTGGCATAAACACCAGTGGCCTTGCAGTGGCTGCCAAGGTCAAACCATCTGCCTTTCTGCTTCCTGCTCACCCTTTTCCTTCATCTTCTCATCTTTTCTGTCTTCTCCATAGCTCACACTCCCCTAGCCACACTGTTCTCCTTCCTACAATGCAGCACACTGGGCATGCTTCTACCCCAGGGCCCTTGCACCAGCCGCACCATCTGGTTGACATGCTTCTCCCACAGATACTTGCTTGGCTAACTCCGTTGTGCTCTGGTTTTTGTCAAGCAGTCACCTTCTCCATGAGGCCCACCTGGGCCACCATATTTAACACTGCAGTCTACACTGCCTCTCCTCCCACCACCCAGCACTCCCAGGCCCTCACTCTGCTTCCTTTATTTTTTCCATTTCGCCAGCCATCTTCCAACACATGGGACCACATCCTTATTTATTGAGTGTCTTGTTGCAGGTCTCTAAGACTGTGCCTGCCTTGTTCACTGATGTATCTCTAGCGCCTACAACAGGGTCGGGCACAGAGTAGGAGCTCAGTAAATACTTGTGGAATGAATGAATGAGCTCATTTTACCTCAATCACAACTCCAGGGGTAGACATGGTGATTTCACTCCATTTTATGGTTGAAGCTCAGAAGCTTACGGAACTTGCCCAAGGTCACATAGTTAGTAAGTGGCTGAGTGACGCATCAACCCAAAGCCTGTCTTACTCTGGGGTCCTGGATCTTAACCAAAACACTAAGCTCTTCCCTCCTCCAGGTGAGCCCCTGGTCCTGATGCCTCGAGTTGGTGTGGAGAGCAAGGCCCTACCCTTGACTGATGGGAGCAAGGAGCAGCCTGAGCTAGACTTGTAGTCTCTTTCCTGTCTGTTCAGCTTGGTCTATCTGTTTTCTGCCCTGCCTTGTAGACTGTGATGAGAGCAGCTGACCCACCTTCACTATGGTTTTTTTTTTTTTTTTTTTTGACACGGTCTTTTTCTGTTGTCCAGGCTGGAGTGCAGTGGCACGATCTTAGCTCACTGCACCTCAACGTCCTGAGCTCAAGCACCTCAGCCTCCAGAGTTATCATGCTGACACCAGGAGGATTAGCCCACCATGCCTTGCTAATATATATATATTTTTTTTGTAGAGATGGGGTGTTGCTATGTTGCCTAGGCTGGTCTTGAACCCCTGGGCTCAAGCGATCCTTCTGCCTCAGCCTTCCAAGTAGCTAGGACTACAGGCATGCACCATCACACTTGGCTAATTTTGTGCTTAAAATTTTTGTAGAGGTGAGTTCTTGCTCTGTTGCCCAGGTTGGTCTTGAACCCCTGGGCTCAAGCCATCTTCGTGTCTCAGCCTTCTAAGTAGCTGAGACTACAGGCATGCGCCACCATACCCAGCTAATTTTTAAAATGTTTTTTGTAGAGATGGGGTCTTGCTGTTGCCCAGGCTGGTCTTGAATGCCTGGGCTCAAGCGATCCTTCTGCCTCAGCCTTCCAAGTAGCTAGGACTGCAGCCATGCACCACTATACCTGGCTAATTTTGTTTAAAATTTTTTGTAGAGGTGAGGTCTTGCTGTGTTGCCCAGGTTGGTCTTGAACCCCTGGGCTCAAGCCATCTTCCTGTCTCAGCCTTCTAAGTAGCTAGGACTACAGGCATGCGCCACCATACCCAGCTAATGTTTTATTTTTAATATTTTTTGTAGAGATGGGGTCTTGCTGTGTTGTGCAGGCTGGTCTCAAACTCCTGGCCTCAAACAGTCCTCCTGCCTCTGCCTCCCAAAGCACTGGGATTATAGGAGTGAGCCACCACACTGGCTTTCTCTGTGTCTTTAACTCCCAGCTGGGCCTGCCCATAGTTAGAGCCTAGCAAATATTCGGACAGGGAACCCTGCTAGGAGCACTTTGCCTCCCTTTTGCTGTGGGTTTTCTGTGAGCAGGGCAGGGATTTTGTCTCTTCGACTTAGCCCTTTGGCTAGTTGGAGGATTAGTGAGCTAAGACCAGACTGCAGCTCCTGCCAGTCAGAGGGCACTGGGTTCCTTCCCTGCCAGTCTCTGCCAAGCCTGGCTCCCCACTCCCTGCAGGGGAGCCATTTCCTTCTCACTAAGTCCTGGTGGGATGTGGTCTCTCAGTTGGAGACTCTAAAGAAGGTGGCTGGGGAGGAGCATGCGTGTCACTTCTCCCAAAGGGACACTAAGCTCTGCGGACACAGCCATTCAGGTCTACCTACTGTGGTATCTCTTGGGCTCCTACAAAGATGACCTGTTTGCAGTGAATCGTGGTTATGTGAAGCTATGGACTTGAGAGTATTTCATGATCATTTTGTTTCTAGTCCTGATTAATCATCAATGGGAACTAACACGGTTTTCCCCTCCCTCCATCCACAGCTATAAAATGCCTGTGGGGTCGCTGTGCACAGAGACCTGGAGGCAGATCCTCTTGTAATGTGGTTGATGGGGCCATGGGTTGGCTGCCCTGCCCAGTTGGCTGTGCCCGGGGGGCTTGCTTCTGCCAGGGCCTGGCTACTGTGTGCCCAGCCTCGGGGCTCTCACTCATTACCTATCATGAGCTGTTATTATAGGGCTGTGAGCTGGGGTGCTTGTCAATACCATTTTGTGGATGGATTCACTGGACTCTCAGAGGCACTTTAAAAAGCGCTATTTAAAAAGACTGCCCAGCCTCTTGTGAAAGCACCCTTAAATTACAGCCCTAAGTGAGTGTTTTTCCTGGAACTCACTTTCAAAATTTATTTATTTTAATGCTCAGGTCCTCTTGGAGTTGGGTTTCAGTATTCTTGTCTCGGATGACCTTTCTTGTCCTCCCTGTACCATGTACGGCAACATTGATTTTGGGTAATGTATTTTGATTTTAAGATGCAGCCCATCCATAAAGTTTTCTATCAATAATCCCAGCACACTCTGTGTACCCGACAGCTTATAGGAAAATAGGAGATTTATGGGGGCTTTTATTTTTGGCCAGTTTAGTCATTCACACGCCACCAGTGTCAGGGATAATGGCCTGAAGTCCGGTCCCAGGAAGACGCCCCTCCAAGGGCACACATCAGGTCATCGAGGGGTGGAGGCCTGGCCCTGCCTGGACCCTGACAGGGACTGCTGGGTACTGCTGGAGAGGGAAGCAGTGATTGATGCCCCTAAGACGGAAGGAGGGGCAAGTGAAACGGCTCACATTTTGGGTTCCTGGGGCCCTTGCTTGCCCCACGTCCTCAGCAACTTGGAGTGCTGAGTTCCAGGAGGAGGGTAGCAGGTGCCAGTCCCTGCATTGCATGGAGACAAGAGAGGGCCCCCTGCTGTCACCAGGGCCATCAGGGAGGCAGCCTGCCCTTTCCCGTGTGCGCTCGCACTTGGCAAAGCAGGCCTGCTCGTGGTCAGCCAGGGGTTGGCCAGCAGCAGCAAGAGGACTCACAGCTGCCAGGCCCCAGGGTCTGGCCTGACATTGCTGCATCGGTGCCATCACACTGCATCTTCAGAGCCTTGGGCTGTTTGCTTCCTTGTCACAGGCAGGATCAGTTGGGTTTGGGGATGGTCTAGAGAAGGTGAACACCACAGGAGAAACTCCAGGCAGGGCCTGTTTCACCCCAGACATTTTTCCAGCCAACATGTCCCGAAGACTGATCATTTATCTAGCATGTGTCTCATGATATGCTGGTGCAGGGGATGCTGCCATAAGCAAGACACACAGGCTTCCTGCCTGCAGGGAATTCGGATTTGCACCCGGGAGCGGGTGGAGACAGACCCCCAGAGAAGAAACAAAAACTAAGTCTGATATTTCACCCAGTGCTCGGTGCACACCCGCACGTAGTGGGAATTTTGGTGGTGGGGGAAGGTCTGGGGCTGTCAGCCAGGCAGACCTGGGGAAGGAAGAGTGCTTTTGGCAGAGGACACACGAGTGCCAAGCCCATGGGAGGAGACATGGGGGTAGAGCATGGCTTGTGAGCGAGGGGGGCTTGGTGGGACAGGAGGCAGGACAAGGGAAGCTGGGGCTTTGCAGCCACATCAAGGATTCCTGTGCCCAGAAGAGCGGGGCTCAGAGCTAAGCAAGATGTGGCCCTGGCTATGAGGCTCAGAGCCTCGTGGGGAATCAAGCTAAGCACATAGTGATCCCAGCCCTGGCAGGGGCCACCTGAAGAGGTGAGCAGTGGGTCCTGCCTGGGGAGGCTTCCTGAGTTCCGCCTAAGTGCAGAGTAGAATCTGGCTGAGCTAGGTGGGAAGGGGTTAGGGTACATCGGCATCCCAGACAAGCAGCTGCCTATGCAAGGGGGTACAGGCAGGAGATCTGGGGACTTCACTGGGACAAAGAGAAAACTCCAAGAAAGCAGGATCAGCAGAAGTGGCATTGGGGGACAGGACAGGGTAAGGCTTTGGACTTGGTGACAAGGAGGAGTTCTGACCCTGATGGCAGCATAGGGGGCAGTGGGAGCTGGGAAACTGCCATCCCCTAGAGGGGCGGTGGCTGGGAGCTGAGGGCAGAAGCCACGTGGTTGCCACAGACCCCTCCTTATTGGGTCCTGGCTCTGAGGAGAGACCATTTAATGTGTCCTCACCTCCCACCTTCCTCTGCTGGCCACCCCCTTTGCCTGCAGATCTGGCCCCAGCAAACAGCAGTGCATCTGGTGCAGTGAAGGTGGGTGGGTTTCAGAGCAGGCCCCTGTGCCCAAGTCCCAGGGCCAGCCTGCCTCGCCCCACCCTTCCTGGTTCCTCTGCCCTCCCTTGGGTGCCAGCCTCTGTGTTCTATAGGGAAAGCCCAGACGCTGTCTCTGATGAGTGTCATCAAAGCAAGATCCTGCCTCACGGCCTGGGCTGTGTATGGCCAAATAGACAATTAAGTAAAAAGCAAAACAAAGCAAAGCAGAACGAAGCAGAGTGGGGTCCAGGGCTATGGAGTCTGATGGACGTTGGCTCAGATCCTGGCTTTGCCTTGGCCTTGCAGAGCTTCGTTTTTCTCATCTGTAAAATGGGTGTACTGGCATTGCTGCCTGCAGTGGGTGAATGGGGGGATTGGTTTTGAGAGCCAGTCAGTCAGCACCTGGGGTGTGGCCCTAACAGCAACAGTCCACATGTTGGTGCATACGCCTTGCTAGCTTTGGTGATGTGAGGATGTAGCATGGGGTATTTGAGGGCATAGCCCAGCCACTTTTGAACCCAGGTGCTTAAGAGGGGTGGTGTTACTAAGAGGAGAGGAATGGCCAGAACTTGGAGGTGACTGGTGGAGCTGAGCACCCCCAAATTGATTTTATTACAGCCCCTGTGTGTGTGTGTGTGTGTGTGTGTGTGTGTTATTTAATCATTTGCCAAGATAAATCTTATAGACCCATGAAGAGTTTATTTTTTTTATTTTTAATATTCTCAATACACTTGGGGTTTTATTTCCCACTAGATCTATTAGTTTAATTTAGTAGAGGACAGACTGTATACTTAACAAAAAATTGCTTTGACATTATGGAGAATTAAGAGGCTGGGGCCAGATGGATCTCAGCAGATCGATCTGTTGGAGATAAAATCTGCTATTTCCCCGTGCGCTTCCTTCACCTTAATGGCAAGGCTGGTGATTAGAAATCATGGAGCCAGCTCGTCATGACCAAGGGTCGGCCAGAGGGTCAGGGCCCTGGCTCCCTTGTGCTCTCCAGACCCATGGAGAAGGCTACCTGCTGGCAGGATGCCTTTTAATGGTTCCAGTGGAGATGCTATGGGGGCCTGGGGCATCTGTGGCAGCTTCCCAGTGCTGGGTCCTGCCAGCCTTGGTCCCCTGTGACTGACCAACCTCCTGCAGGGTTGGTCTGATGTCGTCAGGGAAGCAGGAACACAGGGCGGGGAGCACGGTGCAATGGAGGCAGTGAAGGGGTGGTCAAAGCCTGGATGCAGACACTGCCACTGTTGGATCTGTGCTGAGTCTCTCCACCACACCGAGCCTTGGACCCTCTGCTCAGAGGGCACTGGGTTCCTTCCCTGCTCCCAGGGCTGCTGTGAGGTCCACCAGCTGATGCCCAGGAAGTAGCTTTGCAAATTGTCATGGGGTGCACTCAGGTCAATGTTCATGTTTCTGTGTCCCCTGAATTTCTGGATCCCGAGTGGCTCGGGAAATGCCAGTCACACTAAAGTGTGGCTTCTGATCCAAACCCCCAAGGTTCTGGCATCCCTTCTCCATCTTCCTGGGCCACCATCTAGAGGCTTCTGACCAGAGCATCCCTGAGAATGGGTCCTGGGGCCAGCTGGTGACACTGTGGACACAGGAGTTTCCTGGCTCTTGGTGGCTCGCCTCTGTGCCCTGGGGTGGCTCTGAAGGGTGGGGGAAGCAGAGGATCCTCCATCCCACCAACACTGTCCTGGGCTGAGTGGCCCCTGAAGGTCTAGGGCCCCACCTGGGGCTCCACGGTAGGGCACAGGATGTGGACTCCGTCCCACTTCACAACCCTCGTGGTTGCCAGCCTGGCTCAGGTCTGCACCTGCTTGCCTGCCTGTTCACACAGCTTTCCTGGCAGACTCTGGCCAGCTGCAGTCTCTCCTCCTCCAGGAAGACTTCCTCCTGCTTGCTTCCTCCTAACATGTTGGACTGCCCTTGTTTTTGTCCCTACATGAAGAACTGCCCTCGTGTCTGGCTTTAAGCTCTTATTTCAGGAAGGCCCTAGACCTGCTTTCATCTCAGGCCAGCTCCCAGAGTCTGAGGCTGCACCTGGGCTTAGCAGGAGAGTGTACCATGTTGCGATGTCTGCTGAGGGCTTGGGGGCTGGGGGAGGTGGCAGGATTCGCTACCTCTAGAGTGGCTTTCTGGGTCTCCCTGAGTACTGGAGGGAGCTAACGGCTTCTTGCACTGTCCCTCGAAGGCCAGCACAGGGCTGGCTCTATGCGCATGCAAGTCTGTGCCAGAGTTGATGGGCTCTGGGAGGCCCAATGTCCATGTGAGAGGCGGTGTGCTCGGGGAGGGGGCTGGGACCTGGCAGGGTCTCATTTCAGCCCACTCCCAGCTTCTGCCCAGGTGGGGTTACCTGGAAAAAAAGATGCATGCTCTGAGCCCTTCCAGGGCAGGAGCTGTGCTCTGGTCATCCTCGTACCTGCCTAGTCACCTTGCCTGGCACATGGCAGGGGTCAGTGGGTGCTGGGCTGCAGGAAGCTGAGGCCATTTCACATCTTCTGGTGGGGCCTCAGGCCCAAGCTGTTCTCTCAGAGGAACCTTGGTCTGTCCTGGTCTCATCCTAGGTGGTGGCCTCTGCACTGTGGGACTGCAGTAGGCACAGTACTGGGGTTTGAGGACAGTCACAACCTCCGGATTTGACATCATCTTTGGCTTCAGAGGTCAGTTCATTCCCCCACTGCAGAGAGCACATGTGGCAAATGGACCAACCAGGTGCAGAGGGATGGGGTGGTCCTGGGGGGGCTGTGGCCATCTAGGCCCTTTCTCCCCTTGGTGCTGACGTGGGGCCTGGGCGGAGCTCTGTGGTACTGCCGTGACCTTCATGCCTGACTTGTCCCCTTCGAGTCCCTCCTGCTGATAGACTGGCAGCTGCCAGCGCTGCGCGGTTTGTGAAATGTCAGTGGTTTAATATCAATTCTGGAGGTTTTATTGCCTTTCCCCCTGTTTTCCGATGGGATTTTGATCCAATCAAAGCCGATATAGAGTGATGGTAGATTTGTGTTCCGGTCCGAAGTTGGCAAAAGGTCACCGTGCCTGGGGAGCTGGGGCTGCCTGGCCTCGTGTACATGTGGCTGCTGTCCCCCTAGGCTCTGTAGGCAGACCACGCTTCCCCAGAAGCGCAGGGTCAGGTGGACACAGACTGCTCCCCCGGGGCCTGCTGGCTGGGCCAGGGTACCTGCGGGTTTAAATTCAGCAATCACCAGCCACAGAAAGCCCTGGTTTTATTTGCAAAACATCTGTGATGCTTCAGATCTAGCTTAATTTTTCACGGTAATGTTGCAAAATGTCATTTTTCCATTTCAAAATAAAAATAAAAAGCCCTATTGATTGAGATTCTCTGTCTGGGGAGAGCCCCGGCGCCGGGCCACACTGGCTTGTGCCCCCTAATCCCCCTTTCCCTCCTCTCTCCGGCTGGGCTCTCTGTACTCACCAGCAAGTGCCACTCGCTGTCCGGCTCCTTCCAGGACCCGGGGCCGGTGAGGGGGGATAATGGGTGCAAGATTCTTTGTCAAGTTTTGAGCTGGTCCCATGCCACTTTAGACAAGTGGTATCTAGAGGTTTTATCCAGCTTGGCGAGTCTCTAGGGAGTGCCTGCTGTGTGAAAGGCCTGGTGCTGGCTTGGAGGTGGGTGGTGGGGGGCACACCTGGATGGAGGACCAGGCCTTGCTGGGCTCAGAGCTCTCACTTCTTTGCTGTGGAAGGGTTGGTCCCGTGTGATTGCAGTGGTGCCATCGGTCTACACCGTGGCTTCCAGAGCCCTTTTGGCTGGGGGATGGGCAGAGAGATACTAGGGTGAGCAGGCTGAGGGGACAGAGGGGCAGGGGATGAGTGACAGAGCTGGGGGAGGCCTGGTGAGAGATGAGAAAGGGAGCGGCAAGTGCACCTGGAGGGTTGGCAGGGGCTAGAGTTCCCCCACACCTGGAGTGTGCCTGGAGGGTCGGTAGGGGCATAGTTCCCCCACACCTGCCTCCCTGTCTCTGGGCCTGGGGAGGGACCCAGAGGTTGGCCACCCAGAGGTTGGCCACCCCTGGGTCTCAGCCTCAAGCACCACCCTTTCCCATGGCTATGTGTCCCCTAACTCTTCTAGGTGCTGGGGTCCCAGGGGTGTGACCTCAGGACACAGACAGCAGGTATGCAGAGAGGATGTGTATGTGTGTGCACACACTTGTATGCGGACAGTATACCCGTGTGTGGATGGCATGCCTATTGTGTGCAGACAGAGAGCGTGTGTGCAGATGGGGAGTCCCCTGTGTGTGTGTGTGTGCGTGCACACACACAAATAATGTCTGCTGGCATAGAGGAGTGACAGCTGATGTGAGCAGATGACACAGTGTGTATAATGACATGCCCAGAGTGTGTGCAGGCGGTATGTATGTATACAGAATGTGTGTGTGTAGGGAAAAGGCAGCAAGGTGTGTTCCAGCCAAGAGGCCGGCAGTCCGTGTGAGGCAACAGGAAAGTGGAGACCTTGCTCTTGGAAGAGACCGTCTCCTTCCTCCTCATCCTCACTCTCTGTCTTCCTCATGTCCCCCTCTCCTTCTTCCTCATACCCTGTCTCCTTCCTCCTGATTCCCCCTCTCCTTCCTCCTCATCCCCCCATCTCCTTCCTACTCATCCCTCTCTTCCTCCTCATAACCCCTCCCCTTCCTACTCATCCCCCCTCCTTCCTCTTCATCTGCCCTCTCCTTCCTCATCCCCTCTCCTTCCTCCTCATCCCCCTTTCCTTCCTCCTCATCCTCCTCTCCTTCCTCATCTTCCCTCTCCTTCCTCCTCATCACACCTCTCCTTCCTCCTCATCCCCCCCTCCTTCTTCCTCATCCCCTGTCTCCTTCCTCCTGATCCCCCCTCTCCTTCCTCCTAATCCCCCATCTCCTTCCTCCTCATCCCCCCTCCTTCCCCCTCATCCCCCATCTCCTTCCTACTCATCCCCCCTCCTTCCTCCTCATCCCCCCTCCTTCCCCCTCATCCCCCCTCCTTCCTCCTCATCCCCCCTCCTTCCCCCTCATCCCCCCTCCTTCCCCCTCATCCCCCCATCTCCTTACTACTCATCCCCCCATCTCCTTCCTCCTCATACCCCCTCTCCTTCTTCCTCATCCCCCCTCTCCTTCCTCCTCATCCCTCCTCCTTCTTCCTCATCCCCTCTCTCCTTTCTCCACGTCCCCCCTTTCCTTCCTCTTCATCCCCCTCTCCTTCCTCCTCATCTTCCCTCTCCTTCCCCCTCATTACACCTCTCCTTCCTCCTTATCCTCCCTCTTCTTCCTCCTCATCACCCCTCTCCTTCCTCCTCATCCCCCTCTCCTTCCCCCTCATCTCTCCTTCCTTCCTCCTCATCACCCCTCTCCTTTCTCCTCATCCCCCTCTCCTTCTTCCTCATACCCTCCCTTCTTCCTCATCCCCTGTCTCCTTCCTCCTGATTGCCCCTCTCCTTCCTCCTAATCCCCCCTCCTTCTTTCTCATCCCTCCTTCTCTTTCCTCCTCATCCCCCCATCTCCTTCCTACACATCGCCCCTCTCCTTCCTCCTCATCTCCCCTCCTTCCTCCTCATCCCCCCTCCTTCCTCCTCATCCCCCCTCCTTCCTCCTCATCCCCCCTCCTTCCTCCTCATCCCCCCTCCTTCGTCCTCATCCCCCTCTCCTTCCTCCTCATCTCCTGTCTCCTTCCTCCTCATCCCCTCTCTCCTTCCTCCTCATACCCCTCTCCTTCCTCCTTATCCTCCTCATCCCCCTCCTTCCTCCTCATACCCCTCTCCTTCCTCCTTATCCTCCTCATCCCCCTCCTTCCTCCTCATCCCCCTCTTCTTCCTCCTCATCCACCCCTCCTTTCTCCTTATACCCCCTCTTCTTCCTCCTCATCCCCCCTTCTTCCTCCTCATGCCCCCTCTACTTCCTCCTCATCCCCCTTCTTCTTCCTTCTCATCTCCGCTCTCCTTCCTCCTCATCTCCCCTTTTTTCTCCTCATCCCTGTTCATCTTCCTCCTATTCCCCCTTTCCTTCCTCCTCATCCCCTGTCTCCTTTCTTCTCATCCCCCTCTCCTTCCTCCTCATCCCCCACTCCTTCCCCCTCATCCCTGGTGTCCTTCCTCCTCATCCCTATCTCTTTCCTCCTCATCCCCCCTCTCCTTCCTCCTCATCCCCCCTCTCCTTTCTCCTCATCCCCCTCTCCTTCCTCCTCATCCCCCCTCCTTCCTCCTTATCCCCCCTCTCCTTTCTCCTCATCCCCCCTCTCCTTCCTTCTCATCTCCCCTCTCCTTCCTCCTCATCCTTCCTCTACTTCCTCCTCATGCCCCTCTCCTTCCTTCTCATCCTCCCTCTCCTTCTTCCTCATCCCCTCTGTCCTTTCTCTTCATCTTCCTATCCTTCCTCACCATCCCTCTCTCCTTCCTCCTCATCCCCCCTCTCCTTCCTCCTTCTCCAAGACTTCCTTTCTTCTTATTACCCTTTCCTTCCTCCTCATCCCTCTCTCCTTCCTCCTCCTCCCCCATCTCCTTCATCCTCATTTCCTGTCTCCTGCCTCCTCATCCCCCCTCTCCTCCCTCTTTATCCCCCGTCTCCTTCCTCCTGATCCCCCCTCCTTCCTCCTCATCCCCTCTCTCCTTTCTCCTTATACCCCTCTTCTTCCTCCTCATTCCTTCTTTCCTTCCTCCTCATCCCCCTTCCTTCCTCCTCATTCTTGTTCTCCTTCTTCCTCATCCCCCTCTGCTTCCTCCTGATCCCCCCTCCTTCCTCCTCATCCCCCCCTTTCTCCTTACACCCCTCTTCTTCCTCCTCATTCCTTCTTTCCTTCCTCCTTATCCCCCCTCCTTCCTCCTCATCCTTGTTCTCCTTCCTCCTCATCCCCCTCTCCTTCCTCCTCATCTTCCCTCTCCTTCTTATACTCCCTCACCTTCCTCCTCATCCCCCTCTCCTTCCTCCTCATCTTCCCTCTCCTTCCTCCTTATACTCCCTCTCCTTCCTCCTCATCCTTCCTCTCCTTCCTCCTCATCCCCCTTCTCCTTCCTTTTCATCCCCCCTTCCTCCGCATCCCCCCTCCTTCCCCCTCATCCCCATCTCCTTCTTCCTCATACCTCCTCCGTCCTACTCATCCTCCCTACTTCCTCCTCATCCCCCCTCCTTCGCCCTCATACTCCCTGTCCTTCCTCTTCATCCTCTTTCTCCTTCCTCCTCACCCTCCCTCTTCTTCCTCTTCATCCCCCTTTCCTTCCTCCTTTTCTCCCCTCCTTCCTCCTCATCCTTGCTCTCCTTCCTCCTCATTCCCTATCTTCTTCCTCCTTATCCTCCCTCTCCTTCATCCTCATCCTCACTCTCTTTGCTCCTCATCACCCCCTCCTTCCTCCTCATCCTCCTTTCCTTCCTCCTCATCCCCCTCTCCTTCCTCATCCTCCCTCTCCTTCCAACTCATCCTCGCTCTTCTTCCTCCTCATCCCCCTCCTTTCTCCTCATCCCCGCTGTTCTCCTTATTTCCCCTCTTCTTCCTCCTCATCCCCCCTCTCCTTTCTCCTCATCCCCACTCTCCTTCCTCCTCATTCCCCCTCTCATTTCTCCTCGTCCCCACTCTCCTTCCTCCTCATTCCCAGTCTCCTTCTCTTTTCCTCCCTCCACCTCCCATCCTTCCTCTCACCTCCTCCTCCTGCTTTCTTTTCTTTTCTTTTTTTCTTTTTCTTTTTTTTTGAGATGGAGTCTCACTTTGTCGCCCAGGCATGCAGTGGCACGATCTTGGCTCACTGCAACCTCCACCTCCTGAGTTCGAGCGATTCTCCTGCCTTACTCAGCCTCCTGAGTAGTTGGGATTACAGGCATGCACCACCATACCCAGCTAATTTTTATATTTTTAGTAGCGACAGGGTTGCACCATGTTGGCCAGGCTGGTCTCAAACTCTTGACCTCAGGTGATCCACCCACCTCGGCCTCCCAAATTACTGGGATTACAGGTGTGAGCCACCACACCCTGCCCCATCCTGCTTTCTTCTAAGGGCACACTTTCCCTCCTGGGGTCACAATTCTGGGCCCGACTTCCCTTTCTTCCTCATTTCTCAGAACAGTCCTCCTTCCCTTGCTGGGCTGCTCTTGAGGGCAGAGTGGATGGTGACCCTTCCCCTCCACGCCAGGCAGGCTTGGGGTGGCCAGAAAGACCTGCTCCCCAGGACTTGCCCTAGCCGCAGAAGAGGGGACCCCCTGCCCGTGCAGCCCCAGGGCTTCTTTCCCTCCCCTGCTGCCTGGAAGGTGGCGTCCGAGAGCTCTCAGAGGCTTGGGGCCCAGCATGTGGATTTGTAGGCCATAAGGGGCAGGAGGACAAGCAGGGAAATGGGTGGAGGGGCCTGCAGGGGACAGGCAGACATGGAATGGGGTGTTGGGGGGCGGGCCTGAGATGCTGGGGATTGGCAGGGCCTGGAGCCACATTGCCCTCCCGCATTCCTGGGGTGGGAGCTGCTGGGCTCTGGCCTGTGGCTGCCCTGTGGAGAGCAAGCCCTGCGTGGCCAGCTGCCCCAGTGTTTCAGATGAAGCTGGAAACCCAGATTTTTATGTAAAATCTAATTGTTATATGTTGGTTCTACTGCAAAAATAAACGCTGCTGGGTCTGCAGGCTGATGTGAGGGCCCAGCTTGCCACCTCTGTTCAGCCTGCATGGGGCTCTAGGCCTCCTCTGTCCAGCCCCAGCTGTGGCTCCCTGGGCAGGATACTTTGGTGTGGCATCCAACCAGAGGGTCTGAGGTGTGTCCTTGCCCACTCTCCTCTCAGCCTTATTAAAACCTGTGGTGACAGGCCAAGTGCAGTGGCTGACACCTGTAATCCCAACACTTTGGGAGGTTAAGGTAGGCAGATTGCTTGAGCCCAGGGGGTTGAGACCAGTTTGGGCAACATGGCAAGACCCTGTCTCTACCAAAAAATACAGAAAATTAGCTGGGTATGGTGGTGCGTGCCTGTGGTCCCAGCTACTCAGGAAGCTGAGACAAGAGGATCACTTGAGCCTGGGAGGTGGAGGCTGTAGTGAGCTATGATTGCACCACTGCATTCCATCTGGATGACAGAGTGAGACCCTGTCTCAAAAAAATACCTGTGGGGACAGTGATAGAGGACGGGGGAGAGTTGGGCACCCTCATGCCAGCTGTGGGGATGCTTGTGAGA
This sequence comes from Homo sapiens, assembly GCF_000001405.40. NCBI lineage: Eukaryota > Metazoa > Chordata > Mammalia > Primates > Hominidae > Homo > Homo sapiens. The sequence continues at coordinate 29,510,197 of NC_000019.10, read as the reverse complement.
CTTGAAGTGCCTGTGAGCTATGTTCCCCATGGGTTCGCAAACTCACCTGAGTTTTTAATCTATTTCAAGTTTGGGTGAGGATGTTACCCCTGAATTTGGCCTTTTTTTCAGTCCTGTATCTAAGTTACCCTCTCACCTGTGCCTGGCACTGGAGCATTTGAGCCCAGGAATAATCGCGGATGGTGCTGGTCACAGGGAAGCATCTGGCAGGTGGTGCTGGCTGCAGGGAGGCGTTTGTGCGTTGCTCTGCCTGGGAGGGCTGTGCACCTCTGCAAGTCAGGTTCTGTGCTCTCCTTTCACCCTCATGCCAATGCTGTGCCTAGAATTCCTCTCCTTTTTACAGACAAGAAACCGAGCTCGACGCAAGAAGAAGTAGCTGGAGCCCCAGCCCTGAGGTCCCTGCCACTGCCTACTTAGCTCCTCACTCCTGGGCTTGAGGGTCCCAGGCTGGAGAGGACAAAGGGCTTGCCCCATTCCCAGGTCTTCCTGCACAGGCCTACAGGGGCCACCACCCATCTTCCTTCCCTGCACAGCAAGGCCTCCCTGCCTCCTGGACAAGTGTGTCTTCTGCGTGGACTTCCAGGCCACCCTGTCCCGGAATTGGCTCCTGCTGAGGTGCCTCAGTGCTGGCGTGTTCTCAAATTCGAGGTGCACGTGTTAGTCCTCATCTTGACTTTCTAGCTTATTAGGCTGAGCTCTGCTTTCTGAAGCTCTGGGTTTCTGTGACCAGATCTCTTTACTTTCCTCTAGTGACTCTGGCCACACATCTCCGTCTCCTTGTAAGTTTTCTGGTGGCCGCCTTTGTCAAACCCCAGAGTGTAGGGGTTCCCCACAGCTCAGTGCCGTGCCCTCTTCTCTAGCTCCAGATGGAGGTGGTCCTTTATCTTGGTGGGCTTCCATGGAGATGTCACAAGGGAACTTCACAGTGTTCATATGAAGCTGGTGATTTTCCTTCGCAAGCCAGGCTCTCAGCAGGGGCTTGAGGCTGGTCTACTATGAGCCTGGTAGTTGCTTCTGTTTTTTGTCTTGGTAATTGGCCTGACACCCACATAGCCCAACATGAGGGATCCCTGATGCCTTTCCCTCCCTACCCTCTGCGGCCTATTGCTGAGATCTGGGCTGTTACCTTTGGGACAGCTCTCAGATCTGTCTATTTCTCTTCACCGCCTCAGCCTCCAGCCTCGTCCCGGCCCCTGTTGCCTCTCCCATGCCCTGACACCTAGTACTGCGCTTCCTCATAGAAGAGGCTCTGTGAGCAGTTGGAGGGGCTCTCCTGCACTGAACGACACATCCTTCTGACTGTGTCCTTCAGGGCTTGGGCTGTATCTGCAGACAGATGTCTGTGATTTCTCTGCCTCTGTTGCCGTGGTGCCGTTCAACTCTGAGATGCCACCCAGACCCAGGAGGTTCCCACGGGCTCACTCTGCCAGGATGTCTGTGCCTCCTCCTCCTCAGAGTCATCACTTCCATTTGTTTTATTCTTTTAAAATTTATTTCAGATTTGGGGGACACATGCGGGTTTGTCACATGGGTATATTGAGTGATACTGAGGTTTGGGCTTCTGATGACCCCTTAACCCAAACAGTGAACATAGTACCTGATAGGTGGTTTTTCAACACACACTGCCCACCCTCTTGTAGATCCCAGTGTCTGTTGATCCCATCTCCATGTCCATGTGTACCTGGTGTTTACCTCCCACTTGTAAGTGAGAATATGTGGTATTTGGTTTTCTGTTTTGGTGTTAATTCCCTTAGGATATAGCCTCCAGCTGCATCCACGTTGCTGCAAAGGACACAATTTCATTCTTTTTTATGGCTGCATAGTATTCCATGCACTATCACTTATTGAGTACCTACTGTGTACCTGACAGAGAGGAGGTGTGCAATTAAGTGTTTCTTAGATTAACAAGTGAATGAAGGCATACATATATTAACTTACCCTATAAGAAAGTTACTATCACCATTCTCACCTTGCACATGAAAGTCTAAGTTCTAGAGCCATTTTGTAAAATAATCAAAAGACGTGATGCTGGTCCACAGTGCAGTTGATTCTGAGCCTGTCCCACCAGCCAGGAGAGGCCACATCAGAGCTGTCCAGGGTCCCCCCTCAGCGTGATCTTGGTCTCCTCCACCTTCTCTCCCCATTGGAGCATTTCCCCTCTTAGCGCCTCAAGTTAGGGACTGTGTAGACACAGCCATTAGGTTAGTCAGTGCAGACTCTGGTGAGCAACTGGATAATTATTCCCAAAAATATTGACTTGTGATGTGAAGAAACTCCTCTCCATGCCACCCATCAGCAGAAAATTGCCTTTGGTATTAACATTTCATCAACCGCATAATGTGAATTGATGTAAATGCGTAATTAGAAATAATAGCCTGGGAAAATTTGCTCTTATTTATAAAATTGGGCTTCTTAAATTAAAATGGAAGCTAATGACTTCCACGTACTGTTACAACATGTCTGAGGCTTGGCCCGCTCTGCTCTTGGAGGCTCTTCATCACGTCGGAGGGCGCTGGGGGCATCAACAGCTCTGTGGGGTGACCCTGGAGCAGGGACGTCCCCCGAGGCGGCATGGACACCACCTGTCCTAAAGATGGCTCTCCAGCAACGTGAATAGGCCTCGCAAACACCTCTTCATCAACACGACAAAAGGCAGTCTCCCAGGAAGGAAGGCGCAGTGACAATTTTCTGGGCTCTCATTCTTCCCTAGAGTGGAACGGGGACCAGCCTGCCGGCTCACCTGTGTGCCAGGGAGGTCATGGGCTTTCTGTGTGGAGGTAAGCCCCTGCTCGCCTGTCTCACTGGGCCCATCCCACAACCTCAGACAGGGAACCATGAGTCAGGCCTCCCCAATCAGGACACTCTGGCCCCTGACTGCAGTAATAGGGTCAAGGGTGCACGGTGTCCCGGCTGGACCTGCGTGCATCATGATGGTGAGCTTGGCCAGAGTCACCAGGAAAGTGGCACTCCTTTGTCCCCAGCAAGGCGGGCTGTGAGGATGGCCAGAGCCGGCTCTGCACCATTTGGGGACAAGCCGGAGCAGAGATCCCGAGAGCTGACTCCCGCGATGCAGCCGTGCTGGGAGAGAGGTGCACCCTGCATTCCTCAATTCCGTGGACCTTACTACCTTCCTGTTGCATTCCACACTCCAGTTGGAGCTCAGTTTTCTGAAACAGAAAGAGTCCTGGCAGTCTCTATCCAGGTCTTTATCTCCCATTAAAAATCACTCATTAAATAGCAGCTGCTGCTACATTTAATAAGACCCAGTTTACATGATCCCCTATCTCTCCTAGAAGGGCTCAATGATCTGCAAACAGCCTCACCTACCAACCCTATTGGCATGTCATCTGCCCCTTCCTGGAGGGCCCAGACTTCACCTTCCTGGGATTGTGGGTCCCACGTGTTCTGCAGCTGAGCCCTGGAGGGCCTGGTGTGCAGGGAGCTTCTGCTGGAACCTGGGGTGAAGTCAGTGGGAAGAGGGCCTGCCTTGGGCTGCCCTGGGGTGTGTGGTAGAGATTGGTGCAGACATAGGTGGATTTTTTATTTTAATTTAATTTCTATTTTTAAGAGTTGGGGTCTTGCTCTGTCGCCCAGGCTGGAGGTGCAGTGGCATGATCACGGCTCACTACAGCCTCGATTTGCTGGGCTCAGGTGATCCTCCTGCCTCAGCATCCTGAGTAACTGGGACTACAGGTGCATCCTACCACATCCGGCTAATTTTTTAATTTTTTGCAGAGACAGGGATCTCACTGTGTTGTCCAGGCTGGTCTCAAACTCCTGGGCTCAAGCTATCCTCTTGCCTTGGCCTCCCAAAGTGCTGGGATTACTGGTGTGAGCCACCGTGCCCAGCCTGGATTTCTCATCTCCAAAGAAAGGTGTATGATTAACGATAAGGCCCATGGAAGAGGAGTCATTCAAAAGAGACTCTCTCCAGATAGTTTCTGTCCTGTCAGTTTTCAGAGAAGGGCCCCGGGGGTCCTGGGATGGTGCATTTGGGCTCTAGTGGGGCAGAGCTGATCCTAACTCCGCCTCCAGTGCCTCCCCTTGGATGCCTTCCCGGGGTCTTGGGACCCGCACTGTGGGTGGCCACACACACTGTTTCCTAGGCCGCGCAGGGCGTGCTGGGGCGTGGGTCTACCCTCCAATCAGACGGAGTTCTGAAGGCTCTGTCTGGCCTTGTTCCACCATGTCCTGCTACCCTCCTCACTTAGGGAGTCCAAACTTTTATTTATTTATTTATTTATTTATTTATTTATTTATTTATTTATTTTTGAGACAGAGTCTCACTCTGTCACCCAGGCTGGAGTGCAATGGCGTGATCTCGGCTCACTGCAACCTCTGCCTCCTGGGTTCAAGCGATTCTGCTGCTTCAGCCTCCTGGGTAGCTGGGAATACGGGCGTCCACCACCACGCCTGGCTAATTTTTATATTTTTATAGAGACAGGGTTTCGCCATGTTGGCCAGGCTGGTCTCGAACTCCTGGCCTCAGGTGATCCACCAGCCTTAGCCTCCCAAAGTGCTGGGATTACAGGCATGAACCACCGTGCCTGGCTGCGAGTCCAGCCATTCAAGGAGACAGGCAGCATCGTCCTTGAAGCTGTCCCTCTGCTAGGACGAAGGGGAAATTCTTCACCTCCTCTTTTTTTTCAATGGAGAAACCTGAGGCCAGATTAGGGAAGGGGCTGGCCCAGGGTCACACAGGGGTCAGAGGTGGAGAATGGGTTGAGCTGGTGGCTGGGAGGCTTGCTTAGGACCAGGGCTGCCTCCCTCTTCCTGGCCCCACCTGCCCACCCCAGGCTGTACAGGACCCTGAGCAGTCATCCCTGGGCCTCCCCTGGCCTCTTCCCTCCTCCTGTCCCTCCCCCAGAGACACAGGTTCCCTTTTCATGTGGGAAGAAAGCTGCCCACTTGTCTGCAGGAACAGCTGGGCCTTGTCCCCTCAGCTGTGGCTGGGAGCCTGCCGCGGACTGCACAATCCTGGCTGTGTCCTGGGGACCCTGGCACTGACGGAATTGCCTTGGCTCAGGCCCAGGAGCTGCAGGGGGCCTTGGGCCAGTGGGGTTGAGGCGGGGCCCTCTGGGAGCCCATTTCTTCAGACCTCTGCTTTCTCTCACACCCGGGGGCTGGTACCGGCAGAGGGGAGGGACACTGAGGCTGAGGCTGAGGCTGAGGCCGGAGAGCAGGGCCTGCTCCCTTATCACTCCTAGGGGATGTGAGCCACAGAGAGAAGCAGCTGCAGATTTGCTCCCCACATAGGCCCCCTCCCTGAGCTTGAGTCCCCCAGGGGGCCTGAGGCTCTTCTATAGGTGCACAGGGGAAGAACAGACGGAGACAGTAGAGTCAGGGACAGGTCCCCATCTAGGCCTTGAGGGTAGCGTTTATTTCTGGCTCTTCTGACTTCAGCCCATGAGGCTGGGCAGCTCCTCCCACTGTGCTGTCCCCAGGGCAGAAGCCTTGACATGCTGTTGAAGGCCACTGCATCCCCACTGGCCAGCCCTGCCTCATCTCTCTCCTTGGGCTGGCCTGTGCACTGAGCCAGGTTTCCTCCTCGGCCCATAGATGAAGGGTTTGCTTTGAACCCGCATTCTATCAAGTGCTCTGCAAACAGCACCACACACAGCATCAGGAGGCCAGCGCTGTGCCAGTCCTGACTGTGCAGACGCAGAGGCGAGACTCAGGAAGGTCAAGCAGCTTGCCCAGGGCCACAGCTGGCCACAGGTCCTTTTCACGCCGAAGCATGTGCTCAGGACCAGTGGGTTCCACCGCTGCTCCATGGCTGCTCCAGGTGTCTTGGTTCCAGCTGCCGTTTCTTCTGCCTGGAAAGTTGTTTTCTTTATCCAGATGACAACTGATTATTGAGTCCTTCCCCTGTGCTTATTCATGGTCTTCCATTCTAGAGGGGCAGAAAGATGATAAATGTGAATAAAGAGAAAAATCAGACAGTAGAGAATTGAAAGAGGGGTGTGCTTTGGGCGTGACTGGGGGTGCACTTGAGCAGCAAGGTCAGGGACCGTTACTGGGGACTGGATGACAAGGTTGGGGAACAGCTTTGTAGAAAGCAGAGGAAAGCATACTGGGAAGTGGGGAGAGCCATGCAAAGGCCCCGGGGTGTGGCGAGCACCGTGTACCCTGAAAATGGTGAGCTGTGCGTCTGGGACTGCAGGAGTGGGTGCAGGGGGCGTGGAGGATACATGATTGCTGAAGCTGCTGCCAGGAATGGGCGTCCATGTGGCTTTACGTCCCTGGACTCGCTTGTCCTGTCTGGGCATTGGGTCCCCAACAGCCCCCTGCTACCCAGGTACCAAAGCTGGAGAGGAGTCATGGGGACGGGCAGACATCTCCACTCAAGTAGCTGAAGGCTTGCCATAATCAGAAGAGTCAACCTGCTGCGTGTGGCCCCAGAGAGATGGGACTGATTGTGGGAGGTGAGTTTGGGAGTGTTTAGCAGCTGCAGATATTTGGGAATGAGAGGGGTCATCTGAGAGACAGTGAGCTGCCCGTCCCTGGCAGAATCTAAGGGAGCTATGCCTCGAGTCAGAAACTGTTCGAACAGCTGACCCCAGGGGACGGAGCAGAGGGAGCTGGGGCACTGAACTGGGTGGGACTGGCTCACCCTGGGGGCTCTTTAGTGCCATCTGAGCTGGAGGAAGGGTGCATGCTCCGTGCAGACCAGGGCCTTCGAGTGCTTGGGCCACATTGCAGGGCTGGCTCTGAGGTCTGGGACAGAATGTGTCTGGTGCTTAATAAATTTTGTAGCTTGATTGATTTCATCCTAGCCCTGGAGGAAAGTGAAGGGAAGATTTCTTGGTTTGAGAAGACCAAATTAGGAACAGATGTCTTTTCAAGCTATTAATAGGCGGTTGGGGAACAATGGGGCTTATTTTTAAAGGAGCCCATAGCATGCCGGTTGCCGCCGTCCACTGGAACGTTCCATGTTGGAGCATTTTGTATTCTTGAGGGTGGAGAGTCAATGACTGGGTCCCCCAATGCTCCACTGAGGTCACGATCCAACAGGTCAAATTTAACCTCTTCCTCTAAACCACTCCATTTCCCATCAGGGGCTCCAGAACACCCCACGATTCTGATAAGTGGGTACTGCCAAGAATGCTTTCTTTCCAGAGAAGGTGTGGTTCAAGATGTGCACTAATTGGCCCGAGTCACCCTTTGATTCTTCAAGACAGAAGCCTGGGGTTTGGCTCTTAGGCAAATCAGTATAAACCACCACGGAAGCTATTAGCAGCATTGGTAGCAGGATTCACAACTGCAATTGTTGGAAATGAAAATTGTCGATGGCTCTGTGCATGCGTGCTTTCTCTCTCGATTGCAATTTAAAAACTAACACCACTTAGCTCATCAAAAATAATCCTAGTGAGGAAAATGGCTTTGTTTTAAAAGATCCCCAACATTTTGCCTTAATGTGTTCCTTTGAAGAAAGTAAAGTTAATTATGATGCAGGCAAGAGAGTTATCTGACTTGATGTAACAGGGTGGATTGTGTCTGTGTCCCCACCCTGTAGTGTGTACGGACATGGTGGTGGAGAGAGTTCTATTCTGGGGCAAGTGCGCCTTCCGGGCAGGCCACTTGGGCAGTCAGCTTCCCAGGCTCATGGTGGCTGCAGGAAATGCAGCACCCCAATACCCTTGCTGACTGTTGGTCATTTTTGAATGAGGCCCAAGTTTCTCTCTGGGACTGAGCCCTGCTGGGATGCCTGCCCCCTCCCTGTCACTGGGGCTTGTCTCAGCCCTGCAGAAGTGCCTGCCTGGAGACACAGTGGATGCTGTTGGCATGCCCCCTGTACCTCCTGGACACGCACGGCCACCCTGCACACCAGCCACCTTACCCTCGGTTCCTGTGACTCAGCCTGTGGGCTCCCTATAGCCACGGAGGCGTGTGGGCATCGGCATCCCAGGAGTGGCTCCAGCCAGTGACGGATGAATGGAGTGGATGGATAAATGCCGCAGCTTCCTCCCGTCTTATGTGGCCCAGCTCTGAGATGTGTCCTGCGCAGTTGCCAGGGGTGTCTTGCAGGCTCAAACCCCCATTGCCCACCAGTGACCTGCTCGCCACCACCTCCCGTGTCCTTTCTCCCCTGTCTCACTTCCTATTCCATTCATGAAAGGACTGAGCTTACAGCCGGGTAGGGGGTTGGAGAGGCCGAGAGGATGGGGGGCATCTGGTGGGGTCGGGAGGTCTGGCTGCTGCTCTGTGGGCGTGGTAGGGTGCCTGGGTCTGGGCACTGCCCAGTGACTTGAAGGGTACATCACCTGCCGGCTTCTCCCTCCGACCCCACTCATGGGGGCTCCTGGCATGCTCAGTGGATGAGTGTGTGCTTCTCTGAGGCTGAGGGGTTGAGGGCCCTGCTCAGGGCACATCTTTCTGGGGAGGGGCACCTTTGCCCCCACTTTCTTTCCACTGCACATCAGTGCAGTTCGGGATGAAGCCAGGAAAACACCCTGAGATGGTTTGTGTGTGCGTCCCCGCCAAATCTCATGTTGAAATGTGACCCTCAGTGTTGGAGGTGGGGCCTGGTGGGAGGTGTTGGGTCCGGGGGCAGATCCCTCAGGAATGGCTTGGGCCATCCTGGAGGTAACGAGGGAGTTCTCGCCCTGTTACCTCGCTTGAGAGCTGGTTGTTTAAAGGAGCCTGGCCCCTCCCCGCCTTTCCCACCATGTGACATGCTGGCACCTCCATCACTTTTCCCTATGATTGGAAACTTCTTGAGGCCTCCCCAGAAGCAGATGCCAGCGCCATGCTTCCTGGACAGCCTGCAGAACCGTGAGCCAAATCAACTTCTTTTCTTCATAAATTCTCCAGCCTCAGACATTCCTCTCTGGCAACATAAAACAGACTCACAGTCCCGTCCAGATGCTAAAGCCTGTGCAGGGTCCACACTCAGGGTCTGTTCTTGCCAGTAAGAAGAGCCCAGGGCTGGGCATGGTGGCTTATGCCTGTAATCCCAGCACTTCGGGAGGCCGAGGCAGGTGGATCACCTGAGGCCTGGAGTTCGACACCAGCCTGGACAACATGGTGAAACCCCATCTCTACTAAAAAATAAAAAAATTAGCCGGGCTTGGTGGTGGCCACCTGTAATCCCAGCTACTTGGGAGGCTGAGGCAGGAGAATTGCTTGAACCCAGGAGACGGAGGTTGCAGTGAGCCAAGACCATACCATTGCACTCCAGCACGAGCGACAGAGCGAGACTCTCTCTCAAAAAAAAAAAAAAAGAGCTGACACGGAGATGCTCTGAGGCCATGGCCCTGAAGTGGGCATCATGCACTTTGCTGAGTGCTGTCTTCTTGTTGGCACCAGCAGCATCCTTCCTCTTGGGGGGGACATCTTCCCTTACTCACCATCCAGGTCCTGGGGGCAAGGATGGGGCTGGCACCCAAGGAAGGGCACATGCCCCAAGCTCCAAGCCAGCACCTCAGCAGGAGTTTTCAACTGGGGGCTGAGAAAAGGCCTTGCCCCAGCCTTCATCACCCTAGGGAGGCTGGGAGCTTGTGAGCTGGGACCTGTGGCTGCCACAGCCAAGCTCTTCAGAGGGGACAGGTCTGCAAGCGTGGTGCTGATCCTGGGAAAGGCGGATGAGAGATGGAGACTATCCTGGTGATCCCAGCTGTCCGCAGCATGCCAGCCTTTCCTGAGGTTTGGCCTGTAAACCTACAAGCCCTCCCTCTTCCCTGATCTGGCTCAGGCTGTGTTTCTGTCACTTGTCACCAAGGGTCCTGACTGTCATTCCTACATTAAGACAGATTCGTCCAGCCTCCAAGGCCCCCGCTCCTTGTAATCCTGGTGACCGATGGCAGCAGCCCCATCGTCTGTTCTGTGGCATATCTGTTCCAGTCCCACCACTCGACGAATGTCACTTGTCACCAGAGCATGCTAAGGCAGTCCCCAATCCAATCAAGAGACTGAGGCAGTCCTCAGGGGAACCAGGCTGATGAGAGAATGAAAAGGACAAGAGCCAGCCCCTTCCACTGCACGAGGCACATGGGTCCATCCGAGGGAACGGGGTGGCGGTGAGCTGTTGGCGTCCGGTCACCACCATGGTGCCCAGCTGCACTGTCTTGGAGAGCCCTGACTCCGGCAGAGGTTGGAGCAGGGAGGGCTGGGGCTGCCCTGTGTGTTGGTTCAGCCCATGACACTGATGCTCAGGGCAGCTGGGAGCACAGAGCTGCCCGGGTGTACTGGGACGGTCCACCGCAGAGAGATAGTGCCAGAGCCACCCTGGGCACCCGAGTTCTCCAGGCTTAAAACCTGCTCCTTGCTCCCCATGCACATGTGTCTGTCTCATCTAACCTTATGTCCTGCTTAGGGTTTGGGGAATGGGGTTACCATAGAAACAAGATGTACACAAGTAGCCTCCGTGCTGGGTAGCCAAGGATGCTCGCCATTTAAGAGCCTCTGAGGTCTTCAGGAACTCCGGAGCTGGAGTGGCTGTATCTGCGGGGAGGCAGTTTGCTGAGTGCTGTCATCCCCGCAGGGATGCCCTCCTGAACGGGCCACCCTGGGGCTCTGCTGCACGCTTCCTGGGGAGTCTTCTGAGGGCTGACTCAGTGGTCACAGTGCATCTGAAGGCCTGGACTTCAGGAGCTGCCATGGACCATTTCCCAAGCCCAAGTTGCTCCCTGCATAGTGAGTCTGTGAGGCCTCAGTATCCTTCCTGAAAATCCCCTCTGTGTAAGTTCCCAGAGCCGGCTTCTGATGGGTATACCAGCTGACCCAGTCTTCTAAGAGTCCTCGGCCTCCAGGCGCCTTTGGAGGCTGTCTTATTCAGGCAATTGGTCCTGGGAGAACGGGCATTCATGGTAACCAGCCTCAGTGGCCGGTCTCTTGCAGATCTCTGTATCTCTTACTGAGGAAGTCCCTCCTGCTATCTGACCACACGCCAACCTGCTGCCAAATGTGATGATGATATCACAAACACGCATTTGGGCTCAGCGTTTTAAAGAGGAAGAATCATTCAGAGATCTCACTAATTTTGTCTTCTAAGAACCAGGGGAGGATTCCTCTGGACCAGAAATGGATCTCTTTGTTTCCCATCTTGCTCCACCTCTGTGGGGGTTCTCGTGCCGGAACCTGGTTGTGTCAGGCCTCTCCGATGTCTGGAATCTCGAGCTGTTTCCTGGAGACAGATGGCATTGGTTTTGCATTTGTTCCACAATGCCGTCTCTCAGAAAATATTAACATCAGCTATTGACACGGAGCTCCTCAAAATATCAGCAATGATTTGATCTGCAACTTTGGAAGCTATTTGGTAGGCTGTTCGGCATGGGGCAGTTTTGAAGAATGCACTATCTTTCAAGCAGTTAGGGCGTTGTGGAGAATCATTAAACTGTTGCTTCTTTGGAGTGTGGTCATCTTGCTCCTGATATTTTTGACAGTTTGGCTGTGTTTTAGTTCCTTCAGTAGGAGAGAAAAAGGACTACCAGCTTCACATCATGGCACAGTGGGAAAAGCACTGAGCCAGGAGCCCGCAGGAGTGGCAGCTCTGGTGCTGGCCCTGCTGCCATCTCTTCATGACCTTGGGCAGATCATCTCCCCTCTTTGGGCCTCAGTTTCTCCATTGGTGAAGGGGGAGCTTGATCCATTTCTTCCCTGCATCTCGAGATCAGTGAGATGGTGGGAGGGTCACCGGTGCCTGGATGTAGAACTCAACTGCTTTGTAAGGAAGGAGTTGGCTAGCATGGAAAGTCACCTGGGCTTATTTGACCTTGAGCACCTGAGTGGCCTTCTTTACATGCAAATATAAAAACAAAGGGGATGCCATGGCCCTGCAGAAGGGATCCCGCAGGACCTGCTGTTCTGACCTCACAGAGCTTCAGGGCTGGTAGCTGGGGAAGAGGGAGCTTATTTGTGTAGGACCACCAGTCCTCAGCCCCCTGAGGTCACACCCAGGCCTGGCCTTAGCAACAGGTTCTAGATTCCAGCAAAATGGTTTGTGACACTGAGCTGCCCATGAGGACTCTATGGGAAAGCCCATTATAGCACAGGACAGCTGGGGGACCACGTTGGGTCCAATCTCTGCATGAACTCAGGAATCACAAGGGCTGCCTCCTCCCACGGGCTTCTCATCCCCCAAGACTTCACCGTGCTTTTCTGTGTCATTCTGCTCAGGGAAGTTTGAAATGCCATGCCTGGGGCAGACACTTGAAGAAATCAGCTTGGACAGGAGACATTTAGTGCTAGTTAGAAGGTCAGCCAGTCCTAACTGGCAGGGGTGGCCCAAGGCAGCCTGCTGTCACCAGTGCCCGGCCCTTGTCTAGATGGCCACCTTCCCCCGCTGAGAGGTATGCTCTGAGAGAAGGTGAGCACCCAGGCAGAGCCCTTGCCTGCCTTCAGCTCCTGTAAGCCCCAGAGCCCTGAATGGTGCCAGGCACGTGGAAGGTGCTTCATTCATTCACTCGTTCATTTGTTCGTTCGGTTTTGAACACCCAGCCAGGCGGGGATCTGGGCTGAGGGTGTTCAGAGATAGGCCACATTCAGCTCTTCACCCCGAGCTCACAATTGGCTGGGGAGCCAGGTCCCCATGACATGCATGGGAAGCAGGGAATTCCAGTGGGGACTCAGCAGGCTCATGTGTGCAGGTGCGGGTGGGTGCCTCTCACCCTTGCATTCACCCCATTTGCTTGGGCTTTTGGGAGCCTCAAGCTTCCTCCAACTCACTGTCTGCAAACAGCAGGCTTTGGTGCCAACCACACACAGTAGCCCCTTAGCACCTGCTCCCCTGGGAAAGTCAGCCTGGGCCTTGACCAATGTCCTCTGCAAAGTGTTGCTTGGCCCGACCCCTCCTGCTTTCCACCCCAGAATTTTCCTTCCTAGCAATTAGTGGGAGAGTTGAGACCCTTCCCTCGAGGTCTTTTGAAGCAGAAGTAGGCCCAGGGGCAAAGAGGGTGGCCTCTGTCACCTTGCCAGAGGTGGCTTTTTTGAAGGGTGAGCCTGGTGACTGGATGGGGGCATGTGTTTCGGTCATGTGCAGCCAGTACATGGTAGCATTTTGTTCCCCCAGGTGTCGGCTCAGGGACTTTTGCCACGTGTTGACTGCTTTACTTCATAATTAGCCTTGAGAATTGAGCAGGTGAGATCAATCAGAAACAGTAGTACGCCTAGCAGGGAATTATTTATAGGATAGAGAAGTTGCCAAATCCCAACTGGAAGGGCCTCAGGAACCTGCTTTATTGGGATGCTTGCAGTTATAGCTGAAAAAGAAACATATCATATACTTATAAAGCAAAGATGGCGATTTATCGACTCAGTCAACAAAAGGTCAGGCTTCAGGCATGGCTTGATCCAGGGGCTGGCTCTCTCTCTCTCTCTCTCTCTCTCTCTCTCTCTCTCTGTGTGTGTGTGTGTGTGTGTGTGTGTGTGTGTGTGTGTCTCTCTCCCTGTCTATGTGTCTGTCTACTTTGCTGTTTGGGTTTAATCCAGAGATTCTCCCTTCCCTAGTGATTCTGGCAAAAGTCTTAGAATGAGTGGCCTCAACCAAGTCAAGTCATGTTTCTATACCCGAACCCCTGGCAGTGGCCAGGGGACTGGGGCGTCCTAACTGGCCAGATTGGGGTCATGCATCTCTCAGAACCACAGCGACTTGAGGGTGGTGAAGCATGCTGAGCCCAAGGAATAGCAAGGTGTCGTTTTGGGAGGTGGCAGATCTGGGCAGTAGAAAGACCATGTGTTCTCTGCAGGGGTGATGGAGCCCACCGTCCCCACTGGCAGGCATCCCCTCCACAGCCTCCTGGACAGGGGTGTGTCTGGGCCCTGCCTGGACCCATGAGTGATGGGGCAGCTCTCCGGGCCCTCCTCACGTCGGTCCTGCCCAGCACTGTCCTGGCTGCAGCTCCTCTCACTTGCCACTATCCCAGTTCCATGCTGGGACCTGCACTTCAGGCCTTCCTCAGCTCTGAGAGGCACCCTGGTGCTGAAGAAGCTCTGGGGAGGAGGCCCCAAGCTGCCTCCTTCCCAGAAGGTTGTGCCTAGTCCCTCCACTGCTCTCATTTGACCACATCTGGTCCCTCCAGTCCTGCCCACCCCTCCAGGAGAGCCCCAGCCTTCAGCAGGAGGCCAGCCTTGCCTCAGCAGCCCTCTCCTCCCATACCCTGGACTGGCCACCTCTACCAGTGCCTCCTGGGCGGCAGCAAGCTGCTTGGCCCTGGGGAGGGACTGAGCCTGTCTCTCCCCTCTGTCCCAGGGCATGGAACTAGGCCAGCAGCAGAGGCCTACCCCTGTGCCATTGCTCAAACTCGGCTCAGGGACAGGGGTGCTGCAGGGAGGGGCAACTGAGGGAGTAGCAACTGAAAATAAGACTTTAGGGCGAGACAGGATGGGGCTGAGATCCTGTTTCTGACTCGACTACTAGCTGGATGCCCTTGGGCAAGTTTCTGAACCCACCTGAGCTCATCTACACTTCATCAACCAGCAGCCAATAATGGGGTCTGACACGGGGGGTGTGCCTGGGCCTCGGGTGGAAGCCTCTACCGTCCAGCCCAGTACCATGTGCCATTTTTTTTTTTTTGATATGGAGTCTCGCTCTGTCACCCAGTCTGGAATGCTATAGCGCAATCTCGGCTCACTACAACCTCCACCTCCTGGATTCAAGCGATTCTCCTGCCTCAGACTCCCAAGTAGCTGGGATTACAGGTGTGTGCCACCAAGCCCGGATAATTTTTGTATTTTTAGTAGAGATGGGGTTTCACCATGTTGGCCAGGCTGGACTTGAACTCCTGACCTTAGGTGATCCACCTGCCTCAGCCTCCCAAATTGTTGGGATTATAGGTGTGAGCCAGCATGCCCGGCCCATATGCCTATTCTTAATTTACCATTGCTAATGAGAGTTCACTGCATGCTGGAACCTCAGAGCCGCAGGCCCTCTTATTCAATAGGGGAAAACAGAGTCCCAGAGACTGGGGGAGACTTGCCCAGGGTCGCGCAGTGAGGCCAGGGAAAGCCTGGTCTTCTGACCCCCAGCCCAGGGCTCTGACCACTGTGACCTCAGGGATGGCCCATTGACTCCTGTCAATTCCTGTGTTGATTTCTGAAGTGAATCCAGGGCTATGGAAGAGAAAAGGGGAGACAAAAGCTGAACCCTTTTCAGGCAAAATCATAGCCTGATAAGGAGTCTGTTGTGTCAAATATCCCCCCACCTCCTGAGGCGCCTCAGAGAGTCAGAGTCAGAGCAGCCCCTGGCTGGCGTCACCACACTGCTGCAGGGATGTGGGTGTCTAGGAAGGTGGCCACTGATGAGAGGGGCTTGGGCCTTGTGAAGGCAGATAAGAGAGTTGGACATTCAGGCCTAAGAGCTTTGGCGCACTTCCTTCCTTCCTTCCCTCCCTCCCTCCCTCCTCACCCCTTCCTTTCCTTCTTCTTTCCCTCCCTCCTCACCCCTTCCTTTCCTTCTTCTTTCCCTCCCTCCCCACCCCTTCCTTCCTTCCCTCCATTTCTCCCTCCCTCCTCACCCCTTCCTTCCTTCTCTCCCTCCGTTCCCACCCTTTCCTTCCCTTCTTCCCTTCTTCCCTCCTTACCACCCGTTCCTTCCTTCCCCCCCTCCCTGCCCACCCCTTCCTTCCTTCCCTCCTTCCCCACCCCTTCTTTCCTTCCCGCTCTCCCTCCCCACCCTTTCTTTCTCTCCCTCCCTCCCCACCCCTTCCTACCCTTCTTCCCTGCCTCCCTCCTTCCCTTCTTTCCTCCCCTCCCTCCCCATCCCTTCCTTACTTACCTTCCTCCCTCCCCACCCCTCCCTCCCTTCCTTCTTTCTTTCCTTCTTTCCCTCCTTCCTTCCTTTTCCTTCTTTCCTCCCTCCTTCCTTCCTTTCTTCCCCTTTTCTTTCCTTCCTTCCTTCATTCCTTCCTTCCTTCTTCCCTTCCTCCATCCCTCCCTCCCTTCCTTTCTCTCCCTTAAAAATAATGCCTTTATTACTTCTACAAAAATATTACATGTTCATAAATGATTCAAGTGAAAGAGAAGCAAAAATAAAAGAAAAAAGAATAATTATACACAATTCAACATCTCACTATCCAGAAATAATTGTTAAAATTAACTAGTGGTCGTTCCAGATGTCTCTCTAGGAATATATCAGATACATGAATAGGAGCAGTGTGATAAAGTGGAACAATTTCAATTTAATTTTATTTCTTAGAGACAGGGTCTCTGTCACTCAGGCTGGAGTGCAGTGGTGTGATTATGGCTCCCTGCAGCCCCAAACTCCTGGGCTCAAGCGATCCTCCTACCCCAGCCTCCTGAGTAGCTGGGACTACAGGCATGCACCTCCATGTCTGGCTAAGTTTTATAAAGTTTTAAAATAGAGATGGGTGTCTTGCTATGTTGCCCAGGCTGGTCTCTAACTTCTGGCCTCAAGAGATCCTCCTGCCTCAGCCTCCCAAAATACTGGAATTACAGGCAGGAGCCACTGTGCCTGGCCCACATACTCCTTTAAAATAAAATGGTTGAATTTTTCTTAGTTAATAGCAGCAATGAAATATCTGAAGTGAAACTGAGACAATGGTTGAATTTCAGAGCAATGTTTCTTTGCCTCAAAAAACCATCGTTCTTAAAAGAGTTCTGAAGATTGAGGGAAAAAAGGTTATGGAAAAAATAAGCTGGGAGTCATTTTATTTAAAGGATGTTTCCATTCTAGACAATTTCAACGGGCTCTGTGCTGTTGAAAGGTGAGGAAATTAGGAGTTTTTTGTTTTTTTTTTTCCTGAAGGTCCCCTACTAATTTTTGTTCACTAGTCTTTTTACCTTGTCTATATTTATAATGTTTGGATTCTCTTCTGCAGAGTTTCTTTTAATTCTACATTTTGTTGCATTCAGTTCTCATCATTTTTTTCATGACTTTTCCATTCCAAGGCTTTTTCCTCTATGTTGAGGCTCTATTTTATTGTGAAATGGTTTTTCTTTCTTTTCAAGCATCATGGGTTCTGTGTTGCCTGTGTCCTTCATGCTAGAGAATGCCTGTCTCTTGATTTTTATATTTTAAGGACAACTTGAAGCATATTTGGTTTTCCCTTTAAAGCTGCCTTTCCATGGGTTTTGCACTAGTGTGAGGATTCCCTCCCCCTCCCTTTCTTTCCCTGCATCTTCCCTCCCCCAACCCCAATATCCAGTTTCCTTTTCCTTGTGATTCACTTTGCCCGGATGTAACTATCACAGAGATTTTAAAGACACGCACATGGCTGCGGCACTCCCTGAGTTCTTCCAGGCTCTTTGAGAATGTTTGCCTGTGGCTTTTTGGCTCCAATGACAAGTCAGATGACCACAGCATTACGGGTTCCTATTTTCACTGTGATTTGTGGATGTTGCTCCGTTACCCTCTGGATGAAACTTGCCGAGGAAGAATCTGAATCCAGCATGATTTTATGAGTCCTCCCTTCCCCCGAAAATTCTTCTTTTTCCTCTGTGAGTGCATGAAGAATTATTTTCTTTCTTTAACCATTGTATTTCCTGATGCTCGTCATTTCCAATAAATTTTTCTTGAACATGTTGTGCCTTTTGGATATAAACATAAAGTCCTTCACCTTGAAACAAATGTCCTATATTATGTCTTTTGATGCCTTTCTTCTTTCATTTGTCACTCATGCCCCCAGACCAGGCAGGAAGGAAATAGGTGTGAAAAAGTGGGAGTGCTCTCACACTCATTTTAAAAGGCACGTCTGTTCCAGGCACCAACATCAGAGAAAAGCGGCCAAAGACTACGGTGAATGAAACTCAATTTAGGAACAAACATTACTGATAAAATATTAGTCTATCAAATCAAGAATGTGATCACAAGAAAAATACATACAGCGTGTTCCAGTGTGACTTATTCCAGCAACAAAGGAATGGCATTAGGAAATCTACTAATGTAATTTACTCCATTGGTAGATTAAACCATGTGACTCCAAATAGAGGCTGAAGTAGCATTCGATGCAATTTAACACCCATTCATGATTAAAAAGAAAAGATGATTAGCTGTCTTAGCCAGTTCCTACTTACTGTCCATTTGGGAGGGAGCCTGGAGAGCCACCGTGGCTGCTGGAAGAGCAGTTTGGAGAGTGGCCAGTTGTTCCAGTTTGCTTGGGACTGAGGGTTTTCCTGGGATGGGGGACTTTCAGCTCTAAAACTGGCAACCTGGGATGGGGGTCGCCACATTGAGGGTGTTGGCAGCAGCTCAGCAACAGAGGAATTAAAGAATGATTAAATTGTTCTGCAGAAGAAAATGAGTTTTTTTTTTGTTGTTGTTCTCTAGAGGGAGGGAGACGAGAGAAAGAGAGGCAGAGGATTGAGGAAAGGGGCAAGAGGGTGTGAGGGTGGTGTGGATGTGGGTGAGAGTGCAGGCCAAGGCTGTTTTAAGAACAGTGGTGCCTGATGCTAAGTGTGTCTTTGCAATGAGAGCTAGAGAGCCCCATCTCCACCTCCTCCCCTGCGGCAGGTACTGGTGGTGCCCAGATTAGCCCCAGTTCCTGAGCTGCTGCTCCCTGCCCTGGCTGCTGTGTGTTGGCTGTTGCCCTTCATATAGTTTGGATGTCTGTCCCCTCCAAGTCTCATTTTGAACTGTGATCCCCAATGCTGGAGGTGGAGCCTGGGGGGAGGTGTTTCATAGGAGTGGATCCCCCATGAACGGCTTGGTGCTGTCCCCTTGGTGATGAGTGAGTTCTCGCTCTGTTAGTTACCAGGACATCTGATGGTTAGAAAAAGAGCCTGGCACCTCCTCCTTTCTCTCTTGCTCCCTGTCTCACCACAGGACACATCTGTTCCCTCTTCTCCCACCGTGAGTGGAAGCTTCCTGAGGCTTCACCAGAAGCAGATGCTGGTGCCATGCTTATTATATAGCCTGCAGCACCATGAGTCAAACAAACCTCTTCTCTTTATAAGTTCCCCAGCCTTGGGTATTCCTTTATAGCAACACAAAGTGGATGAACACACCCCAGAATCACTTTGTTCTCACTACACCCCCTGCTCCCCATAGCTCACAGCTGAGTGACAAAGGAGTACAAAACCCTGGCCCTCTTTCTGTCCTGCTAAGGACACAACCCAAGTCTACTCCCTTCAACAAAGCCTGCAACACTTAGAAAGTTGTGTGTGCGGCCAGGAGCGGTGGCTTGCGCCTACTGTAATCCCAGCACTTTGGGAGGCCGAGGCAGGTGGATCACCTGAGGTCAGGAGTTAGAGACCCACCTGGCCAACATGGTGAAACCCTGTCTCTACTAAAAAATACAAAAATTAGCTGGGCATGCTGATGGTTACCTGTAATCCCAGCTACTTGGGAGGCTGAGGCAGGAAAATGGCTTGAACCCAGGAGGTGGAGGCTTCAGTGAGCTGAGATCACACCACTGCACTCCAGCCTGGGCAACATAGCAAGACTCCATCTACAGACAAACAAACAAACAAACAGTTGTGTGTGCATGTTGAGGATGGGGCTGGGTGTTCTCATTTGAGTCAACGTGGTGAGGAACAGAGACAGTGTCAGGGAAGCAGGATTCTGGGACAGGGATGAGCACAAGGATTTGCAGTGATCTTGGGGAGGGCCTTGGACTTACACAGAGTACAGAGTTGGAGCTCAGGCCAGTCTTACCCAGACCTCAGTGGGAAGGGAGGCTCCTGCCTCCCTCTGCGGTGCATACATGAGCACATGGTGACTCGATGGGGTCAAGGAATTTGTCTAACATCCCCAAGTAAGAGTCCAGGCTGAGTTTAAAAACTCAGTCTGGAGGAGTCAAAACTTGAGCTCTAATCACCAGGCTGACCTGCTGGATGTGTGACTCTGGACTGGCTCCGTCCCCTCTCTGGGCTTCAGTTTCCCCAAGGAGGCTACAGGACCAGGGAGCCTCCAGGAGCATTTCCACTTCTGATGCCAGTTTTGGAGGAAGTGCTGTGGTTGCTTGGAATGGGTGAGGGACTCGAGTTTCATAGGACACTGTAGGTAGGCTGGCTGATGGCGAAGGTGGAGGATGAGCTGGGGTTTAGGACTCACAGGCAGTGTAGCTTATTGCACACCTTTTTCTTTAAGGACAGCATCTGCTTCTAAGTAGGTTACGCTTGCTGTGGCTTGTTTGCATCTTTCTTTGCTTAGAAAGCAAACCCTTTCTTCTAAGCTAAGCTTCCTCTTAGGCCTATGGGATTAGCACATAGTCCAGATTAATGGGGTCCAAATTAATGTGATTTATCATCATGGTTTTCAAAAGATGTGGTCTACTTATACAGCTACCACTTTTTTTTTTGGACCCAAATTTAGGACACTTGGACCAACAAAAGATATTTTCTTCTCAGTCATGCATGCAAATATATGGAAGATCTTAGAAAATTGTGGAAAGTGGGGCATACTGAACAAAATCACTGCCATCAGAGAGAATGAAGTGATGCAAGATCAGGATGTGTCAGGAAGCCCAGGCGTGTGTCGCCACGTTGATCTCTGTGTGAAATAGGACGGACTCAGTACCTGCAGCTAGACAACGCTGGAGAAACTCCAAAGGACTGAGTGCCGCCCAGGCTTCAGGAGAGTAAGACAACAGACACTATGCACTTTTCTAATGTGGCCGGCACTCTGTGCTTGCAATCACATATGTGCCACAGACAGGATTTCTATCAAACAAACAAGAAGAACAGATGGATGCCAAGCCCGTTGTCACTTTCCTGGTGCGTTTAACAGGAGCCAGGGGAGAAGTCCAGTTTGGGGCGTCTTGGGAAGTTTCCACATCATCCATGAAATTCTGTGGTGGACTTGTCACCCACACCATGGGTGGGTTTGATGGCTTGGTGGTCGGCAGTGCAATGACCACAACCATGTTGGCTTTTATTACTCACAACACCGGGGATCGTTCCCAGAGCAGTGCTTTTCTAAACACTGGAGAAAGCAGGGCTTGCATTGGGCTGGGGAGCTGAGTCATTGCATGCAGAGGCGGAGTCAAGGCGATCGTAGATCATGCTTCCACATATGTTGCATGTAGAGAAAACAGCCTCCTCTCTGGCCATGGATTCTAGTATGGTAACTAGGAGAGTTCCCCAGAGTTCATCTCTGGATCCAATCAGTTTTTGTTTTACCAGAGATGAGCTTTTTGCTGGAAATTTTTGAAACAACAACTCAAGGTGCAACCGTTACTGGTGGGTACTTTTTTTTTTTTTTTTTTCTGAGACTGAGTCTCACTCTGTTGCCCAGGCTGGAGTGCAGTGGCTCGATCTCAGCTCACTGAAACCTCTGCCTCCTGGGTTCAAGTGATTCTCCTGCCTCAGCCTCCTGAGTAGCTGGGATTATCGGTGTGTGCCACCATGCCTGGCTAATTTTTCTATTTTTAGTAGAGACAGGGTTTCTCCATGTTGGGCAGGCTGGTCTAGAACTCCTGACCCCAGGTGATCTGCCTGCCTCGGCCTCCCAAAGTGCTGGGATTATAGGCATGAGCTACTGTGCCCGGCCACTAGTGGGTAGTTTTGCACTGTGTGTAACCCCAAACCTGGGACCCTGGGATACAGACTGATGACCAAGACAAATCCAGTGAAGAATTACGGATCTTTGGACTCATCTCCAACTGTTTCTGGGCTCAGCTGGCATGAGAAAGGAGTCTCAGAATGCCCAGCTCCACCAGAGGTGCCCAGCACCTCCCCTCACTCCACACTTAGGAAGCAATGTCGTTTCCTGTGCCAGTCAGCTCTAAATGATTATGTAATTACATTTGTGAATGTAATCCTGTGGGGCATCATTCTAATTATAGCCCACAATCCTTTCTAGCAGTGTTCAGAGAAATAATATGTGCGATGAAGTGGGGCTGCTCTGTGTACTGCAAGAATGTCCAGGAACCTGAGCACATGCGGTCGCACCTGCCCCCTGGAATCCACATGCCCTTGGCTCTTTCTTAAAAAGCGGATCAAAGGGTCCAGTCCATGGCAGCCACTTCTCAGGGCAGGTGCAATTCAGTGCATGCTTTAATTGCAGGTCCCCAAAGAACTTTGCAGACATTCTTTTCTCGTTGTTCATGATGCATTCTTTAAAGTAATTTTGAGTGAATTTTATGGTATGTAAATTATGCCTCAATAAATTTGTTAAAAATAAAGTGGTTATTAAGTTAATTATAATCAACACAGACATGTGTGGGTCACACAGACAATCACTGCTGCAGGCCAAGGGTGGATCATATGAGATGAGGATGATCTGGAAGGTTCTGAGGTGGACACTGAAGGATTCTAAAAATTGCTTAGCAGGTGTGTTCAAATGGAACGCTAGCAGACATTCGCATATAATATGCTGTTTCTCTTCCGTTTTTCCTTCCTTTCCTCTTTTCTTCCTTCTGTTTTCTTTCCCTTCCTCTTCTTTTTCCCTGTCCTTCGTTTCCTCCTCTTCCACCTCCCCTACTTCCTCAGCATCTCTTATTATTTTGGCCTTGCTTCTTGATAAGAGTGGGATCTTTCCAATAGTGCTAACGTTTTGTAGAGATTATTATTTGACGTGCACTCACTTCAGGCCCCACATGACAGTAAGCTTCCTGGAGGGCTCCATGGTCTGGCCTCTGTCCCCAGGGAGTTTATTCATTGACTGCTGGCAGAGGAGACACCACCACAAGCACAAGGAGGCTCTCGGTCTTCAGTCATGCGCCCTGTGGTCACAGGTGCCAGGGAGTCAGCTGCCCTGACTAACGTGTCAGGGGGCCCACCTCAGCCAGCACTGGAGTCAGCGGGTTCCTCTGCCACACTCATGCAGACAGCATGCTGTGTTCCTCAAAATCGCTCATTTTCAACTTTCTGTAGTACTTGATTCAGGCTTTCTGCCCTCATTATGGTCTTTTCAGTTCATGGACATTTTGTTTGTTTGTTTTTGAGATGGAGTTTCACTCTTGTCACCCAGGCTGGAGTGCAATGGCGCAATCTGAGCTCACTGCAACCTCTGCCTCCTGGGTGCAAGCGATTCTCCTGCCTCAGCCTCCTGAGTAGCTAGGGTTATAGGCACG
This sequence comes from Homo sapiens, assembly GCF_000001405.40. Classification (NCBI taxonomy): domain Eukaryota; kingdom Metazoa; phylum Chordata; class Mammalia; order Primates; family Hominidae; genus Homo; species Homo sapiens. The sequence goes on along the minus strand of NC_000019.10, from coordinate 29,487,287 downwards.
TGCCACCACGCTCAGCTAATTTTTTTTTTTTTTTGTATTTTTAGTAGAGATGGGGTTTCACCATGTTGGCCGGAATGCTCTTGATCTCTTGATCTTGTGATCTGCCCGCCTCGGCCTCCCAAAGTGCTGAGATCACAAGCATGAGCCACCGCGCCTGGCCTTGCATGGGCAATTTTGTAAAATAAATTATACTTTTAATATTTAATGATTATTGTTAGTATGAATTCACCTAATTATCACCATCATCGGTTCACCTTTTCAAATAATCTGTGTTGGTTACAACAAACCTTATATGTATGGTGGTGATTTAGTTAGTTTTTGAATCTGGCATCTGGGGTTGAGAGAGAGAGAGAGAGAGAGCACACGCAGGTGTTCTGTCAGAGATTTTTCTGTCTGATTGGTTGGACTTGTTCTAGTGGGTGGGGTCAAGGATACTCATTCACAAGTTTTAGTCTGGCTCTGACATTGAAGTTGTGCTACATTCATTTAATGTTTTACATAGAAAATAATTTTACGTAGAAAATAGTTTTTGATGTCAGGAAATATTCTATAATGTTTATTTAAACAGATTCCATAAGTAAAATGATCTACAGCAGAGTCTCAAGCATCTGTATTGCCTTACTGTGTGCAAACTGTCTGTGGGTAAATGAAATGGGAACCTGAGCATTTATTTTGCTCAGGTGGAGACAGAAGCCTCTTTCTTTCTCCTACTTTCTTGTGCTACATTTTATCTCCTTTTTCTAATGATTGAGTAGACTCTTCAGTTCATTTATTTTTATTCTCGTTTAGTCATGAGATCAAACAAGGCTATTCATTTTCCTCTGAGTCTACTTTTGGTTGAATCCTGTAAGCTTTGATTGATGCTAAGATTGTCATTCTTTTCTAAATAGTGTGCAAATTCTATTTAACCCAAGAGTTTTGTAGGAGACTTTTAGATTTTTTAAATTAAAAAAACCTAAATGGGCTAGGCGCAGTGGCACATGCCTGTAATCCCAGCACTATGGGAAGCCGAGGTGGGTGGATCAGCTGAGGTCAGGGGTTCGAGACCAGCCTGGCCAACATGGTGAAACCCCGTCTCTACTAAAAATACAAAAAATTAGCTGGGCATGGTGGCAGGCGCCTGCAATCCCAGCTACTTGGGAGGCTGAGGCAGGAGAATCACTTGAACTTAGGAGGCAGAGGTTGCAGTAAGCTGAGATTACACCATTGCACTCCAGCCTGGGCAACAACATAGAAACTCCGTCTCAGAAAAAAAACAAAAACAAAAAACCAAAACACACACACACGCAAACACACACACACACAAAACCCTAAATGATTAGGTTTTTAACATTAAACATTAATTATTCTCATCTAGTTTTATTATATTGTGATGAAAGAATGTGGCCCATATCATTTTATATGATTTTGGAACTTATAGAGGGTATTTTTTGTGGTCAAAAGTATTTATTTTGGTCATGAATGCTGAAAAAGTAGATGCATTTTCTGTAGCAAATCAAATTTATTAACTTATAGTCAGATTTCCTATATTTTTTGTTCATCTTGGTTTTTGCTAACTTATCCTGTCCATGGCAGACCAGGTGGGCTGAGTGGGGGCTCTGTGTCCCAGGGGCCACGGTGGTGGACTGGTGACAATGTGGACCTGTCCATCCATCCTCTCTTCCTTGCAGTCCTGCATGGGGAAAAGAGCTCGGGAGTGAGGTAATGTGGATTTGAATCCTGGCTTCAGCCACCCCTCACCATTGTGGCCGGGCCATCTGTGAAGTGGGAATGGGAGCATGAACCGGGCAGGGATGGAGGGAGAATGAAGTAGGACAAGGATAGGGAAGTCTGCCCCCTCCCCTTGCAGCCCCGCTCTCATCCCAGTAGCTCCTATCCGCCCCATACCATGCATCCCTGAAAGCTGCCCCTGCATCCGGGTTGATAAAAGACAGACAGCCCTGGAGGTGGAGTAATGCAGACCTCCTCCTCAGGTGGGCTGGGGGCTGTTGCAGACCTCTGAGTTTTCAGGCATAGTTGGGAGGTTTTGGGGACTTTTCCAGGATCCCCTTTCAAATCCTACCAGGCTGGAGGCTTTCTGTTAGCCTCTGACTTAGGACAGTCTTACCAGGCCAAGACCTGCTCCTGGGATACGTGCCTCACAGTTAGGAGTCCCTGCAGGACTTCCAGGCGGTCAGCACCACACCAATGGGGATCCCGTAGATATGGGAAGCAGCTGCAGTTGTAACAGGACCCAGTTCGGCTGTGTACTGCTTAAACATCAAACACAAGGGGTGAGAGTTGGTGGGAGGAAAAGCAGGTTTATTCAGACCAGCCAGCAAACCACAAAGATGGCGGACTAGCGTCCTAAAGTACCATCTTTAGTTAGGACACATTTCAGGTTCTTTTTAAGTTAAGGGCAGGGAAAAGAAAAGGGGGCTGGGATTAAGAGGTGGTAGAGGACTTCAGACGTTTGGGCACCAGCGAGGTTCCGAGGAGGTTGGGAACACATTTGTCCTCGGTCAGGTGGCAATACTCCTGTAATCTTTAACAAAACATAGTTGGTTGTTGACAGACTTCCCTTTAGCCTCAGTGTTAGCTTAAAAAAAACGACATGATTGCTGTTTTTGCGTAATTTAACTCAGTGCTCTAAAATTATCTTAGCCTGTGGGCAGCAATGGGTCAAGGCCCCTTAAACAAAAATGGAGTGAGTGACGTTAGTTCTTTTGCTGTTTCACTGTTAGTCATCTAGTGGTCTGGGGGAGACAGGAACCTGGGTCCCCAGTGCCATGGCCCATGGGCTCAGCCCATCCTGCTGTTCCAGCCCAGTGCCTTCCCTGAGCTCCCAGGCCCCAGGGAGGGTAGGAATGGGAGCTCACTGGGTGCAGATCCAGGAGAGGCCGGCTGGCTCCTCACTGTCCCTGAAGCAGGAAGCTCCAGGTAAATCAGAGTCAGCTGGCAGCCCCTGGTGAGGTCAGAGGTGCAGCTGACATGCGCATGCTGCAAAGGCCGAGATTTAGGCCGAGGAAGAGGCCAGGAGCTCCAGAACCCCTGCCAGGCTCACTCTCTGCCTCTGCTGCCTATAGCCTGAGACTGCTAGAGGGGATCCCATGCCCTGCCAGGCCTCACAGGAGTCCTCCCCACACCTCCTCTCTGCAGAGCCTTTCTACGGCCCAGAGTCAGAAGGCCTGATGTGGTGTCTGCTCTGTTGTGAGACTCTGGCCTCAGCTTCATCATCTGCAAAATGGGGCTGGACAGACCTCTTCTTCCTCAGGATCAAACATGATGGAGGCTGAGGGACTTTGGAAAGGGTTGGGGGGACATCGAGGGGCTCTGAGTAATGGCAGAGAAAGCACCTTAGGGTTTCTGGGCCCGGCTGCCTGCACCCATCACTCAAGCATCCATCCTGACCCCTGGAGACTCCAGCTGTTTTAAAGGAATATGTCTCCATCCTAGGTCACCTTTGTCACTGCTGGGGGCAGCCTGACACAGCATTTCAAAGAATCAGCTGAGGTCAGATAGACCTGGCTGCGTGACCTCAAATGAGTTCCGTAAGCTCTCTCGGCCGCGGTTTCCTTACCTGGGAAATGGGCCCTCCTTCAGAGGGTTGATATGGGCAGGAAATGACAGTGTGCAAGGAGTGCTCAGGATGGCACAGGATGGTACATGCTCTGCTGTGAGATGAGTGCTGGCATCGCCTCCCCAGGCAGTGGGCAGGCCCTGGAACACTGCACTGAGGGGCGGGGGGGTGGTGCCCTCCAGCCTTTCTCTTTCCCCAGATTTTATCATGATGAGTGGGATTGTTCCTGGGGAGCACAGTGGGAAAGGAATGGGCTGCTGGGAATGATGTTAGCCTATTTTTAACTAGAGATTTTCCCTGTTGTGAGCCATTTGCACAAATTTCTCCTGACACCAGTCCCTCTCACATCCACCCCTGCTCACCTCCAGTCCTTGGTTTATCATGGCCCTTGTTCTGATCCTCCCAGGAACAGTAAATTGGGCTGCTGAGGCCCCAGACAATGAAACACCCTGACATGTAATCGTTTCCCCACTGTCCTCTTGTAAGTCTTTGCAGCCCCTCCAAGATCTTTCCCCATCCAAGAAATAAATCAGGGTCTCTTCTATTCACATGGAGGAGCCTATGTTCTCCTATGGGGTTGTCTTTGCAAACTGGCAGCAATGGACAAGAAGAGAACCGCGAGACATGCCCTGAACTGGAGCCTGGGGCAGGAAGACGCTGCCCAGGATAGCATCTGTACAGCTTGGCACCTTCTTGGCAGACTCACCAGGTCAGCTGGTCAGTTTCCTGGCAGACACCACCATCCCACAGAAACATCTCACAGTCTTACCTCCCTGTGAGGACTTTAAAATCGGTTTTTATTTTGGCATCATTATAGATTGACAGGAAATTGCAAAGACAGCAGTAAGAGAGGTCCCTAAAGATAGAAAACCAGTGCACCCTTCACTTGCTTTTCTCCTGGTCACATCTTATGAAACTGGAACTGAACCCAGGTTCAGCTGCTCCACACTTGAAAGCCAACTTTGGGAGACAAGACTTGGTAGAAGGAAAAGCAGGTTTATTCAAGAGACAGCAACCTGAGAAGACAGTGGGTTAGTGTCACAAAGGTCGTCTCAAGTCAGCACACATTTCAGGCTCTTTTGATGTTGAGGGCAGGGGGAAAAGAAGGGAGTTGGGATCAAGACGTGTGACCAGCTGCAGACATCTGGGTGCCTGTGAAGGTCCCAGGAGGTTGGGAACTCCTCTGTCCTAGGTCAGGTCACAGTGCTCCTATAAATCTTGAACAAAACACAATTATTTACACACTTCCCCTTCAATCGCAGAGTTAGTTTCTGCCCAAATCCTTGGGAGTTCACCCCTTGCATCAGCGTGCCCTGGATATGAAACATGGAGTCAAAGGAGATTATTTTGGAGATTTAAGATTTAATGAGTGCCCTGCCAGGTTTTGGACTTACATGGGGCCTGTGGCCCCTTGGTTTTGGCCAATTTGGAATGAGAGCGTTTGCTCAATGCCTGTACCGTTATTGTATCTTGGAAGTAACTAACTTGTTTTTGAGTTTACAGGCTCATAAGTGGAATGGACTTGCTTTATCTCAGATGAGACTTCGGACTTGGACTTCTGAGTTAATGCTGGAAAGAGTTAAGACTTTGGGGGACTGTTGGGAAGGCATGACTGGTTTTGAAAGGCAAAAAGGACATGAGATTTGGGAGGGGCCGGGGCAGAATGATATGGTTTGGCTCTGTGTCCCCACCCAAATCTCATGTCAAATTGTAATCCCCACATGTTAGGGAGGGACCTGGTGGGAGGTGACTGGATCATGGTGAGGGTTGGGGGGTTCCCCCGTGCTGTTCTCATCATAGTGAGGGAGTTCTCATGAGATTTGATGGTTTAAAAGTGGCACTTCCCCCTTCACTCTCTCTCCTGCTGCCTTGTGAAGACGGTATTTGCTTCTCCTCCACCTTCTGCTATGATTGTAAGTTTCCTGAGGCCTCCCTAGCCATGCAAAACTGTTAGTCAATTAAACCTCTTTTCTTCATAAATTACCCAGTCTTAGGTAGTTCTTTAAAGGAATGCAAAGATGGACTAATACAGTTTCAAGAACTACATGAATGCAATTTTTGCATTTTATCTCAGTGCTTTAAAATTATTCTAGCTGACCTGCAGGAACAGGTAAAGGCCCCTTAAACAAAAATGGAGTGAGTGCTGTTAGTTCTTTTGCTGCTCCACTGTTACATAACTATGGCACGATATAAAAAACTAGGAATTTGACATTGGCACAATGTGTGTGTGTGGTCCCTGTTATTTAATCATGTGGGCTACACAAGTGCATTTTCATACTCCTCCTTGTGTCTGTGGCCCAGCCTTCTTCTGGGCCCTGTGGGAGAGAATTCCAGACCCGAGGCCACTGTATATGCATTTCTGGGCATAAGGGGGGCCCAGCAAGTTTGAGCCCTTCCTGACCCCAAGGAGCACTTGGTCCAGATTCCTGCCTAGACTCTACAGATGTGTTACCAAAACACCAGGTTTTGGTTTAGGTCCTGTTGCTTGCCACACAGAAAGCCAGTGACCGAGACAATGAGTAGTGCCAGGGAAGAAGGCTTTTTCGGGTGTTGGGGCTGAGGAGACAGTAGATCAGTCTCAAATCCATCCTCCCAATTGACTAAAATTGGGAGTTTATGTAGTAAGGAATAGGCTTCCAGAGGGGTAAAGAAGAGGATTTTCAGTTTCTTGATACTATCCAGGAGGCCTGAAGGTTGGTTTCCTGGGAAAGGAACTCAGATAAGACAAATGTAAGTTTCATGCTTTAAGACTGGGAGGGTCAATTTCTATGTTTATGAAAATAAATCCATAAACATCAGTTCTATGGGGAACCTGGCTGGTTTCAGATGCCTCAGGCAGCCTCCGCAGGGTCCAGCCTCAGTGCTCTGCAGGTGTTTATGGGGTGGGTGAGTGGACAGCAAGGGGCTGACTGGGAGTGTGTGGGATGGACATGTGGAAAAGTGTGTCATCAGGAGCCCGGGCTCCTGGCCTGGCTCTGCTTGGTGGCCCTGTCTGAGGCTCAGGGTCCTAGCTGGGAACATGGGAACAGCACAGCAGCCCTGACCCCTCCGGGGGCCTGCACCGCAATGGATGTGACTCCTCATGTGAGCAGACGCTTTCCTGCCTCTTCCTGGATTCCGGGTGCTGGACTCCCCTGCTGAAGCTGAGGTCATGAGGGATGGGACAGTTTATAACAGATCTTCAGGCCCAGACGGAAAGAACTGGGATTTTAGCCCAAGTGGTAAGGGAGGGGTGCCAGCCACTGTGTAGGACTCAGTCCCTCCTCCTTTCCCTCCTGATCTGGTCCTCTGGGGGAGGGTCTGGACACTGCTGAGAAGCACTGATACTCTGCTTTATGAGGTGGGTTTATGGAGGGATTAAAAGGCCCCAAAAATAATGGTAGGGGTGGCAAAGTGGGCAGAGAGCAAGAGCTGGTTGGCTTCTCTCCTGACAGAGGTCAGTGGCTACATATTGGTCTCTGAGGGCAGTGGGTCTCGCTGGCCACATGCCAGTGGCTTCAGGGGAGGCTGTGAAAAAGAGGCTAGAGAGACTCTCCCGGGTCTCCGCCCTGTGGGGAACAGCCATGTAGGTCACTCTTGGCCCTGCACAAGGGCAGGTGTGCCCCACAGCAGCTCTCCTTGGCTGTGGCCATGTAAGGGGTCCATGGCAGTATCCTCCTGCCAACTCCTGGCTGCTGAGCATGGGGGACTCTGTTCATTCTCCCAGGACTTTGCCAAGACTGCAGAGCTGGGTTAGTGTGAGGAGAGGTGGGGTGGCACCCCTCCTGAGGAGTGTGGGCCCTTGGTTCCAACTTTTCTCTCCCACATGATCCCTAAATCTTCATGGCTGCAGCTCAGGCCATGATGGGTCTTTCCCTGGGGATGTTTCAGGGAGTGTCTTGGTGAGGGGTTGCAGGCACACCCAGGGATCCAGCGTACTCTAGTTCCCAGACCTGCTGACCTCTCTACCCTGTGAGTGCCAGGACCCTGGGCAGCCCATCACTGTCCCACTGTGCCCTTGCTCTTCACTCCTCACTCTTTCCATTTTGCTCAGGGGTGATGAGTTTATCTGCACAGCCTCTCAAAACTCAGGGATCATTTAGGCTTCTTTTTCTACATCCTTGCAGATTAAGGATCCTGGAAGTGTTGGGCTCAATTAAGGATCCTAGAAGTGTTGGGCTCAAGGCTGTCTCTAAAATAATATTTTCCAGAAAGAAAGAGTGTAGAGGAAGGGTCACGCATAGAACTCCATGTGGCCTCTGGAGTCGGAAAGCCTCGCAAGGGTGTGGGCTGGCTGTGCGACCTCGGGCAAGTTACTCAACCTCTCTGCATCTGAGTTCCCTCAGCTCTACAATGGGGATGACCACTAAGCACTGGAGCCGTGGAGCTTTTGTGATGCGGGAAAGGCCTGGCGTGGAGGGACAGCTTAATCCATATTGTGGCTATTGAGGTGTACATGGGAAAACTGAGACCCAGGAAAGCTGCCTGATGGCCCAGGATCCCACAGACGGTGACGGAGGCCACGCTGCAGACAGGCCTGGGGTCCTAGCCTGTGTCCACTCTCCTGGGAAGGGGCGACGAGGAAGGGGAGTGAGACCCCCAGCGTGACAGTCTGCAGGGAGGCAAGCCTCGCACGCCGCCTGCCTCACACCCAGACCCTCGCCTGCCCATGAGCCCCGCTCGCTCCAGACATCCTGAGCAGATCAGCTCTCCGCCCTGCGTCTTGAGGCAATGGGGGATTCACTGGGTCCCAGGAAGGGCAAGCTTTTGGAACAACTCTTCTTTATGAGCCTTCTGTTCATCCCCAGCCAGTGGGGTCTGGGGAAGGGCGGCTCCCGTCTTCCCATTGTAGAGCAAAGGCCTCAGCGCCTGCCCTCGGGGCCTGCTGCAGCTCTGGGGCTGGCACAGGTCTCGCTGGCCCCTAGAGGGAGCTCGAAGCCCCTCCAGCTCTGATCTGTCCCTTCCAAGGAGAAGAGCAGGTAAGCTCCGGAGGTCTGTGTGGCATCCTGGGCCCAAATTAAGGAGGAGGTGTCCCGCCGACTGCGCTCTCTTTGGACCCTCTAGTGCACGTATGGGACTCTTGTTTTTTGGCTACAGTCCTGGCGAGCCCTCCTCTGGACTCACTGACAGGTTCAGATGCAGAAAGCAAGAACCAGCCACAGGCCTGGAGGGTCCGACTGGTTTTCTCTAAGAAGGTGGTAGTGCAGTGGTCAGGAGCAGGACATGAGAGCCAGTTCGTCCTTCTTCAATCCCTGAGTGTCCTTCAGCAGCTGAGAGGCCTTCGGCAAATTACTTCACCTCTCTGAGCTGCAGGGTCTTTATCAGCAAACTATCTTAACTCGGATTCCTCTGAAAGAGTGCATTGCTGGGCTGGTTATGGCTGCAGGTGACAGGGGCTCGCGGTGTCTGGGACCCCCTGAGGTACATGCAGAATGCCCCTCAAAATTGTCCCTCCAAAGGCCACAGGTAGAGGCCTGCATCCACTGATACCTGTATCCCATGGGCCAAGGGTTACTTCTGCCCCACTTCTGGGTGAGCAGCCCCAGGTCTTGGCCCAGCTCCCACGTTGGAAGACTTCATCCTGTATCCCTGGAAGAAGCCTGGTAGCCAGAGTGTGGAGAGGCTGGGCAGGCCCTCGGGAGGGCTGCTGCCCGCATTTGTGGGCCTGCCCACCATAGTAGCTGCTGACATCTGGGATAGACCAAGGGCACCGAAAACACCTGCGCCGCTACCTCATGGTGTTGGTTTAGCATAAGCCCAAACCCATGGACATCGAGAGACAAGTAGTCGGGACAAGGAAGACGACTTTATTTTGGAGAGCCAGCAGCCAAGAGGAGGGTAGATGAATGCCCTACAGAACCATCCTAAGTCAGTACAAATCTCAGGCTGTTTTGATGTTAAGGGAAAGGGGAAGCGGGGGAGGTTGGGATGAAAAAGTGACCAAGGGCCAGGTGCGGTGGCTCACGCCTGTAATCCCAGTACTTTGGGAGGCCAAGGCGGATGGATCACCTGAGGTCAGGAGTTTGAGACCAGCCTGGCCAACATGGTGAAACTCTGTCTCTACTAAAAATGCAAAAATTAGCCGATTAGCCGGGCATGGTGGCTCACCCCTGTAATCCCAGCTACTTGAGAGGCTGAGGTGGGAGAATTGCTTGAACCCGGGAGGCAGAGGCTGCAATAAGCTGAGATCAAGCCACTGCACTCCAGCCTGGGTGACAGAGCGAGACTCCATCTCAAAAAAAAAAAAAAAAAGTGACTGAGGACCGCGGACAGCCTGCTCCAGTAAGGGTCCAGGGAGGTTGTGCAATCTTCTGCCCGTGTTCAGGTTCCAGGGATGCATCTTGAACACGTGGTGTTGCTCGTGGGATGCCCTCCTTATCTCCTTGGGGGTGAGTGTTGGGAAGAGACCATGATCGTCTTTGCTTTAAACTATAAATGAAATTCCTCCCATAGTGAGCTTGGCCTACATGCAGAGATCAGCAATAGCAGTTAACCTAGAAGATATCATGTGGGGGTAGGTTAGGAGCAAAACGGAGCTGGTCATGCGAGGCCTTCTTTCACTGCCACACAATGGCTGTAGCATGGGCTGTCTGGCGCACAGTCAGGGCAGGATAGGCATGAGGCATCTTCTATCATTTATATGTTGTGGTTGTTTTGCTGTCTGTCTTAGACCTGCTCTTAGCCAGCCCGTGGACCAAACAGTAGCCCAGAGGCCAGATTCATCCTGCAGACTTGTTTCATTCAGTCCAGAGAGCATTTAGAGCTTTTTAAAATTAGTTGCCACTAATAACAAATTGAGGCACTTTCATATAAAAATGGGGAGTTCCAGTTTTTCTGTAACTTGCCCCATGGGATAGGATATGAAGTCATCTAGCATGGGAGCTGGGCTAAGGCTTGGGGTAGGGGGTCCGGGAGCCCTGGGAAGAAAATCAGGAGGCTGGGCAGAAGGCTCCAGTCTTCCTCTTCTCCCTCCTGGGAGCTCAGGCGTTTGGTTGGTGTGCAGAAACCTGCCGGGCCTCCAAGAGCCATTTCCAGTTTTGGGGAATAGCTGCCCTGTGGGTTACCTCCTGCCTAGATATTAAGAGGGCCCCTGCTGCTCTAAGTACTGTGTGTTTTTCCCGATGGTGATAAAAAATGACTAGCCAGGAGCTTGACTGCCACAGACCCTGTCCAGGAAATAGAGTTAAGAGCAATCAGAAAGACTGATGGGAGAAAAACACTGGGATTTTCCCATTCCTATTCATTTAGCCCTTTCCAAGGTACTTAAACTTCTCATCTATTCACATTAACTGTCTGAGAGTTGAGCACGGGAAGTGGGAGATGGGAGGACAGGGTGGGCACCGTGAATGTGGCAGCTTCTCTAGCTTACAAGGACCCCTGTGGGCTGAGGGGGATTGGAGGACTGGAGTCAGGGGACAGGAATGTACAGTTTGACCTCAGAATAGGCCCTGTTCTGCCCCTGCATTTGGGGCTGCTGTCATGGTGGGTTTGGGACTTTGGGGAATGTTGCATACGTATCCAATATGATTTCTCCCCTTAGCCTGTTATTGGTGCCCAATATTCTACTACTGGGGCAAAGGGTGGCCTCCTGGGACTCCCCTGGGGCACAGAGTGGCTTTCTTGGGTGTTGACTCCATACTGCTTATTAGCTGGGTGGCCCTGTCCCAAGTCAATTAACTTCTCTGAGTCCCATTTTTATCTCTGTAAAATAGAGACAAGATTAATAAGACTTCCCAGAGGTGTTTTAAGCAATATGAAAAAGCCACTGGGGATGGGCTTGGCCAGTCATTGAGCCGGGTGTCCACAGGAAGCACATAGGATCATGCCCACGGGCTAGGTCTTTTAGGGATGCCCGTCTTGTCTTCAATGGCATAGATGGGGCCTGTGATAACATGGTTATGAGGTTCAGTCACCTCGATCTTCAAAAAACGATTTTCAAAGATTTTTGGAGAGAACCAGAGAGCTGGCTTTTATCTCTTGTGGCAGCCCTGTCCCCTGGGAGGCCGGCAGAGTATGGAGACTCCTGGAGCCCTCACCTCCTGAGGCCTGGGTTGCTGCTACTGATACTGGAATTTAAATTCGGTTGTTCGCTTATCAGTTCCCCCAGAAACCTGTCTTGGACAGTCGCTCCGGGAGCTGGCCCGGATGTCCAGAATATCAGCGTCTCTCCCACAATCCAGGCGTTTAAATCACAACAGCTTAGCAAGGTGCTTTTACAAAGAGCATTTATTGTTTTTGTCAGCTCATAAAAGCGATACATGTTTGCTGGGGATAATTCGGAAAATATGAAAAAAATGTAAATAAAAGAATAAAATTCTCCACTATGCCCTACCCTGAGATAGTTGCTTTAAACATTTTGGTGAATTTCTATTTAATCTTTTCCTCCCTCCCCTATCTTTTCCTTCTTTCTGTTATAAAAACAATTCAAGCAAAAAAAAAAAAACGGGGAAAATGTAGCAATAATCCATGTTTCCATTATCCATCTATCTTTTAACCTCCTTCCTCCCCTCTCTTCTCTCACCTTTTCTCTTGTGCTTCTTCTTTCTTAAGGCAAATGATTACAGATAGAGCTAGAGTCTTTTTTTTATACACCCCTCACCCCCCTGCAGGACCACTCCTTGAAATAGGATGTATCCTTCCTTATCAGGCTTTGGATACTTTTGCCTCATGTATATGTATCCATGAACAGTATACATAATTGTTATGTGTCATCCACATTTTAAGTACATGGGGTCACACAATACATGCATATCTGCCACTTTTATTGAGACAGGGTGTCATTGTGTTGCCCAGGCTGGACTGCAGTGTCACAATCATAGCTCACTGCAGCCTCCAACTCCTGGGCTCCAGCGATCCTCTCAGCTCAGCCTCTGGAGTAGCTGGGACCACAGGCACATGCCACCATGCCTGGCTAATGTTCTTATTTTTTGTAGACATGGGGTCTCACTATGTTGCCCAGGTTGATCTTGAACTCCTGGCCTGAAGTGAGCCACCTTCCTGGACCTTCCAAAGTGTTGGGATTACAAGCGTGAGCCACTACAACTGGCCTTTAATATATTTTTATGCAACATTGTATTTCTGAGATATTTATCCCTGTTGAGATGTACACCTTCAGTTATTTTAGTGGTGCAGTTATATTTTATTATGTGAATATGCCACGATCATTTACCTATTCTTCCATTGCTGAACTTTACCTTGAAGCAGCCAACATCTTTGAGCAGGTCCTCTTGACTTGTATGCCATGTTCCTCTTCCATGTACACCTGGAAGTGGAAGTGCCAAGCCATCAGATGTATGGATTTTCACCTTAATATCAGCTTGCCAAATTGTTTTTGAAAGTGTTTATATAAATTTTAATTCCCACCAACAACTTGTGAATGTTTTTATTTCCCTTCAACTATAACTACCCTTGATATTGCCAGATTTAAAAATTTTAGCTAATCTGGTGATGTGTTCTGATGTGGTATTTCATCTCATTGTTTTGATTTGCATATTTTCTGAGTATTAGTGAAATGAAGTAGCATTTTATACACATTCAGTCCATAAGGGCTTTATCTTTTATAAATTTGACCATTAAACTATTTGTAATTGCTTTGTAGGAGTTCTTTAGATAGTCTTGATACTAATCCTTTAATGGTTATATGTGTTGGAATATAGTCCTATGTTATAACCTATCTTTTAACTTTGTATCTTTAGCACACAGAAGTTTTAAAATCTTAATATAATTACACATAGCATTTTATTATTTCTGATGGTGTGTGTTCCTGATATTGTGTTTAAGAAACTATGATATGACATCAAAACCACAGTCAACAGAACCAAAAATAAACAAGTGAGAATACACCAAACTAAAAACTTCTGCACAACAAAGGAAGCAATCAGTGAAATGAAAAGGCAACCTATGGAACGGAAAAAAATATTTGTCAACCATATATTTGATAAGAGGCCAATATCCAAAATATATAATGAACTCATACAACTCAATACCAAAAATACAAAGAACCTGATTTTAAAAATGGGCAAGTAGATTTTCTCAAAGAAGACATACAAATGGTCAACAGGTATATGAAAAGGGGCTCACCATCACTAATCACGGAAGAAAGGCAAATTAAAACCACATTGAGATATCACCTCACACCTTGTCTATTATCAAAAAGACAAGCGATGACAAATGTTGGTGAGATGTGGAGAAAAGAGAACCCTTGTGCACTGCTGGTGTGAACATAAATGGCACAGCTATTATGGAAAACAGTAGGGAGTTTCCTCAAAACATTAAAAATAGAACTGGTGTATGATCCAGTGACCCCACCTCTGGGTATATATTCAAAGGAAATGACATCAGTATGTTGATGAGACACCTGTACTCCCGTGTTCACTGCAGCATTATACACAATAGTCAAGCTATGGCTTTTGTCACAACATAAGTGTTGAAGGATGAATAGATGAATCATATGTTGAAAGATATGGTGTATATACACAAAGGAATATTATTCAGCCATAAAAAGAAGGAAATCCCGTCACTTGTGACAACATGGATGAAACTTGATGAAATCTTGCTAAGCAAAATAAGTCTGACAGAAAAAGACAAATACTATCTCATCTCACTTATATATGGAATCTCAAAAAGACAAGTTCATGGAAATAAAGGTGGAGTGGGGTTGCAGGGGCCGGGGGAGGGAAAGAAGGAGAGATGTTGGTTAAAGGGTACAAACTTTCAGTTACAAGAGGAATAAGTTCTAGGTGAACAGTGTGGTGAATATATTTAGTAATACTGTATCGTATACTTGAAATTTACTCAGAGAATAGATCTTGAATATTCTCACCACAGCAAAGGTAACTATGTGAGGTGATGGATGTGTTACTAAATTGATTGTGGTAATCATTTCACAAGATATATATATATATAATATATTATATATAATATATATTTTAAATATATTATATATAATATATTATATATAATATATATTTTAAATATATTATATATAATATATTATATATAATATATATTTTAAATATATTATATATAAAATATATATTAAATATATATTTTATATATATTATATATAATATATATTATATATAAAATATATATATAATATATATATTTTATTATATATAATATATATTTTATTATATATATTATATATATTTTATATATTATATATAATCAAGGTATCACATTGTACACCTTAAATATATACAATTTTATTTGTCAGTTACGTGTTACTAAATACAGAGGGAAAACAGAAATTCTCTAGATTACATTTTTACATTCAAAATGTTAAAATTCCTAGAATGCTTTTTTGTAAATAGTGAAATGTAGGACTATATATACTGTATATTTATCAATATATTCTATATAAACATTAAATATTTTTATATCTATACACAAGGATATATATATATTTAACATGGATATACATATACATGTACATCTATGTATGTATAGATAGATGTATCATTGTCCCAGCACCATGTATTGAGTTCACTTTTCTTTACTAATTTTTAATTTCTTTTCTGTTATCTATCAAGTTTTTATATTTACTTGAGTCTGTTTCAGCGCTTTCTCCTTGTTCCGCTAATCTATTTGTCTGTTCCTGTATAATGCCACATTGTTTCAGTGATGCCAACTCTATAGCAAATCTTATTACTGGTTACATCCTCTTTACATTGTTTACACTTTCTTTTAAAAATTGTCTTGTCTGTCCTTCCTGTCACTCAGCACGAATTTAGGATCAGATTGCTAAGCTTCATTACAAAAAAGTGTTAACATTCTAAGGGAGATTGTTCTTATTTTATAGTTCAATATAAGAAAATTAGATGTGCTTATGATAATGTCTTCTCATCCATGAACATAGTACATATTGGTATTCATGTTGGTGTTTTTATAGTATGTAATATTTTCATAAGTACATTAAATAGCTTCATTATATTTCTTGCTAGCTTTTACAGCTGCTATGAATGACTCTTTAAAAAATAACATTTTTAATGGTTCATTGTTGGATTCTAGAAGAGTTACTGATTTTATGTGCTGATCTTGATTTTAGGATTCTTGATGAACTTTATTTTTCTATGTATTTATAATATATATGTATATATAAAATACACACACGCATACACATATATATATATACACACATATACATGTGTGCAAACAAGTCTGTATTTGTTTTCTAGTAGTCTTTATCTGGTTTTGGTAATGAGGTTATAGTAGCCCCATAACATGATTTGGATAGTTTTCCTTTTTCTGTCCTCTGAAATTGTGTTTTAAAAAATATTTTTAGTATGATGTGGTAGTATGTTTAGAATCTAGGAAATATTTGCCTATAAAGTTATTGGGCTTGCTGTCTATCTAAGAAATAGATTTTCGGCTGGCAACATATATAATTTATTTAATCGTTCTTTGTTCATTCAAATTTCTCATTTTTTTTGAGTCACAATATTAGATAATTTATATTTTTTACCAAAAATTGTCTACATCAATTATATTTTCTAACTTTCTGGCATAAAGTGATTCATGTTTTTTCTTATGGTTAAAAAATATCTCTTCTGAATCTGTCATGCTGTCTCTCTTTCATTCTCAGTATTTTTTTCAAATCGTTTTTATTTATTTTTAATTTATATACAGTTGAATTTATCCTTTTTGGTCTATAGTTCTACTAGTTCTGACAAATGTAACCACCAGCACACCAAGTCTGTTTCAGTGTTTTCCCCCAAGTTCCCTCATATTGCCTTATCGTTGTCAACTACCTTTACTACCCCCAACCTCTGGCAAGCATCTTTATAATTTTGCCTTTTCCAAAATGACATACAAATAGGATTATATAGCTAGACTCAAAAGCTACATACCATACTACCTACTGCTATACCAGTGTAACGCATTTGACATTCATCCATGTTGTATTTTTAATATTTTGTTCTTTTTCTATTGTTGGATAGTATCCACTGTATGTGTAGACCACAATTTGTTTATCCATTCACCAGTTGAAGATATTCACCTTGTTTGTAGTTTTTTGATTATTACGAATAGAGTTGCTATATAAACATTTATGTACAGGATTTGACGTGAACATAAGTTTTCATTTGTATTAGTTAAATACCTAAGCTTAGGATTGCTGGATTATATGGTAAATGCATGTTTACCTTTATGAGAAACTGCTACCCTGTTTTCCATAGTGTCTCTACCTTTTGCAGTCCCATCAGCGATTGTTGGAAAGTTTTTGTGGCTCTGCATCCTAGGCAGCAGTTAAAATGATCAGGTTTTACTTATTTTTTTCAGTTGTTTTAATAGGCACAGGTTAGTCTTTTTAGCAGGTCACTGTGGTTTTTAATTTGTGTTTCCTCTAATGATTAATGGTGTAGAAAACCTTTAAGTGTTTATTTGCTCTGTGTGTATCATCTTTGTCAAAGTGCCTTTTGAAATATTTTGCCCACTTTGTATTGGGTTGTTTGTTTTCCTGTTGTTGAGTTTTTAGATTTTAAGATATAGTCTGAATAGAAGTTTTTCTTGTCAGATAAATGATTTGCAAATATTTTCTCCCAGTCTGTGGCTTCTCATTTCATTTTATTAGTAGTGTCTTTCACAGAGCAGTTTTTGATTTGGATCAAATTCATTTTTTTTCTATTGTTGATCATATTTTTGCGATGTATCTAAGAATTTTTTTCTAACCCAAAGTCATAAAGATTTCCTTTTTTTCTAGAAGTGTTGTAATTTAACATTTATTCCTATACTACGTTTTAATATTTTCATAAGGTGTGAGGTGTGGATGGGTCAGTAGAGTTTGTTTTTGTCTGCCTAATTGTTTAATCACCATTTGTTGAAGGCATTATGTTTTTCTCAGTTGACTTGCCTTTGCACTTTTGTCAAAAATCAGTTGGCCACCTTTGTCTGTGTCTATTTCTGGAGTTTCTTTATTTTCCATAGATCTATATGTCTATCTTGCCACGAGTATCACACTCTCTTGGTTACTGTAGCTTTATGATAAGCATTAAAATCAGGTAGTGGGAGTCCTCCAACTTTACTTTTATTTTTCAAAATTTTTTTGGTTACTCTATTTCCTTTGCCTTTCCCAATAAATTTTAGACACACCCTGTCAGTATCTGCAACAATTTCTGCTAAGATTTTGATTGAGATTGCATTGAATTTGTAGACCATTTTAGGGAGAATTGAGAGCAATACTGAATTTCCAACCTCTGGACATACATTTGTCACTCCATTTATTTAGAAAAGAAAAGAATGTTTTCTTTTATGAGTGTTTCATAGTTTTCAGCCTACAGGTCTTGCATATATTTTGTTAGATTTATATCTATGTGTTTCCTGTTTCAGTAAATGGTAAAACATATTTTAAATGTTTTTCATTGCTAGTATATAGAAATACAATTGATTTGTTGTTTATTGATCTTGTATTTAATGTATTTAATTTAACATCATGTTATCTGAAAATAAAGGGATATTTATTTCTTCTTTTGCAATCTGTATGCTTTTTATTTCCCTTTCTTGCCTTGTCAAACTAGCTGGGACTTCCAGTATGATGCTGCATAAGAGAGATGAAGGTAGATATCTTTGCCTTGTTTCTCATTTTAGGGGAGAAGCATTCCATCTTTCACTATTAAATTTGATGTTAGCTGTAGGTTTCTTTTGTGGATGGCCCTAATCAGGTTTAGAAAGTTCTCTTAAATTCCTAGGTTGCTGAGTATTAAAAAAAGTCATGGTGGTAAACTTTTGTTAAGTGCTTTTTCTGCATCTATTAAGATAATCACATGGTTTTTCTTCTTTAGTCTGCTAATACGATACATTGATTGCAAGGTTAAACTAACCTTGCATCCTCAGAGTAAACCTCATGTGATCGTGGTGTATTATCTTTATAATATTATTAGAATTTGTTAATATTTTGGTGATAATTTTGCATCTACACTCATGAGAAATATTGATCTGTAGTTTTTAACTTCTAAAAATCCTTGTAATGTCTTCGTTGGATTTTGAAATCAAGGTAATACATCTCTTACAAAATGAGTTGGGAAGTATTCATTCCTTTTCTATATTCTGAAATAAATTGAATAGAGTTGTTACTGTTTCTTCCTTAAGTATTTGTATAGCAGATATGTGGGTCTTTAGAAAATCCAAATAGATAATCTCTGTCTTTTACTTGATGTTTAAGTCATTTACGTTTAACACAATAATTGATATGTTTGGATTTAGGTCTACGTTTTATTGTTGTTTGTTGTCCTCTCTACTTTTGTTTTTCTTTTCTTTTCTGCCTTCTTTTTTTTTCTTAAATTTCTTTTAAATTAATCTACTGGCACTTTTCTTAGTGGTTGCTCTGGAATTGTTAACTTTTCAAAACCCCCAGGTAGTTGCTTTTTGTATTTTGTCTAGAATTTTTAGTTGTAATGGGTGGGAGAGATATGTCGTACTAGGCGTAGTCAATGTTGGCTGCTTACATATTGCCTTTTGAAAAATGCAGTTTTGCTGTTCTTCATCTGTTTTTCTAGAGATCTATCTACTTCGTTCTTTTAAAATGAGTGATTTCTGGTTGTATTGAACATTTCCTTTGGTGGTGGTACTTGTTTTCCTCCTCTGTAAAATTCTGTAGTAGCCTCCCTGGATGCCCTTACTAAATGCCTGTGCATTCTATTTACCAGCTCAGTAAGCTCATCTCCCAAAGCTTCCGTGTATTTTGCTCTTAAAAATTTGCACTTGCAATCTTCAAAGGACTGCTGTTGGGCACTGGAGCCACCTGCTGGTATGGAGAGCTAAAGGTGCCTGAGGCTTACATGCTTCCCACCTCAGACATCCTGTAGCCAGTAACTGGCTAGATACAGTATATCTCAACTCTTTTGCCGTAAGACAGAACAAATCTTCTCTGTATTTACTGTGTTTTCCCACTTCCTTACTTGTTTCTTCTGGGAGTACTTCCTTAATAAACTACTTACATTCTAGTCCTTAACTACGATCATTTTCTTCCTTTTCCTTTTTTGAGTTTAATCTTCTTCTTGAGTTGTATAACATTTATTTTCACTCTTTTTATGTAAATGAATTTATCAAGAACAGTATTGAATTTATTCCACAACTTATGTTTTGTAGAACCCTGTTTTCCTTTAGCCCCTGATATTTTAATGTTTCGGTAATTTGCACTTTTAACACACAAGTAATTTAGGAGTGTAATTTTAAAATATTCTATATTTTTGTCTTTTAATTGTCAATTTCTGAGTTAATTGCATTGGGGTCTGAGAATAATATTTGTTGATATTTGATTTTCTGAAATTTGTTGAGACTTTTGTTGCAAGATTTGTTATTTGTAAGTATTCCTTATCTTCTTGAAAATAATGCACACTTTGTATTTGTTGACGGATTCTTTGTATATCTATTAGACCAAGCTTGCTACGATGTTGTACAAGTTTTCTATGTTATAAGTAATTTTTGTCTGCTGGAGCAATTTCCAATACAGTGAGCCAGAATCTCCCACTCTGATTATAGATTTATCAGTTTCTTCTTAAAATTCTGTCAGTTTTGCTTTACACATTTTTGAGGCTATGTTGCTGTGAGGTACATAAAATTCATGACTGTTATATCTCCTTGGTGAGTCCTTTCCTTTTATAATTACATGGAGTTCTTTATCTCCATAAATGCTTTTTGCCTTAAGTTAGATTTTATCTGCTACTAATATTGCTATTCTGCTTTGTTGTTGTTGTGCCAGCGATATTCTTTCCATTCCTCTATTTTTGACCTTCCTGGGTCATTTATTTTCGTGTGTCTCTTATAAGCAAAATATCACTAGATTAAGAAAAATCCAATTTGTTAGACTCTGTCCTTTAATTTATAACTTAAACCTGTTTATATTTATTACAAGTGCTGACATGATCTATTTGAACTTATTTTTACTGCTTATTTTATGTTTTCTTTTTTTGTTTGTTTTCAACAGGGTCTGATATATGTTTTCTTTACCATTTTATTTTCTTCTCTTCAACTCTTTTCCTCATTTACATTTAATTACTAAAGCTTTCATCACTTTCCTCTCCTGATTTAGAAATTACAGATTTTACTTCTATTTTTTCATGATTATCCATCCTTATTTTTCCTAACTATATTTTTTGAAGTTTAAGTTGCATTATGAAAAACCAAACCAAACAAAAAAAACCCATCAGTATTCTTACTACCAGAAATTAATCACTATAATTAATATCTTGGCATAATTGCCTTAAGGAAATCATTCTATTGCTTTTATAAAAATGAATCATGCATATCATAAAGACGTTAAATGAGGCAAAAATGTACAGTGAAGAAAATCTTTTAAAAAACCCTAAATCTCACTAACTTAGGCAAACATAATTCCAGACACCTATGTATGCTGATAGAAAGTAACATGGATACCTGGACAAATACTTATCTTTATAAAAAATGACCATCTCTAGATGTTATTTCAAAATATAAAGTATTTAATTTTACTTAATAGAAGAAAATGTAAGTGAAGTGAAACTGAGGGAACTGTGAACTTCAAATACATATTTTTTTATGTAAAATTTATTTCCCAGAAAATCCCTTAAAAACAAAAAAGAGAGATTGTGAAACACATCAGGAGTTTATAGTCATTTTTTTAAAAAAAAATTCATTTCAAGTTTCGAGTTTTCTCAAAAGTTTCAAATTTAGTCTATTGGCTCCTTTCTTTGAAAGATGAGATGTTGATTTACTCACCTCCCCGTCATTTTACCATCCTATCTCCCAAGAGTTGTTAGCTTTTTTACTTTTACCTTGTCCAGCTTAATTAATTTCACACTTTGTTCTGTCATCATAATTCCCTGAGTTACTTAATGTTTATCTATATTTAAGTGAACTCTCTGCTCATTCCTCCTTCTTCTACCCCAATGTCTCAATTCCTATGTTTATTTTTACGTATTTCTAATCTGTTAATTGCTTGGATTTAATTGTGAATAGTTCATTTTATTTTCTTGAAAAAGGCTTCTGTGTTCTACATTTCCTGAAGTATTTAACATTTCAGAATGGATGCTTCTTGCCTTTATACATGAATAACTTTGGCTGGGTGTAATATTCTTTGCTGCCTTTTCTTTCCCTCCAAACACAGACATTAATACCTTTTTGTCGGGCTCTGAGTGTTGCTGTAGAGAAGTCAGTGTCTTGCCTGATTTTCCCATTGTGTGTGATTTTTCTCTTTCTGCTTAGATATGTAAAAATTTCTCTCTTAACTTTGAAGTTTAATAACTTAATTGGATGGGCTGTGTCTTTGTGTTGGAATTTCTGTATCAAATGTTGCTAAAACACATTGTGCTATTTTGTTTATTTTGTTTTGTTTTTAGCATGTTCATTTATTTTTTTCAATACAGGGAAAATTTCTTGTATTATATCTTTGAATACATATTTTGTTCTACTTGTTGGATTTTTTTCTTTAGGAACACCAGTTATTCTTAAGATAAACTGTCTGTCTTTTTTTTTTACAGTCAGTGGTTCTCAAATGATTTTAATTTCTTTTTTTTTTTTTTCAAAGTCATAACTCACAAGAGTTACCTTTTATGTATTCCATAAAAATACACTTTTTTTTTTTTTTGCTATCCCTCCCCCCTCCCCCGACCCCACCACAGTCCCCAGAGTGTGATATTCCCCTTCCTGTGTCCATGTGATCTCATTGTTCAATTCCCACCTATGAGTGAGAATATGCGGTGTTTGGTTTTTTGTTCTTGCGATAGTTTACTGAGAATGATGGTTTCCAATTTCATCCATGTCCCTACAAAGGACATGAACTCATCATTTTTTATGGCTGCATAGTATTCCATGGTGTATATGTGCCACATTTTCTTAATCCAGTCTATCATTGTTGGACATTTGGGTTGGTTCCAAGTCTGCTATTGTGAATAATGCCGCAATAAACATACGTGTGCATGTGTCTTTATAGCAGCATGATTTATAGTCATTTGGGTATATACCCAGTAATGGAATGGCTGGGTCAAATGGTATTTCTAGTTCTAGATCCCTGAGGAATCGCCACACTGACTTCCACAATGGTTGAACTAGTTTACAGTCCCACCAACAGTGTAAAAGTGTTCCTATTTCTCCACATCCTCTCCAGCACCTGTTGTTTCCTGACTTTTTAATGATTGCCATTCTAACTGGTGTGAGATGATATCTCATAGTGGTTTTGATTTGCATTTCTCTGATGGCCAGTGATGATGAGCATTTTTTCATGTGTTTTTTGGCTGCATAAATGTCTTCTTTTGAGAAGTGTCTGTTCATGTCCTTCACCCACTTTTTGATGGGGTTGTTTGTTTTTTTCTTGTAAATTTGTTTGAGTTCATTGTAGATTCTGGATATTAGCCCTTTGTCAGATGAGTAGGTTGCGAAAATTTTCTCCCATGTTGTAGGTTGCCTGTTCACTCTGATGGTAGTTTCTTTTGCTGTGCAGAAGCTCTTTAGTTTAATTAGATCCCATTTGTCAATTTTGGCTTTTGTTGCCATTGCTTTTGGTGTTTTGGACATGAAGTCCTTGCCCACGCCTATGTCCTGAATGGTAATGCCTAGGTTTTCTTCTAGGGTTTTTATGGTTTTAGGTCTAACGTTTAAATCTTTAATCCATCTTGAATTGATTTTTGTATAAGGTGTAAGGAAGGGATCCAGTTTCAGCTTTCTACATATGGCTAGCCAGTTTTCCCAGCACCATTTATTAAATAGGGAATCCTTTCCCCATTGCTTGTTTTTCTCAGGTTTGTCAAAGATCAGATAGTTGTAGATATGCGGCATTATTTCTGAGGGCTCTGTTCTGTTCCATTGATCTATATCTCTGTTTTGGTACCAGTACCATGCTGTTTTGGTTACTGTAGCCTTGTAGTATAGTTTGAAGTCAGGTAGTGTGATGCCTCCAGCTTTGTTCTTTTGGCTTAGGATTGACTTGGCGATGCGGGCTCTTTTTTGGTTCCATATGAACTTTAAAGTAGTTTTTTCCAATTCTGTGAAGAAAGTCATTGGTAGCTTGATGGGGATGGCATTGAATCTGTAAATTACCTTGGGCAGTATGGCCATTTTCACGATATTGATTCTTCCTACCCATGAGCATGGAATGTTCTTCCATTTGTTTGTGTCCTCTTTTATTTCCTTGAGCAGTGGTTTGTAGTTCTCCTTGAAGAGGTCCTTCACATCCCTTGTAAGTTGGATTCCTAGGTATTTTATTCTCTTTGAAGCAATTGTGAATGGGAGTTCACTTATGATTTGGCTCTCTGTTTGTCTGTTGTTGGTGTATAAGAATGCTTGTGATTTTTGTACATTGATTTTGTATCCTGAGACTTTGCTGAAGTTGCTTATCAGCTTAAGGAGATTTTGGGCTGAGACAATGGGGTTTTCTAGATAAACAATCATGTCGTCTGCAAACAGGGACAATTTGACTTCCTCTTTTCCTAATTGAATACCCTTTATTTCCTTCTCCTGCCTGATTGCCCTGGCCAGAACTTCCAACACTATGTTGAATAGGAGCGGTGAGAGAGGACATCCCTGTCTTGTGCCAGTTTTCAAAGGGAATGCTTCCAGTTTTTGCCCATTCAGTATGATATTGGCTGTGGGTTTGTCATAGATAGCTCTTATTATTTTGAAATACGTCCCATCAATACCTAATTTATTGAGAGTTTTTAGCATGAAGGGTTGTTGAATTTTGTCAAAGGCTTTTTCTGCATCTATTGAGATAATCATGTGGTTTTTGTCTTTGGCTCTGTTTATATGCTGGATTACATTTATTGATTTGCGTATATTGAACCAGCCTTGCATCCCAGGGATGAAGCCCACTTGATCATGGCGGATAAGCTTTTTGATGTGCTGCTGGATTCGGTTTGCCAGTATTTTATTGAGGATTTTTGCATCAATGTTCATCAAGGATATTGGTCTAAAATTCTCTTTTTTGGTTGTGTCTCTGCCCGGCTTTGGTATCAGAATGATGCTGGCCTCATAAAATGAGTTAGGGAGGATTCCCTCTTTTTCTATTGATTTTCCAATAGAATTTCAGAAGGAATGGTACCAGTTCCTCCTTGTACCTCTGGTAGAATTCGGCTGTGAATCCATCTGGTCCTGGACTCTTTTTGGTTGGTAAACTATTGATTATTGCCACAATTTCAGATCCTGTTATTGGTCTATTCAGAGATTCAACTTCTTCCTGGTTTAGTCTTGGGAGAGTGTATGTGTCGAGGAATGTATCCATTTCTTCTAGATTTGCTAGTTTATTTGCATAGAGGTGTTTGTAGTATTCTCTGATGGTAGTTTGTATTTCTGTGGGATTGGTGGTGATATCCCCTTTATCATTTTTTATTGTGTCTATTTGATTCTTCTCTCTTTTTTTCTTCATTAGTCTTGCTAGCGGTCTATCAATTTTGTTGATCCTTTCAAAAAACCAGCTCCTGGATTCATTGATTTTTTGAAGGGTTTTTTGTGTCTCTATTTCCTTCAGTTCTGCTCTGATTTTAGTTATTTCTTGCCTTCTGCTAGCTTTTGAATGTGTTTGCTCTTGCTTTTCTAGTTCTTTTAATTGTGATGTTAGGGTGTCAATTTTGGATCTTTCCTGCTTTCTCTTGTAGGCATTTAGTGCTATAAATTTCCCTCTACACACTGCTTTGAATGCGTCCCAGAGATTCTGGTATGTGGTGTCTTTGTTCTCGTTGGTTTCAAAGAACATCTTTATTTCTGCCTTCATTTCGTTATGTACCCAGTAGTCATTCAGGAGCAGGTTGTTCAGTTTCCATGTAGTTGAGCGGCTTTTAGTGAGATTCTTAATCCTGAGTTCTAGTTTGATTGCACTGTGGTCTGAGAGATAGTTTGTTATAATTTCTGTTCTTTTACATTTGCTGAGGAGAGCTTTACTTCCAACTATGTGGTCAGTTTTGGAATAGGTGTGGTGTGGTGCTGAAAAAAATGTATATTCTGTTGATTTGGGGTGGAGAGTTCTGTAGATGTCTATTAGGTCCGCTTGGTGCAGAGCTGAGTTCAATTCCTGGGTATCCTTGTTGACTTTCTGTCTCGTTGATCTGTCTAATGTTGACAGTGGGGTGTTAAAGTCTCCCATTATTAATGTGTGGGAGTCTAAGTCTCTTTGTAGGTCACTCAGGACTTGCTTTATGAATCTGGGTGCTCCTGTATTGGGTGCATAAATATTTAGGATAGTTAGCTCCTCTTGTTGAATTGATCCCTTTACCATTATGTAATGGCCTTCTTTGTCTCTTTTGATCTTTGTTGGTTTAAAGTCTGTTTTATCAGAGACTAGGATTGCAACCCCTGCCTTTTTTTGTTTTCCATTGGCTTGGTAGATCTTCCTCCATCCTTTTATTTTGAGCCTATGTGTGTCTCTGCACGTGAGATGGGTTTCCTGAATACAGCACACTGATGGGTCTTGACTCTTTATCCAACTTGCCAGTCTGTGTCTTTTAATTGCAGAATTTAGTCCATTTATATTTAAAGTTAATATTGTTATGTGTGAATTTGATCCTGTCATTATGATGTTAGCTGGTGATTTTGCTCATTAGTTGATGCAGTTTCTTCCTAGTCTCGATGGTCTTTACATTTTGGCATGATTTTGCAGTGGCTGGTACTGGTTGTTCCTTTCCATGTTTAGCGCTTCCTTCAGGAGCTCTTTTAGGGCAGGCCTGGTGGTGACAAAATCTCTCAGCATTTGCTTGTCTATAAAGTATTTTATTTCTCCTTCACTTATGAAGCTTAGTTTGGCTGGATATGAAATTCTGGGTTGAAAATTCTTTTCTTTAAGAATGTTGAATATTGGCCCCCACTCTCTTCTGGCTTGTAGGGTTTCTGCTGAGAGATCCGCTGTTAGTCTGATGGGCTTTCCTTTGAGGGTAACCCGACCTTTCTCTCTGGCTGCCCTTAACATTTTTTCCTTCATTTCAACTTTGGTGAATCTGACAATTATGTGTCTTGGAGTTGCTCTTCTCAAGGAGTATCTTTGTGGCGTTCTCTGTATTTCCTGAATCTGAATGTTGGCCTGCCTTGCTAGATTGGGGAAGTTCTCCTGGATAATATCCTGCAGAGTGTTTTCCAACTTGGTTCCATTCTCCACATCACTTTCAGGTACACCAATCAGACGTAGATTTGGTCTTTTCACATAGTCCCATATTTCTTGGAGGCTTTGCTCATTTCTTTTTATTCTTTTTTCTCTAAACTTCCCTTCTCGCTTCATTTCATTCATTTCATCTTCCATTGCTGATACCCTTTCTTCCAGTTGATCGCATCGGCTCCTAAGGCTTCTGCATTCTTCACGTAGTTCTCGAGCCTTGGTTTTCAGCTCCATCAGCTCCTTTAAGCACTTCTCTGTATTGGTTATTCTAGTTATACATTCTTCTAAATTTTTTTCAAAGTTTTCAACTTCTTTGCCTTTGGTTTGAATGTCCTCCCGTAGCTCAGAGTAATTTGATCATCTGAAGCCTTCTTCTCTCAGCTCGTCAAAATCATTCTCCATCCAGCTTTGTTCCATTGCTGGTGAGGAACTGCGTTCCTTTGGAGGAGGAGAGGCGCTCTGCGTTTTAGAGTTTCCAGTTTTTCTGTTCTGTTTTTTCCCCATCTTTGTGGTTTTATCTACTTTTGGTCTTTGATGATGGTGATGTACAGATAGGTTTTCGGTGTAGATGTCCTTTCTGGTTGTTAGTTTTCCTTCTAACAGACAGGACCCTCAGCTGCAGGTCTGTTGGAATACCCTGCCGTGTGAGGTGTCAGTGTGCCCCTGCTGGGGGGTGCCTCCCAGTTAGGCTGCTCGGGGGTCAGGGGTCAGGGACCCACTTGAGGAGGCAGTCTGCCCGTTCTCAGATCTCCAGCTGCGTGCTGGGAGAACCACTGCTCTCTTCAAAGCTGTCAGACAGGGACACTTAAGTCTGCAGAGGTTACTGCTGTCTTTTTGTTTGACTGTGCCCTGCCCCCAGAGGTGGAGCCTACAGAGGCAGGCAGGCCTCCTTGAGCTGTGGTGGGCTCCACCCAGTTGGAGCTTCCTGGCTGCTTTGTTTACCTAAGCAAGCCTGGGCAATGGCGGGCGCCCCTCCCCCAGCCTCGTTGCCGCCTTGCAGTTTGATCTCAGACTGCTGTGCTAGCAATCAGCGAGATTCCGTGGGTGTAGGACCCTCTGAGCCAGGTGTGGGATATAGTCTCGTGGTGCGCCATTTTTTAAGCCGGTCTGAAAAGCGCAATATTCGGGTGGGAGTGACCCGATTTTCCAGGTGCGTCCATCACCCCTTTCTTTGACTCGGAAAGGGAACTCCCTGACCCCTTGCGCTTCCCAGGTGAGGCAATGCCTCGCCCTGCTTCGGCTCGCGCACGGTGCGCGCACACACTGGCCTGCGCCCACTGTCTGGCACTCCCTAGTGAGATGAACCAGGTACCTCAGATGGAAATGCAGAAATCACCCGTCTTCTGCGTCGCTCACGCTGGGAGCTGTAGACCGGAGCTGTTCCTATTCGGCCATCTTGGCTCCTCCCCTAATTTCTTTTTTATATGCACTCATTTTTATTATGTCAGTTACATATTATATCATTTTCTCTATGTCAGTAATTAGATTATCAGTCATGCCTATTCTGTTTCTCTGTAGTAATGCTATTTGGGATTTAATTTTGTTTCCCAAGTTTCTAATCTCTTTTTCCATATTGTTCTGTAGCTTTATCATCTCATCTTTGAATTTTAATTTTGTTGAATTCATGTTTCTATTAAATTTTTCCCTAATTTTAATCAGTTGTGGGTAATTTTCTTCTGTTCCCTGAGTAATGTTTTTGTATAGGTTGGACTCCTTGACTGCTGCGTTCCTATCTCTCTTCTTTGTCTTTTGTGCTCACATGGCTTCCACGCTGAGACATTTCATCTAGTTCATGAGTGCCAACTCTGTCTAGGCATCCTCTTTGCTTCGAATATTGTACCTGAGACCTCCTGGTCCTCCCTCTTAGCTACAGTGTAATGGCTGCATAGTTTCTTTCTATTCACTGTTTGAGATGGTGGAAAAGGCAGAGTAAGAGTGCCTCTGGGTGGTATGCAGGCTTTGTCAGACGATACCATTTATGTGGAGGATGCCCTAGGCTTTGGAACATTTCCCCATTCAGTAGGTGTCCTTGGGCCTTCATTCTGATACATGGGAGGCTCAGCCCTGTTGTTCACTCTCCCAGTCCCCTACATCTCCTCGAAAACATTTTCCACTCCGTTAGGGTGAGAAAACAAACAAACAAAAAGTAATGATGTAGTATTAGTTTGTTCTCATGCTGTTATAAAGACATATGCGAGACTGGGTAATTTATAAAGAAAAAAGGTTTAATTGGCACAAAGTTCTGCAGGCTGTACAGGCTTCTGCTTCTGAGGAGGCCTCAGGAAACTTCCAATCATGGAGAAAGGCAAAGGGGAAGCAGGCACTTATTCACATGGCTGGCAGGAGACAGAGAGAAAATAAAGGGGGAAGTGCTACACAGTTTCAAACAACCAGCTCTTCTGAGAACTCACTCACTATCATGAGAAAAGCAAGGGGGAAATCTGCTTCCATGATCCAGTCACCTCCCTCCAGGTCCCTCCTCCAACACTGGGGATTACAATTTGACATGAGATTTGAGTGGGGACACAGAGCCAAAGCATATAAAATGCCTTCTTAGCTCAGGTCTACAGAAAAAGCATCTGAAATGAGGTTTGTGTGTTACGGTTTGAATGTGTCTCCTAGAGTTCATATGTTAAAAACTTAATCCCCAGTGTAACAGTATGGAGAGGTGGGATGGTATGAAATGATTAGGTCATGAGGGCTCTGCCTTCATGAATAGACTAACGTTGTTATCAGAGGAGTGAGTACCTTACTGAGAAAGAATTTTTATAAAAACAAATTCAGCTCCTTCTTGCACTCTCTCTCACCAATATGATGCCCTGTACCATGTTATGGCCCAACACAAAGGCCCTCACCAGATGTCAGTGCTGTGCCATTGGACTTCACAGTCACTAAAATCATGAGAAATAAGTTTCAGTTGTTTATAAGCTACCCAGTTTATGGTATTCTGTTATAGCAGCATGAAATGGATTAAGATAATGTGCAAGTAGTTTATTATGGTAATGCTCCTAGGGAGCGTGCTAGGGAGGTGGGGCAGGGAAGGGAGGAAGCCAGCAAGATGTGATCTCAGGCAGAGTCCCACAGAGGGTGGCCTCAGCCTGATTCCACAGGGAGTTCTGCAGTGGAAGTATGCTTCAGCATTGTGCAGATTCAGGTCTAGGAGATAGAGGATGGGTGCCCAAACATGGTAAAAAGGAGTTTGGGTAAAGGACTGCATGATCCAACCTTTCAAATCCTTCTACATCACTCCATTCTGTTATGAATTTGGTAAGGGAGTGATGGCTTCAAATTTCTGGGAAAAAAATACTTAAAAGAAGAGGACAAGTCAGACAAACTATGATCTTCACTACAACAGTTGGTTTTGAGGCTGTACTGGATACTCAGCAGCTCCCTCCTCAGCCACCCACTGTAGATTCTCTTCTCCTGGTCTCAGTGGCTTGCCTAGACTTGACCTTTATCTCCTGTGGTGTCTGAACGTATTCTTTCAGGCTATATTGGTATAATTGCCATCCATAATCACTGTATGTGGGCACCAACAGATGTCTCAGTGGATTCCTATGTCCCAAATTTACTTTTTCCTGTTCCCACTCTGTATCATGAACCCTATCTCCTCCTGACAATCCTGCCAGTATGGGAAATCCTTTCTTTTCCTGCTGACCTACTGGTATGGGAGCCCCAAATGACCGGGTGACAGCTGTACTTTCACATTTAGTGGGACTTTTACAATGTCTCCGGGTGGAAACTTCATCTTCAGGGAAACAAGACCTCTAAAGTTGGGAGGGGGTAAATGGAAGGTCACTGGGAGTGAGGTACAGCAGGGTATGCCCACTGTCACCCCTTGGTTCCTGAATCCACACCTCTTCTCTATTGAAGACACATGATGGCCTTTGAGTCAAGATATATTCTGCATCTCAGGGACTGTATCCTAGATTTTTTGGGGTTATCTCCAAGTGAACACCTCAGGCTGGCAGCTTCTAGGTGATAGGATGTGTTTTCCTTTGTCATAAAGTGGGTCTTTTGGTGCAAGTTGATACCATGTGCAATCCAATGACCAATCATGTACTTGCCCCTTGGATAGTGGTCCTGGCTGAGACATTATGAGCAAAAAAGGCAAAGCGATTCTGGAACTATGTTTTAGTTCCTTTCAGGATGAATCACTTTTTCCAGGGTAGAAGAAGTTGTATATAATTAACTTGACACAACATTAACTTGTCTTGGTAGTTTCCTGGAGGGTGACACTGTATCGAAGGTTTCTGCTGACTGGCTGAGCATTTATTTACTGGGCAGATTCGGGGTGGCTGATGGTGCTGCTGGACACCTCTGAGTAAGAGCTCCCATGTACCTGGTTGTCTAATGCCTCCCTTGAAGTGGCTGCTTGTGGTGGGCATTGATGTGTGATCCCAAAATCCACACACTTGACTTGCATAGTTCTAGCCACATGACGCTTGCCAAAATCTCCTTGTTCTCAATCTTTCTTTCTTTTCTTTTCTTTCTTTCTTTTTTTTTTTTTGAGATGGAGTCTCGCTCTGTTGCCCAGGCTGGAGTGCAGTGGCGCGACCTTGGCTCACTGCAAGCTCCACCTCCCGGGTTCACGCCATTCTCCTGCCTCAGCCTCCCGAGTAGCTGGGACTATAGGCACCTGCTACCACGCCTGGCTAATTTTTTGTATTTTTAGTAGAGATGGGGTTTCACCATGTTGGCCAGGATGGTCTCGATCTCTTGACCTCATGATCCACCTGCTTTGGTCTCCCAAAGTGCTGGGATTACAGGCGTGAGCCACCGTGCCCAGCCTGTTCTCAATCTTTCAATCTTGCTCTTTTGAGAGTCTGTCTAGTCAGTCAGAAAACAGATAATTCACACTGCTTGGGAATATATGTATTTCGGGCCATTTCTCTCTCCATGCAATTGAGAGATGGAGAGTGGATGACTGCCTGGACTCTCAGGGCCACCCCTGAGTGCAGCTGCAGTGCAGTAGAAGTTCACTTTCATCTTGCATTGCCATGCAGGGCAGACTCATCCTGGTTTTTGCCTCCGTTGTCAGCTGGTTGTAGAGATCACCCCCTCCCACCCCAAAGAGGCCATACGGTGAGCTGAGGGAGATGCATTGGCATGACATAGGTGGGTGACATGAGGGTCTGGGCCAGCAGTTTGTATTGCTTGCTTGTGTTTTTGAACCTGCTTGTGCTTGCTCCTGGATGTATAACTCCCACACATGAATTACTGCTTAATCCACCCAATACATGACTTGTTGGTTCAAAGAGCACCCAGCTTGGTACAAGAGCTCTGGTTGCAGTCACTTGATGTTCCATGGTCAGGGGCTCAGGTTTTATGTGGCTTTTATATTTTGGGAGCAGATTTTTGCATAAGGTATATTTGACTGCAGCAGACAACATGGCTTTCTCCAAAGCCACAGGAATCTGTACTATAACTCTCCTGTTGGGGCTTTCCAGAGACCTGACCCTGCACCTTTATCTACCACAGATATTTCTAGTACCATAGGATCTGCTGAATCGTATGACCCAAGTGTCAGCTCTGCTTGCACTATATTCTGGACCTGCTGCAGAGCCTTCTCTTAATCTGGACCCTGCAGAGTTTGTCTTCCAACCTCTGCAAGACTATTGTGGAGAAATGTGATTTTCTGTGAAATGTCCAGATGTTCAAGGTCACCTTAGGCTGTACTGTGACAGATAGAAGGAGAGCTGGCATAGCCACAGGAGAAGACTATGGATGTATATTCTCACCCATCCTGTGTGAGTGAAACTGCCTCTTATGCTCCTTGATGAAGATTCAAACAAGTCCAGTAGATCAATAGCTGCATTACTACATAGCAGAAGCTGTGTTGATCTGTTCTAGGTAAACACACCATATCTGGCAAAGTAGCTGTGACTGGGGTTACACTTGGTTAAGTCTGAGTGGTCCATCCTCATCCACCATGATTCATGTGGATTTTGCAAGTTCCAGACTTATGAATTAAGTGGGAGGACATAAGGGAATTCCATGCCAATCTGTCCTTTAAGTCTTTGAGAATAACACTCATTTCTACCTCTACTCCCAGATGTGGTATTAGTTTTTTTTGTTTTTTTGGATGAAGTCTTGCTCTTGTCACCCAGGCTGGAGTGCAATGGTATGATCTCAGCTCACTGCAACTTCCGCCTCCCAAGTTCAAGCGATTCTCCTGCCTCAGCCTCCTGAGTAGCTGGGATTATAGGCTCCTGCCACCACACCCTGCTAATTTTGGTACTTTTAGTAGAGACGGGGTTTCGCCATGTTGGCCATGCTGGTCTCGAACTCCTGACCTCAGGTCATTCGCCCGCCTCGGCCTCCCAAAGTGTTGGGATTACAGGCGTGAGCCCCCGCGCCTGGCCCGTGGTATTAGTTTTGATTGCTTGGGTCAGGGGGCAATTTCAGGAGCTGGCGTTCGGCCTTTCCTACTATGTTAGCTGCTAGGTATGTCCATCCTGGTGATGTGTTCCGGAATGGAGGAAATGCCCACTTGGTGGGTCTGTGGACCTGCGGGACCCACTGAGAGAAAGACTGGACTGCATTCACTGCTTGCACTCACATACCTTCACCTTAATGCGGGGTGGAGGGCATTTGTGTTTTGAGCCTTCAGGTATGAATGTTAGCTCTGATGCTGTATCCAACAGCACACTGAAGATATAAACTTCTTCCCTTTTCCAAGGCACAATTACTTGTAACAGGGGTAACTGCTGTTGTTTATACCTCCTGTGGCATCGCAGTGTCTTTTCTCAAGAGAGCCTCTCCTTCAATTGATGGGTCCTGTGTCTGAGAACTGACTGACATGTAACTTACTGCCCACTGGTACGTTTAATCTCCTTTCTTTGCTCATTTTTATCCATTCTTGATCAATACCTTTGTCAGCCACATGGAGTCACTAAGTACACCATGGTCATCACACATCCCTGTAGGTAACATTCCCCTGGTTGCCATCCTGACCTCAGTGTCTACCTTGCCTCTAATGATTAAGTGCTGCTATATGGCCTCCACAGTTCCAGAACCCTTTTGTCCTTGGTGATTCTAGAAAGCTCCACTCCATGACAAGACTTCCTATTATCAGCATAGCTTAGAGCAGATAGATACTACTGAGCTTAAGATGCCTCCTCAGTCTCCCCTCTTTCCATCTTTCTTCCTTCCCCAGTTCCTTCCCACCTCCTCAGTGAGGGAAGTTTCCTCTGAATTCTCTCAGGAAACATATGATGAGAACTCAGATCTTATGTAACAGATCCATGGTAACATGGCCACTTCTCTGGGATCACAAGAACTGAACCCCTTACCTGACACTCCAGCAAGGCTTTCTTCACATCCCCTCCACATTTTATTTATGGTAAGGTATTTTTCTTCAAGAGACTAAGAACCATTCAGAAATTGCTAGGACTGACTCCCAGGACCTTGACCAAGTGTTGAATTTCTCATCCAGCCTCAAATTCTGTGCCCTTTTTCATACCCACTCTTGGTTCAGTGGCCTTAAGACCCACTTCCAGGCAAGCTCTCTTGATTCCTATGGGTTCATATCAGCCAGGTATTTTTAAAAATTTTTTAAATTTTAAAATTTTTAATGTCCATAGGTTATTGGGAAACAGGTGGTGTTTGATTACGTTAGTTAAGCTGTTTAGTGGTGATTTGTGAGATTTTGGTGCACTCATCACCCGAGCAGTATACACTGCACCCAATTTGTAGTCTTTTATCTCTCACCTCTTCCCACCCTTTCCCCTTGAGTCCCCAAAGTCCATTGTGTCATTCTTAATGCCTTGGCATCCTCATAGTTTAGCTTCCACTTATGAGTGAGAACATACGATGTTTGGTTTTCCATTCCTGAGGTACTTCACTTAGAATAATAGTCTCCAATCTCATTCAGGTTGCTGCGAATGCCATTAATTCATTCCTTCTTATGGCTGAGTAGTATTCCATTGTATAGCTATACCACAGTTTCTTTATCCATGATGGGCATTTGGGCTGGTCCCACAATTTTGCAATTGCAAATTGTGCTGCTATAAACATGCATGTGCAAGTTATCTTTTTCACATAATGACTTCTTTTCCTCTGGGTATATTCCCAGTAGTGGAATTGCTGGATAAAATGGTGGTTCTACTTTAGTCCTTTAAGGAATCTCCATACTGTTTTCCATAGTGGTTGTACTAGTTTACATTCCCACCATAGTGGTTGTACTAGTTTATAGTAGTGTAGAAGTGTTCCCTGTTCACCACGTCCATGCCAACATCTATTTTTTGATGTGTTGATTACTGGCCAGACATTTTTGTTCAATCGCCCTTCTTTTACTTTAGGAGGGCCAGTATTTCCTAGTTAGACCTTACTGAGACTCCACCCTGGTTATTGTTCTTGTGGCCAGTGGGGGTGAGGGTAGAGTATGGTGAAGGAAGATCTTGAGGAGGAAAGACAGTCTTACAAGAGATTGTCACCACTGAGGCCTCTGAGTAGATTTCAAGCAAGGGCATTTGCTGTCTCCCGCAAAGGAATAGCCCACCACTTCTGCAGGTAGAGAGAGTTCCAGGGAATCTGGAGGTTTAGTGTTTTCAACTCTCCACCCAGATGTCTCTACCCCATTTCAGGGTCCCAATTCTGTCCTGTCAAGACCTTAATTTTGGCATATGGGACCCCACTTCTCTCTGAAGCGTTGCTCTCTTTCACTCAGATTCTAGGTTCCATCTTCTGGATGGTCTGCTATCTGACCATGGGAAGGATGATTTATTTAAGCATTGTCATGGAGGCCTTTTGCCTATCATCCATGCCTTAAATTGGTAATTGACTGACTTGAGTCTGTAATTTTAATCTTCAATGTATCAATAACATTTAGCAGCACCCAACGAATTCCACAGATATCAGACTTTCTACTTCTTTGATATCGCTCAGATCCTAGATGTGGCAATCATCTAGTGCATCCCCTTTCACCCGCTCACAGTCCGTCATACTTTTTCCCAGCTACCTTTCCCATGTTCAGGGGACAGCTTCAGCCGGTGGGCTCACACAGTGGCTTTCAGTTATGCCCTTGCCTCCCAGAGGTTACTCGTAGTCCCACCACTCCTCACAATAGGAACTTCAGGGATTCAGCCACTGGAGTTCTGCCACTTTTTGTTTTCAAATCATATCTTATTCTTGCAGTGTTTGTTTTTGAAGATGGCTATGTATTTTACAACTTCTTGAATTACATTTTGCTTTTCATACTGGCATGAGTTTGAAGCAGGGATGCCTCCAAACAGAAACATATAACCCAATCCTGAGTGGGTCAGTCTTTTTCTATATCTACATTTAAAAGTAGCCAATGCTTCTAAGGTACCTAAATCTCAATTGTGCATTTTGGTATGTGGCTTTGTCATTATTATTGAGTGGTTGTTTATTATAATTTTTTGAGAGCCTATATGCCAGTCACTGTGCTAAGCACTTTACAAGGATCATTTCACTTAATCTTTACTATATATAATCTTCACTTTATTTTATAGATGAAAAAACAGAGGCTTAGAAGGTAAGCTAGAAAATTACAGTGAATGAAAGAGCAAGATTAGACCTCAGATTTTGTGACTCCATATCTGATGTTCTTTATTCCACTTAGCTGTCTCTCCATTCACTCACATACTCACTCACTCACTCATTCACTTACTCATTCACTTGAATATTGGGCGTCCATTCTCAATCAAGTCAGTTACATCAGTTCTCAGTCTCTATCTATGCCCGCTTGTTTTCAAGTGTGTTGGTGCTGATTTGCTGCCTCGATAGTGGAGTCCTTGAATTTATGAGAATGCCTGGGTGGAGCCCGCATCCTTGTAATTGGCAGAGGGGTCAGGACATGTGTTTTGCCCCATGGACAGTTGTGCAAGTTAATGTAATGTTCTCTCTCAAGCCTGGAGCATGCTTTGGTGGAATTCAGTGCAGTGTTTGCATGGAATCATAACAAGGTCTGTATTTGATTTTCAGCCAATATTGACTGAAGTCCCACAGAGCGCTCTCAGACCTGAATTAGGGGGGGCCTATGTAACTAATATACATAATTTTTCCAACGAGACTCATGAAGGTTTTCCTGGAACTGCTGCTGATGGAATGCCTGGCACAGTGGTGGGACTTCTCACCCACAGGAGAGGAGACCATTTTCTGCAAAGTGAAACACTTGCCAAGCACCCTGACTCACTGCCTGGGGGCGCTGGGGCAGGCTGGAAGCACCCCCATTTTACAGAATAAACCCAGGTCTGCAGTAATGGGAGCTTTCCTCAAAGTCATAGAGCTGGGCCCTGCAGGCTAAGTCCTTGCCTCCACACCTCTGATCTCTTGGCGGCTCTCCTGACGGTCCCATGTAGACAGATTGATTATGGTAGACTCTCAACTGGGGGACCCAGCCTGTGTTCATGGAGGGAAGGCAGTGCTGGGCCTTATTTTAGGGTTGGCCAGAGTAATGCTTGTGCCACAACTAGAAATCCAAAACCTGCAGTCCTGTGTTGAGAGAGAGATTGGGAGGAAGGCTGTTGGGGTCCAGTGTGTGGCCTGGATGGCCTTGGAGGAGAACTGGAAACACAATTTCGTCTTTGGTTTTTAGAGATAGAGTCTTGCTCTGTTGCCCAGGCTAGAGTGCAGTGGGGCAATCATAGCTCAATGCAGCCTCCAATTCCCGGGCTCAAGTGAGCCCTCACACCTCAGCCTCCCCAGTAGCTGGAACTACAGGCATGTGCCACCGAGCCTGGTCAATTTTAAATAATTTTTTGTAGAGATGGGGTCTCGCCGTGTTGCTCAGGCTGGTCTTGGGCTCCTGGTCTCAAGTGATCCTCCTGCCTTGGCCTCCTGAAGTGCTGGGATTATAGGCATGAGCCACTGCACCCGGCACCATGTTTGGCTTTTAAATAGAGTGTGGGGCTAAGGCAAATATTGAAGTTAACAGAAGTGTGTTCTTTATAATCAAGTGAAGAGAGAAGAGAAGATTCTTCAGTTGAATGGAGACTTTCCCTTTAGGCAGGTAGAGAGATGACACTTTTGCTCATGTCCAGATACTGAAACCTCAAGATGTCAGGAAAGCCATGGGGACACGGAGATCCCAGATCCGCTCAAGATCTGGGTCGGGGCCTCTTTGAGCTTGTGTAAAGATGGCTTTGCTGAGGGATGTTCTGGCCCAGCCCCACGCGGCAGGCTTGAATGAGCCCCTGACCTGAGCTCCAGGGCCTCTGGACAAGGGGGCACATGGCAGAGGGTGGCACAGGCAGGACACTGGGCCAAATAAATTGTAAAAGTAGACAGACCTGGGTGTAAACTGCCTTCTGCTACTTACTAGTTCTGCAACTTTGAGCAAATTCCTTAACCTTTCTGAGACTCAATTTCCTCCACTGTAAAATAGAGGAAGTGGTAGCAACAGTCTCACAGTGTAAAT
The DNA here is from genome assembly GCF_000001405.40 of Homo sapiens. Taxonomy (NCBI): domain Eukaryota; kingdom Metazoa; phylum Chordata; class Mammalia; order Primates; family Hominidae; genus Homo; species Homo sapiens. Next base: position 29,449,316 of record NC_000019.10, on the reverse strand, counting down.
GGAAGGATTAACTAGAATAATAAAGGCAAAATTCTCAGTCTCATGCCCGACACAGACAAAGTGCACAGTAAAGGCCAGTGGTTGGTGTCATTACTTCCACTGTGCTTACCGTGGGGTTTTCAGATCACAGCGTGATGATCACACCTTCCCTCTTGTTTGCCCAAAAGGGGACATTGTCTCTCTGTGGATCCTGCCATCTTCTTGCTGAGGATATCTGGGGAGAAACTTGCTCTTCACACTGTACCTGGGGGAGTCCCTGTTGCTTTGGCCAATTTTCCTCCCACTGTCATTGGAGCAAAGCTTTCTGAATAAGTACTTACTCCTCAGGTGTGCGGACTGCTGGTATTATTTGTGGATACCATTTCTTCTCATTAGTTGGCAACACGAGATGTTTAAAGGAAGCATGTGCTGGGAAGTGTTGGCAAATCTTTAACCAATGGCTCTGTTCATTGCCCTGCAATGCCTTCTGCCTATGAACGCACATAGTAGTGACTGTATTAGTCCATTTGGCATTGCTATAAAGGAATCCCTGAGGCTGGGCAATTTATTTTTAAAAAGAGGATTATTTGGCGTATGGTTCTGCAGGCACCAGCATCTTCTTCTGGAGAGGCCTCAGGAAGTTTCTAATCTTGGTGGAAAGTGGAGGGGGAGCAGGCACATCATGTGACGAGAGAGGGAGAAGGAGGTGCCAGTCTCCTTTAAACTCCTGAACTAATAGAGCGAGAAGTCACTCATGACCACGAGGAGGGCACCAAGCCATTCATGAGGGATCTGCCCCAATAATCCAAATGCCTCCTACCAGGCCTCACCTCCAACATTGGAGGTCACATTTATTTTAACATGAGATTTGGAGAGGACAATATCCAAACTATACTAAAGACCAAGGCATTTTATCCAAACTATATCAATAACCAACCACACAGGAAACAGACACGATATGAGTTAAGGGTTCTTGGGACAAGCAAATTTACATAAGGGTCATATGTGGGTAAACCCGAAAACCATGGGGCTTTGGAAGTTGAGAGGCAGGGTGACCGAAGAAATTGCCAGCAGCTGGTCAGCGCGGCTGTTGTCTCCTGGCGATGGGAACCACGCCTCACGGGCCAGCTTACCTGGGTCTTGACTCTGATATCAAGAGACAATACATCTTAGCATGAATCCCTGGTGCTAAGTCAGATAATGAGCCATCCCTTGATCAAATAGAAGATTCTAGGTCACCTCTGGTTTCCTATACTAAGGCTCCTTCAAGAAGATGACTGGGGTTTTGGTAACGACCATATGTCCAGGATTGGGCTGTAGCACACTTGTGTACTGCAGCCATGGTTTGCTGTGTCAGGGAGCTTCCTTAGCTGCCCAGGTTGGCCAGAACCTTGAAAACTCAGGTCCAATAGCAATCCAGTGTCCACAGGGGAAGCCCACTTCCCAGTGACATCACAATTAGTACAGAAGGCTTGATCCCACGGCTGTCTTCATTTGGCTGTTGCTCTGAAAGAATCCTGCAGTATTCCAGGAGGTGGTCAACACCAGCATTGTCCCTGACAGAACCATTTGAATCCCAGGACAGGATCTGGCCATATCCCATCTTCGGTCATCTAACATTGGGAGATTCTGAAATGCCAGCCAGGGGACGATGGAACCCAAGAGAACAGAGCATGCCAGCTGGGGAGCATCTGCTATTGTTCCAAGTCTAACACTCAGTCACTGCTTCAGCTGAGGCTGGGAAAGGCAGCCAGAGGGTTAGAAGGGGAGAGGGGGAGAGAGAGAGAGAGAGAGAGAGAGAGAGAGAGAGAGGGAGAGAGAGAGAGAGAGAGAGAGAGAGAGAGAGAGAGAGAGCGAGCGCGAGCGCATGTGAGTGAGATCCCAGGAGCCGTGGGAAAAATGCTTCTCAGAAAGCCTGTCTCTGGGTCCTTGTGCACAGTGAGGGACTGGGGCAGGGAGCTTTGCTCGTCTTCCCTCCTGGGCCAAGCCTGGAGGCTTGGTTCCTCCTTCCCAAGGCTACCTGCTCCAGAGACAGGTCCATTCTTTCAAGCCTGAAGCAGGAGGCGCCATCAACAGGGATGGAGCCTCAGACTCAGGGATGCACTAGGCTGTTATTTTTAGGTGTCCACAGTAGAGATTCAGAAAATGTGTTCAGTGAAGCCAGAACAGGCTGTGTAGGGACCAGAAAACAGAGAAACTTCTCATCATGGCTGTGGACTGTTAGTTCATGGGGCTGTTGAGAAGAGGAGAAGAGGCATCCCTTGGGCAGGTGAAACACTGCCACTTCACACCCCACTGACCCCTACTATCAACTACAGGAGGGATTCTGTGTTTTGCTAAAGGAATTCTTCAGTTCTGGTCACAACATTTATTGAAAACAGTAGTGCTCCGTAATGCTTGTTGAGTGGAAACTGAATGAATACATGCGTGAATGCATGAATCCAGGACAGCTGGGCTCTTGTCGTTAGTTAATCCATTCATTCCACGCACATCGATTGAATGCTACTGTGACAAGCAAGCGCCCCTGCCAGGAGAGCCCAGTCTCTGTGCTGTGGACAGGGTGGGCTGTGATTCTCTGACATGGCCCCAGGCCCTGGGCAGCCGCCTCTTGGGGTTGGCCAATTAATTAAGGAGCTCTCTGAAATCTAAAGGACATACATGCATTTGCTCTTCTGACACATCCTTGGGGTGGTAGCTGTTTTATTATATTGGATAAACTCGCTGGCTGAAATGGCTGCCAGCAGGCAGCAGGAGCCACCCGTGAAACAGAACAAGTATATGGGAGGACAGAGCCACTGCCTGGGGAGGGACAGGACAGAAACGGCTGTCTGGGAGCAGGATGGCCTGACAGCTGGGAGCTCTGGAGTGGGAGGAGTGGAGCCATCATCTGCTCTTGGTACTTTAATGATAAGCCATGGGGAGCAGGCTAGAGCAGGAGCCCAGAGGTGAGGTTGCTGGGGCTTGTTGCTCTGTACCATTCAGGCCTCCTAGACATTCACACAGAACTGCAAGATGGATGCAAGGAGCTTGGTTGGAGGCCTCCTGCAAGGAAAAGCTGAACCCTCAGGCCAGGAGCAGTGGCTCACACCTCTAATCCCAGCACTTTGGGAGGCTGAGGCAGGCAGATCATCCGACGTTGGGAGTTTGAGACCAGCCTGGCCAACACTGGTGAAACCCTGTCTCTACTAAGAATACAAAAATTAGCCAGGCATGGTGGCACATGCCTGTAATCACCTAGTCGGGAGGCGGAGGCAGGAGAATCACGTGAATCTGGGAGGTAGAGGTTGCAGTGAGTCAAGATCACACCACTGTACTCCAGCCTGGGCTACAGAGCAAGATTCCCTCTCAAAAACAAAACAAAACAAAACACAACACAACAAACCAGCCTGGCCAACATGGTGAAACCCTGTCTCCACTAAAAATACAAAAATTAGCCGGATGTGGTAGCCCATGCCTGTACTCCCAGCTACTTGGGAGGTTGGGGTGGGAGAATTGCCTGAACTCAGGAGGCAGAGGTTGCAGTGAGCCAAAATCCTGCCATTGCACTCCAGCCTGGGTGACAGAGTGAGACCCTGTCTCAAACAAAACAAAACAACAAACAAACAGAACCAGAAACAAAAAAAAAACGAGCCCTTATCAAGACAACAGATGGCCATTTAAAACTGAAGGGCACCTGAGACCTTATTCCACTTGTTGTCTGGTAAATAAAATTGCCCACCATTTATTGAGCACCGACTGTATGCACCTCACATGCATTGTCCCGTTTACTTCCTCCAGTGACCCTGCAAGGTAGACCCTGTTACTATCCTCATGTTAAAGGTGAGGAGACTGAGGCATAAGAAGGTTGGCGAGTGGCAGAGCTGGAAGCCTCTAACCCACATCTGCTGACTCAGGAACTCTGCACAGAACCTGGACATTTGCTGTCTCTAGGAGCCTCTTCTCAGCTTCCACCTCCTTCCCAAAGAGTGGAGAGAAGTAGGGATGGGAGAGAACCAACACAGCACTCCAGAACACTGGGAAGTCAAGTCATTTGCTGTAGAACCTTTAGAACCCCATGTCCATAATCCCAGTACTTCTGGAGGCTGAGGTACGAGGATCCCTTGAGGCCAGGAGTTCAAGGCTAGTCTTGGAAACATAAGGAGGCCCTGTCTCTGCAAAAAATAGAAAAATAAAATAAAATTAGCTGGGCATGGTGGCTGTAGTCCTAGCTACTCAGGAGGCTGAGGCAGGAGGATCACTTGAGCCCAGGAGTTAGAGGCTGCAGGGACCTATGACTATACCCCTGCACGCCAGCCTTGGCAACAGAATGAGACCCTGTCTCTAAAAAGAACAAAGAACAAAACCAAAACCATTCGTGTAGACAGGCATTGTCAAGACCCCCTTGATTCACCTCCCACACATCTGCAGGCTTGTTCATAATGGGACTTCACCCTGTGCCTCGCCTTCCCACTCTGCACTCAGCAGGGTCCTCAGAGCAAAATGTGAGCAGAGCAGCACACTTCTTCACCCATGGAAGTTTGGGGACGAGCCCAGAAACACCTGGTAGGTGATTTGCCCAGTCGGTGCTGACTGAATGGAATACATTGCAGGTCACATCTTGGGAAACATAAAGATTCCCTTAAACAGGAAACAGACAGCACCAGCCATAGAAGAAAAGATCCATTAACTTCCTTAAAACTAGCAGCTTCTGTTCTTCAAAGGACACCATAAACAGAGGGAAAAGCATGGACATAAAGATGACAAAAGTAGACACTAGGAACTACTAGGGGCAGGAGAGGGTGGGAGGCAAGGGCTGAAAAACTACTCATCGGGAATCTTGTTCACCACCTGGGTGATGCAATCAACCATCCCCTAAACCTCAGCATCGCATAATATACCCAAGTGAAAAGCCTGTACTGGTACCCCTTGCATCTAAAATGAAAATTGAAATTAAAGAAAGAAAGAGAGAGAGAGAGAGAGACAGGGAGGGAGGGAGGGAGGGGGGAGGGTGGGAAGGAAGGAAGGAAGAAAGAGGGAAGGAAGGAGGAAAACAGAGAGAAATAGCAAGCCGTAGACTGGGAGATGTTCAAAATACATATACTTGATAAAGAAGTTGGTATCTGCAATATATAAAGAATGCCTATAAATCAAAGAAAGGATAGGGGACTCTATAAGAAAATGGGCAGACGACTTGAACAGGCACTTCACAAAAGAAAATGAAGAAATGGTCAACCACTAGTTAAAAAAAAGTTCCACATCATTAATCACCAGGGAAAGGCAAAATAAGGCCACAGTAAAATATTGCCTATCAGAACAGCTAAAATAAAAGACGAACAATACCAAGTATTGGTGGGGACACGAAGCACCTGGGACATTCCAAGTGGAAATGAGAAGTGGCACAACCATTTTGGAAAACTGTTTGGCGTTTCCTCCCAAAGCTGAACACATATACACCTTATGCCTCATTGACGGCACTCCCAGGTATATACCCAGGGAATAATGGCTATGTGTACCGAAGACAGAAACAAGAGTTCACAGCAGCTTTATTCATAATACCCCCAATAGGAAAACCATCTAGTGCATATTAGCAGGCTAAACCAATTGGGTACAACCATGCAATGAAATATGACTTAGCAAATAAAACAGAAAAGAAAACCTACTGATAAGTGCATCTGCACAGAGAATCTCAAAAACATTTTGCTGGGGAAAAAAGCACCATTTAAATGCAGTTCAAAATTAGGTAAAATTAATCAGTGGTGATAGAAGTTAGAATAGTGGTCAGCTTGGCAGTGACAGGAGAGTGACTTGGGTCAGCGATGGGAGAGAGGCCCGATGGAAACTTCTGGGTGCTGGAAATACACTATGTCTTGATCTGGGTGATGGTTACACAGTGGATTCTTGGGCTAAAATTAGTTCAGCCAGACACTGGAGATACTTGATTGCAGGTATGTTATATCTAAAAAAAATAACAAACAATACAATTTGAGTCACAGCTGTGGTCCTGTGGCCTCTCCCCACTGCACCCCTGAGGATGCCCGCAACTCCCCCGCACTCTGAGCCCCTGGAGCCCTCTTCTGAGAGCCCGTGGGCGTTCCAGAGAGCCCATTCCCCACTCCCCAGGAGGGACCTCTGGGAGCCTCTCACTGCAGCCTCTGATTCAGTCTGGCAATGTGGCATTCTGGCAATGTGGCCCACGGCACCCAGTCCTGCAGGGATGAGAGGACTCTGTCCTAAACCCCTGGCCTGGGTACTCCAGAAAACTGGAAGCTTCCTGCACAGAGGCCACTCTCAGGCTGGGCGAGGTTGGCCCAGTCTGCCTGCCTCCCAGGTCCTCACTGTGGCATTGACTCCTCCTCTCCTTCATATCAGGTGCGTCCAGGTCCTTGGGCCACTGCATGTCCCTTGGGGGTCACCATCTATTCCCTCCCACTGGGCAGGGGCTATGATGACAGCACTTGGCCAGCTCCCAGAGCCTTTCAGGTTCGTGGGTCATTCACTTCCAGGCAGCAGTGGGGCTGCTCGCTCAGGAGCCAGGGCTCATCCCAATGTGGCACCCAGAGAGGTGAACAGCTGTGTTCAAGTTTGCACAGCAGCTTAGCGGCAGAGATAGGATGAGGGCATGGTCCCCAGTCCTCAATCTGTGGGGCAAGGAATCCCATCTCCTCCAGGAGTGTGGCCTCTAGGTCCCCTCCAGAGGCGGGAGGGAAGGCAGGGGGCCTCCAGCAGCTGGTTGCCCACAGGCTTTCCACGCGGTCATCACGCAGGGACGTACTGCAGGCCTAAGCTGCTGCTCAGTGAGAACTGTCTGTGGAGTCTGGATCAGCCTCCCTGCAGAGCAACAGTGCCCACCAGGGAGCTTTCGGAAGGAGGGGGTGGAGGAGGCAGATCCAGAGACAATCTAATTTTCTCCTTCTTGGGAAATGTTACCATTCTGGCCTGAAATGGGTTCTGGCTCTGCAGAGCCCTGGCAGCCACTGACAGAAACGAGGTTGGTGTGGGACGGGGGGTGGGCACCGTGCTTCCCCAGGGGGTGCCCTGCACCAGGCCCTGAGACTCTTCCCTCCCCGGGCTGGTTCACTCTCAGCCACGAGTTACTGGGGCACTTGGTGGGATAGGTAACCTCACCATAGGTAAATGTGATTTCAGGATAACCTCGGGTGGCCGGAATTCTTGCCCCCATTTCACAGATGGGAGAACTGAAGTCAGGAGAGGACTGTGGACACCTCCAAAGCCTCCACCACCCACCCCATGAGGTTTCTGCTTAGGATCGGCAGTTATTTCCCTTTAAGGCTGATGGGGAGGGAGCTATGGCTTCCTTCTCATAATGCCAGAGTAGAGGCGGGGAGGCCTGGCAGTCCTGCTCATTTATCTGCTGCCCGACAGGTCCTGGGATCTTGCCTTCTCTTACAGTTCTGAGATGGGGGCCAAGCACTGAGATGGGGGATGTCTCCAGAAGTCCATGTGCAGCATTTGGTTGGAAAATAGAGCTGGCTCCTTCCTTCTCTGCATGAGGGTTGGGGGGAGGCTATGAGTGGCTCTGCCTGCTGATGCAGAAAGGCGAACCTGGGCACAGTTGGCCTGAGGGTGCCCAAGGTGACCCCTGGTACGAGCTGAGCCCACAGCCCCAGCCCAGTGGGCACAGAGGCTGAGTGACTTGCTGCAATCATCGTGGGTGGGGAAGGCTGGGACTCAAACCCAAGACTTCCGTTCCTCATCAAGGACACAGCACCCCAGGCTCTGTAGGGGACCTGTCTCTCATGAGCTCTATCCTTCCCTCACTCCCTGCAAACAATTCTGTAATGGAATGCAGGTCTAACCCCTTATGCTTGCAGAGCCCACTTGACAAGGGTGGGGTCTGTTAGTAAGCAAGTGACTTTTATTAACCAAAACCAGCAAAGGGGAAGTGGCTGGATTCCCATCCAAAGCCCGCCACTTCAAATTTCTGGGGAGAAGGCAAGGATTTGTACAGGGAAACCTGACATGGGAGGCATGCAGGGGCTGACCTGGGTGCAAGGTCTGTGTGTCTTGTTTTGGTGGCTATCTTGGTGTAATTGGTGGGTTCTTGGTCTCACTGACTTCAAGAACAAAGCCATGGACCCTCGTGGTGAGTGTTACAGTTCTTAAAGACAGTGCGTCCAGAGTTTGTTCCTTCTGACGTTTGGACGGTTTCACAATTTCTTTCTTCTGGTGGGTTAGTGGTCTGGCTGGCTTCAAGAGTAGAACTGCAGACTTTTGAAGTGAGTGTTCCAGCTCATAAAAGCAGTGGAAACCCAAAGACTGAGCAGCAGCAAGATTTACTGCAAAGAGCCAAAGAACAAAGCTTTCACAGTGTGGGAAAAGACTGGAGTGAGCAGGTTACCGCTGCTGCCTCGGGCAGCCTGCTTTTATTCCCTTATCTGACCCCACCCACATCCTGCTGATTGGTCCATTTTACAGAGAGCTGATTGGTCCATTTTACAGAGAGCTGATTGGTCCATTTTGACAGGGTGCTGATTGGTGTATTTACAATCCCTGAGCTAGACACAGAGTGCTGATTGGTGCATTTACAGTCCTCTAGCTAGACAAAAGTTCTCCAAGTCCCCACTAGATTAGCTAGACACAGAGCACTGATTGGTGCATTTACAAACCTTGAGCTAGACACAGGGTGCTGATTGATGCATTTACAAACCTTCAGCTAGACACAGAGTGCTGATTGGTGCATTTACAATCCTCTAGTTAGACATAAAAGTTCTCCAAGTCCCCACCGGATTAGCTAGATACAGAGTGCTGATTGGAGCATCCACAAAACCCCAGCTAGACACAGAGTGCCAGAGTGCTGATTGGTGCATATACAATCCTCCGGCTAGACATAAAAGTTCTCCAAGTCCCCACTGGACTCAGGAGCCCAGCTAGCTTTGCCTAGTGGATCCTGCGCTGGGGCCGAGCGAGGGTGGAGCTGCCTGCCAGTCTTGTGCAGAGTACCTGCACTCCTCAGCCCTTGGGTGGTAGATGGGACTGGTGCCACGGAGCAGGGGTCAGTGTCTGTCAGGGAGGCTCCAGTCACGCGGCAGCCCACCGCACGGGGCTCGGGCATGGTGGGCTGCAGGTCCCAAGCCCTGCCCCCTGGGGAGGCGGCTGAAGCCTGGCAAGAATTTGAGCGTGGCGCCGGCAGGCCAACAGTGCTGGGGGATCCGGGGCCCCCTCTGCAGCTGCTGGCCCGGGTGCTAAGCACTTCACTGCCCAGGGCGGGTGGCGCTGGCCGGCCGCTCAGAGTGCGGGCCCACCAGGCCCAAGCCCACCTGGAACTCACGCTGGCCCCCGAGAGCCGCGCAGCCCCAGTTCCCGCACTTCCCACCTGCGCCTCTCCCTCCTCACCTCCCGGAAAGCTAACTGGCTCCGGCCTCAACCAGCCCAGAGAGGGGCTCCCACAGTGCAGCGGCAGGCTGAAGGGCTCCTCAAGCATGGCCAGAGCAGACACGAGGCTGAGGAGGTGCTGAGAGCAAGCGAGGGCCACCAGCACGTTGTCACCTCTCATTGGGTCTCTGTCTACCTGGAGCATGGGCTGGCATCATCTAAACAATGGCTGGTGTTGACTAGTCACCTTGAGCTAACCACTGGGATGCTGCAGCTGGGTCTACAGGCTTGGTACACCTGTCTCCAGATTAGCCCGGGGAACTCCCAAGTAAGCACCAAACTAGATACTAGCATGCAGTTTGGTAAATGTGATGTGAATCTACAGTGGGAAAGGGACCAACCTGGAGTCTATTTTGAGGTTAAGGGAAAAGGCCTCTGCAGTTTGTTCCAAGGTTATATCTCAAGACTAAAGAGAAAGGGAAATAAAATTTTGCATTTTGAAGTTAAGCTGGTCCATGATAATTCTGGGTCTGTCACCGCTAAGGCAGTGGGCATCTATTGTTTCTGTTCCTTTCTCCTTTGATGCTTCCCCTCCCTCCCTCTCTCCCTTCCTCTCTCTCCCCTCCCCTCCCTCTCTCCCTCACCCCCTTTCTCCCTCCCATCACCCCCCTCCCCTCTTTTCCTCTCCTCCCCCTCTCCCTCCCATTATCCCCTCTCCTTCTCTCTCCCTCCATCTCTCTCTCTCCCCCTCTTTCTCTCTTCCTCTCTCTCCCTCTCTCTCTCTCCTTCCCTCTCTCCCCTTCCTCCATCCCTGCCTCCCTCTCTCCCCCCTCCCTCCCTCTCTCCCTCCCTCTCTCCCCCTCTCCTTCCCACTCTCTCTCCCTCTCCCTGTTTCTCCCCTCCCTCTCTCTCTCCCTCCCTCCCTCTCTCCTGTCCATGCCTCCCTCTCTCTCTCCTGCCTCCCTCCATCTCTCCCCTCCCTCCTTCCCCTTCTCCTTCCCTCCCTGTCTCCCTCTCTCTCTCCCTTCTTCTCTCTCTCCCTACATCTTTCTCCCTTTCTTCTTTCCTCTCTGTCTTTCTCCCTTCACCTCTCCCTCCCTCTCCCTCCCTCTCTCTCCTTCCCTTCCCTTCTCCCTCCCTTTATCGCCCTCCCTCTCTCCTTCCCTCTTTTCTTTCCTTCCCTCCCTCTCTCTCTCTCTCCCCCATCCCTCCTCTCTCTTCCCCCTCCCTCCCTCTGTCTCTCCCTCCCCCTCTCCCTCCCCTTCTCCCCTCCTTCTCTCCCTCTCTTCCCCTCCCTTTCTCTCCCACCCTCCCTCTCTCCCTCTCCCCTCCCATCCCTCCCTGTCTCTCTCCCTCCCCCTCCCTCTCTCATTCTCCCTCCTTCCCTCTCCCTGTCTGTCCCGCTCTCCCTCCCTCTCCCTCCCTCTCTCCCTCTCTGTCTCTCTCCCTCCCTCTCTCTCTCTCCCTCTCTGTCTCTCTCCCTCCGTCTCTCTCTCTCCCTCCCCCCCATCCCCCTCTCTCCTTCCCTCCCTCTCTCTCAGCTGCTGTGGTTTGGAGGGGCCTGGACTCTTCCACCTCCCTGTGGGCAGGTCCCCAGGCCTAGCCAATCAGAGCGTTCATCCTTCTGGCCCTGTGACTGGCCCAGAGGTGGCCCAATACAGGCAACAGCACCACCTGAGATGGGATGAGGCACGTGGACTTTAGTGTCCCAGGATCTGGAGGATGGGGAGGAAGGCCCAAGGGAAGCAGTGTCTCTGGGTGTGGAGGAGACCACCATCACAGCCCGGGCAGAGACTGAGACCACCTGGTTGTAAAGCCTGTGTGGGTGTTTGCCAGTCTCTGACCACCACAGTCACTTACTTATACCAGATGGTTTCTGCCACACTCTCAGCCTACTACTTCTTGGGATCCATTTGTTGGGGTGAGGGGGAATGACAGCATATGACAATAGGTAGTCCCAGAACTTCTCCAGCAGCTCTAGACCTGAGCCACAAGCCCCATCACCTACAAAGGGGCTTCCAAGGGGTCCTTCCTGCCTGTCTCTTCTCATTCCAATTAGTCGCAGGACCCTGGGTACACTTGGAGAGAACAGATGCTTTTCTCCTGTATAGAGCCTGTGTTGTGATGAGAAATGGAGCATGAGCAAGATCCAGCATACCTGGAGATAACAACCCCTGTCTTCGGGTAGACCAGGAAGGACAGACTCAGGGTCATGTGAGAGAATAATGGTGACAGGGGAGGGACTAGTTTAGACAGGGAAGCCAGGGCAGGCCTTTCTCAGAAGGTGACATTTGAGCTGAGGTCTCATCCCTTGGAAAAGCTGGAGAGTTTCAATCAGATGGAACAGCACATGCAAAGGTCCTGGGGCGGAATTGAACTTGGAGATTTTGTGGCACAGAAAGACCAATATGGCATGGCTGGGTCATCTAATTAAAGGGGTGAGGGAGAGGTGAGGTGGGGAGGTGTCGGGAGCAGGTTGCACCAGGCCTTGTAGGTGCATGGCAGGGAGAGTAAATGGTCTTCTCATTACAGTAGAAATCCACAGGTGGGTTTTAAGCAGTGGAGTGACATGACTTGATGTAAAAGGCTGCTGTGTGCAGAATGTGTTGGAAGGGGTACCTGGTGCCTGGACTGGTGCAGTAGACTGTCCTGGTTGCAGTGGTCCTGGGGTGGAGGACATGAGTGACATGGAGCCTGAGATAACAGCAGTGCCTATCTTCAGAGAAAAGATGTAAACAGATGATTATCTTCCTTCTTAGCAGCGGTCCGGTCTCCTTCCCTTCTCCATTCCCATTCATCTGTCGTGCCTCCCGAGTCATCCCCACTCCACCTCTTTACACTCATTGAGAACTTTCTCCGGACCAGGCCCTGGGCTGGTTGCTGGGGCCCAGACCCTACACTAGTCAGAGCCAGCGGGAGGCCCCTCTGAGTGTGAGCATCAGGATCACGCGCTACCTCAGGCCCTCCATCTCTCCAGCCCCACTCTCCCACTAGTTGCATAACACGTTGTCGGAGGGAGACACTATTGAAATCACAATGGTGAAGCCGCAGTAATAGCCTCCTCGGCTCAATTTGGGTAGCAGCTTTATGTGGTAGTTTAATTCATTGTACACCAATTTCAGTTGTGCATTAATTACAGGCGGCTGAATAGTAATTAACTAATCACCATGTCACTTCTTCCCTGTTAGGAACAACCTCATTAATTCCAGTCTGCCGGGCTGCTGGTGTCTTTTGCCATCCCCCCTCCTCCACCCCCTGCGCTCTCTCCCCCTCTCTTTTTGGCCGCTCTTGACTTATAATCAAATATGAAAGTCATGCATTTTTTAATAACTTCTCAGCTGTTTTTACCACTGAAAAATTCATGGCATTACACAGCCCCTTTCAATAATGTTTACTCATTTTACATTTCTCGTCTACATGTTTGGTGCTGTCTGCCCTTACCGACAAGCTGTTGGCGCTGTCTTGGAGAGTGTTGGGGCCAGTCTGGGGCCATCTTGGGCAATGAAAGAGGCTCTTCCCAGGATGCATCTGTGATTTCCTGGCGGTCACATAGGTTGGGTAGATGGCATTTCTCCCTGGGCGTTTCACTGAGGCCGGTGAGTGCCCTGTGGTCTGTTTTCCACGTTTGCCGTATCCCATCTCCATGTTTTTGCGTGTGTCGTGACTGCCTCTCGTTGTGCTATCTTCTTCTCGTTTCTGCTTGACAATGAGTAGGCATCTAGGCCCAGGTGAGAAGCCCTGTTTTCAGGAGGCCCCCCTAGTACTGTTGTTCAAGCTCTTCTCTTACCCCACATTGTGCGCTGTGCATGGTTTCCATTCAGACCCACAAACCAGCGTTTCAATCCAGTGCTCATTTCTACCACCCCAGCCCTACTGGGGCCTGCCAGGGTGCAGAATGAATGGAGCATCCACAGGCATTGCTTTATTTTGTTCTCAGGACCCTGCTGCAAGGGAGCCCAGCAAGGTTCTTCATCAATTTTAGAGATGAGAACTCAGAGGGCAGAAAGGTTTGCCCAAAGTCACCACAAGTCAGTGGACAAAGGACAGGAGCCTAGGTACCCTGATGGCCAGATAACGAGAAGATCCCCAGCGTCCCTGGATGTCTGCTCCTCCTGAGACATGACCCCCTTGCCAAGGTCAGGGGCAGTTCCTCTTGTTCCCAGCCAGTCCGTCAGCTCTGTCAGCTTTGATCCAAAACACTCCTGAGTCCTAATACATCCACTTCTCACTCCCGGCTCCCTGCCAGGCAGTCGTTTGCTGCTTCTCTGTGCAGCTTTTTGGTTAGTTGGCTCCAGGTCTTCATTTAGTCTCAGCTTAAATGCCGCTTCCTCTGAGAGGACCTCTTGTCCCTGAGGGACAAGAGCAGGGCCACCAGTGAACACCCCAGTGAAGGGGTTCCCCAGTCACTCCGTTCCACATCACCCAGGTTCGTTCTTCATGACCTTTGACTGGGGGCTGACATCGCTTCCCTCATTTGCTTAGTTAGTTGTCTGATTTCTCCACTAGAACATTAGCTGTGGCAGGGAGGAGCCTCATCTTCCTTCTTGACTGTTGTACTCCAGGAGCTGTGAGAGCCTCTGTGCCCCAGACACCCTCCAATGGCTTACAGCTGCATGAAGACCAAATTCCTAGTGGGATCCACAGGTACACGTGGTCCAGCCTTGCTGAGGGCTCTAGAGCCATTTCTTACCATATTAAAGTGGGGCCTTCTAGGGCAGCACTAATCAGTAGAAATATACAGCCGATGGCATGTGGGATTTTACCTTTTCTAGTAGCTGTGTTAGAAAGAAACAGGTGAAATTTTCCTTAACCCAATATAGCAAAAAATGTTATTTTACTGTATAATCAGCACAAAATTCTTCTTCTTATTTTAAAAGACAGGATCTTGCTCTGTTGCCAGGCTGGAGTGCTGTGGCACAATCATGGCTCACTGTAGCCTCGAACACCTGGGCTCAAGGGATCCTCCCACATCAGCTTCCTGAGTAGCTAAGACTACAGGTGTGCCCTGCCACATCTGGATCATTTTTAAACTTTTTTCAGTGGTGGAGTCTTGCCGTGTTGCCCAGGTGGGGCAAACTTCTGGCCTCAAGAAACCCCCCTGCCTTGGCCTCCTAAAGCATTGGGACTGCAGGCATGAACACTGTGCCTGGCTACAAAGCATTAATTAATTAATTAATTAATTTTTTTTTTGAGACAGAGTCTCACTCTGTCTCCCAGGCTGGAGTACAGTGGTGAGATCTTGGCTCACTGCAACCTCCACCTGCCGGGTTCAAGCGATTCTTGTGCCTCAGCCTCCCGAGTAGCTGGGATTACAGGCACGCACCACCATACCGGGCTAATTTTTGTATTTTTAGTAGAGATAGGGTTTCACTATGTTGGCAAGGCTGGTCTTGAACTCTTGACCTTGGCTGAGTCGCCCACCTCTGCCTCCCAAGTGCTGGGACTACAGGTGTGAGCCACCGTGCCCGGCTTGCAAAACATTTATGAATGAGATAGTTCACATTCTTTGTTCTGTCTTCAGCCTTTGAAGTCTGATGGACGTTCTACATAAACAGCAAGCCTTAATTTGTATTGGCCACGTTTCAACTGCTCACTCATCACATGTGACTTATGGCTCCCTATTGGACAGGATGAAAAGGAGTGACGAGGACTCACCAGGGGGCGAGGGAAGGGAAGGGCATTCTACACACAGGGCTCAGCACAATCACAGGTGTGAAGGTGAGGAGCAGCACAGCACATGACAGGGAGCCTGGTATGGCAGAGGACGGGCTTAGGGCAGGGGCTGGGCTAGTGATGAAGCCAGAAAAGCAGCCCGGGCATGGGGAAAGGGCTTGGACCGACAGCATCCAAAGGTCTCCTCTCACACTGCAATGTGGTGGGTTGGTGTGGTGCTGGAAGCTCATTAGGGTGAAAATGGGAGTTTGGTGCTAATTAGAGACTCTAGGTCACTTCTTTAAGGACCCCTATGGGCAGTGCTTCTAACGTGGCTCAGATGGGGGTGAGTGCGTGGCTGGATCAGTGCCCCTCCTCCAGGACAATTACATCACCCAGCACTGAGCATGGCTTGGGGTTGGGTGGTACAAGGGCTGAGCTGCAAGGACAAGAGCAGGTCCACACTCAGGGCAGTGGCCCTGACCCTGGAGAAGGAGAAAGAGGCTGCTTTGAGGAGGCTGGACAGGGAGCTGGCCCTTGTGAGCCCCTCCTGTGGGCCTGACACTTGCCAGTGGTACCTCGATTTCTAGCGAGGTCAGGAAGTAGATACTCTGACCATTTTACAGATGGGGTGACTGAGATTCATGGGGAGAGGGCTTGCCCAAGGTCATGTAGCTGAAAGGGAGAATTCACACTCAGGTTTGCCTGGCTTCAAAGCCAACCAGGATCCTTGACACCCTAAACAACGTGACTGCTGGGAGTGGCATGGGCCAGACCGTAAGACCTCCTTCCTTACTCTGGGGTCTCCCAAACTGGGGAGAGGGAGAAGGAGCCCCTGCTGCTGGAACTGGGAATTCTGCAGGCCAGAAAGCAAGCATGGCAGAGCCCTGCGATTGGGGTGGTGGAGGCAGAGGGCCGTCAGCCCGGGTTCAGGAAGGACTGGCTCTGGGTGGGTCTGTGCCCTGCAGAGAGTGCTGAGCCCCCGCTATGCCCAGAAGGATTTTGAGAAACTGGCTGAGGTGTGGCTAAATGGTCTGCAGGACTTGGAGCAGCCCTTGCAGATGGGTCGGGGGGCACATGTGCCACCAGCTCTGGGTCTGAATCGTGTGCCGATGGAGAGGGCCTAGAGTGGGCAGACGCTGTGCAGTTCATGATATGCTGCAGGCCCCAGGTGTTTGAGCCTGACCTCAGCTCCCCTTGTCTGGGCCTTGTAGAGGTATCTGGCTGCCCCCAGGGCAGAGAGGTTTCTTTTCTCTTTGGAGAGAGGGATGGGGGCATGACAAGCCTCCTGGATCAACTGATTTGCAGCACACAGCAGGAAGCAGGGCTCAGAGTCACCTGTGCCTTTTAACGTCCTGGAATGATAGGAGGGGCATGGGAAGGGAGCTGCCCTCCATGGATTCTGGGGCAGGGACTGTGCCTGGCTGGGAGCTGGCTGTGCCTGGTGGTAAGGCTGTCAACGCTTCAGTCCCTACCGTGGCACCTGGGGCTGGGGATGTGGGTGAGGTGGGTGAGGCTGCACGGTGCAACCCATTGTTCTTGCTCAGCAAAGGCGCCCACCATGTTCTTCTCTGCACCCAGCTCTGTGAGAGGGGAGTGACATGCAAGCTGTCCCATGGAGTGCCCAGGTCAGAGGGGGATGTAGGGGGGTGGGTGGGAAACAGAGGCAGAGAGGACTGGAAGGAGGTGCCACTGCCCTGGAGAGGGCATCACGGGAGCTTTGTGGAGGCGGTACTGAGCTGGCCTGGGTGGGGTGACTGGTGGCCTAGGTTTGGCTGGGCAGGTAGAGTCTTCCTTGGGGTCACTGGGCTGGAGCTGGTTGGGGTCCACCTTAGCAGAGGCCCTCAGGCTAGGCCAGGACAGGCTGGGCTTGAGCTTACTGTCACCTTCATTTGGCTCCTAGGGAGAGGTTGGGAGAAGAAAAGAGGGATAATCAGATGGGAGATTTGGAAAAGCAGAGAAAGACGATTTAGCAATTTAGGAGACAGACACACATGCACGCGTGCATGCATGTGCGTGTGCACACACACAGACAGAGAGACAGAAAGAGAGAGAGAGGGAGAGAGGTGTGAGGGGAGAGAGGGGGCGCCCCTGTCTGGATCCACATCGTGATGTGGCTGCCTCCAAGCCCCTAGGCCCCACTCACTGCTGGGAAAGTCCTCCCGCAGACCCAACTCTGTCTCACCCGTCCCAGAGCCCAGCTTGATTTTTCATCAAGGACACGTGAGGAAGTGGAGAGGAAGTGGAAGAACACTGCCCGAGAATTCTGTCTCTCCTACTGCTGCTTGCACCTCACGCCCTTGAGCAAAACTTACCCGTCCCTGAATGTGGGTTTTCTCCTCTATACCACAGACCCATGATGAGGATAAAATTAAATACTAGATACAAAAGAGTTGTTCAAATGGCAAAGTATCTTGTACGCATGAGTGACGGAAGCAGGCTGGTGAACATGGCTGTGGGCTGGTAAATTCTCTGCTTATTTGCAGGGCTGAGTGATTATCTTCACTTGGGTTCCAAAGGGACCAAACTCAGCCTCTTCCATCTGATTCAGAAGAGGTAAAGCAGCATCTAGCCTTGAGCTGCAAATGTGGGAGCCTCAATGAGATATTCAAACATCGCTGAGCAGATTTTCACAGGGTATGTTGCCTCGAGGGGGAAAGTCTCTATGTTTAGTCCTCTTCTTGCTAGGACATGGACTTTTAAAATGTGTACTCATCAAGACAAAACACCATGGTGACATACAGTCAGTTTAGTGTGTCCCTGGGGAGTGTTGGGGCGACGGTTACAGGCTGTTTATGGTGACACCACTAGACAGGTAGACATATATTACCGGCACTTAATTTGCGAGAAATGTACCTACTGTAAGAGGATGTAAAACCAGCAGGATCCTGGAAGAATGATTACGTGAGGATGACGTCTTATCAGAGATGAGATGAGCTATTAGACAACTGTGCTGCACATCAAAAAGCAAAAAGAAAGACAAACATCTCTTAAAATGAATTTTGTAATAGTGGAAATAGAAAACAATGAAGATTCTGCTGCAATTTTTGTAATAAGGTGTCTCATCCAGCTAATGGCAGGAGATGTTTACCACTGACCATCACTGACATGAAAATGCATTCAGGGTTATGAGGACCCCACACTCAGCCACAGAAGTCTCTTCATTATTGTCACACTGTATACTGGAAAGTCTGAAGACCTATTCAGCACAATGACAACACGAGGCTTTGCTGTGTCTAGCCTGGAGTGGCTTAACAAGCTGCACTGGACTTTGCTGGCTTAGCTTGGTTGTACTTCATGTTAGATTTGGGGGTGGGTGGTGGCAGGTGTGTGTGAGGAACCTAGGTGGGGCTGTTTGGCAGAGTGTCTGGAATGGGACCTGTGGCCTGGCTGCTCCTAGGGAATGGGCACTGGCCTTGCTGGTTTAGCATTTTCCGACATGAGGATCCTTGACCCACACTTCTGAGACTTTCTGAGCAAAGTCTGGGAAACGCCGCATGTGATGGCTCTTTCTGGCAAGTCATAGCAATATCATGCAATGAAGACCCTGAGAGGCCCTGCCATAGACACCTGTTCAACTTGATTCAATCCACCCTGTCCCACTTTTTCTTAATGGGAGAATCACACCATCCCCTTTTGCCCAACCCAGCCCTGTATGGGAACTGTATTCAGCCATTCTTGTGTTGTCTTGTGTTGCTATAAAGGAACACCTGAGACTGGGCAGTTTATAAAGAAAAGAGGTTTATTTGGCTCGCAGTTCCGCAGGCTGGACGAGAAGGATGGTGCCAGCATCTGACTTCTGGTGAGGCCTCAGGAAGCTTTTACTCATGGCGGGAGGTGGAGGGGGAGCAGGAGTCTCTCATGGTGAGAGAGGGAGCCAGAGAGAGCAAGGGGAGATGCCACACGCTTTAAACAACCAGATCTCATGTGAACTCAGAGCGACAGCTCACTCATCACTGAGGGGTTGGCCCAAGCCATTCATAAGAGATCTGCCCCATGACCCAAGCGCCTCCCACCAGGCCTCACCTGCAACACTGGAGGCCACATTTCAACATGAGATTTGGAGGGGACACACACTCACACCATATCAGGACATACCAGTTTGTCAAACTAGGAGCTCCGAGGCATACGTTTTGGGAAAGGCTTCCCCAGGGCTCCTGGCATCTGGGAGGGTCAAGTTATATAAACAATGGCATCTCTGAGACCCTGCGGGTTCTGTCCTATATCAGATGATGTGGGACCCTTGGAGAAAGATGCCACCATCATCCCTCAGGGAGCTCACTCTCCATCTCCGTGGGCTCCCTCATTCCAGCCTGGGATACAGAAACACTGAGCCGGAAGTTGGGGTGTAGCAAGCCCCCTACCATGGATCTCTAAGCCTGGATGGAAGCTTGGGTGGGGCGAGGAAGCCACCCAGCCTCCTGAGGCAGAGCCAGTTGTGCTGTGGGATAGTGGGGTGGACTTCCCGTGGCTCTGCCCCTCAGCCCCAGCACCAAGTAACCCCTGACGGCGGGCGGCGGGGGACAGGCATTCACTCCCAGCTCACTCACTTCTGGTGCCCTGAACCACTGACTTAGTGCAGCCTCTGCTAGAATTCCACCCGAATGCCCTCCAAGACGGTGCTTCGCTGACCCGTGTGGACCCTCTCATGGCGGGCCGCTGTCGACATCTGCTCAGCCTGCTGGCCATAGAATTCTCTCTTCTGGGAACAGGCCCTGACCTTTCCCCGGGAACTCCCCTCCTCCACTCATCTGTGTGTTTCGGGTGGGTCTGACCCCATCCCTTGGTCCAGGGCAGGCATGGGGCCCAGGTCTGGCCTATCCATGCTCTACCTCTCTGGACATGGCATTTGGCCTAGGGATGGCATGTGACCCAAGATGGGCCAGTGAGAGGGGCTGTCTTCTGCTGAAGCTGCCCTCCACCCCAGGATGAAACTTTCGGTGCAGGGAGTTGGCTTGGGAGCTGATTCCAGGAAGCATAGGGAGAGGAGACGAGAAGTGAGACAGAGAAGGGAAAGAAGCCGATAAGCAGGTTACTGCCGTGGGCCATTGACACCACTGAGGCCACTGAGGCTCAGCCCCTGGGCAGCCCGGGAGATGGGGTGGCACACACTGGGGAGTGTTTCCACCTGCAGGGCCAGGAAGCTGTGTGTTGTCCTCCAGCTCCCACTCATCACGTGCTGAGGGCTGCTCCTGGAGATGTGCACTCCAGCGCCCCATTGCTGTGTTGTGCTCAGGCCGCTGACCTAGTGTGTCCCTGTGACCAGAGACTGCCCTTTGGTGGAGATGCAGGTGCTGCTGTTGGCTGGATGGGGAATGCCAAGGGAGGGAGTGAGCGCAGCCCAGCAGTGTCGGAGGTGGCACTGACCTCCCACCTTCCCCTCTCCTACTGCTCTGCCCACCCTCAGCCCGATAACTGTCATTCCTGCACCTGCTACCCCTGCGCCACGTTGCCCGTCCTTCCCTCCCATGATGCTAATACTGTGTCCCCTTTCTGTACTTTCAGGCTGTTTTCTGGATTCTTCCTCCTTTTCCACCAAGTTAAGTGCTGGTATTTTTTGCAGGAAAGTGACCACTGTTCCTGGAGGATTTGCATTGCTGGAGAAGTGCATTCTAACAGTGGAATTCAGGCGGCGAGAGTCGGGTAGGGGGTTTTCCCTGTTCCTGGTGGGTTATGGTCTTCAGGGCAGCTGCAGTGATGATTCAGGCCCCTGGAACAGGGAAATAAGGGGGCTCTCTTTTTTGTTCTTTTGAGAGGGGTGGGGTAGTGCATAGCTGAAGAGTAATTGGAGATAATGTAACTGTTTACACAGTAAGTGATGTTGTTTCATTTTGTGCTACATTTTGCCCTAACGCTAGAAAACATCGTGCTGAAAAAACAGACATTACAATCTCCCTCACATCTTAGGTTTTTGCTAAAGATTAAAAATGTTACTTCTCTAATCTGTTTCTGAAATTGCTTTGGAAATGCCATCATCAAGACCAAAATGCACCAGGCAGTCGTTAGAAAAGCAAATAATACTCGCTCCTCATTTGCCTAAAACTGTCAAACGATCGTGCAATCTGTGAATAGCATTCTGTCTATCCCCTGAGTCCTGTGTGCATTTGGGAAATTAATTATGACTCTCTTATAAGCACATAAAAGTGATGCACATGGCCATCAGTTTGTTCCATTTCTACAGGCTGGAGCTATTAAGCCTGTGAGAGGCTGTGTGAGCAGTCGCCAGGCTGCGTGTGCTCTGGGGGGTGGAGTGGGCACAGGCAGGGGGCGGTTGGGGGGAAGGAGTGAGGAGAGGGGAGACCTTGGTGGTGGGGAGGATAGAGGAAGGTTCAGCAGCAAACTTGGGAGCACCAGGCTCTGCAACCTGGGAGGACAAGGCAAGTGCCCTGGCCAAGCGTTGCACTAGCTGTGTGATGGGGACATGTTTCTTCCTGCCTGAGCCTCAGTTTCCTTGCTTGTACAGCACCCACATGGCTGAGCTGTTGTGAGGATTCAGGGGAGGAACTGGGCAGAGCACTTGCATGTAATGTGTCACTGCTGTGACCGTGTGACCGTTACTGGTGGCAGGAACCACTGGTAAACCAGGGATGGGAGAATGGGGTCTTGTATGTAGAGTTTATAATCAGCCCTGAGCCCAGAGAGCCTCATTACCGACAGCGCAAGCAGGACAGGTCTTCGCTACTCCCCAAGAGAGCTCAGTCCTCTGCCTCCGCCTCTGGTGTAACCACAGTTCACTTTCCCATCTGGAAACCCTTACCTACACCGGCTCTGCTCTCTGCATTCTCACTCTCTTTCTCTCTCTGGCAAACTGGGCTCCATCTGTACAATCCTAACCATCCTTCAAGATAAAGCTCAAATGCCAGATTCTAAGGGTCAGCAGGGCATGGTGGGAGGGGCCTGGGCTCTGGAACCAGACAGAGTGCCTCAGTCCAAATCCAGGTTCCACCACTCAACAGCTGCGTGACCTTGGGAAAGTCACTTACCTTCTCTGTGCTTCTGTTTTCTTATGTGTAAAATGAGAATAATAGTAGTACCCACTATTAGGGTTGTTGAAAGGATAGAATGAGTTAACAAATGTGATGCACTTAGAACAGTGTAAGACACAGAGATAATCTACACCAGTGGTCCCTAATCTATTTGGCACTGGGGACCGGTTTCATGGAAGACAGTTTTTCCACAGACCAGGGGAGGGGGATGGTTTGGGGATGATTCAAGTGCATTACATTTATTGTGCACTTTATTTCTGTTATTATTACTTTGCAACATATAATGAAATAATTACACAATTTACCATCATGTAGAATCAGTGGGAGCCCTGAGCTTGTTTTCCTGCAACTAGACGGTCCCATCTTGGGGTGATGGGAGACAGTGGCAGATCATCAGGCATTAGATTTTCATAAAGAGTGTGCAACCTAGATCCCTCGTGTGTGCAGTTCACAATAGGGCTCACGCTGTTATGAGCATCTAATGCCACCACTAATCTGACAGGAGGGGGAGCTCAGGCAGTAATGCCAGCGATGGGGAATGGCTGTAAACACAGATGATGCTTTGCTCACTCACTGTGTGGCCCAATTCCCAATAGGCCACGGGTGGTCACAGACTGGTACCAGTCCATGGCCCAGGGGTTCGGGACCCCTGATCTAAACAACAACAACAACAACAACAACAACAACAACAACAACAACAACAACAAACAACAGCAGCAGCAGCAGCAGCAACAGCAATGTAGTATCTCCTTTAGGAAATGTCTCTGACCATGAAGCTGACTTAATTTCTCCTCTTCTCATGGCCATCTCCCTCCAAAACACCTAGCAAAGAGAATTGCCTATAGTAGATGTTCCACAAACACTCACTGAATTAAGCAGAAAGATGAAAGCATGTAGAAAATGGTAGGTTAGAGGTGGTGACATTCTTGCTCCCTCCTTTCCTCCTCCTTTTTCTTTTCTTCAATGGATATATTTCTTTATGCCAGAAGGCTCCCTGGGGAGCTGAGCCTTTGCCTGGAGAGTTAAAGAACAGGTGGAAGGCAGAGGTAGGCAGCAGGTCTGCATCTTGGGGGAGCCCAAGCCTGTGTTCTGTTCCCTCTCTGAGCATCTTCTCTCTGAGCATCTTCTCTGCCCTGGCGGCTGTCACTGTTGCATGTCGGGGGAGGGCTGTGTGGGTGTCTGAACCTTTGTCAGGCTCCCCAAATCCTCCCCACCCTCACCAGGACCCTTTCTAGCTGTCCAGAGGTGCCTGGTTCTGCCTCCAGGTCTCTGTCACTGCCTCCCACTGTGTCCCACTTCAGACCTTTCCAGGGCAGCTGCTGAGCTTCCCTTGTGAAGCTTTGTCTGTGTCTCCAGTCCTCAGTGTCCACCCACTGTGCAGGTGGCCAGGTGAGATGGGGTGGCTGGTTGTGGGGCTGCAAAGTGGAGTGGGGACAGACAGGCTTGTTGCTGGGATCTAGAAGGCAGCCTTGGAGAACGTGGGCCTGGGACAGGGTTTCTTGGCTTCAGCACTCCTGGCTTTTGGGGCTGAATGATTCTTTGTTGTGGGGGCTGCCCTTGCATTGTAAGATGTTTATAGTATCCCTGGCCTCCACACTCTAGATGCCAATAGTATTCCCCCAGGTGTGACAACAAGAATGCCTCCAGACATCATCCAGTATCCCCTGACTGAGAACCATGAGCAAGCAAGAGGATCGGGGGCTGTGGAGTACAAGTTGTGCCAAGATTCTCGGCAGGAGGGATTCTGGCCTTTCAGAGGCACTCCAAGGAGGCCAGTGTGGCTGGAGCTGAGAGTGAGGTAGGCACAGTGAGGGGCACAGCTTCCCAAATGCCCCAAGACCCAAGCCAGCAACTTCTGGTGGCAGCTCAGGCCTCAAAGCTCTTCTTAAAGGCAGAGAGGAGAGTACCTTTTAAGCTTCAAAGCATTCCCTTGGGGAGCAGGCTGGGGTGATAGGGAAAGGCAGGCAGGAGGGTAGGACATCTTCTTGGCTGATTTGGGAGGGCTGATCCTCAGTCCCCAGATGCTGCAGAGAGTGGGTAGAGGGGCCCAGTGGTGTTTTGGAGAGCCAGGCTGCACTGGGTGCCTGTCGTGGGCAGGGGGTGCCTGGAGTGCTGCAAACACCAGGATTCAAGGGCACGTTGGAGGGTTCTAGGCAGAACAGTGACTCATGATTGCTCCCTCTTACATGAGGCTGTGGACTACATTCTTCTGTCCCTCCCCCTAAATGTATATGCTGAAATCCTAACCCCTAAGGTGATGGCTTTAGGAAGCGGGGCATTTGGTTTTAGGAGGTGGGGCATTTGTTTTAGGAGATGGGGTATTTGATCAGGTCATGAGTGTGGAGTTCTCATGAATGGGATTAGTGGCCTTATAAAAGAGATCTCAGAGAGCTCCATCATCTCTTCTACCATGTGAGGACACAGTGAGGAGACGGCCATCTATGAATCAGCAAGAGGGCCCTCTCAAGACACCGACTCTGCCTTGGTCTTGGACTTCCCAGTCTCCAGAACTGTGAGAAAAAAAGGTGTTGTTTAAGCCACCCAGTATATGGGATTTTGTTATAATAGCCTGAACAGATTGAGACAGATGGCCATGGGTCATATAGAGGGTGGTTAGGTGCACAGGGAGACCAGGAGGACGTGCTGGCTAGGCAGGGAGGGCAGGGCCTGCCCCAAGCTCTGCACTCTTCTTGGTCCTTGGCTTCTCAGGTGTGAGCACCAAGTGGGAAGAGACGGTGGAAGTGTTGCCCTGCCTCCACCCTTGCTCTGGCTTCTGGCTTTAAACCATGGCTGAGTCTCTGCCATCTCCCAGCTCCCTGACAAGTATGCCTGCTTTCTGGGAAGCCACAATTAGGACCCCTCTGAGACACTGCAACAATTACTGCCTGCCATGCCCCCCATCCTCCTTTGGGTCTGGCATAGCCCTCTTCCAACCTGGCTTGCTCTGACTTCCCCTCAGGACCCACTGCCTTGCCTGGTTGGGGCTGGGGATGGAGTTCAGCAATCAGAATCAGGTGACTTGAGTCTAGCCAAGGTCCCTGGGGCAAAGTGGAACAGGACATCAAGCCCATTCCAGGGCTCCCAGACCGGTGGCTCTGGAGCTGCATTGGCCCTTCTGTGTTTGGGCAGCTCCCCTAGGCTGTGTGGCACAGTTGTTTAATGCCTTTTCCCATCACCATAAGATGTTATCCTCACAAATCATTCTCCTAGGAACATGCTGAGTTTACATCCTCCAGAGTAGGTACATTTCTCATAAAGTAAGGGGGAGTATTAGTCTGTTTTCATGCTGCTGATAAAGACATACCCGAGACTGGGCAATTTACAAAAGAAAGAGGTTTATTGGGCTTATAGTTCCACATGGCTGGGGAGACCTCATAATCATGGTGGAAGATGAAAGGCACATCTCACATGGTGGCAGACAAGAGAAGAGAGCTTGTGAAGGGAAACTCCCCTTTTTAAAACCATCAGATCTCATGAGACTCATTCACTATCACGAGAACAGCACAGGAAAGACCCACCACCATAATTCAATCACCTCCCACCGGGTTCCTCCCATGACACATGGGAATTGTTGAGTTACAGTTCAAAATGAGATTTGGATGGGGACACAGCTAAACCATGTCAGGGGGTGCTGGTAACATATGCCACATGAACGGCCTGTCACCATCACCCTGACTGGCTGGGTGTCATCATGGGATTTTATCTTGATGAGTGCAGTCCCATGAGGACACAAACCTCATTCCTCCCTCTTGCCCTGCATCTGCCTCTCCTGTCATTTCTGCCACTTGACTGACCTCTGCGAGGGTGCTGGAGTTTGAGATGTCTCCAAACCTAAATGCTCCATACATAGGAAAGGAAGGAAATGCTTTCTACCAGGATTTTTGACTGGCTAATATATTTAGAACTTTATTTTGAATCTGTACTTTCCAACAAATTATCCCTCTTCTGAGGAAAAGTACACACACACACACACACACATGCATGCACACACACACACACATGCATACACTTATATACTTTTATATCTGGCATCACTTCTCTCAGAAACATTTCTCAGGTGACAGGTAGTCCCTGCAAAGAGCCAGAGGTCTGGGCCTGGAGTGAGGAGGATTGGGGTTCCAGGTAGAGTGGAGCCTCTGATTTTCTGGGTGGACATCTGTGACCCATTCTCCCCAGTTCATGTCTCCCTAGGCACATGAGAAATGTCATGCCACCTCCTGGATTGGCAGCACGTGCCCGTGTCCTGCCTGGTTTGCACATAGGCATTCACGAGGCAAAGCCGAAGTGTGTAGTGGACGCTGAGTGTCAGGGAGGGAGGGAAGGAGATGGATCATGGATCTCTCCATGGCCTCGTGGCCCTCATTCTTTTTCTGGGCTCTGGGCTTCTGGGTGGGAGAGCAGGGGTCTCAGGAAACATGGTCCCCAGGGATGGGTCTGTGGGAAGCTGGGCACTGTGCCACCTCCAGAATAGCCTGGCAGTAGGGTGAGCAACAGGCCAGCTGTCTCCTCCTGGAGCCAGGGGTCAAAGACTGGTCACCTCTGAGTGCTGGGGGGTCCCTTACCAAGGCTGGCAGGGCAGGGCGGGCTTGCAGTACCGACGTCTGCTCTTGGAGCTCAGAATCATGCACAGGGTCATGTTGAGCATTTCCACAGCATAAAAAGTCACATTCCAGGAGCTGTGTGTGAGTGTGTGTGTGTGTGTGTGTGTGTATATATATATGTGGTGGGGGTTGGGAGGGTCAGGGTCACAGCTGCCACCTCATTCCAGCCAGATGTCTCCCTGCTTCCTGCAGGAACATGGGTCTCCAATGGTTCAAGGGACGATGAAAATCTAGTGTGTGTGTAAAAATCTAATTCTAAAACTGAATTCCAAAAATTAAAAATAAAACACATGACAAAAACGACACCTCCCTGGGCTGGACCTGGCTTGCTTCAGTTTGTCTGTGACCCCTGGTCTAGAAGGACGTGGCCAGGCCAGGCCATGACAGCAGGGCTTGCTGAAAGGGTGGTCTGGAGGGCTTCCTTGGAGGAGGTGTCTCTTGGCCCACAGCTCTGCGGATTGGGTGACCCCTGAAGAAGGCAGCTGGGGGGGCCTGGATTAGCCAGATCACTCCCTGTGGTGGCCAACTCTGGCCTTGACCCCAGGCCCACAGGCCTCAGTTTCTCCATCGCTCCAGTGACGGGCTGGATCCAACACCTGTGGGCCAGGAGGCTGAGTCTCTGTGAGTGGCAGATGCCGTCTGAGCAGGCAGTCTCATTACTCCTGCTGTCCTGTCCTCCCACTGCCGAGGGACCCACCCACCCTGCCCTGCACTCAGCCTCAGCCAGGTGCCAGAACGGTCAGCCTGGGTCTTCTCTGGAACTTTAAAAAGCAGAACCAGTAGGGCAATGCTTAACCCAACAGGGTAGCTCTGCAGCAGTGAAGAGCAGGCTTTCTTCCTATAAATTATGTCCCCTGCTGGTCCCTAGGTGCTCTGGCCCCAGCGTTAGACAGTTTCCTCTGGTACCTGCACTAGAGAGGAAGTGTGATAGCCTGGCTCTTCTGATGACACGGGCCCGGGGAGATGCTTCTCAGCCACATCATCACCTTAGCGCCCTGCCTTGCGCCAGTGGGCTGCTCTTGGGCACCAAATCAGTGCTCTGGGGATTAGGGAGTCCTGCCTTCCCCTCAGAAGGGGACACTGAGCCTTCCTGTTCCCATCTTCTTAGTGCATCTAGCACTTCCACAGGTAGCTGGAAGAATCAGAAATCGATGATTCATAAAGCGGTGATTTAAACAATAAAGGCAAGGTGGGGGCAGCTCTAGCCCCCCGTGATGGAGAAAGTCGGTGTCTGTGGACCCTTTTGTGCTTTCAGAGAGCACAAGTGGAAAGCCAAATCAGTGTATTATGGGTTGGAAATACCATTAATTGGAGAGGAAATTGAGACCAGATATTAGGAAAATATATGATGGTTTTTACACGAGGGCCAGGAAATCATCAGGGCTGACGCTGATAATTCCCCTAATGCTGCACGTCCTGTGAGTCATGGGCTGGCGGGACTGACACGCTCGCTCTCGCCCTGCACACTGCCTGTCTCCACTCCAGCCCCGCTCACCGTTCCCCTGCCCAGGCCGTGTCTGCACTGGCACCATAAACCTCCATTATCAGAGGTTTAAAACTGGGCCATAAAAACTCTAGGGCTGAGACGTGGCATGTAAGGTCTCAGTCTGATCATGGCCATCCCCTTCCAGCTGGGGACTTAAAAAGTGGGTTGATTGGGCTGAAAAGACAGCTAATATGTTCTGAGCGGAGAGGAGGCTGGGACAGGTGGGTGTGAGCGTATGTGTGAGTGTGGGTGGAGACGAGGCCGGGGGAGGTGTGTGAGAATTTATGTGTGAGTGTGGGTGGAGACGAGGCCGGGGGAGGTGTGTGCGAGTGTATGTGTGAGTGTGGGTGGAGAGGAGGCCGGGGAAGGTGCGTGTGAGTGTATGTGTGAGTGTGGGTGGAGATGAGGCCGGGGGAGGTGTGTGTGAGTGTATGTGTGAGTGTGGGTGGAGAGGAGGCTGGGGGAGGTGTGTGTGAGTGTGGGTGGAGAGGAGGCCGGGGGAGGTGTGTGTGAGTGTATGCGTGAGTGTGGGTGGAGAGGAGGCCGGGGGAGGTGTGTGTGAGTGTATGTGTGAGTGTGGGTGGAGACGAGGCCGGAGGAGGTGTGTGCGAGTGTATGTGTGAGTGTGGGTGGAGACGAGGCCGGGGGAGGTGTGTGTGAGTGTATGTGTGAGTGTGGGTGGAGAGGAGGCCGGGGGAGGTGTGCGTGAGTGTATGTGTGAGTGAGGGTGTGCACACACTCGGTATGTGCATGTGTGCATGACTGTGTACCTATGTGATGATCAGTGCCTGCACCCACTTGAGAGGGCACGTGTGTATATGTTTTCCTGTGCATGAGTGTGTGTGCGCGTCAGTGTGAGTGTGGCAGCACTGTGTGATTGTGTGCACATGTGAATTTGTACACATGTGTGAGCATGTATAAGTATGTGAGTGGCATCTGTGTGAGCATATGAGCATGTGTCAATTATGAGAGCATGGTGAGACCATGTACAGATGTGTGAATTGTACCCGTTATGTGTATGTGTGTGCACATGTATGTGGATGCATGTGGATGTATGGGAATGTGCATCTGTAAGCATGTGTGTGAACTTGTGTGAGTGTGCATGTGTGAGACTGTGTGTGAGACTATGTACAGGCATGTGAATTGTGTGTGTGTGTGTGTGTGTGTGTGTGTGTGTGATGCTTATGCGTCATTACTGGGGTCATCAGGATCGTCATAGGTATTCACTTATGAGGCAGAAGCCCCAGTTCAGGGTGTGGCTCTTTACTGGGGAAGGAGGAGGCCCCAGCCAGTGGGTGCTGCGTGTTCCTGGGGGTCTTAGGCTCAGGTGTGTGGGAGTTGAGGTGCTGGGATGATGATGGCTTCCCACAACCAGCTCTCACCACGTGCCAGGCACTGTGCTAGGCGTGTGAAAACCCCCAGCTCATTGTGTCCTACTGACTCTGTGAGGGGAGGGGTGATATTATTCGAAGTCCCTAGGTGAGGAAGCAGAGCGTCAGAGAGGTCGAGCTACTTCCTTGTGGCCACACAGCAGGGCAGGTTCAGCACCTGAGCCAGGAGCCGCCACCCTTTGAGTTTGGAAAGCCACTGAGACCACCCAAGGCAATATGATCATGCCACAGATGGGAAACTGTGCCCAAGAGGGGCAAGCTGTGACCGGGGTTTCCTGGTGGAGTGACACCCAACCGCTACCCCAGGGTCCTCCCTGCACTGTGCCACTGAGTGGAAGCAGAAGGGTGGGGGTGGGTCACAGGAGCAACTGGGGCTCCCCAGCAGCAGCCAAACCCAATGTAAGCAAGCTTGGGTGCACCGGCCAGGGCCACTGAGCCCCAGGGACAATGGGACCAAGCATCGGGCTATCTCAGGGATCAGTTCCCCACCCTGCTCCGTGTCTCTCTCTTTAATGCATACCACCTCTGAGAGCTACTTGCCCCACCCCCTCAGGAGTGATGGGTGGCCTCTCTTCCCTAGTTCCGGTGGGAAAAGTTTCAGGGAAGGAGCCTAACTGGTTTGGCTCAGGTCACAGGGCTTTTGGGGATGATGGTGGGAAGTCTCCAAAAGCACCCCTCATTTGGAGAGGGAAGTTACCCCCAGATCAAGGGAGGAGTGTGGGGCAGGTGGATGCTGACTGCCTTCCTGGATATGCATGTTCCTGGAGCACATAGGCCCCCAAAGCTGGGCGTATGTCGCCTCTGGCACATGTGGCCACAGGAGCCTAGATTTCCCTGGCTTTGAACTGGTATTCTGGGGAAGGCCAGACACAGGAAGGGCAGAGGGAGAGGCACTGGGAAGAGAGGGTCCTTGCCTTTAGGGGAAGAGAATCAAGGCCTGGGTTTGTGAGCTGTAGGGCAGGGAGAAGGGAGCCCTGAGCTGGCATGGGCTGCCTGGCACGGGCAGCCTGGTATGGGTCAGGGCCAACAGGCTGCCACCAGCAGGCTATGGTGGCCTCACCATGTGCAGCTTCTCCTGGGAACAGGGAGTGTGCTTGAAGGACTGTGGGGTTGCTTCCCAAGGAATCAAGTGGCTGGATGCGGCCCCAGATGTGATCCATGCTGTGCTTGTGTACCTGGAGATGCGAGAGAAGGCCCAGAGGCAGTTGAGAGCTGGGTTGAGCTCACACAGTGCTGCAGGCCCCAGCGGGTTCAGAAAGAAGATGTTCTGCTTCCAGCCCGGGCCCCTCCCCTCCACAGTGGCTCAGGGCTTTCCCCAGCCCCAGACCTCCCTGGGGAGCACCTGGACCTGGTGACACGACCCCAGGCTGTGCTCAGCTCTGGCTCTGCTGCTCACGAGGGTGGGACAGACATGACACAATGGGCGCCACCGGTCCTGGCTGCAGCAGATGGGGCCCTACTTGTCTCCTCCTTTACTGACTCATGTGGGCTGGGCCTTTTACAATCCAGGGCATTTAGGAAAAGCTGCTATAGGATACGAAGGTCCTGAGAAGTCCTGCAAGTAAGAGCCTGGCCAGAGCTGGGGCCCTGCTGTGTGTGGCCCTGAAGCCGGGAGCCGGGCTGCTCTGCTGAAGATGGGAGGCGGGAGCTCCCTGCCGGTCACAGAGCCCCGACTGTGTGCGCACGTGCGTATGAAAGAGGGGATAAAGGGCGATTTGTTGGATTAGAGGCTGAAATGCCAAATGTAAGCTAGAAGGGGTTTATCTACCTTTTAATGTAATTGTGAGACAAGCAATGAAATGTTTACTGTTTGCAGGCTGAGCCAGGAATAAAAACCTGATCAAATACAAATGCCTGCTTCCTCTGCACTTCTGCTCTGCCCATGAAGATGACTGGTAGGTCCATCTCAGGCTGCCTCCTGAGGCAGAGCCTGGAAACCCTACCTGCTGGTTGCCTTCCAATGAGTCAGCAAACCCGCTCTAAGCTCCTGTATGTGGGGCCCTGTGCTGGTCAGCGGCTGGAGGAGGCGAGGGGAGGGTGAGACCCTCCCCGGGGACACCACTAACACCTAATGAGACCCTGCAGGGACCGCACCCCCTGGGGAGGGTCTTGGGCTCACCAGCACTGCCTTGTCCAACTCAGTGTATTGTTAGAGTGGGGGCACCTCTCTTTGGAGGGTTTGCTTTTTGGAGGCCACAGAAATTGGGGGAGGCTGCAGTGGAAGTCCAGGGTCCAGAGGGTCAGACGAGGAGAAGGGATTCTGGAGTGGCCTCCATAGGAAGGGCCCTGGGAGGAAGCTGGTCCGTGTGCAGGTGTGTTACTCACTGCTGCAGAAGCAACTTGCTGAAGGGGTTGGCCCCTGACGCGGAGGTTTCGGAGCTCTAGAAGGCCCAGCACCTGCAGCCTGGGGGCTCACTGCCCAGCAGCCATTTTAAAAGTTCATGGACAGCTTCATTCCAAACCTCAAGAGAAACACAAGCCAAGTGCCAGCGGCACTGGCTTCTGGCCTTTGGAAGGTGGTCCTAGTGCGTTAATGGAGAACTGGGGCCTCCCACAGGTTGAAGTTGTGCTGATACCTACC
This sequence comes from Homo sapiens, assembly GCF_000001405.40. Taxonomy (NCBI): domain Eukaryota; kingdom Metazoa; phylum Chordata; class Mammalia; order Primates; family Hominidae; genus Homo; species Homo sapiens. The sequence goes on along the minus strand of NC_000019.10, from coordinate 29,417,328 downwards.
CAGAAGGCAAGGATTGGGAGCTCCTCGGGTTGGGAGAGGTGTGGACAGTGCCCCACTCCCTCTGCAAGCGCCCCTAGAGGGCTGCTTCAAGAACAGTCTGGCCCCACAGAGAGGTGTGTCTGGCTAGGTGTGAGTGTACCTTAGGAGAGGTTTCTAATCCTTCATGCCTGTCTGCCAAGGGTGCCTCAGAGCACCTGGTTTGTCCCCATCAGACTCTCTGAGTGTTCAGGAAGTGGAGTGGAGGGCTTGGTTGAGTAGAGGGCTTGGTGGAGTGGGGAGCTTAATGGAGTGGAGGGCTTGGTGCAGGCCCCCATTGAATTCCCAGTCAGGGCTAACCAGGCATTCCCCGAGGCAGGAAGGCACTGGTGCCAGCAGCCAGGCTGTGGCTGGAGGAGGCTCTGCCCGCAGGGAAGCGGGGAGGCCAGCCCGGGGCTGGCTCAGCTCTCAGTCCAGCCCGCTCTCTGGAGCTCCAGATAGGCAGCCCAGGAGCTCTCAAGGGACCATGGATGAGCCTCCTGGGTGTCCCTCTTGCTCCTGTGCTGAGATTTCTCTCCCAGCTTCTCCCTGTCTGGGCAGCTTGCTCCCAGCCTGCTTGCTGGCACAGTGTCTATGACAGGTACCACGCCAGGTCCTGGGCTGCAGCATTGGACAGGACAGAGGTGGCCTTCGTCCTCTTGGGGAATACTGGTGAACACACATTTTCCTGAAGAGCACCAGTCCTGAGAGGTACTCTGGTGGATAAAAAAGTTTTACCATCAAAGAAGTGTAAGAAATGCCACTCACTGAACGTCCTGTGCAGACTAGTGTTCCTCCAGAAGAATTTCGAAGTCCCAACTCCTGGTACTTATAAATAGGACCTTTCTTGGAAATAAGGTTTTTGCAAATGTAATTAAATAAATGATCTGCAGATGAGATCATTCTGGATTGGGGGGGCACAAATCCAATTAGTGGTGTCAGAAGAGGAATGAGAGGGAGATTGACAAGTGTCAGAGAGGGCCTCCCTCCCTTAGAGCTTTCAGAGGGAGCGTGGACCTGTGGACGCCTTGATCTTGGACTTCTTGGCTCCAGAACTGCGAGAGGATGAATTGCTGTTGTAAGCCACCTGGCGTGTGGCACTTTGTTGCTGCAGCCCCAGGAAACAGATTTACCAGATGTCCTTGCTGGAGATTGACAGAGTATTAAAGATACAGAAGATGCTGACAAGTCCCGCCGTAAGGTTTAGACCAGGTTAAACCCAGGTGCTGGAGACTGATATCCCATACCCCGAGCCGAAGCAGAGCCTGAGACAATGGCTTGTGTGTAGATAGTTAATTTGGGGGATATGTTCCCGGGAAGCAGGAGTGCACCCTCAGGAAAGGTGAAGAGGGGTGGAGGGAGACCATGGTGGGTGACTGGAGACCCTCTGGGGCAGCGTGTAGAACATGCATCAGAATTGCCCACTGGAGTCGCTGTGGATTTTAACTCCCCTGCACTTCCTAGGGTGGATATGCACCAGATGGCTGAGTGGCTTCCTGGGTATCCGGGGTATCCCAGAGGCAAAAGCAGAGAAAGCCACGTGGATTGCCACAGAGGCACTGCCAGCACCTCCTTCTGGTTTCTCCTGCAACTGCTGGAGCAAAAGGATGAGCTGAGATGTGGTGCAGGGCGCTGTCCAGCATATCAGGTTGCCCATACGCCTTGAAGCCTGTAACACCTTCTTTTGGTCATCCCTGGGCATCCACAGGACATAGGTTCCAGGACCTGCTTTGGTTCCCCAAATCCAAGGATGCTCAAATCTGTGATGTAAAATGGCTTGCATTTGCACATAGCCTACACACATCTTGTCAAGTGCTTTAAATCATCTCTAGATTACTTATGATACCTAATACAATGCAAATGCTACGTTCAAAGTATTACGTGGTATTTTAAAAATTGTATTATTTTTAATTTTTGTATTGCTTTTATTGATTTTTCCCAAAGATTTTTGATATTTTTGAATCTGCAGATGCAGAATGCATGGGCGTGGAGGGCGGACAGTATACACTGAAACCCTGATGCATGCGGTGGTCCATGCAGAGTTCCGCGGGGCCCTCTGGAAACACTGGCCCAGTGAATTGTGCATTGAATTGAAAACATGGGCTTCTCCATCACTCACTCATTCATCCAATCATTAATTCAGCAAGCTTTCTTCCAGAGGGCAAGCGGCCCTCTTGCTTGTCCTAGCCCCAGAGAGGAGCACAGTCTCGGGCAGGGCTCAGTGCACAAAAATACTTATGTAAAGGACTAGATAGCACATATTTTTGGCTTTTTGGGCCATATCGTCTCTATCAGTATTGTAGTCTGATGGTAGCCATAGTCAATAAGTAAATGAATAGGCTTGGCTCTGTTTCAATTAAACTTTATTTGCCAAATGAGAGGTGAGTTGGATTTGGCCTTTGAGCCACAGTTTGCTGATCTGTGGTCAGAACCCATGGAGATATTAATACACAGCCTGGGTTTCAGAAAGCCCAGAAGATGGTGCCATTAACACTGTTCAGGGAAATCATGGAAGACTTCATGGAAAAGGGGTAGGTCTTGAAGGATTTGCAGGAGTTTGCAGGATAGAAAAGTAGGGAAAGGCATTCCAGACAGAGGTGACTGTGCCCAGGAGAGCACCCTGGATGGCTCTGAGGAATGAGACTTTACAGCAACTGGAAAAAAGAAAGTTGAATTTAGTAAGAGGAAAGTTACATTCATAATTAATGAAAATTGAGGGATGATTCTCCAGGAAGTGTTTTCAAATGAGACAAGCTATGGGCAGTTTTAGAAGCAGAGATGGGTGGGAGGAGAAGACAACTCCTTCTTTTTTCCTTTCTTTTTTTCCAGGCTGGAGTGTAGCGGCGCCATCTCGGCTCACTGCAACCTCCACCTCCCAGGTTCAAGAGACTCTCATGCCTCAGCCTCCTGAGTAGCTGAGATTATAAGCATGTGCTACCATGCCTGGTGAATTTTTCTGTTTTTTGTAGAGACTGGGTTTCACCATGTTGGCCAGGCTGGTCTCGAACTCCTGGCCTCAAGTGATTCACCTGCTTTGGCCTCCCAAAGTGCCAGGATTATAGGCATGAGCCACTGTGCCCGGCCAGACTCCTTCTTTCTTGCTGAGGCTCTCTCCCCTGGGACCATCCTCTGCAGCACTCAGGCCTCAGATGAACTTGGAGGCTGGTCCAGGGGTCTGCCCAGGACTAGGGGCAGGTGGAGCTCAGATCCCTGACTCTGCATCACAGAGCTCACCACGCTGCCTGCCACGGCCACCCCGATGGGCACATGCCCCATCACCTTGGCAGGTTATGATTACTCAGGGAAGTGTTAGATAGAACCCTGCTGGGCTGCATGGAGCTAAAACAATCCAGGATCTGTGCCTCTGTGAGGCTGTGTGGGGCTGGTGGGAGGGTTTCCCTGGAGGCATCCACTGGGGGCCGGGGAGAGTTCTGCTGGGGCTGCCTTCCTGACTAGCTCCAGGGTTTCCAGCCTGTGCTGGGGGCAGCTGCTCAGGCTTTCTTTCACCTGTGTGGGCACGTGCAGGGGTGGGGATGCCCTCTCTGCAGTGCCAGCCCCACAGCTGAGGGCCAGAAGCTCCCTATGCAGAGATGGCCTCGGTCAGAGATGGCTGGCGTTTCTGCCTTTCATCAGGGAAACTAGTGGTGCAAGCAGAGGGACTCTCAGACAATCTGGTGACTTGGCCCTTAGTGGTGGAGCTGTTGCCATGGTCTATGGGGAGGGAGCCCTTTGCCTCTGAATCATAGTTTCTGAGTTTTGAACTGTAGTTCTGGGTTTGTGCTGAGACTCTCCCCAACCCCCATTCTCTCCAGAGCCAGAAATTGCTTTGGAGTGGGAGTGTGGTGAAAGAAGGTAGGTCAGTGTCAGTTGTCACAAAATCGCTGCATAAAAACCACTGAGACCTGGTGACATGCAATTGTAAACATGTGTTTTTTTTTCCCTGTGCAACAGTGGGTCATTTGTGGCTCTACGGATCTGAGCCAGGCCCGGCAGGGCTCACTCATGGGCCTGTGGTTGTCTGCGGGTTGGCAAGGTGGCTGTGGGATCTTCTTCCACCTAGGGCCCTTGGCTGGGCCCCTGGGGCCAGTGTGGCTCTGCTCCACGCATCTCCTCCTCCAGCAGGCCAACCTGGGCCTGTCCTCCTGGTGGAAGTAGAAGCGCCAAAGAGAGTGGCAGCTCAGCCTCGCATTGGCACACACACTCACTGCCACTGGGTTCTGTCAGCCACAGCAGGTCACCCTGCTAGGTTGGAGAAGTAGATGCCACCTCCTCAGGGAGTAGCTGCAAAATGTCCTTGGGGGCCTGGAGGCAGGGAGGGGTGGAGAACTGTGGCTATTTTTTTTGCAGTCAATTCACCGTACCATGTGGACTCCCCAGTGTGGAGCAGAATCTGAGGACTGACTTGCTAAGAATCTCTGGGCACCCTGGATAGAACCTTCCCTTTGGCTCTGAGCATGGTGGCTCACACCTGAGATCCCAGCACTTCGGAAGGCCGAGGTGGGAGAATTGCTTGAGGCCAGGAGTTCGAGACCAGCCTAGGTAACGTAACGAGACCTTGTCCCTACAAAAAATTAAAAGAAAATTACCCAAGTGTATTAGTCCATTTTCACACTGCTATGAAGAACTGCCTGAGACTGGGTAATTTATAAGAAAAGAGGTTTAACTGACTCACAGTTCCTCATGGCAGGAAAGGCCTCAGGAAATTTATGATCGTGGCGGAAGGGGAAGCAGGCACGTCTTACGTGGCGGTAGGTGAGAGAGGATGTGTAGGAAGTGAAAGGGTAAGAGCCCCTTATAAAACCATCAAATCTCATGAGAAATCACTCTCTATCATGAGGACAGCATGGGGGAACCACCCCCATGATCCAAACACGTCCCACCAGGTCTTTCCCTCAACACCTGGGGATTACAATTTAAGATGAGATTTGGTGGGGACACAAAGTCTGACCCATATCACCAGGTGTGTTGGTGCACGGATGTGGGAGGATCTTGAGCCCAGGAGGTTGAGGCTTCAGTGAGCCATGAATGCACCCCGGCACTCTAGCCTGGGTGACAGAGGGAGCCCCTGTCTCAAAAACAAAAAGAGAAAGAACCCTCCTTCTAAGTTATCTTCATTCTTCCTACGTTCCCACTGAACCTGCCCACAGACCCTTTCTTGGCACAGCCCTTGCAGCCTGGCCTACCGTCGGCTTCTCCTGAACAGCATGCCTGTGCAGCTCTTGCCCAGAGCCCAGAAACCTTCTGGAAAGGGGAAGCTGGGAGGAGTCCGTCTCTATTTCCTCTCTCTCTCTCCCCAGCCCCTCTCCTGTGGGACCGACCAGTGGAGCTTTCAGGGTGCTCCATCTTCCTCTCTGGGCTACTCCGGGCTTTATCTGGCAAGTGAGGCCCCACTCATGGGGCTGTCGCCCTGGCTAGGTACAGATAGGTCCTATGCATGGATGACTTCAGGCAATTCTCACAACAACCCTGCCAGGTCATCTGCATTATCCCCGGGGTCACATGAAGAAGTAGGTTAAGTAAGGGGCCAGGTCCCCCAGCTCCTCAGTGGCAGAGACAGGGCTGAAACTCAGCTGGGAATGACCATTGAGTATGGTGGTTTCTTACCCCCATCCCACAGATTGGAAGACCGAGACCCTCCTAGTCAAGTGACAGATTCCCCTTCTCCAGCTCCGCAGTGGCCTGGCAGATAAATGCTAGGTTGTTTTTTTTTAATTTTTTTTTTCCCCTTCAAGTTTCCATCTGTTCACGCAGTCACCGAATTTATGCATGTTCAGGCACCATCTGCGACTGCAACCCCATTTCCAAATCCGAAAGCATTTTTCCTTTTTGTACTTAACATGCACAGCGGCGCGGCGGTCCAGAATAAATAACTCTTCTTGGATTGCCAAAGTTCCAGGGGCCTCCACGGGAAATTTTCTCTGAGGAGTGGGGGAGGAGGGAAGGATTTTGCTAAACTGGAATTTTGTTTTTCTGACGTGGGCTATTTCTTCTGGCTGACATTTTAGCGGGCTTCCATCTGCTGGCTGCATTTCATGACCCCTCTTTGTTGTCTCCTTTGATAACAGAAAATGTGCACCACCGCTGAGCTGCTGTGTATGCGTATGTGTATGTGTATGTGTGTGTGTGCGTGAGAGTGCATGTGTGTGCGTGTGTGCGCATGTGTGTGAGTGCGTGTGTGTGTGTGTGTATGAGTTGGCATGTATGAGTTGGTGCATGCCTCTGAGCCCACACCTCATGTCTTTGAAAGCCCTTCTGATTGCCCCTCACCTTGAGACCATCGTGGTCACAGTCACACAATTTGGGACTTGGGGAGCGATGACCTGGCTGGAAAGCTGGAAGATGTGGTGACTGCACAGGTCCTGCAACTTCCAGAGCTTCTCCAGAGCTCCCAGAGGCCAGAAAATCAGTTTTATTTTAGATTCTGAGAATGAAATTTAGAAACCCTTCTCTCTCCAACCTTTTCCTGGAATACTTAGTAGTTTTCTGACTGTACCATGGCTAGGTTAATTTTCCTTATTTTATTTTTTATTTTTTGCTCTTGTCATTTCCTGTTTCCAAACCTTCCACAGATGTTATCCATCATCATCAGTGTGGCTGGCTCCCTCCAGGCTGTCTTTCTGTCTGGACCATTTCTGTCCCCTCCTGCCCTGGGAGGGTCTCTCTCGATGCCTTTGCCTGTACCACACTTCTGTGTGGTGTGTCCTCTGCCCTCCCCATCTTTCCACACTCTAACTGTCCTGTCCCTGTCCCAGAGGGTGTCCCTGCCTGCTCTGTGTCCCTGAGAGCCAATGCTGCAGCATCCTCCCAGAGCCAGTCCCAGGTGACACAGAGCCCCTTCCTGTGTCTTCCTCATGTGTGTCTCCTTCGGTGCTCCACCGCCTGGGTGGCCCACGTTTGGTGGATTTCACATGGAATCTGGAGATAGAGTCTGATGTGCATGTGGTTTGGGGAGCTGGCTTCTCTCAGCAGGTGGGAGATTTACACACAGGAGCAGGAGGATCCTTTGAGCCCAGGAGGTTGAGGCTGCAGTGAGCTGTGACTGTGCCACTGCACTCCAGTCTGGGTGACAGGGCAAGACTCTGTCTCTAAAACAAAACAATCTGACATCCTGGTCCTTAAGGTGATGGTTTTAGGAGGTGGAGAATTGGGGGGTGATTAGGCCACTGGGGAGGAGCCCTCATGAATGGGATTGACGGATTAATGCCATTTTTGAAGAGGCCTGAGAGATTCCTTGCTGTTTTGTTAGAGTGAGAAGATGGCCATCTGTGAGGAAGTGGGGGGCCCTCATGCAATACCAAATCTGCTGGGGCCTTGATATTAGACTTCCCAGCCTCCAGGTGTGAGCAATAAACTTCTGTTGTTTACAAGTCTCTCCTAGTCTCTGGTATTTTTGTTATGGCAGCCGAAATGGATGAAGACAACACCTGAATGCGCCCGTTCCTAGGCCCTTCTCCAAGTCTTGGCTTGGTGTTTGCAGCTCCCCCTGCATCAAGCAGCAGAATGCAGCTTCTAAGAGTACCAGCTTTGACAGCAGAGAGACCTGGGTTTGAAGAATTCTAGCTCTGTGACTGGACATGGCCTGTGCTTTCTGTCTGGACTATTTCTCTCCCATCCGCCCTTGGAAGCAAACTCCTATTCATCCTTCAAGACCCAGATGTCAGATGCCTCTTCTAGGAAGCCTACCAGGCCCTCCATGGGCCACATGTACAGGCTAAGCCATCTACCTCTGGGCTGGCTTCTCTTCCCTGTGTGCTCCCCAGGTCAGAGACCGTGTGGCTCTTGGGGGCCCACAGAGCTGGCAGCAGTGAACATTGGATGGATGGACTGTCATTTTGTAGCAACAGGAGCCTCCCGACTCCCATCCATGCCCCTACAATGGATTAGTCTGTAGGGCCCAGCCCTTTCTGTGGGCGCTCAGCACAGCATGGTCACCCGCTAGCCCTGGCCGGGCAGCCCCTCCTGCGGCAGGGAGTCCGAAAGCGTCCGGATGCTTTAACTGCCACCGGCCAGGCCCTGCAGGAGCCCAGCTCAGGGAGGAAGGACAAGGCATGCCTTTTCTCCTAAATGGGAGCTAACGAGTGTGGTCCCCCAGCTGCTCACTGTTGTCAGAGCTGTGCCCTGTCAGCTGGAGGCTCAACATGTGGCTGTCTGTGGTGGGGCTTCTGGGGGGACGGGGTGGCCTGCAGAATGCCCATGCAGCCTCCACTCCTGGCAGAAGGCCTGTGCGCTAGGCCCCCAGCTGATACATCGGGAGGGAAAGAGCACCTGTGCTCTCCCCACCTGTGCTTCTCCTTCCCTGTGGGCAGGCGGGATCTAGCCCTGCCCTTGCTGGAGGTCCTTCCTGGGAACCTCTACACAGCCAGGCTCTGCAGTGTCGGCTCAGGCGTGCACTGAGGGTGGCCCCTCCACAGCATCCTCAGGACCTCAGGCATGTGACGGTGCTTGGGGGACATCTCTTGGCTACAGGTCTGCCCTTTCTGGACCATGGCACTGGATGTAGCTCCAGGGACTCCACTCCTTGCAGAACAAAGGGAGGGGAATTATCCTCATTCAGCTCCAGCCCAGGGAGATGCCTTCACATCTCCCCTCTAGGAGTGCCTGAGCTCCCTAGAGCCTATGACACAGGGGACATCCTGGCCCTGCCCCTTACTGAATGTGTCGCCTTCACTCTCTGAGTCTCCGTTGTCTCATTCACAAAGTCAGCATGATAATAATCATACCTGCCTGGGTTCTTGTGAACAACAACAAAAACCAAACAAAACCATTATGCAGAATGGAAAAGCTTTGTCAGCATACAGCACTGTCCTTGTAGAGGCGAGTGGCCGGGCACCCACAGCATGGAGCACCAGGGATGTGCCAGCTACCACACGCAGGCAGAGACAGACTTCCTCCTGCTTCTGCTTGCGGGATTTGATATTGTGGTGAGGGAGGGGACAGATGCTCCATAAGTGAGCCCAGGCACATGTCATCCAGCCCGTCTATGTGCACATCGGGCCTCTAGGGGCCAGAAAGTGGCTGGGTATTTCACCCCCATCCCCAGGAAAGATGAGGCCCAGCGGGGCAAGATGCAGGGAGTGGGCTCTTTCTGGCAGTCACAGGAGTGGGTTCTGATTCCAGGCAGGCTTGCTGTATCTTCTTGGCAGATGCCGTCTGGATCCTTAGGAGCTGCAGGGTGGATGGCAACAAGGTCTGGACGTCACTGGGCAGTGAAGCGGGGGCCTGGTTGGCCAAGCCATTGCCTGATGGGGATACCAAAGAGGGGTCTAGACAGGGAACTGCAGGTCCTCCCCATTCTGCCATCCTCTTATGGTCCAGGGGTATGAAGCCTTCCAGCCACACAATCTCGAGGACAGAACTCGAGCATGTTGGCCCTAAAAGCCCCTCTTTCCACCACCCCACTGCAAAGATTAGGTCCAACTCTCTGAAGGTTATTGAGGCGGAGAGGCAAGTGCCAAGGGCTCTGGATTTTGCATCTGGGAGACCTTAGGCTGGTACCTTCTTCTCACTGGGCCTCAGTTTCCCCCTGAGTCAGATGAGAGGGTTGGACCAGATGGTAACAGGCTTTTCATCTGTGGCTTGCTTGTGACCATCAAAAAAAGCAAAAACACGTTAAAGCCTCGCCAGTCATCATTTTCCAAGTTTCCCCTGGATTTTTCCATCGGAAGACAAAACGTGATGAGACCATATGTCAGGCTAATTGTTCCCCAAACAGAATTTAAACATTTGAATATGCTTGCAACAGGGAAGGGCAGGAAAGAAAATGGTGTTGCAGGGGGTGGAGGTAGTAGAGTCTGGCTCTGTCCCTGGGATGTGCTACAGGGGTACCCTTGCCTTCAGGGCCATGGGGCTGCCTGGGGCAGCAAGAGGTCTGTCAAACTGTATGAAAGGTCAAGGCTGGTGGGCCATGGTTATAAAGTCCACCCACCCACTCACTCTACAGGTAACAGCAGAGCACTCAGCTGAAGCCTGGCCCAGCCCTGGGTGCTGGGAACCTGAGGATCAGGGAGGGAGACAGCTGAGGTCCTTGCTGCTTTGGAGCTCCCAGGTCAGCAGGAGAGACAAGTGCCAGGATGGAAGGGGCCACACAGGGGCTGGGGGTGCCAGTTGAGGATTAGGGGAGGCCTAAGGGATCGGGGGAGCCAGGTAACAAGGAGGAAGGGGCAAGCATTTCTGGAAGAGAAGGCAGAGAGTGTGAGGGCCAGGGTGGGAGCAGTGTGGCCACTGGTCCTGTAGAAGGCTTGTCGCATCAGAACCAGAGGGGTGCTGGGGAGAGGGGCACAGGGTTGGGGGGCCGGAGGGGTGGCTGGGGGTCCCATCACCTGTGGCGGGTGGGCTGCCTTGTCTGGGCCCTGCAAGTGATGAGGAGGGGCTGACAGCCTGCAGCAGGGGGGTGACAGGACACCTCTGGGCTTCTGTCCCAGCTCTGTGCCTTCCCCTGATGTGTGGTCAGGTACACGGAGGAGGTGCACCCCAGGGAGGGCCGTGAGTGGAGTTATTCCTCACATCCTTTTTTTTTGCATTTATTATTATTTTTAGTTGACCATAATAATTCTACACATTCATTAGGTACAGTGATATTTTAATACATGTAGAAATGTGTAATAATCAAATCAGGGTAATTAGCATATCCATCACCTCAAACATTTATTATTTCTTTGGGTTGGGAACATTCAAAATTCGTTCTTGCAGCTATTTGAAAATATACAATACATTGTGTTAATGATAGTCATCTTACAGTGTTATAGAACACTAGAACTTATTCCTCCTGTCTAGATGTAGTTCTATAGCCATTAAGCCATCTCTGGCTGTCCTCCCACCCTTCCCTGCTTCTGGTCATCACTATTCTACCCTGTTCTTTTTTTTTTTTCATTAGAGACAAGGTCTTTCTTGGTCACCCAGGTTGGAGTGCAGTGGTGTGATCATGGCTCATTGCAGCCTCCAACTCCCGGGCTCCAGCGATCGTCCCGCCTTGGCCTCCCCAGTAGCTGTGACTACAGGCATGCATCCCACCACTACCAGCAAATTAAAAAAAAAAACAAAACTTTTTGTAGAGACGGGGTCCCACTATGCTGCCCAGGCTGGTCTCGAAATCCTGGGCTCAAGGGACCTCCTACCTCGACCTCGCAAAGTGCTGCGGTTACAGGTATGAGCCACAGCACCCAACTCGCTACTTCTATGCGATCGACTTTTTCAGCTCCCACATGAGTGAGATCATGAGCTATTTGTCTTTCTGTTCCTGGCTTTTTTCACTTAGCATAACATTCTCTAAACATCCTTGCTGCCGAGAATGACCATGAAGAGGTGAGCGGATAGATAAAACGTGGTATTAATATACACACACAGTGGAACACTGTTCATCCACATCCTCTTGTTGCAGGCTCAGGGAGGTGAGCGGGTGGGGAATTGATGCCGGGACCCGGGGAGGCAGCAGCGGACGTGGGCTCAGAACCCACGCCTGTGGTCTCCTGGCTCCCCGTGGCCCCCTCTTCAGAGCACTGGGCTGCGACCTGCACCCTCTGGTGTGGCGCGGCTGCCACAAATGGTTTGAATGGAGGGTGCTGAGAAGGGAGGGAGCATCCATCTCTGGTCCGGGATAGAGGAAACTGACGCAGGCCTCAGCTACACGGAGCTTCCCCAGCAAGGCAGGGCCTGGGCTTGGCAGGTGCTGCACCAGAGGAGTCTGAAGCCGAGGCAGGTGCCCGCCAAGCCTTCCAGGGACGGGGACAGGGAGGTGGGGAGCCGAGGGGTTCACTGCAGGCCCAGGAGCAAAGGCTACAGATGAATCTGGTGACTGTAAAACCTCAGGGACCAAGCGTTCGAACAGCCCCACCAGGGCAGATCGGGGACCAGGAAAGGCTGGGGACGGCTCAGGGGCCTGTCTGCCAGGCTGCGCTGCCTCTCCCACTCCCGTTAGCGCTGTCCCACCCCGCTGCGAGGCGAGCTGGAGGAGGGCTGACAGATGCATTCAAATATGGCTTGGTTCAAAGAATGAGCTTAATTAGGCATTTAAGCCCGTGGTTGTGAGTCCAGAGTTTTCCGATTTGGCGTGCGGTCTGGAATGTTGTGGAGCTCGTTTACAGAGGAGGAGCCAGAGAGTGGAAAGGGGTGAAGCAGATGGTCACATTGTTAGGCCTTACCCGCCCCTCCCAGCGCTCGAGGGAGAGGCGAGGTCCATTCCCCAGGCTGCTGGGCTCAAGTGGTGCGCGCCTCACTGTGCGGAGCTCTCAGTCCCGGGCCTGGCCCTGGACCCAGGACAGGGAGACTATCCAGACCTCCGGCACGCCCTGGGGTCTCCCAGAAGGTCAGGCTGGGAGGGCCTGCGGCACTGTACTCCAATGATCTGGGGCCACTGTCACACAGCAGGGAGCCTCTTAGTGACCTCTGTGGCACAGACAGCAGCCTCCCGGCACCGCCCCCTCCCCAGGCCGGACCTGCCTCCCAGGGACCCCCAGCCACTATCCAGGACCTGGAGAAGGCTGTCGACTTGGCAGCCCTAGAGAGGGAAGGCTGCAGCATAGTATCTTGGTCCTGGGCTCAGGGGATATCAAGAGCCATGGCTGGGACCTAGAGGGTTTCCAGGAGGTGCGAGTGTGGCCAGGGAGGAGAGTAGGCACCCCTCAGCAGAAGTGCAAGTGGCCTCCTCGCCCCTCCCTGCCCTGGACCCGCATTTTCTTCTCTGCCTGTTCTTCGGTTGCCCCTTCCTGTCTTTCCTCTCGGAGTCTCTCTTCTGCCTCCATTTCCATTACTCTTCGCCCCTATCGCTGCTTCCTTTTCTCTGCCTCTCCCAGTCTCTCTAGCTTCAGGCCAATCCAGGCCCATTTTTTTCTCCTTCCTCTACCTCCCAGCCTGGTGTCCAAGCCCTTTCCACTCAGCCCTCCTCCCCGGCATGTCCATGGGCCTCTCATCACCAGCACATTTCTGCTTCCAGCCTTTGCTCACCTAGAACGCCCTCGCACTCCTCTCTGCCTGTCCACAGCCACACGTTTCTGTGCCCCCACTTCTTGCTTCCTGGCATCCTTCTGGCAGGGCCAGCATGCCGGGCTCTGAGGAGGGGGCCTGTGCACCTGCCCAGCGGCACCTGCCACCCTGCAGCACCCGCCCAGCAGCACCTGCCTCTCCCGCTGAGTGCAGAGCAGCGTATCCAGCATCATCCTGCACAAAGACAGCTCCCTGCTGAGGAGGTGCTTGGGTGCTGTGGTTGAAATGATGACCCCCATTCAGTGGACACACAGATTCCAACAAGCCCCATGAGGGAGGAATGAAATGCTGCAGAAGCCCAGAGCTGGAGGCACTCCTGGGGAGTCACCGGGGCCCAGCCTCCTGCCACCAGCTGAAAGGGGAGCACGTGGAAGGCGGGCCTCGTTCCCTCCAGCACAGCTCACCAACTTACCCGTGCTTCTCAGAAAAGCCATGCGTCTCACCAACAATGCACTCAGCTGCTGCCACCTGGGAGGGCTGCCCCCAGGAGTGGCTCATGCAGCTCGACCCTGCCCCTGGGCCCTTCCATCTGGGGCTTGTAGCTGAACCTACCCTAGCTCTCTTCATGCGTGGGGTCTCCGAATGAATGGTGTGATGCTTTCTGAGTTTCAGCCACTCTGAGAAGGACTGCCTCCGAGGTGCCTTCAAAGTCCTCAAGGAGGGCAGTGTGGGCACCACAGAGCGCCCAGGCTGCTTTGAGTGGGAACACCACAGATGCAGCCCTGATCTAAGACCCGCTGGCTGCCTTGTGATGGGGCAGGGCGTGGGGGGCAGACAGACAGAAGTTTGTTTTATTTACATAGACACTCGAAGATGCAGAACGCTGAGTTCCTGGTGAAAGAGACCCTGCCTTTGGCAGGGCTGAGACTTGCCAGAGATGGGACTCACCACTTCTGGCTTGGGTGGGAAGAGTCTCTGGGGCCTGTGGCTTGGGCAGAGGGCAGCCCAGGGTGCCCCAGGCCCAGCCTTCCTTCTCCAGGGCACTCATGTCTTCCAGGGGCCACCTGTGCCTGCCACTGCCTGGTGCCCCACAGGGCCTGTGTTGTGAATCGGGGTGTTTTTTTTTTTTTTGAGACGGAGTCTCGCTCTGTCGCCCAGGCCGGACTGCGGACTGCAGTGGCGCAATCTCGGCTCACTGCAAGCTCCGCTTCCCGGGTTCACGCCATTCTCCTGCCTCAGCCTCCCGAGTAGCTGGGACTACAGGCGCCCGCCACCGCGCCCGGCTAATTTTTTGTATTTTTAGTAGAGACGGGGTTTCACCTTGTTAGCCAGGATGGTCTCGATCTCCTGACCTCATGATCCACCCGCCTCGGCCTCCCAAAGTGCTGGGATTACAGGCGAATCAGGGTGTTTAAATCACCACCTGCTTCTGGGGACTGTGCAACTCCACAGGAAGGCAATGTTGCCCCTTACCTGCCAGCCCTGTTATGAGTGGGAGGGGCCTCTGGCCTCCATCACAGACAGAGGGGCTGAGGCCCAGAGTGGGCACGCGTCCAGGTGCAAGCCTGGAGAGCTGGCTGTGCTGGAGGGCAGCCTCTTTTTCTGCGATTTGGCTGTGGGGTTGCTGGGAGCACAAGGCAGTTCTGAGGATGGATGGGCAGGGTTCCAGCTGCTCAATCTGTCATTGCAAATCAGTGCTCCCTCGATGTCACTGGGCTTCTGAGGGGTCTGCTGGAGGGGCCAGTGCCTAAGTGGAGGGGGAGGGGAGCACAGCCGAGGGGCTCTTGGGGGGACTCGGTGGGTCCCTCCTGACACCCAATGCTGAGGCCTCCCAGGAGTGGCGGGTGTCCTGCAGGCACAGGGCAGGGGCCACTCTGCATCTCAGCTCTGTGCTCACCCATGGCTGGGTCTTGGCCAAGTTGTTTAACTGCCTTGGCCTCCTCCTGACCTATGAGAGGCTGATCATCACATGGTAAGTGAGATCCTTCACTTAGCCGTGCCTGGCCCACAGGAAGCATTCAGCAAACAACTGCCATCCCTGTCACTGATATTCTCACTAAAGGCTCCCGCTGGGCACTGACGGAGCCATGACTGGGTCCACAGCAGCTCTCATTTGGACACAAGCTCGGCTCCAGCCCATCTCAACTAACAGCAGAAGGAGAGGAAAGAGGCTGCCTTACAGCATGATGGATGGAGGTTAGATACGTAGGGGACTTCCCGATGGGGTGGCCCTCTGAGAAAGATTCTGTCCAGCACTCTTTGAGGGCAAGAGGGGTCATGGTGGGAGGAAGGCCAAAATGACCAAGGTGTACCCCCCAACACCCAGCACTCCTTTCTACACCAGGTCCTCCTCAACGGGAGAGGTGAGATGCGCTCAGGGTCTGGGCAGCTCCCTGGAGGCTCCTTTGTCTCAGCTGGGACAGGAGGGCATTTGAGGAGGGCTGGCTCCTATTTGGCTCCAGCTGTGCCCCCACCCTGCAGAAGCTGGCCAGGCTTGCGGGTGGGGGTGAGGCTTTTGGAGATCTCTCAGCCAGGAGGAGTGGGAGGAGAGCAGGGTGGACACGCTGGCTGGTCTAGAGCAAAGTGAGCTCCAGAGAGCTGAGTCAGCCTCGGGAGCAGGCGCTCGGCCAGTGGGCACCTGTACTCTGGCCTCGCACCCCTTAGGCACTCCATCTTGGGATTCCTGATGTCATCTATTTTGTCACGCAGGATATGGGGGGTCCTGGGAGGAGAGTCTGTTAACACCAGGCCTGGCAGGAGGTTCCGGAGGCCCCTGTGAGTTCTGTGTTCTGGACACACGGTGATGCAGCTGGAGGCCGCTGCCCGGTAGGGGCGGTGGGGGCATGTCTGGCTCAGGAGCCTGGTGACCATGCAGAGCGTGGGCTGGGCGCCACCTCCTCCACTCCACTCTGCTGCCTCCCACTCTGGGCTGTCTGGAAGCTTAATGTGCCTGGGTCTTCCCCATGGGGAATCTGGAACCCAGAGAGGTTGGGTGACCCGTGAGAGGTGAGCTCCCAGCTCAGAGAGACTTGAAGCTGCTCCTGCCCCCCCGGACTCTGTGTGTGATGAACATGCATCGCCTGAGAGATGAAAGAGCAGCGCCCTGCCTCCTGTTTCTGTCTCCCGATGTGAGAAACACGTTTCTCCTCCTACTCACTGTCATCCCCAGAGACAGGGTTTGGTGCGTGGGAGGCACAGACCTGTGGACTCAGTTTGTGGTGTGGTTTTGTTACTGTTACTGTCTCCTGCTGGTGACAGGATCCCAGGCCAGCAGCACGGAATTCTGCCCATCTCCCATGCCCAGAGGCCGGGCGGACTTTCAGGCCAGGCCGTGTGGGTACCGATGCTGCTGCGGGAGGCCGTGAGAGCCTCTCAGGGGCTGTGTCTCCTGTCCTTTTTTCCCTTGTGCCCAGTGGGAGCTCCTTGAGAGCAGAGACTGTGTGACTCATTGTAACCCCACGGCCAAGCACTCAGCACACTGCAGACCCTGTCCCCACCATGCCCACATCTGCTTGGCACCCATCATTCCCATGCCCACTGTGGCCCTTTCTCCCAAGGGCCTCTTTTGGAACAAGAGTGGGCTTGGTCTGTGTGGGGCAGCCCAGGAGTTTTGGTGACTCCATGCCCCCAGGAGCCAAGGATGGACCAGAGCGGGTCCATGCATCCTCCAGCCCACCTGCCCCCAGGGGGACAGCCTAAGGCCTGCCCTGCCCACCTCCCCAGTATGCCCTCAGCAGCAGCCTGCTCATTGTCACACCTGTCCTGGCTGCTGTCCCTTTCCTCCCGCGTGGGTGTTTCCCAGGATCACCATCTACACTGCCTGCTTGGGTCCAAGTCCTTACCGTAGGGTCTGGCCTGGGGAAGTTTGCAGAATGCTGGGGGATGAGTGCGGGGCTCAAGGGACAGACATGTGAAAGGAAAATCCAATCTTAGGGCCCCAGACTCACTATGCCAAGGGAAAAGGGAAGCTTGGAAACTGAGTCCTTCTTTTCTTCTCTGAAGAGATAGCTGCAGTGATAGAAGGCCATACGTCTCCCCAGGTGGCTTTCCTCACTGATTAATCACAAGGGAATTCCTTGTGGGCCCCCAGATCTTTCAGAATCCGCATGTCCCCTCTAAACTAGCTCTCAAATGAGTTCTGTGGAATCTGACGCTGACAACGTCAATGACCAGCTCACCTTCACAGCTATGGGACAAAGACGGGCCGAGACATTCCTCCACTCACCCTGAGACAAACGCATCTGGCTTCTTTCTCTGCTCCATGCTTTACTTTATTTTACTTTATGTAAAGTGCAGATTTACTGAGCACAAAATGAATGCATAATTGGCCGTTTCTCTACCCTCCTGCCACTGCAACAAGTGGACTCAGTGAGCGCTAATCAAAGCCTCAGAAGCACGTGACCACTCTCCTCACTACCTACCAGCCCTTTTTCTTTCTTTCCTCCTTCCCCTCCTGCTGCTCTTTCCCCTTTAAAGATCGACGTCCTCCAAACCCTCTTTGGAAAAAGCACAGGCCACAGATCCTACTTGTGTCTCTTTTTCCTGGGTGTGTCCTCAACCTTGGCAGAATACACTCTGAGTTGACTGAGACCCGTCTCAGATGCTTTTTGGTTTACAGGCACCTTGAAGAAGCCACTGCTCTCTGGGGCAGGTGGAGGATGGCCCTTCTGCTGTGCACGGCATCCTCTTCAGCCTTGGGAGGCCCCTCTGGCTGGGGCACATGCTGATGTCTGAGCACAGATGCACAGCAGCCTTCTCGGTTGTCCCCAGCAACTGCGGGTGTTGGCTTCGTCCTCTGTTCTGTCCATGCAAGCGTTCTGGAAACTTGGTGTCTTTTGGGGAGAACACAGTCATCTTGTTTGAGAAACCATCTTCCCCAAGGAATCATGGATGACAGTGAGCCTGGCTGTGCTACCTCCACCGGGGAGAATTCTAGGGGGTAAATCGTATCACTATTGGCAGGTGACACTACAGGCATTTCATCATTCTGGCGGATGGGCTCGGGTACAATTACAGAAGGCTATGTCAGGCTTGGAGATCGATAGGCTAGGGAAAGCAATCCTTAAAAACAAAACCAAACAAAACAGGAATTGCAGATGCATTTTCAGTTAGACTGACTAAGTGGATGGCGATACCTCTGACTGTGGAGAGCGGAATTGTATGTCTTGATGTCGTCCAGCAAGTCCCATCCGTGGAGGGCACAGCCTGTCCTCAGTCCCTTAACACTGGCTTGGAAAACAGCCACAAGCCCCAGGGAACTGGAGGAGGCCAAACTCACAGCTTCTTAAATACGGAGAGAATCGTCGTCATCCTCCAAGAACAGCAGAAGCCTGGGCAAGGCTGATCTACACGTGCCTACCACATCTGTCTCCATCTCGGCTCCCCACTTCCTTCCTGCCACCCCTCCCTTCTTTCTTCTTCCTTTCCTTCCTTTTCCCTTCCTTTCTTCTTTCTTTCCCACCTTCTTCCTTTCCTTTCCTTTCTCTTGAAGAACAATGGAAAAATCTCAGGAAGACTGGAACTCGGGCATGGCATGATGAAGTTCTGTCTGGGCAGTGGGATTGGGGTCTTCCTCCTGAAGGGTACTGTGGGGTCTTCAGCGCCTTATCTCACCAACAGCTTGGCTGAGTGTGCCCAGATCTGTGCACTGTGGTAAGGCTAACCTTTACACCTCTAGATAGTTCCTGGATGCAAACCTTGAGAAATCAACTTGGAGAACGAGCTAAGTTTCCGTTGTCCAGAGCTCAGGTGCTGGGACAGGTGGCACCCAGGTGAGTGTGGGTGGGAGGTGCACAGGGCTTGGGGAAAAGGGGGCTCTCTTTGACAGAGGCCCCAAAGCACACAAGCCTCTGGAGCTTGCCCCCATTTCTTCTCCACTCCAAAGCCCTCCCTTCTCCCATGCCCATGTCTGCCCATCTGGGCATTGCTGGAAACCCCATGGGCGGAGGTTGTACTGCACAACTGTCTTGTGCATGGCTTTATTCCCAGAGCTTGACACAATGTCTGGCCTGTAGTAGGTGCCCAGGAGATATTGTTGAACTAGGAGGCCAGGCCTAGAGACCCTTCCCAGGTTCCTCTGGAAGGTGCCTGAACGCTGTGCCTGTAGGCTCTCCGGCTCTCTTTGTTCTGAGTCATTTTTCTCCAGGCAAAAGCACAGTTTCTGACAAGCAGTCCTAAAGTCTACATGAGACCTATATATGAGTGCAGCCCGCCCAGGGTCAGGAGCTAGGTGTAGATCTCCCTCAGCCTGTCAGTTGAAAGTGGTGCATAATTAAATATCATTAAATGGACTCAGAGGCATCCAACTTCATTACCACGAGCGCCTGTTGCACTTGAGTAATTGCGGGGGCTTGGCAGGAGGAAGCAGTCTCAGGGCAGAGCCTCCTGTCTGCAGGGGGTTCCTGGGGCTTCCCCATCCCCGCCTTCCCTGGATCTCCAGCCTGGTCCTGTTGGGCCACATGCCGTGCCCTGGGTGCTCTCCAGATGGGAGGAGCCTCCCGATACTTGTTGAGCAAGGCTTGTGCCTGCACCTGTGCTTCAACCCAGCAGCCCTGCAGGAATACTGCCAGCTCCCCCACTGTAGGTGAGGATTTCCATTCAGAGAACAGAGGGACCGAGGCAGGATTTGAATCCAAGCCTAGTTGGCTCCCAAGCTCAGCTGGCTCCCAAGCCCACACCCTCACAGGGCTACCCACGACCTCCAGATGGGGAGGAGCTGGGAGAATGGCTGAGGCCGCAGCAGAAGTGCTGGGTCTGGAGTCCATCAGCCTCCAGCTCTGCAGGAAGCATGAGGCAGGCCAGGCCACTCTGCGGGGGAAAGGCAGAGGACCCTGCTGTCCTGAGGGCAGTGGCTGGCCCCCAGCTCACCATGCCAGGCCACAGTCACCCAGCGGGGTCCCAGAGTGTGGCAGGAACCACCTCTTCCCCTTGGCCTTGCGCTTAGAAAGCAGGCTGTATGATGCCGTGTGTGTGCATATCTTGCTCACCAATGCCTCCAATTCCGTGTTTGAAATTCAACCCTTGGGGTTAAGCAAGTTCTGGTTCACGTTTCTCTTAAAATACAGATCTTCCAGCCATATGTGGAGTCGCTGGTGGAGTCTTATCTCTCTCTCCAGAGTGTGTCCCTGCAGTGGAGGCTGGCCTTTCATCTCAGCACCAGGGTGCCCAGGGCCCAGTTGATCCAGGAAGTTTGTTGAATGAATGAGTGATTGGCACATTCTGGGCAGGTGAGACTCTGGGCTCCTGGGGTCGAGGAAGGAGGTTGCTGATAGTGGACTCCCTGCAGTCACCAAGCTCCTTTGGGCTGAATCAGCTCAGGTTTCAGCCCTGGTCCCTCTGAAGGGGAGAGAAAGTGTGTTGAAAAGACAAATGCTTCTGTGTATATGTGGTGTACTCTTCAACTTTCCAGCAGTTTTAGACAATTCTCTCCCTTCCTCATTTCCAGGAGACTGTCTGGCCCAGAAGAATGCCTGGTTTCCCTCAGGGCAGGGCACTCCCCTGTGCAGACAGGCGGGCATGGAGCAGAAACAGCCAGGGTGGACGAGCTTTTCAGCAGCATGAAGGCAACAGCCGATTTGTTCACAGTCGAGAGTGAAGGAATGAATTTACGAGAACCTGCATGAACTATGTGATCATAGTGTTGGTGGTCAGACTGTGAGGCACAGGAAGATGGATCAGAGGGTCAAAGGGGCACCATCTACAGCTCATTTCCCCGTCCTCCAACCAATGGGCCTGCCCCAGACCTGC
Organism: Homo sapiens; assembly: GCF_000001405.40. Lineage (NCBI taxonomy): Eukaryota > Metazoa > Chordata > Mammalia > Primates > Hominidae > Homo > Homo sapiens. The sequence goes on along the minus strand of NC_000019.10, from coordinate 29,396,649 downwards.
TCCCCTGTCCCTGGGGAGGAGGAGGATATTCCAGACTCACGGACCTGAACCTCTCTGGGCATATGTCCAGTCTCTGTCCTGCAGAGATGCCTTGGGCCTCCCATTTCAACAGCATCCTTCCCCTGATGTGGGAAAGAATTTCCTAATCGCCCTCACCTCTGGCTTCAGGTCCATGCAACACAAGCCCTGTTTCGGGCCTCCTGTGTTCAGGCTCCTGAGCACGGCTTCCCTTTTTGAAACCAGGTATTCGCTGTTTCCTGCATATCAGTGGCTGTGAAATTCTACAGAAAGGCCAAGGGAGAGGCAGGGAGAGAAGCCAAGGAGACAGAGTCCTATGGGCTTCAGGGAGCACCTGCCCCCAGGGCTGTTCCAGGAGCCGGACTGGCCCTTCAGTAGATTTCCACCCTCTCTAGTTGGGGTGGATGGCTGTTCCCTGGGTGCCACCCTAGAGGCTGGGGACTTCAGCTGCCAGAACTAAGGAGGCTCAAGAACCTGCAGAGAACTTAGGGGCTGCCCAGGTCTGAAGCAGGGGCACAGGGGGTGGGGAGGGAGGGAGGAGTTGTGGAAGTGAGCTCTGAGCAAGTTCTGCTGCTTCCTCTAGGAAGGCTGTGCCCAAGGGCCTAATGCTTCTATGCTGGGGTTGAGGATGACTGGAGCATGTGGGTGTGTGTGGTGTGTGTGTGTATGTGAGTGCCTGTGATTCTATGTGAGCCTGTGTTAGCTTTGTGCCAGAAGCTGACAGGTGTGCCTGTGTGTGTGCGTGTGTGTGTGTGCGCACTTGTACCTGTGGGGGTTTTTGTGTGTATTCTGTGTGTGCACTTGCCTGTGTGGGTGCTGTGTGCACTCACATCTGTGTGTGTCCTTGTGTGTGCTCATGTTGTGTGTGTGTGCTTGTGCTGTGTGTGTTTCTCTGAGTCCGCGTGTGCGTGTTCCCAGAAAACTGAGCACCGCTGCTCTCTCCTCAGGAAGTTATTTTTCTTCCCCCACTCTTGCTAATTTATCTTTTCCCCACCAACTCCATCCGACACGGGAATGTGTGCCCTGTCGTGGCCCTTCTGTTTCCAAGGGAGGCTGGTGTTGCCTGCAGAAGCATCTTGTGAGTTGTGGGAGGGGCCACATGGAAGGCCAGACATGGGAGTGAAGTGTGAAGCACCAGCCTTCCTGACTTCCAGACCCAGGTCAGCCTCCCGCCTCTCCTCCTGCTGAATCTTTCTGATCCTGCGGTTTCTCCTCTCTGAAACGGGGATGCTGATGGTTCCATAATCAAAGTCCTGTGCTGATTCATTGCAATGATGACTGTTTAGCCCCAGCTGCAGGTGAGACATGGGGCAGAGGCTCTGGGGATGTCTGTTTTGGTCCCTCAGGGACGGCACGCTGATGTTTGTTCTGGCGGATGTGCTAGGGAGATATACATTTTGAGTGCATTTCTAGTTGCATCTGGGGTCAGAGACAAAAGTGGGAGTGGACTCAGGCCCTGGGGAATTCAGTCTGCATGGGAAAACATGCCATGTCACTTAATTTCATTACAATATTAACAGAAGCTAATAAAAGTGATGAGGAATGATAGCAGCCAGGACGACAGCAGGTCACACCTGCTGAGGGCTTGCTGTGTGCCACCCTCTGAGCCATCTATGTCACTGTAATCCGTCATTCCCCAGCATCCCTGTGACACCCCCAAGAATTGGACTGTCATGCCCTTGTTTTACGCGCTGGAAAATGGAGCTGTACGTCTGCCTATGTGTTCCATCATTTATAAGATGAAGTCAAGAGCAAAGGTGTGGCCGGGCTCACGCCTGTAATCCCAGCACTTTGAGAGGCTGAGGTGGGTGGATCAGCTGAGGTCAGGAGTTCAAGACCAGCCTAACCAATATGGTGAAACCTGTCTCTACTAAAACTACAAAAATTAGCTGGGCATGGTGGCGAGCACCTGTAGTCCCAGCTGCCCAGGAGGCTGAGGAAGGAGAATCACTTAAGCCCGGGAAGCAGAGATTGCAGTGAGCCCAAATCGCACCACTGCACTCCAGCCTGGGCAACAGAGCAAGAGTCCGTGTCAAAAAAAAAAAAAAATTGCAGTGACCCAGATCGCGGCACTCTACTCCAGCCTGGGTGATAGAGCAAGACTCCACAAAAAAAGAAAAAATAAAAAAGATTGAGTGTGACATGGGAAAGCAGGGGTTGGCAGTCGGCTTGGGGCTTGGGCTCAGTTGTTCCCATGAGTAGAGGCAGGCCATTTTCTTGAATTCTCACCAAGTGCTGCCGTGTTTCTTAGCTTCAGTGGTTTCCATATCACCACGGTGCTTCTGATTCACTCCTTCTCTGCCTGGGTACTGTGATTGTCCAAGCCTACCAGGCAGACCCAGACCCCAGGGAGAGGGCCAGTGTTCTGCTTAGCAGGGACTGAGTCATAGCTGTTTGCCAGGCAGGTAGCTGGCGGACCAGGGACACCCGTTATGGTGAGAGACGCCATTCATTTATCATTGCCTCTTCCCTCCTAGACGCAGATTAGTGACATTGCTTCTGACAGCTCTAAACACGCTAATGTCATTACAGCTGAGCCCAGGAGTGCCCCTAGAGTTAAGGAGCTGCTGGTGCTTTGATTATAAACACCATTTTTCAGAGGTGTATAAGGCTGCCATTTGAAATCACATTAGGCTGAAACTTGAGAGAGAGGTTGTCAGCTTGGCTGCATTGGGAAATAAAAATTTCAATAAAATTCTTAATTTGTCTCAAGCCTTGTCCTAGGGACTTTTGACAGGATGAGGGTCTGGGCCATGGGTAGAACTGGGGTGCCCTGGGAGGAGACAGGATCTGAGTGTCCAGTGCCGGGAAATGTGTGGGACCTGCCGTTTTCCTGTGCACACTTGCTGCAAAAGCGGCTTGGGGTTTCTGGGCTTTCACAGCTGGACCATTTTCAGAGGCTGGCCACTGTCCCCTCTGTTCAGGGAATGTAGGCAAATGGCTTTATCAGGGATGGGTGATGGTTTTTGACCTGAGATGCCTTCAGAAGGCCACCTGGTGAGCTGGCAGTTTGCAATTAAATAAGAACGCCGTTTGTGTTCCATTCTAATTGGATTTTTGTGATTTTGGCCTCCCCTTTTCTTTTTCACTGGGTCTCTTTCTCTAATTTTTAAAGGCTTTTGCTTTTGCCCCCTCCTTCCTGCTTGTCTGTTCCTGTCGGTCTGTGCACCTGGTGGCCTCCCTATCTGTGCCATCTGACTGCTGTCTCTTTCTCTCTGTCTTGAGTCCCTCCACCTCCCCCTCTCATTGCCTGTCTCTCCCTTTGCCTCACTCTCTTGTCTGCTTTATTCATTGAACAAACACTGGCACAGCCCTTCATGCATCCCAGGCATAGCTCTATATACTTTACAAATATTAACTCATGTCATTTTCACCAAAAAAAAAAAAAAAAAAAAAAAAGCCACACGGAGAGAACTGCAATTGGCTTAATTTTACAGTTGAGGAAACTGAGGAACAGAGATGTAAGCAGCTTGCTTGAAGTCCCACAGCAAGCAAGAGGCAGAGCTGGGAGTTTAAAATCTCCCAAGTCTATGCTCTCTTCCTCTGTGTCTTTCAGGAAAAAAAACCGAACAGAACAAAACTAGACCGGGTATGGTAGCTCACGCCTGTTAAGTCCAGCACTTTGGGAGGCTGAGGCAGGAGGATCACTTGAGGCCAGGAGTTTGGGACCAGCCCGGGCAACATAGCAAGACCCCTATCTCTACAAACAACAACAATAGCAGCAGCAAAATCCCACTAAAATAATAAAATGTAAGTAACGCCTGGCCACCCAGACTCAAGGCTGCCACAGGCCTTTGCATTGGTGTTTGTCCTGGGGCCTCCAAAGCCCTCCCAGCTCCCTCTGCTCATCTTACTCTGGGAGATCATCTGTCTACCTGGTTAAGCTTGAGCCTCAGCATCTGGGGTTCAGAGGGCCTTTGCAGGTTTCACTGGTGGGGGGTCTGGGGAGTCAGAGGCAGGTGGCAGGCTAAGAGGTGAGAATCAACAGCCCCCTTTTCTGCAAGCTTCTAGCAGATGCGTGGAGAAACCCCTGGTGAAGCAGAAGGTCCTGCCTACCTTGCAGCAGGGGTCTCCCCAGGCCCACTCCATGGAGGGCCATCCTGCTCCCCACCCACTTCCCTGCCCACAGCAGAGTGAGCCCCAGGAAGACTGAAGCCTTGATACATCATGCTGCCATCTCTCAAAAGCCTCTTGTAAGCTCCTGGATCAATAGTGCAGCTCTGCCAAGTCTCAGCAAGATACCCCACCTCTTCGAGTAACAGAGTTTGTCACTTATATATATATATATATATTTTTAAGGCAGGGACTATAAATCCCATCTAAAAATGAAAAACTAAGACCTAGAGAGGTAAAGCAATTTGTTCAAGGTCATCCTGCTAAACAGTGCTAGTGCTGATATTTCAATCCAAGCCTGCCTGACTTCGTTTCTCAGTGTGTTTCACTTAGCCCCACACCGAGGGCCTCTGTGACACGGGGGAATAGTAAGGTAGATTAACTGCTGTAACAAATAACCCCCAAATCCCTGTAGCTTAGCACAATACAAGTTTACTTACAACTGCTGAAACAGACTAATGTGGGTCAAGTAGATCTTCCGGGTGGCTGCTGTCCAGGCGGTGACTCAGGGACCCAGCCTCCTTCCACATTGTGGCTCTGCCATCACCTTGGGCCACAGGTTCCTCTGCTGGGTTTGTATATCTACCCAGCAGACAAGGAGAGAGTGGAGGGTGAAGTAGGAAGTTGTAGCAGGCTGGGCCTGCAAGCAGAGTCCATCACTTCTGCTATACCCCATTGTCCAGAATTCAGACACTAATGGCGAAGGAGACTGGGAAATACCTAGTTTTGTGTGCAGAGGAAAAGAGAAATTGTTTGGTGAACAACAATCTAGTCTCTCCCACAGGAGGCCTAGTGTGTGTTTCCAGTCTCATATTATGACTTCTTGGTCACCATCTATTGTATTGTATTGTATTGCATTGCATTGTATTATTTGTTCACTGTTTTTCCTTCGCTCCCCACACTTTTCCAGGCTCACTGTAAGCAGAGAGTACTTCTCTGCCCTACTGACTTGCTCCTCCTACTGAGCAGGCCACGTGACTTGCTCCAACGAATGGAATGTGTGCAGATATGTATGTCACATCCAGCCAGAGGCTTTCAATATGATTGAACCTGGACTCTTGCCCTCTTGCCTTGCACTTGGAGAAGAATGTGCTCCAGGTAAGTACTGCTCCTCCAGCCCAAGTCCTGGAATGAAAGACATGCCAGCAGACCTGACTTTGACCAGCAGTCTAGCATACAGACATCTCAGCAACCAGACAACTGTGAGCAAAGAAACGAATTCTCATTGTTGTAGGCTGCTACTGTTAGGAGTTGTTTGTTATGCAACATTATCATGGCGCTAGCTGACCTGAATAACCTACTGGCATGATAGAGTCATGGCCACAGTCCCTGAGCACACCCTGCTGTCCTGCACCTCCATGATGTCACCTCCATGATGATGTCTTCTGTTGTGTTGTTGCCCCTCACTAAAAGCCTCTCTCTCTCTTTCTTTCTTTCTTTCTCTCTCTTTCTTCCTTCCTTCCTTCCTTTCTTCTTTCCTTCCTTCCTCCCTTCCTTTATCTCTTTCTTTCTCTCCTTCCTTCCTCCCTCCCTCCCTCCCTCTTTCTTCCTTTCTTTCTTTTCTTTCTTCCTTCCTTTCTCTCTCCTTCTCTTTCTTTCTTTTCCTTCCTTCCTTTCTCTCTCTCTTTCCCTCTTTCTTTTTCTCTTTCTTTCTTCCTTTCCTCCTTCCTTCCTTTCTTTCTCTTTCTTTCTTCCTTTCTTCCTTCCTTCCTTCTTTCCTTCTTTCCTTTCTTTATCTCTTTCTTTCTCTCTCTTTCTCCTTCCTTCCTTTCTTCTTCTTTTCTTTTTCTTTCTTTCTTTCCTTTCTTTCTTTCTTTTCTTTCTCATTCTTTCTTTCTCTCTCTTTTCCTTCCTGCCTTCCTTCTTTCCTCTCTTTCTCTTTCTTTCTGTCTCTCTCCTTCCTTCCTTCCTTCCTTCCTTCCTTCCTTCCTTCCTTCCTTCCTCTCTTTCTCTTTCTCTCTCTCTCCTTCCTTCCTTCCTGCCTTTCTTCCTGCCTTCCTTCCTCCCTCCCTCCCTCCCTCTCTCCCTCTCTCTCTCTTTCTTTCTTTCTTTTTTTCTTTTTCTTCTCTCTTTCTCTTGATCTCTCTCTTTCCTTGGGAAACAGGGTCTTGCTCTATTGCTCAGACTGGAGTACAGTGGTGCTCCTAGCTCCTAGCTCACTGCAGCCTCAAACCCTTGGGCTCAAGTAATTCTCCTGCTTCAGCCTCCTGAGTAGCTGGGACTACAGGCATGCACCACCATGCCTGGCTAATTTGTAATTTTTTTTGTAGAGATGGGGTTCTTACTATGTTGTCCAGGCTGGTCTCAAATTTTCCTACATTAGTGGGTCCATTACTAACCTCAAGCAATCCTTCCTCCTCAGCCTCCCAAAGTGCTGGGATTATACACATGAGCCACTGCACCTGGCCGAAGCCTTTCTTTATGACCTCTTCAGAGCCCATGCCAAAGATAGACCCTTTGACAGAACTTCTCTTAATGTTCACAATTCTTAGGGTCTCAGAAGAGGCAGAGACAGCTAATACTTTAGCTCCAGCCTTGTCCACATTTTGCCTGAGTGATCCTGTATTTCTTCACTTGCTAGAGAGTGCAGCTTTTGGAGGCAGGAGCTGCACTGGCTTCCTCTTTCCTCTAGCCACTACTCCTGTGCCCCACAGGCAGTAGATGGTCAGATAGTGTTTGCTAAACTGGATTGACTTGAATGTCTGTCCCTTTATAATGCGAGGCCCATAAGGGCACATTGAGAGCTGGCAGGCATCCCTGGCAGCACTGGGCTCCATGCTTAGAGCTTAGATGATGGATCTGTCATTGCCCATGAGGACGAGAGAGGCTGGGCTGCCTCCAGCACTCTTGGCTGGAGGCCTGGCTTAGCACAAACGTGATCCCTCTCACTCTCCTCAAGCTCTTGGCATCTAGAGCCTGTGTCAGGAGGGAATGATGCAACCTCATACACCTTGGTCCAGACATGCCTTGGAGAAGCCAGCAGGCTGCATTAGCAAAGATCTCTGACTGCCCATGTCATGCTCCTACCATGGTTCTCAGAGCACAGGTTTGAGCTGAGGTTGTGGTCCTGTGCTACAGGGAAATATTTTTCGCAACATGATGCGTGAGGCTGCCTCAGTGTTGGCATTTGTGGACTTGGTGACAGGAGCTTCTCTGGGCTCAGCCATGCTTCTCCTAAAGTGAGTGGTTTCTGGACCAGCCCTGGACTGTGGTGGCTACTCAGGCCCTACGAGACCTCGTTCAGCTAAAGGCTGTAGATGCATGGAGGCACCTGAGCCACGTGCATGAGAGCTGGGCAAAATGTGAGGTTGCTGCACAGCAATGCAGTGAAGCCTCACCTGCTCAGTATCTTACTAAAGGCAACTCAGCGATCATAGAAGGACTCTCCTGCTTCTCCATGCACAGAGAGAAATGCGTGACACAGACTTAGCTTCTGGGGGGACTCGGGTTGTTTTAGTCATCCATTGCTGTATAATGCATCACCCAAAGTTAATGACTTAAAACAACAATCAATATTTATTTCTTACTCTTTTTTGTTTTACTTTTTTTTTCTCTTTCTGACAAATGATCTCGTCACCCAGGTAGTGAGTATGGTACCCAATAGGTGTTTTTCAGCCCATGCCCTCCCTCCTTCTTTCCCCCCCAGTAGTCCCCAGTGTCTATGGTTCCTATCTTTATGTCCATGTGTACTCACGATTTAGCTCCCACTTATAGGTGAGAACGTGTGGTATTTGGTTTTCTGATCCTTCATTAGTTCTCTTAAGACAGTGGTCTCCAGCTGCATCCATGTTGCTGCAAAGGACATGATTTCATTCTTTTGGATGGCTGTGTAGTATTCCGTGGTGTATATGTGCCACATTTTCCTTATCCAGTCCATTGCTGATGGGCACCTGGGTTGAACAATGAACACTGATTATCAGCCTTTCTGAGTCAAGAGTTTCTGGGTCAAGGATTTGGTGGCTTGGCATGGAGTTCTGGCCCAGGGTTTCTTGTGAGGTTGCAGTCACATAAAGCCTCACCTAGCGTTGGAAGATACACTTGAGGCTCAGGGGGAAAGCCACCTGAGGCTTACCTACATGGCGAGTTGGTGTTGGGTGCTGGTGGGAAGGAAGTTCCTCCATTCACGGCTCTAGTCTCCGAGCTGCTTGAGTGTCCCCCTGACCCAGCAGCTGGCTTCTCTCAGAGCAAGCAATCCCAGAGAGAGGGCTCCCAGCAGAAGCTATGCTTTTCATGAGCAGCATTATTCCCATACATACAGCATGAGCCATACAGCATCACTCCCGTCACATTCTCCTAATAAGGATCATTATGCATGGCCCACACATGGGGAGGGGGTTAGCTCATCTTGCAAAGGGAGGAGGGCCAAAATATTTATGAGGATATTTAAAAATTACCACATAGTGGACAAAAATAAATAGCTTTTAGCATTTGTGCCTATCTATCCCAATCTTTACACCTTCTTGCTCCCCAACTCCAGTCTGGAACACAGGGGTCCTAGGGCCCAGTGGAAGCCTTGGGAGGTGAAGGACAGCTCACAGGGACCCACCAATGCAGGAAAGTGACAGAGATACTCGGGAGACCCTCGGCGGCATGTGTGGACACTATACAAAGTTGAGGACTCCAGCCGGGCCATGCATCTGGAAAGGCTGCGCCTGGCCTGAGAGGCTTGGCTGTATCCCGAACCAGGCACTGACAAGGGTGCATCTGTAGCTGAGCTGCGGGTGAGTTGCAGGAAAGGCACCTCCCCTAGCTGAGCCCAGCCCTGATGAGCTGCGGGAGTGCAGGGAGACAGCCACATGGCTGGTCCGACCTGCGGGAGGCCGGAGGAGCTCTGGGCCAGTGCCTTCCTCCAGCGCACCACGAAACCAGGGCCCAGGGGAGGAAGTGACATGCTCAGGATCACATGGTGAGCTAGAGGTGATGGTCCTATAGTGAGTCACAGGGCACGGGGGTGCCTGGAGTTTTTCACTCTGCAATGCTATCTTTCCAATGGGGTGCCCAGCAGAAGCGACTCCTGGCAGATACAGAAACCAGGTGGAGGCAGAGGAGAAAACCACAGTGGGTCTAGGGTGTCAGAATGGCTTCTCCTTCCAGTAAGGGGATGCAAGCTGAAAGCTCATGAAGAAGGGGCGGCTGGGAGTGCAGAAGTCAGTAGAAATAAGGTGATGGACACAAGGCAGACCCATGAGCCAATCTTTTAAACCAAGATACAAAAACCAAGCCCAGTAAATACAAAAGAAATATTGGCCCAGGAAACAAACCATGGCTGTTTATTAAACTAAAGCACACACAGCTGTGCTCTGTAAATGGCAGTGAAATATGGTAATAGCTCAGTCCAGCGCTCATCGAGGAGCCAGCAGCACCCACGGCGTGAACATTTTCTTGAGCGTCTCACATTCTGTGCTGGCAGAGGGCTGAGTTTGGTTCCCTGGGCCTTGCACTGTGTCCAGCCCAAGTGGCACCAAACTTGGGGTCTTTGAGGAGGCAGCCAATGAAGAAAAGATTGCAGAATTGCTTAAGGGGTAGAAGCTCAGTTCCTGTCTTGTTGAGTATTCCCAGGGATCTGCTGAGGGCTGTGGAAGTGGCTGGGATTCGTCTTTGGGATAACTGGGGGTGGAGGACGGAAACTGCCCAGGCCGGTTTAATTGGGAAAAGGACATAGGGGCAGTTCGAGGACCCCATGAGCTGGACGCAAAGCCAACCTCCCCAGGTGGGACTTGGCAAAGCAGCCGCTGTCTCTATCTTCCCTTCTTTGTTGTCTCTCTTCTCTCACTGCTGTGTGACCTTCTCTTCTCCTTCTTCAAGGTGGAAATGACTGTCTCAGCCTTTCGTCCCTCCCAGCTCAAGCACAAGAAAGACTGACTAGGGATTGATTCCAGCCTCAAGTTCTCAAGTGGGAGGATGCGATTGGCTCAGCCCAGCCCAGATGATGGGTAGTTTCCCTGGTCCCCCAGGTCCCACAACCTTGAGTGGGCCAGGTAGCTGTGCCCAGTGGAGATGCCTGTACCCCGGGATTCCCTGGTCTCATCTCTGCATGGGCACTGTTCTCAGACAATGGGGTGGCTGTTCCGCATACTCCTTATAAAGGGGCTGTCTCTAGTAGTTGATAAAACTCTCAAAGGCATTTTTTCCCCAGCTGAACCAAGGCAGCTTTTGCATCCCATGCTCTCCGTTTATGGAATACTGAACAGGCACATTGAGGAGGTCACTGCTGGAGAGGAAAGGGAGACACCCTTGAAGCCACATGTTTAGGGACCTGGTCTGTAAGAACGCTGAGGCTCTCCCGCTGAGGACAGGGCTTTCAGCCCCTGGTTTTCCCAGGGGTTGGTTTTTCCCTCAAGTCTATTTAAAGAACATTAAAATAGACTTGAATTTTTTGGAAGTCCTAGGTGGGAGGATCACTTGAGCCCAGGAGTTTGAGACCAGCCTAGACAACATAGGGAGATCCCCATCTCAAAAAAAAAAAAAAAAAAAAAAAAGCCAGGCATGGTGGCACATGCCTGTAATCCCAGCTACTCAAGGGGCTGAGATGGGAGGATCACTTGAGCCTGGGAGGTCAAGGCCACAGTGAGCTATGATTACACCACTGCACTCCAGCTTGGACCACAGAGCAAGATCTCATCTAAAAAAAAGAAAGAAAGAAAGAAAGAAAGAAAGAAAGAAAGAAAGAAAGAAAGAAAGAAAGAAAGAAAGAAAACCTCTGCTGATCTTGGAGGAAGTGAAGTCTGGGGGTCTGGGGGCTTTTTCCTCCTCCCCATCAGTGACATGTGTGAGAGCCATTGCCGGGGTGGCCGAGGAAGCTGCCTTGCGTTCTGTTTGTAGGCTGCAGCCAGAGACAGGGAGGGCCTCGCACACCAGGCTAAGAAAGTTGGATTCCGTTCTGTTGGCAGAAAACAGATATGTTGAAAATATTATTTTAGGAGGGTGGATAACCCACGCAAAACTGGAGCTCTGCCAGCCTCCCTCAAAGCTCTGATTCCATGCTCTAACTGCGAGCGGTGTCCTCAGCGGGTATGCACATTGGGCATCCCTGGAGGTGCCTGCTACTGCTCCTGGTCCATTTCCCCCTCCCAGGGATTGGAGTCCTTGCTGGGTGATGTGCCGTGAAGGGGCTGCGCCTGGCGGTATGTGGGTGGCCTTGGCACCCCCAGCCCTTCAAGAGGCTGAGCCTCATCCCATGAACTCTTTCTCCCAAGGGCCACCCCCACCCCAAACATGTCCCATCCACCTCCTGCCACCCCCTCTCTCCCTTGGTTCAGGACTTCACATGCTGGTGCTGGAAGCTGGCTTCGAGGCCCATTTCAGCACCACCCCTCACCTCCAGTTCCTGTGTTCACCCTGGGAACTCATGCCTCCCCAGCATGAGACTTCTAAATTCCATCCCTGAGTAACATCAGAGTCCCTTTTGTCTTGGGGGGCAACTTCTGTCTCAGATATCTGTCTGGTGGAATCCTGCCTCCAAAGTGGGCCTTTGTCTGTGCTGGGTGAAAACACTCCAGAGCCTTCCCCCCACAGAGCGGGGCTTCAAACTGAGGTCAGAGGTGGGACTTGACCCCGCAGTCAGGGCTCAAACACCAGACCGAATTGGGGACTAGCTAAAACAGGGACAGGGCGGAAGCAGCTTCCCATCAGACCCGCCCACCAGAGTGCCATGTCAGTTTACCATTGCCATGGCAACACCCAGGCGTTACCACCACTTTCTATGGCAATGACCCAAAAGTTATTACCTCTACCCTAGAAATTCTGCATAAACCGCCCCTTAATCTGCATGTAATTAAAAGTGGGTATAAATCTGACTGCGGAACTGGCCTGAGCTGCTGCTCTCAGCATACTGCCTGTGGGTAGCCCTGCTCTGCAGGGGAAATCACTGGGCTGTATCATTCCAAGAGCTGTAACACTGCTGCTTCTATAAAGCTGTTTTCTTCTACCCTACCACTGGCTCACTGTTGAATTTTTTCCTGGGTGAAGCCCCACTTTGGGGCTCGCCTGTCCTGCATCAAAACCCCCATCACTAGTCCAGCAGCCAGCGGGGAATAGAAATAATAGCAAAGACCACTTGTTCCGCGCTCGTTGTGTGTTGGCAGTGAATTCAATGCCTCGTGTGCATCCTGTCAATGAATCCTCAGAACAGCCTTATTAGGTAGACATTCTTATCAGCCTCACTGTAGAGAGGCACAGAGAAATGAATTCGCTTTCTGAGTTCCCAGAACTCCTAAATGGCAGAGCCAGAATTCAGATGCAGATGTCAGACTGCGGGGCTCTGAGCTCTTCACCACTCTGCTGGGTGAAGGATATTTGGGCCAGAGGCTTGGAGGATGGCACAGTTAAAAGAAAAATTTAATTTTGTTGTGAAGCTGTGCCCTGTAATAAAGCCCTCGGCCTCTCACAGGGAACGGCATTGTACACAGGTTACTCATGACGTTGTCTGTTCACTGCCCAGTTTTTCCGGCAAAGCTGTGAGCTCCTTGAGTAAAGGTGGCAGGTCTTATATTGGTGTCTCCAGAACCTGGCACGGTGTCTGGAACTTAGTAAGTGTTAAATACACCAGGCTGGGCACCCAATCCAAGCCAAGCCCACGTTTTCTGGAGCTAGTGGTGGAAAGTGGGAGCTGTTTGGGTACTGGGGTCGCTTGGCTTGAGGATGTAAGCCTGGGGCAAGCCTTCCTGAGAGTGAAGTCAGCTAAGAGCAGGCTGTAAGTGGAGAGAGGTGGATGCCCAATGGCATCTTTAAGCACCTGGATCTAGCTTGCCTGAAGCTTGGATCCGCCTCTTTGTATTTGCATAAGGCAATATCTTCCGATGACTGTCTGAGCAGTTTGAGTTGGGCTTCCATCATTTGCCCTCTGACTAATTGGGGGATCTGCAGTACCTGCTTTGATTTAATGGAAACTCAGCAGAATCATAAAGAGGCCAGCCCTGCCTCCCATCCCAATTCCCAGTAACAAGCTCTGAGACCTCCTGGCTCCTTTTTTTTTTTTTTTTTGATGGTGTCTCACTCTGTCACTCTGTCACCCAGGCTGGAGTGCAGTGGCGTGATCTCAGCTCACTGTAACCTCTGCCTTCAAGGTTCAAGCAATTCTCCTGCCTCAGCCTCATGAGTAGCTGGGATTACAGGCGCCCACCAACACGCCCGACTGGTTTTTGTATCTTTTATTTTTTAGTAGGGATGGGGCTTCGCCATGTTGTTCAGGCTGATCTCGAACTCCTGACCTCAGGTGATCCACCTGCCTTGGCCTCCCAAAATGTTGGGATTACAGGTGTGAACCACTGTGCCCGGTCTCCTTTTTTTTTTTGGAGACAAAGTCTCACTCTGTCACCCAGGCTGGAATGCAGTGGTGCAATCTGGGCTCACTGCAACCTCCACCTCCCAGGTTCAAGCGATTCTCCTGCTTCAGCCTCCTGGGTAGCTGGCCCAGCACTTTGGGAGGCCGAGGTGGGCGGATCCTTTTTCTGACTATAGGGTTATGAATCCTTCCCCTGCTGGACCAGCCCAAGCCCAGCCAGAGAGAAAACCCTGAGGCTGGACTTGGCAGTAATTAGCATCATGCTAAAAGGGCTCATTTGTCTCCACTTTGTCATTGGCGCAGCAGCTCTGAGACCACAGTTGTTGTGAAAGATGAATCCGGAACTGTCATTCAATTACATACATGTCCACTGTGCCTGATTATTAAGCCTTTGCAAAATCAATTCTTCATGGCCTTTTAATCCAGAGCAGATAAACAAGGAGAAGGAGCTTGGGGACAGTCTCAAAGAAAAGTCCAATTACTGTTCCTGGAGGAGGCTGTAGGTGTTCCCAGCCCAAAGATTCCAGGAGGTGGGGAGCCCCAGGTCACAGAGGGCAAGGGCCGGGCTCTCACAGGGGCAGGGAAGGAGCGTGAGGGGAGGGGAGGAAGAAAACTGAGCAGGGAGGGTGCAGCAGTGATGTGGTGAGGGCAGGGAGGGTAAGTGCTAAGTGATTTCACGTGAAAACTGGAGTGTGCAAATCCTGATTCTTCCCACTGTTGTGGGATCACTGTTGCTCGTGGCCGGGCACTGGTGCCCTCATTGCTGGCCAGGAGCTCCTGGCCTGTGGTCGAAAGAACTCTAAAAGTCAATGGTAAGACTGCTTTTTGGTTCTCACTGGCAGGTGCTTGTCTGTGCTGATGTTTGCCCTGACTTGCAGTGAAATGAGGAAAACAGACTCAAGTTATGTTTTGCATAGCTATACTTATTCAATTAGAGTTTTTCCCAAGTTCTGACCTTTTCCACCCCTTTGGCCTTACATTGCCCTTTCCATTGTGAAATGACAGTGATTATAAATGGTTGTTGACTTGGCAGAATAAAATGCTTTCAAAGGTGTCTCCGCCACTGTAGCCTTCTGAAGTACTGGCATCCTTGCTCCTCTCTTGATAGGACCCAGTTCTGCTCGGATCTCCACTGGGGTCCCCAGGCAGGCTGGTCCCAGCCTCCTTCTCTCCCCTGCAGAATGGGGCACCCTTCAGGCATCTGGTGAGGAAAGCAGTTTCCCTGGAGACCTCCTAGCTCGGTGGGCCTTATGGATGCTCACAACACCCATGCTTAATCCTGAAGTCAAGAGCAGAGCACGAATTAAGTCCCCAGCCTCACAAATGTAGAAATAAAGCTCAGTGAGGTTCAGCCACAAACCCAGAGTCCCGCACAGCTGGAGACAGAGGGAGGACGAGAGCCATAGTGCCTCGGCCTTGCAGCGCCCAGAGGACAGTGTCCTGCGGCCCAGAGCAAAGACCAGCTGGGCACAGTGGCTCATGCTGTAATCCCAGCAATTTGAGAGGCTGAGGTGGAATGATCGCTTGAGGCCAGGAGTTCGATACCAGCTTGGGCAACACAGCAAGAACCCCTGCCTCTACAAAAAATTAAAACATGAGCCAGGCGTGGTGGCATTTGCCTCCGGTCCCGGCTACTCAGGAGGCTGAGGAGAAAGGATTGCTTGAGTCCAGGAGTTGGAGGCTGCCGTGAGTTTGATTGCATCACTGTGCTCCAACCTGTGTGACAGAATAAGACCCCAACTGAAAAAATAAAATAAAATTTATAAAAGCAAAGGCCCTGGGGCCCAGTCCCCAGTGTTGGGTTCTGTCTGTTCTGCTTGCGCACTCGTGGTCCTGGCTGAGGCCCTTCCTCTCCAGACAGATTTCCTCTCCTGGCACATGAGATAATAATAATGATACAAATGTGTGCAGCACAGGGAACACTGGCATAGCACATGCTCTTTGTTTTGAGACAGAGTCTCACTCAGTCACCCAGGGTGGAGTGCAGCGGCGTGATCTCGGCTCACTGCAACCTCCACCTCCCGGGTTCAAGCAATTACCTTGCCTCAGCCTCCCGAGTAGCTGGGATTAAAGGCACCTGCCACCACATCTGGCTAAGTTTTGTATTTTTAGTACAGATGGTTTCACCATGTTGGCCAGGCTGGTCTTGAACTCCTGACCTCAGGTGATCCATCTACCTTGGTCTCCCAAAGTGCTGGGATTACAGGAGTGAGCCATGACGCTCGGCCCAGCATATGCTCTTAATAAGACTAGTTCCTTTCCAATTTCCCCAGCACAGACAGTGACACAGGAGGGGTGGTGGTCATTTGTGCTGTTACCAAATGTGCCCGGATTCCTGCTCCCTGGGCACTGGGTGGGATGCACTCCTAGCACCTCTGGGTGGGTGTCTGGGTAGGGCCATGTGGAATGAGTCGAAGGGGTCCTGGGGGATCAGCCATGGAGGAAGTGATGTGTGTCACCTCTGGGTGACACCTCACAGCCAGTGCCTGCTTTGCTCCCTTCTGACTTCGTCATCATGGAATCACAGGTGGAGACAGAGCTTCCCCAGCCTGAGCCCCTGAGGGTGACGAGGACCAGAGTCCTCTTGGCTGACCCATGTGGGACATTCAGTAAAACGGGGATGCCCTTCACTGTGCTAAACCCTGGAGATATTGGGGATGTTTGTCAGTGCAGTTTGACTCAGCTTCCACTGACCAATGAAGAAAACGAAGCCATGAGTGAAGGGATTGTTATCAGCGCCCTGGGTTCTTGCAATCTCCCAGGATAGGAATCAAGATGGATTGCCGGACATTGCACTTAAGGAAAGAGAAAGCTTCATTTAGCTTTTGCACAAGGGAAGCCAGCACTGCAAAAGGGCAAGGACGGGCTGCTCTGGAGGGTAGCATGTGGGCTGGTTCTTTCGGGAAGGGTTTTGTCAGGGCATGGATAGGAGGTTTCTCTAGTACTTGTGTACTGGTTCTACATCCTTCTTCATACATTGCATGTAATACGGGTGTGACTTTTAGTATGAAAAGGAGGAAAAGGTCACTATAAGGTGAGTTTAAGTCCAACCGCACGTGTAGGCGGAGGAAGTCCCTAACCCCCTACAGCAGGAGCTCGTGGCTCACTGCTTCTTGGGTCTTTGTTGCTGGTTGGCTGGAAATTAGGTAAACTATAGCATGAGTAAGGGGCTTTTGTTTTTTTCTCTAAACCACATTAAAACAGGAAACCAGCCTGTCGGCCTGTCTCAATTCCATGCGGACCTGGGTGAGGGGTGAGTCTGTGCACAGGGAAAGTTAGTTTTTGCTGAGATGTGCCTCTTCCTGTCTCCTCCATTCTGAAATGCCTCTGCTTCCTTGGGTGACCTGCCAAGGACCCTCAAAACTACTGCAGCAGCCAGGTTGGAAGCTGAGGGACCTTGCCGGCTCTGAGCTCAGCGTCAGAGTTTAGCAAACAGTGAAGCGTGCTCGGTGCAGGGTTCGGCTTGCTGACTATACTTCCCATGCAGCAACCCCACAGTCCTCAAACTGCAGCTGCAGGGGCTCCACACATGGCTGGGAATAATAGGAGTGGCTTTCTCTGCAGCTCTAAGTACCAGGGGCCAGCTCCCTCCCTGGAGTCCCACACCAGTGGGAAACAACAAACCA
This sequence comes from Homo sapiens, assembly GCF_000001405.40. Classification (NCBI taxonomy): domain Eukaryota; kingdom Metazoa; phylum Chordata; class Mammalia; order Primates; family Hominidae; genus Homo; species Homo sapiens. The sequence goes on along the minus strand of NC_000019.10, from coordinate 29,379,609 downwards.
CACAAGTAGCCATTAGTGGAAAGTGCTGTTATTAAGACAATAAAACTAGGTGACGGGACAGAGAGAGACGTGGCTGGGGAGGGCAGGTACTGATGGATGTCCTGGGAAGGTCTCTCCGAGGAGGCGACTTGCAGGGTGAGAAGGAACCAGCCAAGGAGAAAAGCAGGCAAGGAGGGAGAGTCAGGGTTTGTGTTGCACGGAGCTGCCGTGATAGGAACCATGTAGGAACCATGATGACCACATTCATCCTGGCCTGGACACTCTCTGTAGCCAGTGGGGCAGGGCCTCCATCATCATGCTTGATCCTCAGATGGCCCTACTCACACCAACACTGCAATTTATAGACAGTAAACAAATCAGAGCAGAAGAAGTCTTTGGGATGTTCAATCCCACATGCCTAGAAAGATGCAAGCCCTCCCCTCTTGCTGTCACATTTTTCCTCCCCACAATGGGCTTTCCATGGAATTCTCCAGAAAGTCTGGCTCTAGGTGCACTGCTTCATGGTTAATTGTCAGGTGCCATTGAGAACGTGCACACTGGTCATTCTGGAGTAAATAAATGAAAGTGTTTGCAGGCGACCTCAGCTCCACAGAAGTCCTTGTAGTGCTTTTAGGATGTGAGGTGTAGGTGTTCATTTCTGCAGCCTTTGGTGCTCTGGCTCTGGAGCTGAGTGAATGATTGGGAATGCAGGAAAGCTGCATCCACCCACACCAAGGGAACTGAAACACAGCTCGCTTGCAAATGTGCCGAAGGAGCCAGCCTCCAAGCCTTCCCAAACCCTTTGGAGTTAATAGGATTTCCAAGAACATCTGCTTTGATGTATTGTCCATTTTGCATCTAAATGTTGTATAATGGCAGCTGTTGAGAAATCATGAATATCAGCGGTGCTGAAAGCCTGTGGAAATCACACCCCTGGCAGCAACTCCAGGTGAGGTTGGACTGTCTGCCAAAGGGTATGTGGACCTGACCCTCGCTGAAGGTTTCATTAAGTGGGGCCCTGTCTGCTGCTGGTTGGCTGGGGAATTTCTGCAACTATCCAAATGTACCCTTATGTTTATGCTCTGAAATTTCCTGCAACTTTACTTTTATTCTAAGAATTGCAAAGCAACAGCTAAGAAATGGGTAAGAAGAACAAGAATATGAGCTGTGATTCCACAGTTTTAGGGCCAAGGGGGCGTGCTCTGACAGCAACCAGGGGAGTGGCCAGAGTCTTGGTGAGAAGCTGGCATGAAGGCCTGACCTCATAACCTCACCTGTGGGACCTGCAAGGCGCTGAGACATCTCCAACTTCTGCTGCAGCCATCTTCCTTCCCACTCATGGACCTGCTGCCCTCTTGGCTGCCCCTGTGTCCTGGGTGTGGCAGGCCTAGTTCCACCTCAGTCCAGATTGCACCTGCCTGCGTTCTGTGTGGCTCAGTTTTTCTCATCCACCCTATATCGACTTGGAGTCATTGCAGGGATGCCCTCTCTGACCACATCATCTAAAACAGCCCAGGATTCTTTATTCCCTTATCCTGCCTACTTTTCACTTTTCCTCCATTGCATTGATCACTAACTAAAATCACATGTCTTTTATTTGCTCATTTGTTTATTGCACACAGCCCCTCTGAAAACGTGGGTTCCATCATGGCAGCCAGGGTCTGCCTTTGGGTGGATATCCGTGCAGCAAGCGTGAGTTGACAAGGCTGCCATAGCCTGCAAGGTTGGGCTAGGACCCCTGGAGTCAGGAGAAAGGAACCCTGCAGAGTCAGGGTTGGAGCTGCCAAGACCCTGTGCTGAGGGACCATGTGGTTTGCTTCTTGAGGCCTCACTTTTCTGTTTGATAAAACCTGAAAGGAATGATTTGCTTAGGGCCCCTGGGCATTTTCACACTCAAGAAACAGTCATCTGATCTGGCATTTTCTGGAGGGATTCAGGTGGAATATGAAATAACTTAAAACATTTTCTTTTAGTTAAATATTTTGAATGTATTAGGGGAATATATATATACACACACATACACACACACATTTATACACACATACATAAACTCACAAATGAAGACTTTAGTTTTATGAGGCTAAGGTATTTGAGGATGTAAAAAATGCACGCCTAATTCACAGAAAAGTCTAAAGCAGGACTTTGGAAACTATGGCCCATGGGTCAAATCTGGCCCACTGCCTGTGTTTGTACATAGGTTTTATTAGAGCATAGCCACGCTTATTCATTTACATAGCATCTATGGTTTATTTGGTGGTATGACGGTGGAGTTAAGTAGTTGTGGCAGTGACAGTACTGCCTGCAGAGACTAAAGCATTTACTATCTGGCCCTTACAGAAAAAGTAAATAGCAAACAATTGGAAACAAAAATCAAGGAAATTCGTGAGAGGTGAAGAGCTGGCCTCATTTGTCAGCAGGGCAGTGGGAGCTGAGCCTGCACACTGGTCATGCCCCATCTGTTTTGTGCACAAAGCCTCCTGCTGGGTCTCTGCCAGGATGGTGGGGCCAGATTCTGCCACACCCACTTGAATGCTCTCCCCTTGTTTAGGGGCTCAAAATGTCCCTCTGGCCCCACCTTTAAGGCCAAGTTGGAAATACAGCCAGTTGCCCAATCAGAAAGAGGGTAGATTTATCAGGCAATTCAAGACCGTCAAGGTGGAGCTAGCTGCTAGCAAAAGGAAAGGCAGAGAGTCAGGAGACCGGTGGCCTCTGGGAAATTGAACACCATGCTGATGCTGGACGAAGAGCTCATAGCCAAGGACAGGCCACGCCAGGGTGCACCCATCTCTTTTCTGTTTCTGCCTTATGAGGAAACTGCAGCTTCATAAGCAAGTCAGTGATTTTAGAGACCCCTAACAACATCAAGGCAACTTTTCAGATATCCAGAGAGACCACTCTCAGAAAGAAAGTTCATTTTTTAAATTTTTTATTTATTTTTGAGACAGAGTCTTGCTTTGTCACCCAGGCTGGAGTGCAGTGGCAGGAACTCAGCTCACTACAACCTTGATCTGCTAGATTCAATTGATTCTCCTCCCTCAGGCTCCCCAGTAACTGGGATTACAGGCATGCGCTGCCACCACACCTGGCTGATTTTTGTATTTTTAGTAGAGACAGGGTTTCACTATGTTGTCCAAGCTGGTCTTGAACTCCTGACCTCGTGTTCTGCTCACCTCAGCTTCCCAAAGTGCTGGGATTACAGGCATGGAGTCACCGTCCCCAGCAAGAAAGAAAGTTCTTGGTCCCCAGGAAAAGAGTCCTGAAAGGGCCTCGAGTGGGACTGGAGGGGAAGGAGGAGGCCATTGTGATTAAAAGGAGGTGGTCCAGGTCAGCCAGAGCGCCCACAGCCTTGCACATGAATGGTAATTATACTCGGAGCAAAGGGCTGTTTGGAAGAATGACATAATAGAACTCCCAAACTGGTCGGTATAATTTCCCCTGGCACCCAGCATGCATGAATAAGACGCGCAGTCAAACAGAAGAGTAATCAGATGAAATATTCCTTTAATAATACGTTTGCCAGATCAAATATTAAAAATAGGAGACGGAGAGAAGGAGCAGCCATCTCCCCAGTGGTATCAGTTCCATAAATATTGCTTCATTAAGCTGTCTGTGTCGGTTCAAAGAGATGGATTTGGAAATGTGGCCAAGCTTGTTGCGATGAGGCGGAAGACTCCGCGCTGCCAGTGTCACTTCGCCTGCCCACACTGCGCTAGCTGCCACAGTGCGGGGCCATCAGTTAACAGCCGGAGCTGGCCCGACATCTGCCCAAAGGACGTGTGTTTATTTATTTGGAGTCAAGCCTCTTCCATCGGTGCACCAGTGGCTTCCATCCCAGCCAAACAGCGGGGAATTAATAATGATGGCTTTTGACTTTCTCAAGACCTTCCCTTGGCAAAGTTTGCATTCATCTTACTGGCATCTCTCTGAGGTCGGAGGTAGGATGGAGATGGTGGAGGCTCTGTTGGTAACCCAGGTCTGTGTTCTGTAAGGAAGCAGCTCAGGGTGAAAGCCAGGCCCTTCCAGGCCCTGGGCTTTGAAAGAGTGGTGTACGCAGGGATGGAGGGGCTCCTTGGTGAGGGTACGCAAAGGATTTGGAGGGTTGAGCTGTATCTCAATTTTAGGTGGCAGATATTTGCTGTTGGGTCCAAGCTCCATGCTAACGGGTGGGAAGAATAATTACTTAAAAATCAATTGTCAGTAATTATTTGAATATAAATGAGACGTGGCTGGGTGTGGTTGCTCACACCTGCAATTCCAGCACCGTGGGAGGCCAAGGTGGGAGGATCCCTTGAGCCCAGGAGTTTGCAACCAGCCTAGGCAACATGGTAAGACCGTGTCTCTAGAAAAAAATTAAAAATTACCCAGGAGTGGTGGCACACACCTGTAGTCCCAGCTACTCAGGAGGCTAAGGTGGGAGGATGAGGATGGCTTAAGCCTAGCAGGTCAACACTACAGTGAGCTATGATCACACCACTGCACTTTAGCCTGGGTGGCACAGCAAGATCCTGTCTTTAAAAAAAAATAAAATAAAAATAATTAATGTGATGCATTGTCTTGACTCAGGCTATCTATGCCTGTCAATAACTGCAGGAATGTTTGGATTTTGTGTTAGGGATCCAGGACTAGTCAACTCCCAAAGATGCTGATGTGGGGTCTAACTAACTGACCAGTGATGAGCCTCTATTGTCTTGTGTATAAAGAACCTTGATTCCTAAGTTTATGAAATCATTCTTCTCAACTTCATATCTGTCCTTTGCTAAAACATTGTTTTTGGGAAATAGAGCTCAGAAAACAAATTAAAGGGTTGAATTTGGTCAAATCTTATTTGATCTTCAAGGCCAAAGAGCTGGTTTGATTGAATGTTAAGCATTTTAAAAATGAAATGTTATATAAATATATATTAAATACATACTATGTGCTAGGCTCCATAGGTGTTTTAGCAACTTCTGATGACTTCTAGGATGAATCTGACCTGGACCTTCACCAAATGCTTCACCCTGGTGGGGTGTGTGTGGGGATCACTGTCACAGGTGCCCCCTAAGCTTTGCGTCTTCCTTCTGTCTGTAGCTCGAGGCCAGTAGACGCCATGCTTCTTATCTGCTTATGTTTACCTTGAAACACTTTCCACATCCACACTTTGCTTCCCCAGACATCTCCCCTTCTAACTCTAGGACCGCAGGATTAGGACAGGCCAGACAGGAACAAACATAAGGCAAGTGATGCTATCGGAAGACCAGACACACTCCCTCCACCTCCATACACACTTCCCACCTAGGACCACCCAGATGCCGTGGGTCAACTTGTCACAGGGGCCATCCTGTATGTATTGAAACTTTGAGAGATTTGCCTATGGAAACTTTCGGGGTTGCTTAGCAGTCCCTATGGCCCTAGATGGGGGTGCTTCACACCAGGCACAAGCAACATGCTCCTCTCCTCCCACTGCACCTAGTGAGCTAAGTCCTGCCTGCACTTCACTTAGAAGGGCTTGTCTGGGCCAGGCGCGGTGGCTCACGTCTGTAATCCCAGCACTTTGGGAGGCTGAGGCGGTCAGATCACTTGAGGATAGGAGTTCGAGACCAGCCTGGCCAACATGGTGAAACCCTGTCTCTACTAAAAATAAAACATTTAATTGGGCTTGGTGATGCATGTCTGTAAATCCCAGCTACTCGGGAGGCTGAGACAGGAGAATCGCTTGAACCTGGGAGGCGGAGGTTGCAGTGAGCCAAGATAGTGCCACTGCACTCCAGCCTGGGTGAAAGATCGAGACTCTGTCTCAAAAAAAAAAAAAAAAAAAAAGAAAAAGAAAAAGAAGAAAAAAAGGAAAAAAAGAGCTTCTCTGACGGTCCTGCCCATCTGCCCGTGCATTCTCCCCTGTGGCAGATGATGCTATCGCATGCCCTTCCTAGATCCTTTTTGGCCTGCACCATGCACACACGATGTGGTTCCTGCCATAAGTGCCAAGACTCTGCTGAAGCCTTTTCTCTGGCTGCAGGAACCTGCTTTGCTACCTGCATGCGTGGCTGGCTGGAACTGTCCTGGAATCAACACATCCAGGAGCAGCCCTCAATTAATGCTGGCAAGAGTCGGTGGACAAACGACCCAGCTCCTCTGCCCCTTGGCGTGCAGCCATTGTGAGGTGTGGTCCCCAGCAAGATTGTGCTCTGGCTGCCCACAGTAGTAACTGCTCACTAATGCACCCTCTGTGGGCTTTCTGCTCCTCCCTATCTCACCCTCCACTCTGTCCTCTGTGGGCCCTGGGATCATCTCCTAACACACATCTTGCTAGGAATCCTTGTATCAGTCTCTTTCTCTGGGGAGCCCAGCTGAAGTCACTGGTCTTGTGAACTCATTGTACACTGAGTCCTGCCAAGGACCCTCATTAATGCTGAACACACCATGCTTGGATTACGCAGTGTGCCCTGATCGCCAGTGCTCAGATACTAAGTCATTCCTCAGGGCTTGTTTCTGACGTCTCCTTCTCCAGGAAGCCCTCCTGCACATTCGAGTGGATTCCACTGGCCCTCCCTTTGCTTCCTCATGGCACATGGCTTGTGCCCCTAGAGTGGGGGCTATTTGGTCTGTCTGGTGCTGGAGTTGGTTGTATGTGCCTTGGCCTCCCCACCACCCCAACCCCCAGGACTGTGTGCTCTTTGGCACTGGGTCTGTGTCTGCAATTTAGGATCAGAGATTCCCCACTCAAAAGCCTGGAGGGTCCAGTCAAATAACAAATACCAAGTCCTGTGGGCCAGGAGTTTATTGCAGGGGAGCATGGGGGCTGGGATAAACCTGGAGAGCAAGCCATACCTGTGTTTCAATTGAAAAGAAAGAAAAAACTGTGCCTAGCAGACATAGAACACCTGTGGGGCTGGATGTTGGGTTGAATGAAGCCGCCTTTCACACTTCTCGAAGGCAGAGAGTTTGTGTTTCTCATCACAGCCTGACAGCCCTGACACTTGACAGCCACTGCATAGAGAGGGTGTGTCATGGGAGTTTTATCAGGATGATGGAGAGAGTGAAAGGCCTGGGGCCAGGAAGGAGGCTGGATGGAGAGACAGCCCGTCCCTGACTCAGACACCAATGTTGAAGAATAGCCCAGCTGCAGGTAGGCCAGGCCACATTGTTACCTACAATCTGGTCACTTCCTTCTTTCTCCTGGGTCTTCCCCAACCAGCACACGGACCAGGAGCTCTAGCCACTTGGGTTTTTCTGTCCCCCTCACACTTCAGCAGCTACAGGGGGATGCAGGTGTTGGTACCTGTGGGATTTCTGGGTCCACCCCTCTGGCTGACCCAAGGTCTGTTTCTGGGATGCTCTGATTTCTGTGCGCCCTGGGGGAGCCCAGAGGCCACACAGAGGCCGTTCCCAGGCCACATGGAAGCCCCATCACAACAAATTCAGTGGGGGGTGAAGTGTTGGGGGCATTTCCTAAACGCTTCAGGGCTGTGGTTACCGAGAATGGAGCCCTGTGCCATGCAGGGGAGAACAGTTGGCCCCATACAGGCAGTAAAGGACTGCTTTACCCGAGAAATGCCTCCACCTTGCAGAGGGCCCAGGCAGATCCAAGGCTTGCAGCTCTGGGCCAGTTCCACTGGACATGCCGGCCCTTCCTGTCTGCAGGCGGGACAAGGGGAGGCTCGGCACTCTGTGGTGCTTGGCAGGGGTCTGGAAAGAGACTGAGTGCATCCATGTGGTCTGGCCTCTCATCTCTGGGGACCCCCAGGTCCCTGGCAACTCCCTTCCCGGTGATATCCTGGCAGGTTTGCTCAGTTTAGCATCAGGGTTCTGCCTCCCAATTGCAGGGTTTGCAGGTTGAGGGGAAGTGGACTCCCAGATGAGCAATGCTGCCCTTGGGTGTGGTTGAATAGGAAAGCTGCTCCCTAGGCCCAATAAGGGAAGGAGGCCCCAGGGCAAGTGCCTGCTGCTTATACTCATGAAAGGAAGCACCTCCTTCTGTTACTGGCTGAAAAGTCTTGACAGTGAGTTTTTTCATTGAGCAAAATGCACAAATACAGCAATAAAAGAATGAAACAACAAAAGCACAGATTGATTAAAGCAAAACTACCCTCTGCAGAGTGGGAGTGGACTCGAGCAAGCGGCTCAAAAGCCCTGATTGGAATGTTCTTTAGGGTTTTTATTAAGCTAGAAGAATTTGGTAACACCCCTAGATACTCTTTAGAGGCCTCCAGTTGGTTACACTCTATGCAAATGAAGGATTGGCCCATGATCAATCAATCAGATATTTCCTGTTTGTGATGTAGGAGAGACGGTGTTTTGTAGAGGGTGGGGTCTCTGACCTCTTGTCACTTGGGCATGGAGAGGTGGGGTTTTCCTTTTGGTCCAATTCCAAGAAGCCACCCTCAGGTTGGCTTTAGGCTTGTTGTCTCCAGACCCTATTCTTCTGTCTCAATTCTGGATCGGGGGTACCAATCCTGGGGAATTGATAGCTCAAAAGACGCATCTCCCTAGGCCATGCTGAGTGATGCCAAGCTTCATGGAGGGACGCTGGCACTGTTTGGGGGCCAGTGGCCTTGCCATCTGCAATCAGAGAGAGGTTGCCCACCTGCCAGCTACCTAAGGGATGGTCTCCCTTCCCCTGCTGGTGGCTCCATGGGGCCATTTTGTCCACACTCCATGATCTGTGTCTCCCGGCCATCTTGGAGGTGTGTTCTACATGAAAGAACAACATGTCTAATTGTACAGCGTTAATTCACAGAATTCGTCACACAGACCTATCCATTATGTCTAAACCATTCCTAAAAGCATCAGGATAATATATCATCATTTTGTATTAAATGAAGAGGCGGCCCCTTTCTCAGAATGGCTGTTCCCTAGTAATTATGATAAATGGAAAATCCTGGACAGGTGAATTTTAATAGGCATCCAAGTGCGCTTAGATTAATTAGATTACATTTTTTAAAAACTTTCCTATTTTGCTCCATAGATCTAAATAGGGGCCTCTAAAAGATCATAACCATCCACACACTAAAATGCATTATGATGTCATAAAAGATTATTGATGCACGTATGTAGTTAGACATTATGTTGGATGCGGCAGAATGGCGTAAAACATGGCTGGAGCTGTTCTGAAGCTGTGTTTGCTGACAGTGGTTAGTGGGACTCCCTGGCCAAAGTGTGCAAGGCGAGTGGGCGGGAGGAGCTCAGTGCATATTTCCACTTCCGAGTGGATCTCGTCGGCAATATTTCCCTCCCTGGCCCTTTCAAAAGCAGGGAGCTTGATTAGAGACACACCAACCACATCTTCTGGCTCTGAAAGAGATATACAGAACACTCTTTGTTTGTTTGTTTGTTTGCTTATTTGTTTGTTTTGAGACGGAGTCTTGTTTTGTCACCCAGGCTGGAGTACAATAGCACCATCTTGTCTTACTGCAACCTCCGCTTCCCGGGTTCAAGTGATTCTCCTGCCTCAGCCTCCCTAGTAGCTGGGACTACAGGCGCATGCCACTACGCCTGGCTAATTTTTGTACTTTTAGTACAGATGGGGTTTTACCATGTTGACCAGTCCGGTCTCAAACTCCTGACCTCAGGTGATCCATCTGCCTTGGCCTCCCAAAGTGCTGGGATTACAGGCGTGAGCCACCATGCCTGGCTCAGAATGCTATTTGACAGCCAAAAAGGGAACCATGGGGTGGGGGAAGAGCAGTATCATCAGATAAGTCTTGGGATTGAGGAGACATCAAGGTCACCTTCAAGTCCTGCCTTCCTTTCCTACCTCTGACCCTGAGTTTCTTGTACTTTCTTTTTTATTCACTTTTATATTTAATCATGGATGCATAATAGTTTCACATGTTTATGGGGTACAGATGATATTTTGATACAAGCATATGATGTGTTGTGATTAGATCAGAGCAACTGGAGTATCCATCACCTCAAGCACTGAGTATTTCTTTGTGTTAGGGACACTCCAATTTCATTCTTTTAGTTATTTTGAAATATACAATAAATTGATTTCTATGGTGAGAAAAGAAATGTTCTGCCATGGGGGACACATAACATTGGCCTTTATGGAAAGTTTAACATTTGGAAAGAGCTAAAAGGCAGACAAAGATCCTGAGGGAGAAGAAGCACTGAGAGCTCAGTTGATCACCCTCATAGTGTAGGAACCCTGTGCTGGGCCAGCAGCATCTCAGCTGGTCTCAAACCCCCTTGAGACATGCACTGCTGTCCACTTGGAAACAGTAGGAAAATGAGGTTCAGCAAGAGAAAGTCGTTGGCCAGATTTAGCAAATTAAAATCAGAGCACTCAGTTACCTTTGCATTTTAGATAAACAATGGATAATGTTTTAGTATGTGTTATATGTGGAAAATTATCTGTTATATATCTGAAATTCAGATTTAGCTGGATATTTGTGTTTTACGTGGTAACTCTGGCCCAAGGGCAAAGCTACATAGCTGTTAATTGGCAGCATCAGGACTTAAATCCACTCCAGTGTGGTCATTTCTGTGTTTTGCCATAAATTTCCTGCCTAACTGGTCACCAAACTACATATCAAGGTTACTCTCTGTCATTAAACTGGGGCTGTGGTAGCAAAAACACCAGCTTGACATTCTTGTTGGCTGAGCACCCTGTGCTAATAAAACAAGGTCTCTGATCTCAACGTGGCATAAGACTGCCAAACCTGATGCCATGCTGCCTTCTGGGGCTCTGATGGAGAAGTTACCTGCACACACGCCACTGCCTGAGACATAGCACATCCTGTGGCTAGGGCCAATAAGGAGTGGCTGTGATGTGACCCAGGGCACACAGGGGCAACCATGTCCCCCTGGTCTCTGTTAATGTCACTGGAGTCCGTGATCAGTGGGACTGCCTTGTTTTGGGCCACCCTGTCATTTTTTGTTTGTTTGTTGTTTGAGACGAAATCTTGCTCTTTTGCCCAGGCCGGAGTGCAGTGGTACCATCTAGGCTCACTGCAACCTCCGCCTCCCAGGTTCAAGCAATTCTCCTGCCTCAGCCTCCTGAGTAGTAGCTGGGATTATAGGCACGAGCCACCACACCCAGCTAATTTTTTATTTTTAATAGAGACGGGGTTTCACCAAGCTGGTCTCTAACTCTTGACCTCAAGTGATCCTCCCTCCAAGGCCTCCCAAAATGATGGGATTATAGGCATGAGCCACTGCGCCCGGCCCAGCCACCTTGTTTTTAGTCCCTTCCCACTCACCAGCATGCATGTTCTGTCCTCAAGGATAAACCTATTCTTCCTCTGCTATCTTTGCTTTCTAACCTCTCCAAACACCGGCAAATAAACCATGTGTGTCAGCTTCAAGCACAGGAAATATTTGTTTCTCCTTGTCCCAGTTGTCTCCCCTCTTTCGGTTTTCATACCGCCTGCAAAAGACAAAATTCATCCTACAAGGGTCTTTAGAGTTTCTCTTGCATTTTCTCTGATCTGTGGCTCCTTGCAGCTCAGGGAATTATACCCCACTGTTCACATTTTCAACCAGTTAGGCAGGAATTTTCCTCAGAAAGCCTGGCTCCGTCAGGGACTGTGCATATTTAAAGACTGTAATTAAGGGACTGTCAGTCAGAATTCCCATTACAAGTACTTGCTTTGAAGTTTATGACTTGGAGTCCTCAGCTCACAACATGTTTGGAAATGTGACATTTGGATGCATGGTTCAGGAAGATTCTTACTTGCAGAAAAGACAGGGCTTCATTTTCAAGCTGTAAACGGGGTGATTGCAAACTTAGCTGACACGCAGGCATTGAAGAGAGCAGGACCCACAGTTGATTAAAGCAGAAGGAGGAGGCGGGAGGCAGATCGAGTTAGTGTATCTGGGTCTGCTCTTGGGAGAAACGAGGTGGGTCCAAGGAGGCGAGGCACACCCTACACACTCCAAAAATAACTTTTCCTGGTTTCTTTCATTCAACTACCATTTACTTGTCTTTACACTTGATCTTAGCCACGAGGCCAAGAAGAGACCGTTTATTTATCTTTAATTTGAGAAATTGCAAAAGCACAGAAAAACACAAACAGAATATGACTCCATTCATTCAATAAAGACTTACTGAGAAAAAATATAGATTCCCATTTAATTCTGTTAAGGACTGGGTTGCATAATTTCTACAATTCTGCAGTAATGCGTAGTATACACTATAAATTTAGTTCTTATAATCTAATTATTCTATAATGACAGGAACTTACTTTTACATGTGATGTTTACCTGGAGAAGAGTTCATGGAAACTACCAGTAGAGATTAATTTCTGATTTAAGCCATAGGCTTGCATCGTTTGTTTCCATTTGGGCTGGATGTGCCACTCTACCTCTGATTTGGACCCTGGTGGCCTATCTGTTTCCTGAAAAACCCCCTCACACCTTTTCTTGCTGAACTCCAGACTTCGTTAGGTGAGAACAGAAAGGCGGGGTCGGGGTGGGTTTCTTTCTCTTTTCCACCTCCCAGAACACGTTGCATCTTTTTTCTTTATTCATGAATAACACACAATTTGCTATTAATCACCTCACAGCAATTGAAGTCTATTCAATTTGACACTCAGGCACTGTGCTGGGAATGGGGCAAAAAGAGTGAATTCACGACAGACCCGACTGCATGGCTGAATCTCACAGATGCTGCGCCGCGCAAATGAAGACAGACACGCAAGATTGTCTGCTGCCTCAGTCCGTGCCTATGAAGCCCCACAGCCGCAAACGCTGAGCTGTGGTGTCAGGAGAGATCAGTGGTTGCCTTGGATGGGGCGTGAGGGCATTGACCTGGAAGGGGCACAGAAGAGCTTTCTGGGGTGATGGGGATGTTCTATATTTTGATGGCAGCTGTGGCTACATGAGTATAATCCACAGGTGAACATTTCTTGAAACACATCAAACTATACACTTAAATGGTTGCATCTCAGTGCATGCAAATTAGGCCTCAACAAATTATTGCACAGACTGAATTTTTAACAATATGGGGAAAAGCTTGTCCCCAAGGACTGAAATCTGATGAAGTCACGCAAACGCTCGCACACACATACGTACATGCACGCACACACAGAGCTAGGTGCTGCATGAGCACAGAGACGAACTAGATAATCAGTGCTTGGATCAGGTGTGGGTGAGCAAGGAGAGCTGCTGTCAAATGTGAGATGGACAATGTAGGGAAGGGCATTTTAGATGGAGGAATGGCCTGTGTCTATTCCACCGTCAGACATTCATTATGTACCTGCTTTGTCCCAAGTCCTGAGGACAGAGAATACCCCTTCTCCTTCCAGAACAGTTCCCCACTCAGTGGAGGAGAATGACCCACAATTGGTGAATTACACACCAGTGGCACAGCATGAGCAAGGGGACAGAGGACTGGACATGCTCAGGCTTTGAGAGGAGAGGGTGACATGGTGTGTTGGAGCACAGGGTTTGTGAGCAGGGAAGGGTGTGGAGGGTGGTGGGGCCAGCTCTTGCAAAAGTTTTTGTTTTGGACTAAGGGGCTGGAGCTCCACTCTGAAGCCAAGAGAGGAGGGTGATTTCAGCATAAAGGTGGGGATGGAGGAGAGTGACATGCTCAAAGCCTTGGTTTAGAAAAATTGTCCCAATATTTCTACCCTGGGCTGTCTGGCTGGTTGCATGCACACCCTGTGTCAGCAGAGGGCAGGGGGATTGAACAGGAGATGGGGACACCAGCCAGGAGGCTGTTGCATGGTGAAAAATGGGTCCCCCAGGGCTGGGACCAGCCTGTGATATGCTTGTTTGATGGCTAATGAATAAACAGACAGAATGTCATGTAGCCATACAATAGAATATTATTTACCACCACCAACAAAAAGAAATAGAGTTCTGATATAGGCCAAAACAAAGATAACTCCCGAAACACTACACCAAGTGAAAGAAGCCAGTCACAAAAGACCATGTTTGGTATTATTTCATTTATATGAAACGTCCAGAATAGGCAAATCTATACAGACAGAAAATATTGTCTAGGCTTGGTGGGGGACAGGAGAAAAATGAAGGGGTGACCACTAAGGGGCACACTATTTCTTACTGAAATGATATAAATGTACTCAAAATTAGATTCTGGTGATGCTTGCACAACTCTGTACTGTATACATAAATAAATGAACAATACAGAATCTAAATATAGGTGTTTCAAAGCAAATCAGGTCATTTTCTAGCATTTAAAAATTACATTTCACAGAAAATTCAGACATTCAGCTTATCTTGGGGAGAAAGAATGAGAGAGAGGAAGAGAGAATGAGAGAGAATGAGACAGAGACTGAGAGAGAGAATGAGAGAGGAGAGTGAATGAAAGAATGATAAAGAGAGAATGACAGTGAGAGAGAATGAGAGAGAATGAGAAAAAAGAGAGAATGAGGGAGAGAAAGGGAGAATGAGAGTGAGAATGAGACTGAGACTGAGAGAAAGAGTGAATGCGAGAGAGAGAGAATGAGAGAGAGAAAAGGAGAAAATGAGAATGAGAGAGAGAAGGAGAGAATGGGAGAGAGAAAGAATGGGAGAAAAGAATGAGACAGAGACTGAGAGAGAATGAGAAAGAAAGAATGAGAAAGACAGAGAATGAGAGAGAGAATGAGAGAAAGAGAATGAGACAGAGAATGAGAGAGAGAATGAGAGAAAGAGAATGAGACAGAGAATGAGAGAGAATGATAGAGGAAGAATGAGAATGAGAGAGAAAGAGAGAATGAGAGAGAGAGAAAGAGAGAGAGAGAGAGATGGAGATGTGACAACTCTGGCAACCCTACATCCGTGGCCACCCTCAGTGGAACTGGGTGTCAGCATGAGCCGTCTAGTTTACCACAGTCCCCAACACAGCCTACTCTTCACCCCAGGATTGGTTCCTGTGGCTGTTTGAACTTGTGACTCCCCAGTTAAAGCAAACATAGAAAACAAAAATGTTCAGCATCAACATTTTGGTCCTACTATGGGCCTAGGACGGTGGGCATGCCTCTGTAAACAATCTTCGCACTTACAGGCAAGATGAAATAAAACTGGAACCAATGGAAGTTTACTTTCATAGAGCACCCACCTGAGCGATTTGAGCAGCTTTTCTACATTCCAAACACCAAAGCCATTGTTTCTTATTTACCGGTCTCCGCACACACCAACCTGCTGTGCTTTTAACCCTGACAAGGTACATCGGAGCAGGGGCTTGGAATGCTCAGGGGGCTTGCTCTGCCTTCTGCCAGGAGGAAGTAGAGATAGGAAGTGATCCTCCAGCTGCAGATTTTGTCCTGTGGCCCCCTGAAGGCACAAGAATTCCATTACAGACCTTCTCTGGTTGGAGGAAAAAGAGGAGGTTGCAGTAATTAAGGGAAGTGGAAGACGCAAGTTAAGGAAGCTTGTTCATTAAGGCAGCACACAGTCTTTGAATGTTTGCTATGTGCTACTGCACCATGCGATTTTAAAATCCAACTCAGTACCCAAACACGAGATGTCGTATCGTCATCCTCATACTCAGGAGCACATAACACTCTCATCTCCTTTCCTCTATCCCTCCTTTCTTTATCTTTCTTCCTTCTCCTTTCTTTCTCTCGTCCTCCCTCCCTTCTTTTCCTCCCTCCTTCCTCTCTTCCTTCCCTCTCTCCATCCACTTATTCATTCAATATTTATTTAGTGCCCAACTGTAAGAGTGGCCAGAGACACAACAGGGAAAAAAAGGTAAAAATCCTTGCCTTTGTCAAGCTTACATTTTAGTGGGAAAAGCACAGTGAGATAAAGAAGCACATTGTATAACATATTAGATGTGGCACATTGTTTAAGATATTAGATGATGCACGTTATATAATAGATTAAGTAGAACTGCCAGGTGAAATGTGGTGTGCATGTGTGGATTAACTTATTTCTATTTTACTATTTACGTGTTTATTTTTCAATTGATGTTTAGAGATATGTATCCATTATGGAATGACTAAATCAAGCTAATTAACATGTTCATTACTTCCCATACTTATTTTTTTGTGGTGAGAAAATTTAAAATCAACTTATTCGCTTAGCAATTATGGAGTATATAATTATACTCCATAATTATATAACTATAATTACCTTGCTGTACAATAGATCTCCTGAATGTATTCCTCCTGTCTACTTGGAATTTTGTATCCTATGACCAAAGTCTTTCCATTCCCCTACTCCTACCCCAGGCCCTGGTAACCACCATTCCATTCTCTGCTTCTTTAACATTTTAGATTCCACATGTAAGTGAGATCAGGTAGTATTTGTTTTTCCATGTCTGGCTTCTTTCACTTAGCATATACCCTCCAGGTCCTGCAATGTTGCTGCAAATGATAGAATTTTATTCTTTTTTATGGATGAATAATATTTCATTGTATAAGTGCACCACATTTTCTTTACACATTCATCCATTGATGGACACTTGGGATGATTCCATATCTTGGCTATTGTGAATAGTGCTGCAATAACAATGAGAGTGCAGATGTCTCTTCAATAAACTGATTTCAAATCTTTTGGGTAAATACCCATAAGTGGGATTGCTGGATCATATGGCAGCTTTATTAGTAATTTTTAAAGGAACATCATACAGTTTTCCATAAAGACTATGCTAATTTACATTCCCACCAACAGTGTACAAGGGTTTACTTTTCTCTACATCTTCACCAACACTTCTTATTGCTTGTCTTTTTGACAATAGCCATTCTGACTGGTGTGAGATGATAGCTCATTGTAGTTTTAAATTGCATTTTCCTGATGATTACTTAAGTTGAATATTTTTTCAAATACCTTTTGACCGTTTGTATATCTTTTGAGAAATGTGTGTTTAGTCCCCTTGCTCATTTTTTTTTTTTTTTTTTTGAGACGGAGTCTCGCTAGCTCTGTTGCCAGGCTGGAGGGCAGTGGTGTGATCTGGGCTTACTGTAACCTCCGCCTCCCTGGTTCAAGTGATTCTTCTGCCTCAGCCCCCTGAGTAGCTGGGACTATAGGTGCGCGCCACCATGCTTAGCTAATTTTTATAGGCGCGTGCCACCATGCCCAGATAATTTTTGTATTTTTAGTAGGGACGAGGTTTCACCATGTTGGCCAGGATGGTCTCAATCTCTTGACATCATGATCTGCCCACCTTGTTCTCCCAAAGTGCTGGGATTACAGGCGTGAGCCACCGCACCCAGCTCATTTTTAAATTGAATTATTTGTTTTCTTGTTACTGAGTTGCTTGAATTCCTTACACACTTTGAATATTAGCTCCTTATTGAGTGTATGGATTGCAAATATTTTCTCCCAATTTGCAGACTGTCTCTTCACATCGTTAATTGTTTCCTTCACTATGCAGAAATTTTTAAGTTTGTTGTAATCTTATTTGTCTATTTTTGCTTTTTGGGCCAAATCTAAAAAATCGTCACCAAGACTAATGTTATGCAGTTTTTCCCCTGTATTTTCTTTTTACAGTTTTACAGTTTTCAGTGTACATTTAAGTGTTCAGACCATTTTTAGTTGATTTGCATATATGGTGTCAGAAAAGAGTCCAATTTAATTCTT
This sequence comes from Homo sapiens, assembly GCF_000001405.40. Taxonomy (NCBI): domain Eukaryota; kingdom Metazoa; phylum Chordata; class Mammalia; order Primates; family Hominidae; genus Homo; species Homo sapiens. Next base: position 29,362,179 of record NC_000019.10, on the reverse strand, counting down.
TTGCATGTAGACTTACACTTTTCTTAGCACTATTTTCTGAAGAGACTATCTTTTTCCCATGGTGTATTCTTGGCACTTTTGCCAAAAATTAATTAACTGTACATGTATGGATTTATTTCTGGGCTATTTTGTTCCATTGGTCAATGTCTTTATTTTTATGCCAGTACCCTGCTGTTTTAGTTACTATAGCTTTGTAGTATAATTTAAAATCACGTAGTGTAATGCCTCTAGCTTTGTTCTATTTGCTGATGATTGCTTTGGCTATTTGGGTTTTTCTGTTGTTTCATACAAAATTTTAGGATTTTTTTTCTATTCTGTGAAAAATGACATTGGAATTTTGATAGGATTGCATGAATTTGTAGATCACTTTTGGTATAATAGACATTTTTATGGTATTAATTCTTTCAAGCTATGAACACTGAATAGCTTTCTATTTATTTGTATATTATTTAATTTGTTTTATAAATGTTTTGTTCTCAGTGTAAAGGTCTTTGACCTATTTAGTTAACATTATTTCTAAGTATTACGTGTGTGTGTGTGTGTGTGTGTGTGTGTGTGTAGTTATTGTAAATGGGATTTCTCTTTTTTTGGATAGTTCATTTTTAGTGTATAGAAATGCTACTGATTTCTTATTCTTTTCTTTCTTTTTTTTTCCTTTTCTTTTTTTTCTTTTCTTTTCTTTCTTTTTTTTTTTTTTTTTTTTTGAGACCGAGTTCACTCTCTTGCCCAGGCTGGAGTGCAGTGGTGCAATCTCAGCTCACTGCAACCTCCACCTGTCAGGTTCAAGTGATGCTTGTGCCTCAGCCTCCTGAGTAGCTGGGACTTCAGGCAAACACTACCACACCCGGCTAATTTTTGTATTTTTAGTAGAGATGGGGGTCTCACTATGTTGCCCAGGCTGGTCTCAAACTCCTGATCTCAAGCAATCTGCCTCCCAAAGTCCTGGGATTACAGGTGTGAGCCACCCCACCTGGCTGAAATGCTATTAATATTTTTTTTTTTTGAGACGGAGTCTCCCTCTGTAGCCCAGGCCAGAGTGCAGTGGCATGATCTTGGCTCACTGCCACCTCCACTTCCTGGGTTCAAGTGATTCTCCTGCCTCAGCCTCCTGAGTAGCTGGGACTACAGGCATGCACCACCACTCCTGGCTAATTTTTGTATTTTTAGTAGAGATGGTGTTTCACCATGTTAGGCAGGATTGTCTCGATCTCCTGACCTCAATCGGCCCACCTTGGCCTCCCAGAGTGCTGGGATTACAGGTGTGAGCCACTGCACCTGGCCAATGCTATTGATTTTTTAATGTTGAATTTGTATCCTGTAAGTTTACTGTATTTGCTTATTAGTTCTAAAAGGTTTTTGGTGGGGTCTTTAGGGTTTTCTATATATAAGATAATGTCACCAGCAAATAGTGACAATTTTACTCTGTCCTTTCCTATTTGAATGCCTTTTACGTCTTTCTCTTGCTCAATTGTTCTGATGGGAACTTCTAATACTCAGTCGAGTTGAAGTAGTAAAAGTGGGCATAATTCTCTTGTTCCAGATCTTAGAGGAAATGTTTTCAACTTTTTAACATTGAGTATAATGTTAGCTGTGGGCTTGTCATATATAGCCTTTATTGTGCTGAGGCACATTACCTCTATACGTAATTTCTTGACAGTTTTTAATCATGAAAGAATGCTGAATTTTGTCAAATTCTTTTTATGCATCTATTGAGATGATCATATGGTTTTTGTCCTTCATTCTGTTAATATGGTGTATTACATTTATAGGTTTGCATGTATTGAACCATCTTTGTAACCAAGGGATAAATCCCACTTGATCATGGTGAGTGACCATTTTAATGTGCTGTTGAATTTGATTTGCTAGTATTTTGTTGATGATTTTTGCATCTATGTTCATCAAGAATATTGGCCTGTACTTTCCTTGTAATGTCCTCGTCTGGATTTAGTGTCAGGGTTATGCTGGCCTTATAAAAAAGAGTTGAGAAATATTCCCTCTTCTCCATTTCTTTGGGGGGTAGCATTTGAAAAAGATTGATGTTAGCTCTTTTTTTTAAAATATTTGGTAGAATTCATCCATGAAGTCATAAGGCCCTGGGCTTTTTCTCAAATGGGAGACTCTTTATTACTGATTTAATCTCCTTACTTATTATTGGTCTGTTGAGATTTTTTATTCCTTCATGATTCAGTCTTTGTAGGTTACATGTGTCTAGAAATGTATCTTTTTTTTTCTAGGTTATCCAATTTGTTGGCATATAGTTGTTCATAGTAGTTTCTTATGATTCTTTGCATTTCTGTGGTATCAGATATAATGTCTTTTCTTTCATTTCTGGTTTTATTTATTTGAGTCTTCTCCCTTTTTTTCTTAGTTAAGCTAGAGGTTTGTTGATTTTGTTAATTTTTCAAAAAAAAGTTCTTTCTTTTTTGATTGTATTTTTTTCTGTCTCTGTGTCATTTATTTCTGCTCAGATTTTTATTATTTTATTATTTCCTTCTTTTTTCTAATTTTGGGATTAGTTTTTCTCTAGTAACTTGGAGAGTAATATCAAGTTGTTTATTTAAAATCTTTCTTCTTTTTTTGATATAGGCATTTTTTGCTGTTTCTTTCATAACTGCTTTTGCTGTATCCCATAAGTTTTGGTATGTTGTGTATCTATGTTCATTTGTTTCAAGGTATTTTTAAATTTCTCTTTTAATTTTTTTCACTGACCAGTTGATTATTCAGGAACATGTTGTTTATTTTTTATGTATTTGCAAATTTTCCAAAATTCCTTCTGTTTTTGTTATCTAGTTTTATATTATTGTGGTCATAAAGTACTTCACATGATTTCATCTTCTTAAATATGCTAAGGGCTGTTTTTTTGATCTAACATGTGATCTATCCTGGAGAATATTCCATGTATGGCTTGAGAAAAATGTGTGTTCTTTTGCTATTGAATGCAATGTTCTGTGTATGCCTTTTAGGTCCATGGGTCAAAAGTGCTGTTCAAGTCCAATGTTTTCTTTTTAATTTTCTGTCTGGATGATCTGTTCATTGTTGAAAGTGGATATTGAAATCTCCATTATTGTATTGCCCTCTATCTTTTCTTTCAGATCCTTTAATATTTGTTTTATATATTTGGTGTCCTAATATTGGGTGCATATGTGTTTACATTTTTGTACCCTTTTGGTGAATTGACTCATTTATCATTATATAATGTTTTTTGTCTATTTTTACAGTTTTTGACTTAAAGTCTATTTTGTCAGATGTAAGTGTAGCTATCCCTGCTCTCTTTTGGTTCCATTTGCATAAAATCATTTTTTATCCCTTCATTTTCAGTCTATGTGAGATGAGTTCCTTTAGGCAGCGTATAGTTGTGTCTTGTCTTTTAAAAAATCCATTCAGTCACTCCGTCTTTTCATTGGATAACTTAGTCCATTTACATTCAAGGTAATTATTAATAGATAAGGACTTACTACTATTTTGTTAACTGTTTTCTGGTTGTTTTATGATATTTTATTTCTTCCTCTCTTGCTATTTTTCTTTGTGGCTTGATAGTTTTCTGTAGTGGTATACTGTTAAGTCTTTCAATTTTTGTTTTGTGTTTCTACTAAATATTTTTTGTTTTGTGGTTACCATATGGCTTACATAGAACATCTTATACTTAAAGCAGCCTATTTCAAGCAGATAACAACTTAACTTTGATTACATAAAACAACTCTACATTTTTATTTCTCCCACCCATTTTGTTTCCAATGTTAGAAATTACATCATTTTGTAATGTGTATCCCTTGTCTACTCATTTCAGCTATACTAGTTATTAACAGTTTTGTCTTCTAACCCTTGTACTAAGAATAAGATTGCTTTACACACCATAATTATAGTTCTTGAATATTCTGAATATGCCTCTATTTTTTAATACCATTGAATTTTGTGCTTTTGCATGTTATTAATTAGTGGTCATTTGTTTCAGCTTAAAGAACTCCCTTTAGCAATTCCTGTTAAGGAAGGTTTAGTGGTTATAAACTCCCTTAGCTTTAGTTCATTTGGGGAAGTTTTTATTTCTCCCTCATTTTTGAAAGACAACTTTGCTAGGTAAAGTATTTGTGGTTATCAGGTATTTTCCTTCATCATTTTGAATATATTATTCCACTTTTTCCTGACCTGCAGGGTTTCTGCTAAGATATTTGCAAAGAGTTATGCTGACACTCCTTCATAAGCAACCTGATTCTTATCTTTTGCTGATCTCAAAACTTTTAGTCTTTGATTTTTGATAGATTGATTATATGTCTTGGTGAACTCCTTTTTGGGTTAAATTTGATTGGAGACCTCTACACCTTCTTGTACTAGAATGTTGGGATCTATGCCCAGATTAAAAAGGTATGTGGCCATTGTTTTTTAAAAATATGATTTCTGTCCCTTTTTCTATTTTTTTTTCTCCTCTGAAAATCCTACTATATAAAGATTTGGTCTCTTGATGGTATTCCATGATTCCTGTAGGCTTTCTTTATTCTTTTTTATTCTTTATTCTTTTTGATCTTCTGACTGGATAATTTCAAATGTTTTGTCTCTGAGCTTAATGACTCTTTCTTCTGGTTGATTTCATTTGCTTTGAAGTTTTCTATTGAAATTTTCAGTCCAGGCATTTTATTCTTCATCCCTAGAATGTCTATTTTTTAAACTGTTTTTATTTATTTGTGAAAATTCTGGCTTTGTGTATTTTCTAAATTTTGCTTAACTTTTTTACCCATACATTTTTGTTATTCATTGAACTTCTGTAAGATAATTATTCTAAATTCTTTGCCAGTCATTTTATAGATCTCAATTTCTTTAGGATTCATTATTGTATCTTTATTAGTACTTTCTGAAGGTGTCAATCAAAACTTCCTTGATTTTCCATAATCCTTATGTGTTCTATGGTGGGGCTAGATCTTCAATATTTAGTATAGACTATAATTCTGGAAGGAGCAGCTAGTGACAACCCCTGGTAGGCAGAGCTTGTTGTGGGTTCACTAGTTGGCTGGGAAACTTTGCTCTGATGTTTGGTGGGGCTTCTATCTGGGTTCCCCTATCTGGAGAGATTAGTTGCTGGGCTTTGCTATTAGTTGAAACTGTTAGCTGGGTACTGTAATAGCCTCTTGTCAGGCTGGTTGCAGGATATATTCCTTTGTTGGATGGTTCTGTTATTTGGAATTTGTGGCTGGACAAGTCTGCAAGCTGGGCTCTGAGGTTAGGTGAGGGTGCTGCTCAAGACGGGTGGGATCAGAGACTATGCTCTTTAGAAATGCACAGTTGAAGATTGCCTACCTATTTGGGCAAAGCAAAGGGGCAAGATTTTGATTGAGTTGAGCTGCTGTTTGATCTCCTGGGTTGAGCAGGTCTAGTCCCTACGCTTCTCCAAAATGGGCAAAGGTGAACGTCTCACTGCCTGGGTGACATGGGCTTTTGGTTAAACTGAGCCACTCTTGGACTCTCAGGCCAAACAGATCTAGTTCCTTTGCTTCTCTAAAATGGGGAAAGGTAGGCATCTCCTGGCGTGGGTGGGAGTATTGGGGTTGGCATTGAATCTGGGTGTAAAGTCTACCCATCTAGGGACTCAGGCCAAGTTAAACTTTCCACCATGCTTCTGAAAGTGACCAGTTCAGCTTTGTGAGTGGGCTATGCAGTTGGCTGGTATCTTCAATGGGGCACCAAAGCTAGGAGAAACACAGAGTTATGACGAATATCTACACACTGGTCACTATGAACTCTGTTTCCTTTCTTTGTTTTTACCTGACTCTTGGGTGTCTAGCCATGCTGTTACCTCCAGTGAGGTAAGACCACAGTGGTCTTCCTAGAAAGGATTCAAGTGCCAGGGAAGCTGAATGACCTCCTCTAGTTCTTTTTTCCTCATGTAGACACCATGGGCACAGGGGGATTTTTGTCTTCTGATATTGTGCCCACTTGGGAGAGGGGAATATATATCATTTGCTTAATATTTTCTCCCATTTGATGAGTTGTCTTTTTTATATTCTTGGTAGAGTCATCCTTTGACACACCATTTAAAAAAATTTTGATGAAGTCTAATCTATTTTTTTTTCTTTGCTTGCTTGTGCTTTAATTTAGGTGTCATATCTAAGAAACCATTGCCAAATCAAAGGTAAAAAGTTTGCAACTATGTTTCCTCCTAAGAATTTCATAGTTTTACTTCTTACATGTAAATTTGAGTTCATTTTTATATGGCATGCTGTAGGGGTCTAAACTCATTCTTTTCATTTTGATATCTAGTTGTCCAAACACCATTTGTTAAAAAGACTATTCTTTGACAATTCTTTAAATTGTCTTGGCATCCTTGTTAAAAATCAATTGACCATAAATGTATGGGTTTATTTCTGGACTCTCAATTCTATTCATTTGATCTATATGTCAAACCATGCTGTCTTGATTAATCTAGCTTTGTGTTAAGCTTTGAAAATGGGAATTGTGAGTGCTCCAACTTTGTTTTTCTTTTCAAGATTGTTTGACTATTTTGAATCCCTTGCCTTTTTATATAAATTTTAGGATTCAACTTCTTAAAAAAGCAGTTGTAATTTTCATACAGATTACATTGAATTTGCAGATCAGCTTGGTGTCTTAACAATACAAGGTCTCATAATCTATGAACACAGGATGTCTTTCAATTTTTTAGATATTTAAATCTTTCAACAATGTTTTGTAGTTATCAGTGTATAAGTCTTATACGTCTTCTGTTAAATTTGTTCCTAAGCATTTTTTTCTTTCTGATGCTGAGATAAATTGCATTGTTTTCTTAATTTCACTTATCAATTGTTTATTGATAGCACATAGAAATACAACTGATTTTTGTATATTGATCTCATACCCCATGTATTAGTCCTTTTTCACACTGCTATAAAAAAACTACCTGAGACTGGGTAATTTATAAAGAGAAGAGGATTAATTAACTCACAGTTCTGCATGGCTTGGGGGGGTCCTCAAGAAACTTAAAATCATGGCGTAAGGTGAAGGAGAAGCAAGAATCTTCTTCACAAAGCTGTAGGAGAGAGAGGGGGTGGGGGGAGCTGCCAAACACTTTAAACCCATCAGATCTCATGAGAACTCACTCACTATCAAAAGAACAGCATGTGGGAAACCGCACCATGATCCAGTCACCTCCCATCAGGTCCCTTCCATGACACATGGGGATTACAATTCGAGATGAGATTTGGGTGGGGACACAAAGCCAAACCATATCACCCTGCAAACTTGCTGAATTCATATATTAACTCTAATAGTTTTATTTGTGTGTATATATGTGTGTATTATTTAGGAACTCCATATATATCTGTCTGTCTGTCTATCTATCTATCTATCTTATATATTTGTTAAATTCCACATATATTTTAACTTATATATAAGTGGTATATATATGTGTGTGTGTTTATATTTGTGTGTGTGTGTGTGTGTGTATATATATATATGGAATTCCTAAGGAACACACAAACACATACACACAAGTTATATACATAACATATATATATATGATTTATATATATATATAAATATTCCCTAAATATATTCCCTATACATATTCCTTAGTTGTTCCCAATACACACACACACACACACACACACACACACACACACACGTCACCTATAAATGGATATAGTTTTAATTCTTCCTTTACAATCTTTATGTTTTAAAATTTATTTTCTTGGCTAATTGCCCTGGCTAGAACTTCCAGTGCAAACTTTTTTTTTTAAATTATACTTTAAGTTTTAGGGTACATGTGCACAACATGCAGGTTTATTACATATGTATACATGTGCCATGTTGGTGTGCTGCACCCATCAACTTGTCATTTACATTAGGTATATCTCCTAATGCTATCCCTCCCCCCTCCTCCCACCCCATAACAGGCCCCGGTGTGTGATGTTCCCCTTCATGTGTCCATGTGTTCTCATTGTTCAATTCCCACCTATGAGTGAGAACATGTGGTGTTTGGTTTTTTGTCCTTGTGATAGTTTGCTGAGAATGATGGTTTCCAGCTTAATCCATGTCCCTACAAAGGACATGAACTCATCATTTTTTATGGCTGCATAGTATTCCATGGTGTATATGTGCCACATTTTCTTAATCCAGTCTAACATTGTTGGACATTTGGGTTGGTTCCAAGTCTTTGCTATTGCGAATAGTGCCACAATAAACATATGTGTGCATGTGTCTTTATAGCAGCATGATTTATAATCCTTTGGGTATATACCCAGTAATTGGATGGCTGGGTCAAATGGTATTTCTAGTTCTAGATCCCTGAGGAATCACCACACTGACTTCTACAATGGTTGAACTAGTTTACAGTCCCACCAACAGTGTAAAAGTGTTCCTGTTTCTCCACATCCTCTCCAGCACCTGTTGTTCCCTGACTTTTTAATGATCACCATTCTAACTGGTGGGAAATGGTGTCTCATTGTGGTTTTGATTTGCATTTCTCTGATGGCCAGTGATGATGAGCATTTTTTCATGTGTCCTTTGGCTGCATAAATGTCTTCTTTTGAGAGGAGTCTGTTCATGTCCTTCGCCCACTTGTTGATGGGGTTGTTTGTTTTTTCTTGTAAATTTGTTTGAGTTCTTTGTAGATTCTGGATATTAGCCCTTTGTCAGATGAGTAGACTGCAAAAATTTTCTCCCATTCTGTAGGTTGCCTGTTCACTCTGATGGTAGTTTCTTTTGCTGTGAAGAAGCTCTTTATTTTAACTAGATCCCATTTGTCAATTTTGGGTTTTGTTGCCATTGCTTTTTGTGTTTTAGACATGATGTCCTTGCCCATGCCTATGTCCTGAATAGTATTGCCTAGGTTTTCTTCTAGGGTTTTTATGGTTTTAGGTCTAACATTTAAGTGTTTAATCCATCTTGAATTAATTTTTGTATAAGATGTAAGGAAGGGATCCAGTTTCAGCTTTCTACATATGGCTAGCCAGTTTTCCCAGCACCATTTATTAAATAGGGAATCCTTTCCCCATTTCTTGTTTTTGTCAGGTTTGTCAAAGATCAGATAGTTGTATATATATGGCATAGTCTCTGAGGCCTCTGCTTTGTTCCGTTGGTCTATATCTCTGTTTTGGTACCAGTATCATGCTGTTTTGTTTACTGTAGCCTTGTAGTACAGTTTGAAGTCAGGTAGCATGATGCCTCCAGCTTTGTTCTTTTGGCTTAGGATTGACTTGGCAATGCGGTCTCTTTTTTGGTTCCATATGAACTTTAAAGTAGTTTTTTCCAATTCTGTGAAGAAAGTCATTGGTAGCTTGATGGGGATGGCATTGAATCTATAAATTACCTTGGACAGTATGGCCATTTTCATGATATTGATTCTTCCTACCCATGAGCCTGGAATGTTCTTCCATTTGTTTGTATCCTCTTTTATTTCATTGAGCAGTGGTTTGTAGTTCTCCTTGAAGAGGTCCTTCACATCCCTTGTAAGTTGGATTCCTAGGTATTTTATTCTCTTTGAAGCAATTGTGAATGGGAGTTCACTCATTATTTGGCTCTCTGTTTGTCTGTTATCTGTGTATAAGAATACTTGTTATTTTTGCACATTGATTTTGTATCCTGAGACTGCTGAAGTTGCTTATCAGCTTCAGGAGATTTTGGGCAGAGACAATGGGGTTTTCTAGATATACAATCATGTCGTCTGCAAACAGGGACAATTTGACTTCCTCTTTTCCTAATTGAATATCCTTTATTTCCTTCTCCTGCCTGATTGCTCTGGCCAGAACTTCCAACACTATGTTGAATAGGAGTGGTGAGAGGGGGCATCCCTGTCTTGTGCCAGTTTTCAAAGGGAATGCTTCCAGTTTTTGCCCATTCAGTATGATATTGGCTGTGGGTTTGTCATAGATAGCTCTTATTATTTTGAAATACGTACCATCAATACCTAATTTATTGAGAGTTTTTAGCATGAAGAGTTGTTGAATTTTGTCAGAGGCCTTTTCTGCATCTATTGAGATAATCATGTGGTTTTTGTCATTGGTTCTGTTTATATGCTGGATTACGTTTATTGATTTGCATATGTTGAACCAGCCTTGCATCCCAGGGATGAAGCCCACTTGATCATGGTGGATAAGCTTTTTGATGTGCTGCTGGATTCGGTTTGCCAGTATTTTATTGAGAATTTTTGCTTCAATGTTCATCAGGGATATTGGTCTAAAATTTTCCTTTTTTATTGTGTCTCTGCCAGGCTTTGGTATCAGGATGATGCTGGCCTCATAAAATGAGTTAGGGAGGATTCCCTCTTTTTCTATTGATTGGAATAGTTTCAGAAGGAATGGTACCAGCTCCTCCTTGTGCCTCTGGTAGAATTCAGCTGTGAATCCATCTGGTCCTGGACTTTTTTTGGTTGGTAAGCTATTAATTGTTGCCTCAATTTCAGAGCCTGTTATTGGTCTATTCAGATATTCAACTTCTTCCTGGTTTAGTCTTGGAAAGGTGTATGTGTCGAGGAATTTATCCATTTCTTCTAGATTTTCAAGTTTATTTGTTTAGAGATGTTTATAGTATTCTCTGATGGTAGTTTGTATTTCTGTGGGATTGGTGGTGATATCCCCTTTATCATTTTTTGTTGTGTCCATTTGATTCTTCTCTCTTTTCTTATTAGTCTTGCTAGTGGTCTATCAATTTTGTTGATCTTTTCAAAAAACCACCTCCTGGATTCATTGATTTTTTTGAAGGTTTTTTTTGTGTCTCTATCTCCTTCACTTCTGCTCTGATCTTAGTTATTTCTTGCCTTCTGCTAGCTTTTGAATGTGATTGCTCTTGCTTCTCTAGTTCTTTTAATTGTGATATTAGGGTGTCAATTTTAGATCTTTCCTGCTTTCTCTTGTGGGCATTTAGTGCTATAAATTTCCCTCTACACACAGCTTTAAATGTGTCCCAGAGATTCTGGTATGTTGTGTCTTTGTTCTCGTTGGTTTCAAAGAACATCTTTATTTCTGCCTTCATTTCATTATGTACCCAGTAGTCATTCAGGAGCAGGCTGTTCAGTTTCCATGTAGTTGAGTGGTTTTGAGTGAGTTTCTTAATCCTGAGTTCTAGTTTGGTTGCACTGTGGTCTGAGAGACAGTTTGTTATAATTTCTCTTCTTTTACATTTGCTGAGGAGTGCTTTACTTCCAACTATGTGCTCAATTTTGGAATAAGTATGGTGTAGTGCTAAGAAAAATGTATATTCTGTTGATTTGGGATGGAGAGTTCTGTAGATGTCTATTAGGTCTGCTTGGTGCAGAGCTGAGTTCAATTCCTGGATATCCTTGTTAACTTTCTGTCTCGTTGATCTGTCTAATGTTGACAGTGGGGTGTTAAAGTCTCCCATCATTATTGTGTGGGAGTCTAAGACTCTTCATAGATCTCTAAGGACTTGCTTTATGAATCTAGGTGCTCCTGTATTGGGTGCATATATATTTAGGATAGTTAGCTCTTCTTGTTGAATTGATCCCTTTGTCTCTTTTGTCTTTGTTGGTTGAAAGTCTGTTTTATCAGATACTTGGATTGCAACCCCTGCCTTTTTTTGTTTTCCATTTGCTTGGTAGATCTTCCTCCATCCCTTTATTTTGAGCCTATGTGTGTCTCTGAACGTGGGATGGGTTTCCTGAATACAGCACACTGATGGGTCTTGACTCTTTATCCAATTTGCCAGTCTGTGTCTTTTAATTGGAGCATTTAGTCCATTTACCTTTAGGGTTAATATTGTTATGTGTGAATTTGATCCTGTCATTATGATGTTAGCTGGTTATTTTGCTCATTAGTTGATGCAGTTTCTTCCTAGCATTGATGGTCTTTACAATTTGGTATGTTTTTGCAGTGGCTGGTACCGGTTGTTCCTTTCCATGCTTAGTGCTTCCTTCAGGAGCTCTTGTAGGGCAGACCTGGTGGTGACAAAATCTCTCAGCATTTGCTTGTCTGTAAAGGATTTCATTTCTCCTTCACTTATGAAGCTTAGTTTGGCTGGATATGAAATTCTGGGTTGAAAATTCTTTTCTTTAAGAATGTTGCATATTGGTCCCCACTCTCTTCTGGCTTGTAGAGTTTCTGCCAAGAGATCTGCTGTTAGTCTGGTGGGCTTCCCTTTGTGGGTAACCTGACCTTTCTCTCTGGCTGCCCTTAACATTTTTTTCCTTCATTTCAACTTTAGTGAATCTGACAATTATGTGTCTTGGTGTTGCTCTTCTCGAGGAGTATCTTTGTGGTGTTCTCTGTATTTCCTGAATTTGAATGTTGGCCTGTGTTGCTAGATTAAGGAAGTTCTCCTGGATAATATCCTGAAGAGTGTTTTCCAACTTGGTTCCATTCTCCCCGTCACTTTCAGGTACACCAATCAGACGTAGATTTGTTCTTTTCACATAGTCCCATATTTCGTGGAGGCTTTGTTCATTTTTTAAATTCTCTTTTCTCTAAACTTCTCTTCTCACTTCATTTCATTCACTTGATCTTCCATCACTGATAACCTTTCTTCTAGTTGATTGAATCAGCTACTGAAGCTTGTGCATTCGTCATGTAGCTCTTGTGCCATGGTTTTCAGCTCCATCAGGTCCTTTAAGGACTTCTCTGCATTGGTTATTCTAGTTAGCCATTCGTCTAATCTTTTTTCAAGGTTTTTAACTTCTTTGCCATGGATTCAAACTTCCTCTTTTAGTTTGGAGAAGTTTGATCATCTGAAGCCTTCTTCTCTCAACTCATCAAAGTCATTCTCCGTCCAGCTTTGTTCCATTGCTAGTGAGGAGCTGCTTTCCTTTGGAGGAGGGGAGGTGCTCTGATTTTTAGAATTTCCAGTTTTTCTGCTCTGTTTTTTTCCCCATCTTTGCGTTTTTATCTACCTTTGGTCTTTGATGATGGTGACGTACAGATGGGGTTTTGGTGTGGATGTCCTTTCTGTTTGTTAGTTTTCCTTCTAACAGTCAGGACCCTCAGCTGCAGGTCTGTTGGAGTTTGCTGGAGGTCCACTCCAGACCCTGTTTTCCTGGATATCAGCAGTGGAGGCTGCAGAACAGTGAATATTGCTGAACAGCAAATGTTGCTGCCTGATCGTTCCTCTGGAAGTTTTGTCTCAGAGGAGTACCCGGCCATGTGAGGTGTCACTCTGCCCCTACTCTGGTGTGCCTCCCAGTTAGGCTACTCAGGGGTTAGGGAACCACTTGAGGAGGCAGTCTGTCCGTTCTCAGATCTCAAGCTGCATGCTGGGAGAACCACTACTGTCTTCAAAGCTGTCAGACAGGGACATTTAAGGCTGCAGAGGTTTCTCCTGCCTTTTTTTTGGCTATGCCCTGCCCCCAGAGGTGGAGTCTACAGAGGCAGGCAGGCCTCCTTGAGTTGTGGTGGGCTCCACCCAGTTTGAGCTTCCTGGCCGCTTTGTTTACCTACTCAAGCCTCAGCAATGGTGGGTGCCCCTCCCCTAGCCTCACTGCCACCTTGCAGTTTGATCCCAGACTGCTGTGCTAGCAATGAGCAAGGCTCCGTGGGTGTAGGACCTTCCGAGCCAGGCACGGGATCTAATCTCCTGGTGTGCCGTTTCCTAAGACCATTGGAAAAGCACAGTATTAGGGTGGGAGTGACCCGATTTTCCAGGTGCAGTCTGTCACCCCTTTCCTTGGCTAGGAAAGGGAATTCCCTGACCCCTTGCACTTCCTGGGTGAGGTGATACCTCGCCCTGCTTTGGCTCATGCTCAGTGCACTGCACCCACTGTTCTGCACCCACTGTCTGGCAGTCCCCAGTGAGATGAACCCAGTACCTCAGTTGGAAATGCAGAAATCATTCATCTTCTGCGTTGCTCACACTGGGAGCTGTAGACTGGAGCTGTTCCTATATGGCCATCTTGGAACCACCCCCTACAACCTTAAATAACCTTTTATAGATGCCCTTCATTAGGTTGAGGAAGTTCCCTTTGTTTTATTTTGTTGAGTGTTTTTATTATTAAAGAGTTTTGGATTTTGTCAAATGCTTTTTCTGTGTATGTTGAGATAAACATGCAATTTTTCCCTTTATTCTATTAATATGTTGTTTTGCTTTGACTGGTTTTTCTATATTGAACTAACCTTATATTCCTGAGATAAATCCTACTTATTAATGGTGTGGGATCCTTTTAAAAATCTTGTCAGTAAAATACTTGTAAGATAAAATTAACTGTCTTAACCATTTTTAAGTGTACAGTTCAGTGGTATTAACTATATTCATATTGTTGTAGAATGATCACCACCATTCATCTCCAGGACTCTCCTCAACTTGTGAAACTGGAACTCTATACACATTAAATAATAACTCTCCATCCCCTTTACACCTTCCCCTGGAAACCACTATTCTATTTCCATCTCCATAAATTTGAATACTTCCTATAAGTAGAATAATATAGCATTTGTCTTTTTGTACCTGGCTTATTTCATTTATGATAATTTCCTCAAGGTTCATCCATGTGGTATGTGTCAGAATTTCCTTTCTTTTTAAGGCTGAATAATATTCTACTGTATGTGTATACCACATTTTTTTATTCATCTGTTGATGGACATTTGAGTTGTTCCCATGTTTTAGCTTTTATGAATAATGCTGCTATAGGCATGGGTGTATAAATATGTCTTAGAGATACTGCTTTCAATTATTTTGAGTATATCCCCAGAAATAGAATTGTTGGGTCATATGGTAATTCTAGTTTTAATTCCTTGAGGAACTGCTATACTCTTTTCAAGAGTAACTGTGCCATTTTACATTCCCTCTAACAGTGCACAAATGTCTCAATTTTCCACATCCTCATTAATGCTTTTTTTTATAGTAGCCATCCTAATGGATATGAGGTGGTATCTCATTGTAATTTTGATTTACATTTCACTAATGATTAGTATGGTGAGCCCTTTCTCATGTGATTATTTGCCATTTATATATCTTCTTTGATAAAATATCTATTTAAGTCCTTTGCAGATGTTTGAATCAGGTTTTTTTTTTTGCTGTTGTGTTTTAGAAGTTCTCTATATACTGTGGCTATTAATCCCTTATCAGATATGTGATTTGCAAATATTTTCTTCTATCTTGTGAATTGCCTTTCTACTTTGTTAATAGCATCTTTTGATGCATAATTTAAAAAATTTATGGAATCCAATTTATCTATTTTTCTTTTGTTGTGTCTTTGTTTTCATATCTAAGAAATCATTGCCAAATTTGATGTCAAGGGGCTTTTGCCCTGTGTTTTTTTCCTAAGAGTTTTATAGTTTTAAATGTTACATTTCAGTCATAAATTCATTATTAGTTAATTTTTATATTGAGTATTAGGTAGGGCTACTGTAAATGGAATTATTTTCTTAATTTCTCTTTTGGATTGTTCATTGTTTGTGTATAGAAATGCAGCTAACTTTTGTATGTTCACTTTGTATCCTGTTACTTTGCTAAATTCATTTATTAGTTCTTACAGATTTTTTGTATGTGAGTGTGTGTGTATGTGTGTGTAATTTTTAGAGTTTTCTACATATTAGATTATATCAGCTCCAAATAGAGATGTTTTTACTTCTTTTCCAAATTGAATGTCTTTTTTTTTGCAGCCTAATTTTTATGACTAAGACTTGTAATACTATGGTGAAGAGAAGTGCTGAAAATAGGTATCTTTGCCTTGTTCCTGACTTTAAAGGAAGCACTTTCAGTCTTGTACCATGAGCACAATGTTTGTTGTGTATTTTTCATATAAGCATTTTATTATGTTGAGGTAAGTTCTTTCTATTCCTGATTTGTTGAGTATTTTTATCATGAAAGAGCGTTAAATTTTGTCAAAGGTTTTTTTCTGCATCGGTTTAGATAGACTTGCAGGTTTTTTCTTTCATTCTCTTTATGTGCTGTATTACATTGATAGATTTTTGTATGTTAAACCATCCTTGCATTCCAGGAAAAAATTCCACTTGATAATGATGTATAACCCTTTTAATATGCTGCTGAACTCAGTTTGTTAGCATTTTGTTGAGGATTTTTGCATGAATGTTCATAAGGGATATTGGTCTGCAGTTTTTATTTCTTCCAGTGTCTTTGTTTGGATTTTGTATAAAAGTAATGCTGTCCTCATACAATGAGTTAGGAAGTGTTTTTCATCTTCAATTTTTTGAAAGAGTTTAAGATGGATTGTGTTAGTTCTTTAAATGTTTGATAGGACTCATAGGTGAAGTCATTAAGTCCAGGACTTTTCTTTGTTGGGAGATTTTTTATTACTGATCCAATCGCCTGATTAGTTACAGGTCTATTTAGATTTTCTATTTCTTCATAACTTTTGTGTTTCTGGGAAAGTGTCCATTTTATCTAGGTTATCAAGTTTATTTGGTACAATTGTTAATAATATTCTCTTCTAATCCTTTTTATTTGTACAGTATTATGGGTAATGTCCCTACTTTCATTTATAATTTCAGTAATTTGAGTCTTCTCACTTTTTTACTTAGTACATCTAGCTAAAATTTTGTCAGTTTTGTTGATCTTTTAAAATAACAAACTTCTGGTTTTGTTGATTTTCTTCATTGTTTTTCTATTCACTATTTCCTTTATCTCTGCTCTAATCTTTATTATTTCCTTCTCTCTGCTAGCTTTGGGTTTAGTTTGTTCATTTTCTTGTGTTCCTTAGGTTGTAAAATTAGGTTATTAATTTTAGATCTTTCTTGTTTTTTAATGTAAACATTTATAATGATAAATTTTCCCTTTAATACTGTTTTATTATGCCCCATAAGTTTTAGTATGTTCTTTTTTCATTATCATTCATCTCTAAGTATTTTCTAATTTCTCTTTTGATTTCTTCTTTGATCCATTAGTTGTTTAAGAGTAGTTTTTAAATTTCCACAAATTTGTGAATTTTTCAGTTTTTTTTCTGTTACTGATTTCTACATTTATTCTGTTGTGGTTTGAGAAGATAGTTATATGATTTCTGTCTTTAAAAATATATTGAGACTTAATTCATGCCCTAACATATGGTCTATCCTTGAAATTGTTCCATATGCTCTTGTAAAGATTATGTGTTCTGCTGCTGTTGGGTAAAGTACTCTATATAGATCTAGTTGGCTTATTGTGTTAAGTCTTCTATTATTTATCTTCTATCAGTTTGTTCTATCCATTATTAAGAATGAGGTATAAAAGTCTCCAAATATTACTGTAGAACATTTTATTCCCCATTCAATTCTGTCAAATTTTACTTTACATATTTTTATGGTCTGTTATTAGGTGTGCAAATATTTATAATTATTATATCTTCTTGGTATATTTAATCTTTTATTAGTATATAATATTTTCCTAGTCTCTTGTAAACTTTTTGCTTAAAAGTTTATTCTGCTTTTTATTAGTATAGCCATTCCTGCTCTCTTTTGGTTACTGTTTGCATGAAATATCCTTTTCCATCCTTTTCTTCTGATGTCTCATTTTCAATCAATTTGTGCCTTTGTATCTAAAGTTAGACTCTTGTAGACAGCATATGCTTGGATCATTTTTATTTTTGTCCTTTGTGCATTCATATCTTTTGATTGGAGAGCTTAATGCATTTTCATTTAAGTAATTGCTTGTAAGGAGGGCCTTACTTTTGTCATTTTGCTATTTGTTTTCTATGTACCTTATAGTTTTTGTCTCTCACTTCCTACATTACTGTTCTCCTTTGGGTTTAGTGAGCTTTTGTAGTAAAGTGTTTAAATTTCTTTCACATTTCCTTTTGTATATGTTCTTTGACTACTTTTTATGGTTACCATGGTGATTATATTTAACATTCTAAGTGATAACACTCTAATATGAATTTAAACTAGCTTAACTTCAATGACATATAAAAACTGCTCTATTAACAGCTCCATCTCCACCCCTTTCAGTCATTAATGTCACAAAAATACATCTTTGCACATTGTGCATCCTAAAACATAAGCTTATTTTTCTATGCACTAGACCCTTAAATTATGTAGAAAAAAATGTGAAATTACAAACCGAAGTTACAATAATATTGGCTTTTGAGCTAACAATTGTTCTTTTAAAAATGCATTATTCTCTTAAATCACATAGAAAACAAAAATCGAAGTTATACACCATTGTACAATACTAGTTTATTTATTTATTCATTTTAAAAGGACAAATAATAGTGTATATTTATGAAATAGAATGCGATGTTTTTATCCATGTGTACATTATAGACTCAATCGAGCTAATTAACATACTCATCACTTCATCAATTTGTCATTTTTTGTGGTGGAAATGTTAAAAATCTATTTTAGCAGTAATGTACTGTATATTACAATGATGCTAGTTTTTAAAATGCCCATACATTTACTTTTACTGAGACCTTTATTTTTTTTAATATAGCTTTAACTTACTGCCTACTGTCCTTTTATTTCAACCTGTAGGATTCCTTTCAAGCATCTCTTGAAGGGCAGGCCAAGTGGTAACAAATTCCATCAGCTTTGGTCATCTGGGAATGTCTTAATTTCTCTTTCACTTTTGAAGGACCATTTTGCTGGTTATAGGATTCTTGGTTGAGAGTCTTCCCTTTTATTGCTTTGAATATATCAGCTCATTGTCTTCTGGTCTCCAAAGTTTCTGATGTGGTTAGCTTTCAACAGTTTGATTATAATAGGTATATGTATGAATTTCTTTGAGTTAATATTATTTGGAGTTCATTTAGCTTCCCCTGGAAATTGAAAGCCTGCAATAGACTCCAGAGGTCCAAAATCATTATATCAGATGGTTTCTGCCAGTGCAATTGTTGTCTAGGTGGAGAGATATTTCTGGTGATTCCTACTCTTCTATCTTATCAGAGTCCTTCTGTATGACTATTTTTATATGCTTTTAGATTTTTATTTGCTGGTATTTTGTTGAGGATTTTGCATATCTTCTCATAAAGGATATTGGTCTATACTTTTCTTATGATGTCTTTGTCTGTGTTGGTATCAGAGTGATACTAGACTCAGAAAAAGTTAGAAAGTGTTTCCTACTCTTCTATTTTTGGATAGTTTATAAGTGATTGGTGTTAGTTCTTCTTTAAATATTTGGCAGAATTCACCAGTAAAGCCATCTGGTCCTAGAATTTTCTCTGTCGGAAGGGTTTTGCCTATTAATTAAATCTGTTGACTTGTTAGAGGTCTCTCAGATTTTTTATTTCTTTTCAAGTCAGTTTTGGTAGTTTGTGTATTGCTAAACATTTGTTCATTTCATCCAGGTTTTCTAATTTATCAACATACAATTATTCTGGGTATGTCTAAATTTCTCCGTCATTTTTGAGGGATGATGTTACTGGATATAGAATGCTTGCTTGACAGTTTTTTTTTCCTTCCAGCACTTTTAATGTGCCATCTGGCTGCCTTCTGGCCTCCTTGGTTTCTGATGAGAAATTAGCTGTAAATTTTATTGAGAATTCTTTGTTCTTTGTTCAAAGTAACTTTTCTCTCACTTTCAATATTTTTTTCTTTGTCTTTTGACAAGTTCATGAGGCTGTGCTTAGGTGTGAGTCCATTTGAATTTATTCTGTTTGGAGTTTGTTCAGTTTCTTGGATGTGTACATTAAAAGTTCCATCAAATTTAGGAAGTTTTTGTTCTTATTTCTTTAAATATTTATTTTTTCCCTTTTTCTTTCTTCTCTCCTTCTGGGATTCTCATTATGCATATGTTGATACTCTTGAGGATGCCACACAGGCCTCTAAGGATGTGTTCATTCCTAATTGTTTTTGCTTTCTATTCCTCAGACTAGGTGATCTCAATTGATCTATCTTCAAGTTTGCTGACTATTCTTTCAGCCTGCTCAAATCTGCTGTGTTATTTTTTATTTAGTTATACTTTTAAGCTCCAGTTATAGTTCTTTTAAATTTTACATTCGGTTCATTTTTAAATACTTTCTATAAATTGATATTCTCTATTTGGTGAGACATTATTCTCAGACTTTCTTTTAATTGTTTAGACATGATTTTCTTGGCTTTTTAAAAAATTTAAATACTTAAAATAGGTGACTTTGTCTTTGTCTTAAGTGTTTATCTTAAGTCTGATGTCCTGGGACAGTTTCTGTTGATTGTTTTTTTTTTCCTGTATATGGACCGAAATTCTTATTTCTTCACATGTCTTGTAATTTTGTTGTTGTTGTTGAAAACTGGATAAAATAACATGACAACTCTGTCAATCAGATTTCCCCCTTCTTCAGGATTTGTTGTGGTTGCTGCTTGTTGAATTTGTTATTTGTTTAGTGACTTTCTGAACAAATTCTGTAAAGTCTGCGTTCTCTGTTGTGTGTGACCACTGAAGTAGTGGTTAGCTAATTACTGGACAGAGATTAACTTAAATATCTGGAACTAGTAAGCCTTCCAGTCTGTTGCAAGGAGCTCTGTGTGTTGATGTATGTCTTAAACATATAGTTAGGCATTTAGCAACTCTGCCTTCCTTCCTTCACTTCCTGCTTGTTCAGCACCTCTTAATCACTAAAGGTAAGTTATTAGGGTCTTTTCAACTCCTTCCTAAGCATGTGCACAGCCCTGGGCATTTGTGTGGTCTTCTAGTTTGCCAGGAATATGTCAGAGGTTTTCAAAGCCCCTATGAACACCTTATTCCTCAGTTTGTCCTTATAAAACTTTTGTTTAGTCTATTGTTTACCAGTTCTTATCCACCTTTGAAGCAAGCACTTCAGCTAGCTGTAAAGTTAAGACATTTGCCTCTAAATTGTTTTCAACAAACATCCCCTGAAGAGGAAACTTTTTAGTCTGATCAAGCTTCAAGTCAGGTTAAGTACAAACAGCTTTGCAAATGTGGTCTTCAGGTCAACTTTCAGACAGGTCAGATATTGGTAAATTTTCGGAACCAGACCTTGAAAGAGCTCCAGATCTCTTTTTCTTCTTCCTGTGACTGCCAGACTGCACTGGGAGTGTGGGCTGTGATTTTTCAAGGTTATCACTGGGTTGGAAAGCAGGGCATGGGAATAAGGCAAGTTAACATGCCATAAAGCTCACTGTTTTTACTGACATACAGCCATTTTTATTGAATAAATGCTCCCTAGGTTGTTGCAAGCCCTTGGTTAATTCTAAGAGTTCTGAAAAAAATGGACACTGACAATTTTTGTAAGCTTTCTTATTCCTTTTATGAAGGAGAGAATTTTCAGAGGTTCTTACTCTACCATTGTTGCTGACATCACTCTAGTGTTAGATTTTAAGGAGAAAATGAAGGGAAACTGTGAGGAAAATAGATAGGGATAGAGAGTGTCAGAATGATTTCAAATCTTTTATGGAGAAGAAAAATTTAAGAAAGGCCTGAAGGTGGTGAAGTATAAACCAAGCAGACACCTCTGGGGGAGTGGTTTGGACATGTGCCAAGACTGCAAGAAAAGGGCCTGTCTGGGATGTCAGAAGCTCAAGTAAAGAGGCTGGTGACTCTGACACACTGAGAGGTGAGACTCAGTCATGAGATTTGGCCAATGCAAACTTGGATATAAATGGCTTAGAAACCTATGCAGGAATCCTGGGGCAGACTGAAAGCAGGAATGAAGGCTTCCTGGAGGGTGCAAGACTATAGTCCTAGGCTCATTCTTCAAGTCATGGGCTTCATCCATGTAGCATCTACAGAAGGGAAGAATAAATGTTCAGTTTTCCGGATAGTCTAATTTCTAGTGTAGACAGCTAAGGCACTTCCCCAGCCTAAGCTTTATTTTTCTCCTCCTCCTCCTCCTCCTTCTTCTTCTCTTCTTCCTCTTCTTCTTCTTCTTCTTTTTCTTTGTCTTGCTCTGTCATCCAGACTGGAGTCCAGTGGCATGATCTCAGCTCACTGCAAACTCCATCTCCCAGGTTCAAGTGATTCTCATGCCCCAGCCTCCCAAATAGCTGGGACTATGGGCACACACCACCACACCCAGCTAATTTTTCTGTTTTTAGTAGAGATGGAATCTTACTATGTTGCCCAGGCTGATCTTGAACTCCTGGCTTCGTGTGATCTGCCCTCCTTGGCCTCCCAGAGTACTGGGATTATAGGCATGAGCCACCATGCCCAGCTGAGCCTTAATTCTGAAGAACTATATCATGATCCAGTCTCTGGCCCTTTGTTGATCTCTGGCATCTCAAAGTTTTCCCCAAAAGGTTGTAATGTTTGTCCTTCTGCCTCTATACATGCACATTGCAAACATTCTCAATGTTCTGGCCATACCCTGGGTGACGGTCAGGGCCTGGCATTACACTAACACTAACCAACAAGAACCTTCCAGAAGAATTCACAGTGGTTGGAGCTGCATAGGGCAAGAGAAAGCTCCCTGATTAAGGCAATACAGCAGCATGAAACCGTGGCCTGGGCAAGGCACAGGCTTGGACAAGGCCTTATGGCAGACCAGAATACAATTTAGGCTTGAATTTAGATCCTCTGGCTTTCAAAGATGTGCCCTCCTTGCCATGGCAGGGAAATCTTCAAAAATGAATTTATTAAAAATAATGTGGCTCGAAGCTGCAAGCATCCCAAGACTTGTGATAAGTTTCAAACATGCAGCCATGTTTCAGGGTTCAGTTCTCAAGGACAGCATGGGTTAGACTTTCCCTGTCAGGCACTGCAGCTATAATTGGGCTGGGTGGGTGAGGAGGCAGTCACTATTGCCCTGCGGCCCCAACAGCCAGGCTTCTACTGACTAGGCAGTAGCTCTTCCTCCTTCACTCCCCCTTCTTCCTACTCCTCCTCCTATTTCTCCTTCTTTCCCCCTTCTTCCCCTTCTCCTTCCTCCTCCTCCTCCTCCTCCTCCACTTCCCCTTCTTCCTCCTCTTCCTTCTCTTGGTTGAGGTCTTGTCCTTGGGTATTTCTGGCTCTATCAGATTACTTTGCCTTTCTCATCAAGGCAACCCTCTCTGAAGGAGATGCTGTCAGGATAGAAGGTAACTCCCTCTTCTTTGGCATGGGGGCATGGGAGAAGAAACAGGGGGAGAGAGGTGGAATGAAAGCAGCTTAAAGAAAGAGCAATTTCACCCATGACTCCACTCAGCCCAGGCACCCCAAAACTAGTGCAGGATGAAGGGCAACCCTCCCTTTCCCTCTTTCAGTCTCAATCAGCACAGCCCTCTCAGAGTGTGAGCCCTTGGCTTAGGTGAGGGTGACTCTTATATTTGAATCTTTGTATTTTCTGTACAAAGTGACTTCTAAATACAAACTAACATTCTGGCAATTTAGTGAAGAAGCAAAATCTTTTCCAACATCTGCTGGAAGCTTCCAAAGGTCATTCAGACAGGAATTTTCACCTTCTGTGATGACACTAGCACCTCCCTGCCATGGATAATAGAACTCCACGGAAGTTGCTTTGTTCACACTTAACCTTGGTCCCTGAACAGCCCCCCACCTTTTTAATCTACCTATCTATGCACTACCTGTCCATGTTTTTCTCATTTTGCAGCATCCTAGGAACCAGTCCGTGGGTTCCCAGACCAAGAAAGTACTCATAACACATTTAAAATAACAGATGTGTGTGTGTGTGTGTGTGTGTATGTGTGTGAAAGAGAGAGAGAGAGAGAGCCAGAGGCAGAGAGACTGATTTACTCAGACCCTCCCCACTTCAGTTTTCTCCTTTACTATTTATCTGTCCCTGGAGGCAAATGCAACCAGACATGAGTGCACAAATGGCCACCAACTGGCAGTATTACTTAAATCTAACTTTTTTTTAGGGGGAGGAGGAGGTCATTATTCCTGCAAATATGTCTATTCTTAGATGGCTGCAATTACCAATATATATTGCTTGTTGTAGCATTCACTAGGAGTGGAAAGTATTATCAAATGACCTGCAGAAAAAGTAATCCGAGAACTTTAATGCTTTTCCCTGTGGTGTTAGGACCAAGTGTTGTCTGAACCCAAGTACCTGGAAGTGCCTAAGGCTGGTCAGGGGTCTGTTTGTGAGGAGCAGTCAAAGGGCTAGCAATAAACACTTAAGAGAATTGAACTCATTTTAAAAAATGAATTTTTAAAAAATGACATGCTTCCCTGTGGGTAGAATAAGAGGATCAGGTGAGATCAGTGGTTTTCAAATGTCAGCCAATGGACTTGTTCCTAGACTGCTGCAAAATGAGAAAAGAAAAACAAGGACAGGTAGTGTGTGTGTGTGTGTGTGTGTGTGTGTGTGTGTGTGTATACACATATATGCATATATATACACATACATGCGTGTGTGTATATATATGTGTGTATATACACACACACACGCAGGTAGCGTATGCACACGGACACACACACCCTCCTAAATTTATTTGCTACAAAGGACTTTTCTTTATTCCAAGATTATATGATTATATCCTGGTGGTGAGTGATAACAGATGGCCACTTAAAAGACATGCCTTTGATTGACAAAATTTAAAAGTGAGCAATTTGATACCAGTCATTAAATCACTTCAGTCCTCTCCCCTGCTGCTCTTATCTCCAATATGGGTCCCAAGCATCTGAGCAAACTACCATTCCTGTAGCAAACTCATGTACTTTCATGTGTTTGAATGGTGTATTTTCCGGGAGATGAATGTTCTCACCTTGTCCTACAAGGGAGTTTGTATTCACCCTCCAAGACTCACATAGAGTGTCACCTTCTCTCGGAAGCCTTCCCTGATGACTCTCACCCACATTCATGCCTGCAAGGTACCTGTTCATTCTATGGTGCCACAGATCTGAATCCATATTTCTGTCGTGGCACCTGGGAGTTTTGGGTGCAGTTTTCTTTTGTATTTATGTTTCTCCTGTGAGCTAGAGAACCTTGAACAGGGTGAAGTGGCAGTCTGTTTGTTTCTCAACTCTGTAACTCCAAGTCACAGCACTGGGACTGACATATGAGTTCTCTCAATCAGGGTTCAGCTGAACATACCTGGAACACTCAAATCAGGGTAGCCTCGAGAGATTCTGCTAGAGACTGTTAGCCTGGTGTAGAGGACTCACAAGGAATAGGACAGGAGTCTGCTTCCAGGAAGAGCAAACACTCCATGATTCCTGGCACCATATCTGGAGTAGAGGCAGGGACGATGGTGTGGAGAGTGCAACCAGCAGGAGCTGAGACCGTCTGGGCAGCAGCCAGGCCATGGTGGCCAATAGGGAGAGAGCCGAGGCCTTTCCCTTCTTCCTCCAGTCTCCTGTAGGGACTGCCCCTTGGGTGGAAGCCAGGCCTTGAAATGCCTGGGAAAGACGGGAGCAAAGGCTTTACTTCGTCAAAAAGCAACCTCACTTCAGTTGTGGGCTATGTGAGTCTTTGTACTACACTGATTAGTTAAGCACATTTTACAGATGAGGAATTGGAGGCTCAGAGAGGTTAAGAAACTTGTCCAAGGTCTCAAGCTTCTTTGTGAAAGCAGCACAGCTGTATCACAGCTCTGGCTGACTCTCAAACACATACACTTTTACCTCCTACTCCAAGTATCTCTTGGTTTCTGGGTGACATCCCTCAGCCAACCTTCGAAGACAACCAACACAGAATGGGGTTCACTTTTTTGGTAACCTATCCAACACTTATCTCATTATGTTTAATGGATGAATAGAGAGATGGAGACATGGTTGAATGGAGGAAGGGAAGAAAGGAGGATGGATGGATGGATGGATGAATGGACAGATGGGTGGACAAATGAATGGACAGACAGATGGACAGACAAATGGACAGACAGATGGAGAGACGGATGGATGGTTGGATGAATGGATGGATGGACAGATGGACAGACAAGTGGATGGATGAACGGAGAGACAGATGGACAGAAAAATAGATGGATGAACGGACAGACAGATGGACAGACAAATGGATGGATGGACGAATGGACAAACAGATTCATGAGTGCATGAAGTGGCTTAACTTCCGTTGTGACTTGAAAACAGTCAATGAGCAAGAAGTACTTCAGGGCAATTTCTTTTTTCCAAATATTTCCCTCTTAAAAATTATTTTATTTTTAATTGGCAAATAATAATTGAATATATTTATGGAGTACAACCTGATGTTTTGATATATG
This sequence comes from Homo sapiens, assembly GCF_000001405.40. Classification (NCBI taxonomy): domain Eukaryota; kingdom Metazoa; phylum Chordata; class Mammalia; order Primates; family Hominidae; genus Homo; species Homo sapiens. Next base: position 29,336,296 of record NC_000019.10, on the reverse strand, counting down.
TATGCATTATTGAATGATTAAATCAAGTCACTTAACACATTCATCACCTCGCATACTTATTTTCTGTGGTGTGAACATTTAAATTCTACTCTTTTAGCAATTTTGAAATATGCAGTACATTATTATTAACTATCATCACTTGCTGTGCTATAGATCACTAAAACTCTTTCCTCCTGTCTCTCTGAGACCTTGTATCCTATGACCAACATCTTCCCTTTTTCTATTTCTCCCACCCCAGTCTCTGGTAGCCACCATTTTTACTCTGTACTTCTATGAGTTCAAGTTTTTTAGATTCCACATATAAGTCAGGTCATGCAGTATTTGTCTTTCTGTGCCTGACTTATTTCACTTGGCATAGTGTCTTCCAGGTTCACCTATGTTGCAAAAGATCAAGTGGGATTTACCCCTGGGTGCAAGGAAGTCTCAACACATACAAATCAATAAGTGTAATACACTATATTAACAGAATGAAGGGCACAAAACACATGACCATCTTAACGGATGCAGAGAAAGCATTTGACAAAATTCAAGGTTCTTTCATGATAAAAACTCTCTAATAGGTTTAGAAGGATTGTATGTCAACACAATAAAGGCCATATGTGACAAGCCCACAGCTAACATCATATTCAATGGTGAAAAGCTGAAAGCTTTTTCTCTAAGACCAGAGACAAGACAAAGAAGATCACTCTCACCACAAAATTAATATTTAAAAAGTAGTGTTTCTGCACACTAACAATGAACTATTCAAAAAAAGAAATTTTAAAAATCCAGTTACAATAGCATAAAAAACACTTAGGAGTGAATTTGAGGAGTTGAAAAATCTGTATGCTGGAAACTATAAAGCATTAATAAAAGAAATTGAAGATGACACACATAAATTATGGTACATTCTTATTTTGCATCTTGCTTTTCTACTTTGCAATGTTTTGAGAAACATTTCCTCTCAGTTTACAGGAATGTGCTCTATTCTCTTTATGGGCTGTCTACTCTTCCTCAGTCTGGATGGTTTATGATTTATTAATCATTAAAGCATAAAACAGACAGAGAATCTGGTTGATATATTCTTGGTTCTTTCCAGTGTTTGCTACACAACATGAACGTGCTCACTCATGTACTACTTTGCACGTGTGTAAAAGTAAAGTTGTGTAAAATAAATTGCAACTTGGAACCAACCCAAATGCCCACCAGTGATGGACTGGATAAAGAAAATGTGTAAATGGCACACATACACCATGGTGTAAATGGCACATACGCATCATGGAATACTATGCAGCAATAAAAAAGAATGAATTCATGTCCTCTGTAGGGACATGGATGAATCTGGAAGTCATCATTCTCAGTAAGCTAACACAGGAGCAGAAAACCAGACACCACGTGTTCTCACTCATAAGTCGGGGTTGAACAATAACACATGGACACAGGGAGAGGAACATCACACACCGGGGTCTGTTGGGAGTTCGGGGGCAAGGGGAGGGAGAGCATTAGGACAAATACCTAATGCATGCGGGGCTTAAAACCTAGATGATGGGTTGATAGGTGCAGCAAACCACAATGGCACATGTATACCCATATAACAAACCTGCACGTTCTGCACATGTATCCCAGAACTTAAAGTAAAATTAAAAAAAAAGAAATTGTGTAAAAATCATAAAAATGCAATTACATAGTCTTAGGTATTAACATTCTAAATTCCTGTAGATGTTGCCAAATAGCTCTTCCTGCCAGTCAGAATAAGCTTGTTGACGCAGTGGGTCATAAGCAGCACCACATCGTCCTGGTTCAAAATAACAAAGGGTTATTTCTTTCTAACATTCGTATCTGTCTTGGATCCTGGGGAGGGACTCAATTCTGCATCGTCCCCCCTCTGAGACCCAGGAGGACAGCACAGCCACAATCTGGAGCAATTATGAGATTCACAGCACAGGGACCCTAAAAGGGAATGTACTGAATCATGGACTGTGTCTCCCACTTTTTGCTTGGAAGTGACACCTTTGTATTTGATTGGTGAAAGGAATCACATGGAATGGATCTGTGCCATCCTGCCACGTGTCCCAAGGATGAGTGAGCAATCCTGGTGACTGCTGTCCTCTGCAGAGACCACGCCTGGGTCCCCCACCCTCTCCAACACAGGGTCTCGGCAGACCCCTTAATTGTGGCCTATCTGACAGATGAAAAAAATCTTGCCTATATATATGTGTGTGTGTGTGTGTGTGTGTGTGTGTATGTTTTATTTTACTTTTTGTGTAAATACATAATATGTTATATAAAGCTTACATATATATTTTATAGATATATGAGACATCTCATATATCTCTGATGCCTTATTTTATTAAATAAAAATCTAATTTCACAGACGTTTATTTAATTATATTCCTTCTTCCTTCATTCAAACACTTCCCTAAAATGGTCATTAATCTGTAGGGATACAGGTAAGCTGGGCATGGTGGTCTTGGAAATCCTCCTACAACTCCATCGAATCATTTGTTTCTCTGGCGCTGAGTCCCTGTCCTTGGTGGGCAGGGTCTGGACTGTGCTGGGCAGTGAGCACACTGGCCCTGTCAAGGCAGGTGTGCGATGCTGCCCTCAGGAAACTGGCTACCTAGTGCTATGGACTTCACGAAGAGTCATCAGCTTTAGTAGTTCTGCATCCAGGTGTTTGCATGTTTGTCAAGGGTTTGGTTTTTATTTTGTTTCCAAAGACGATTTATTGTTGCTGACACATAAAAAGGGGGGTAAAACACTGTTATCTAGAAATCTAACACATAATCCCCTTACTATGCTCTGATTATTAGCATGCCCCTCAATCTGAATGTTCACCCAATTAACTTCTAAAGAGGCTTTCCTGCCCTCCAGAGATGCTGAGCAAATAGTGTTTGTGGCCAGAGTACAATAAAGAGTCCAGGAAAAAGAGAGAAGGGACCCACCCCTTTGAAATGAAAGGGACAGCCGGGCACAGTGGCTCATGCCTGTAATCCCAGCACTTTGGGAGGCAGAGGCAGGCGGATCACGAGGTCAGGAGATTGAGACCATCCTGGCTAACATGGTGAAACCCCGTCTCTACTAAAAATACCAAAAATTTGCCAGGCTTGGTGGCGGGCGCCTGTAGTCCCAGCTACACGGGAGGCTAAGAAAGGAGAATGGCATGAACCCGGGAGGCGGAGCTTGCAGTGAGCCGAGTTCATGCCACTGCACTACAGCCTGGGCGACAGAGGGAGACTCCATCTCAAAAAAAAAAAAAAAAAAAAAAAAAAAAGAAATTAAAGGGACAAACCCACAAGAAGGGACGTCAAAGGTGGTGACAGCATGCTGGCAGAATGCCTTGGTTGAGTGAATGTATGCGTGTGTGTTTGGGCTGCAATTAAGACATTTTCTTCCCATGGGCACATTGGGGTCCAGCAGTCTGACTTCCTTGTCACGGAACAAGGCAGTCAGCAACGGTGTGTGTATGCACTTAATTTGCAGAGCTTGTAAAATTCAGGAAACAAAAATGGACAGAAACATCCAGTTTTACCTTGGGACAACATATAAACTATATTCCAGGGCTCCTTCTCATCTTCAGGGATCTCTGCTGGGAGGCCCAAGTGGTCCAGCAGAGTTGGGTGGAGAGAGTGAGGTGCAGGAACAGCACAGCCTGCCATGATGACTGGGCTAGAAGAGAGTGAACGCCACTGCCTTCCCCATGTGGATTCATTGTGTGCAGGTGCAGGGTGACAGAAGAAACCCCTGTTCAAATTGAGGGCATTTGCTGGGTTACTTGCTTTTATTTTTGACATAAAGTCAACATAACCTACACACTTGAAAAATGGAATCAAAACAGGAAGATTGCAATATTGCTAAACAGAGTTTGGTGGGCTGTGGGTGAAATCTAGCTCCTAGATACATTGTTTTGGCTCTCACAAAGTGTTACAAAAGTTTTAACATTGAGTCGTCAAATTAAAAAAAAATTAACCAGAGGAGATTTCATGTAAAAATCAACCCTTCTGGTTTCTACTAAAAAAATGGGAATTTCTGTCAATCTTGAGTCTTAGCCCCATGCGACAGCCTGCTAGTAGAGCTTGGTGGCCCCTAAGATGGGGCAAGGGCATGGATTCAACAGTTTGCCACAGTCTTCACCCTTCCCTATTGCTTTATACCTTGCCTTTTTCCATAACTTATGGGACCACTGAGCCCTGTAGGCAGTTGAATTTTTGTGCTCTGTCATGACTGATGGTATAGATTATAGCTATTTTGGGGGAAAAAATCCCTCATGAAGTTAATTTATTTCAGTCTTTTGGGACAGACTCCAAAATAGGCTACCAAGCCTTGTTAGTAAGAGCCCCACTGCAGTGGTGGAGCCTTGATTTTCCAGTAGCAGCCCAAGGTCAAGGCTCATAAATCATCTCACAGCACCCCTGGCTGCTCAGAGCCTCGGTCATTCTGTTAGTTCAGAAGGGTGGGGCAGGTGCATCATTCTTGCTTTACAGACAAATAAACCGAGGTTCACAGAGGTTAAGTTACTCACCTCAGGTCACTCAAGAAGATAATGATGGTTGTTTGTGGATCTCAGGATCCAGGCTCCTCTATTCATCATAATCATTCCACCACCTGTACAGTTATTTATATATTTTTCTTTAAATTGAATATACACACAAAGGAATTCATTTGCATTCTATTGGAATGGGATACAATTCTGTCCTTTGTAATGGAAATTTACAAAATGTGCCATGAATTGGCAACTCCAAATGTGTTGTGCATGGATCTTTAGGAATGCGCATTCTCCAGTTCTCTCTCCTCTCTTTCCTCCTCTCCCCCTTCCCCAACTCTCTCGACTTACCTAATTAGAGAGAATGACAATGCCAATGGATGGCAAAGCCCCAGGGGAAATGTGGGGCATCACAGATGGAAGATAAGTGACCTTCAGCCCATATGCTCTGGGCTTTTGAAGGGAGTCTTCCTCTACAGGTCTTCTGAGATGCACCCTGATTCTGTTGACAAAGAGAGGTCAAGCCAGGTGCCCTGTGTAACATGCTTAGATGCCAGCATCTTTTTCTGAGGTCATGTGGAGGTGTGAAGGTGAGACCAGCTGGGGCTGGAGGGGGTCTCATTCCTCCAAAGATGAGTACACAATTATTGACCTTCATATGCTGCTTTAGATGTTGAGGTGGGGGGTGCAGGTTTAGGAGGCACAAGTTTAAACCACTTTTGTGCACCTGCTATGACGGGCACTGGGCTTAACATGGGGAGACAGGCATCAAGTCTCAGGCTGGGGAACAAGTCCTACAGAAGGAGACCCAGATGTCCTGGTAACAGGTCAGATAATGGAGACGTTAGGAGATCTGCTATGGGGCAGCAGGACTTAGGTAGCCTAGAAAGTTGAATTTAGAGTGGAAAAAAAAAACACCAGAAGCAATTGCCTGGAGAGGTAATTTGTCAAAATATTTTGTCTGCATTTGAAAGAAACAGAACCTCCTGTAGCTCAGGCAAGGAGATTTTATTGGTTTACATCAATGGGAAAGTCCAGGATTTGTGGCTTGGGATGGCCAGATGCAGATGCGAACAGTGTCACCAGGATCCCACGACGGTTCTGCCCTCCTTCATGCTGTCTGCTCCTCAGGCATCCCTCAGTGGTCCTCAGCCAGGAGCCTCAGGGAAAACTGGCTCCCGCTCCTAACGGTGGTCTAAGAGCTGAAGCCCAGTGGCTCTGACTGCCTGCTTGGGCTGCCTGTCCATGCCAAGCCAGTGACCTTCAGCAGGGGATGTCATGCCTGGCCAGGTGCCTGCTGTGGAGTCCACAGTGAAGTCAGACTTCTTGAGCCGTGTGGGCTGGGAATTGGGAGGGGCATTCTTCATCAGAAAACCTGTTTCCAGAAGAGCTGGATTTGTGGGGCAGCTGGAGATGACAATCATCTTCTCTTAGCCTCAAAGACAGGCTGGACTGTATGATGGGCAGGCACCTGGAGGGGGTGTGAGGCCAGCAGAGGGCCGAGGTGCCACCGTGAGCTTAGTGATGCATTCCGACAAGGCTCCGAATTCACCAGATGCCATTCTGCCCATTCCTTCTTTCCATAAACATGGAAGGGGGAAGGACTTTAATTGCATCCTGACAAGAATATTGTCCTTTAATGAGTCCCTGCAGTAATCTTCTAAAGTCATGGTCATCATGCCCAGCTGTGGGAAACTTTTTGTCCCCATGGAGAAACTTTTCTTTCCCATGGATTTCCAAAGAAGGCACCAAAACCACACTCAGGGCAGATCTATAAACCATTGTGAGAGGAAGGACAAGGAGGACCCCCATATTTCCCAACAACCACCTTTGGGTAGTTCTGTGGAATGTTTGCTGTGTGACCTTAGGCAGGTCACTTAACCACTCTGAGCTTTGGTTTCTTTGCTTTTGAAATGGGAACAAGTTGAGGGCTGTAGCAATGGTTAGAGATGATGTGTGCACAATGCCCAGCATGTAGCCGGTGCTCAGTAAGTCATGATTACGTGTATCTTACACTGTTAAGAACGCTGGGTGGAGGCTGCACTCTTAATCAGGGAGTTCCCTCTGTGGTCCAGCTTGGCTCTGTTTCCCCAGGGCCATCTTGGATTTAGCATGCTCTCACCCTCACTGCCACTAACCTACGCAGGGAGCTCTCCCAGGTGCTGAAGCAAGCCTGTCCCCATGCAATCCACTGGTGCAGAGGTCACAGAAGTGAGTCAAGCATGTGCCTCCCTAGGGAGCCCTGTTGCTGGTGGCCAGGCTCTGCTGTGGCTGGAGGAGCAACCCTGCCATGCCAAGTCAGCAGGAAAGGACAAGGTGCCTGCCAGGCTGTCGGAATGATGGCATCTCCTCATCTTGGGCTCTCTGCCAAAGCAGAAATTTCATGTCCACCTCTTCCCAAACAAGAAGTCTGTGGCTCTGGGACATGTGGCCTCCAGGACAGGAAGGACCACCTGGAGTAATGTCATCTATGCCTGTGCGTGACCCAAGGCTAAGGTTAGCCTCTCCCAGCCTCAGTGAGCTCCAGGCCTCTTGGACGTCCCCAGAGAGCTCAGGAGGAGCCCTAAGTAAACCTGAACTTGCTCTGCCTCCCTTCCTTCCTCTCCACCACCTACAACCAGTCTGGCTTTCTCAGACTCCTGAGTTTCTGCACCACCAGCCTCTCTTCTGTCCCCTGAGATGTGCCCTGCAGCTTCTCCTCCCTGCAGTGAGCACTCAGGCTGCATGGTGACAGGGCTTCCTTCCGGTTGCTCTCCTGGCTCCTCTCTTCCCATACAGAATGCACACAGGGCCTATCTCCTTCCTGCAGGAAGCTTGTCCCTCATGGGCCCATCCCAAAAGGCCTCACAATGGCAATGCCTCCAGAAGGATGTCCCTGAGAAGAAGCCCTCCTCTGGGACTGGTTCTTTGCAGCCTCTTACTGCCTGGAACTCAGCTCTGGGTACCATGGAGGGCACTAAGAGGAGGAGGGAGGCCCTGCCATGCAAGCATCGCCCATCCAAGCCCTGCCAGCCTCACTGGGTCCTGGGGAGGAGGGAGGAAATTTGCCAGTGAATTTGCATTGAATTTGAATATGTATTTGCATCTACTTTGCCATGACTGTGAAGTCGAGTCCCCAGGCAATTTCTAACTCAATATTTTAGGGCTGTCACCCTTAAGACTGTGAGCTTCTTTTTCTCTTCTCTGTCTTCTAACACAGTGCTGTGGACTCTGAGATTATCATCATGAAAGCTGAGCTAGGAAGGGAGAGGCAGAGTTGAGAGTGTAGAGGGCATGAGAGTGAGGAAAAAGAGGGTCATAGCTGCCACTTGCCTTGGTGGGGTCCAGCTTGGAAAAGTCACTCCTGCCCCTTGGGACCAGGGCTTGTGACCGAGGTGCTTGGATCTGCGCTATTTTTTTTTTTTGCACATACCTGCTTGGTATGGTTTGGCTGTGTCCCCACCCAAATCTTACCTTGAATTGTAATAATCCCCATATGTCAAGAGCGGGGCCAGGTGGAGATAACTGAATCATGGGGACAGTTTCCCCCATTCTGTTCTTGTGGTAGTGAATAAGTCTCATGAGATCTGATGGTTTTATAAAGGGGAGTTCCCCTGCACATGCTCTCTTGCCTGCCACCATGTAAGATGTGCCTTTGCTCCTCATTCACCTTCTGCCATGATTGTGAGGCCTCCCCAGCCATGTGGAACTGTAAGTCTGTTGAAACTCTTTCTTTATACATTACCCAGTCTCTGGAATGTCTTTATTAGCAGCATGAGAACAGATTAATACACTGCTTATTTCCTTTTTTAAAAAGTGCAGATTTATGAAAAACCCATGAGAAAATGGGTTACATGTATATAGTGTGTGGTGATAGAATTGGGGTATTCAGGATATTCATCGCCTGAGTACAATACATTTTGGTTAAGTATCATCACCCCACCCTGCTATCAGACACTGAACTTATTCCTTTTGTCTTACCGTATGTTTGCACCCTTTAACCCACTTCTCTTCTTCCTCTGGATCTGTGCTATTAATGCAGAGCATCACTGATGTATTGAGTAGCCACCACCAGGCCCTGGCTTTGGGAAAGAAACATGAACAGACCCCTCTTGCCTTCAGTTGCTCGTGGCCTGGCGGGAGAGACAGACTTCTGCCAGGGAGGCATTGGCTGGGTCTGTGTTAGAGACCTGTGTCGGTCCAGCAGAGGCACTGAGGTGGGAGGAGCTGTTACCCTCACCTGGTGGGGAGGTGGGGACGGTGAAAAGCTGCCTAGAGAAGTGAATGCTTGAAGTGCACCTTGGAAGGGGAGAGGGTGTCCTCCAGGCAGGAGGAGAGGGAAGAACACCCAGGGAGAGGCTGGGGAGGCGGGATGCTCTGCTGAGTGCCCACATGAAGGGTGGAACTTGCAAGCTTAGGGGTAAGGAGGGGCAGGGACAGGCGAGGTAGAGATCAGGCCAGATGCTGAGGGGCCTTAAAAGGGCCCCCTGAGGAGTTGAAGTTGTAAACAGCAGATGACGGACATTCCTGGGAGGGGCTAAGCCAGAGTAGGGTGTGGGATGCTCCGCATGTTAGTTTTAGCCTCCTGTCTCCTACCAGAGTTGGGCTTTTCAAGGGCAGGAGCTGCAAGCCTCGTGAGAAATTGTCCTCAGGGCCCTTGCATGCAGGGGCCCTCAATAAGTGTACAGCACGTACATTCAGTAGGTGCACAGTGCGTGTCTGTGGTAAACAGAGTTGTGAGCTCCAGATGCAAAGAGCTGGCCTGCCCAGACCAGCATGCGGCCTGCTCCCAGCTAAACAGTAGACTTCCTGGCCAGGTGTGCTGGCTCAGGCTTGTGATCCCAGCACGTTGGGAGGCTGAGGCAGGAGGATCACTTGAGGCCAGGTGTTCCAGACAGGCCTAGGCAACATAGCGAGACCCTGTTTCTACATAAAATAAAAACTTAGGTGGGCATGAAGGTGGTAGTAGTGTAGTCCCAGCTATTTGGGAGGCTGAGGTAGGAGGATCGCGTGAGCCCAGGAGTTGAAGGCTACAGTGAGCTATGATTGTGCCACTGCACTCCAACATGGGTGACAGAGCAAGACTCTGTCTCAAAGAACAAAACAAACCAGTAGGCTTCTTTCAGGAGGTGGGCACCCTAACAAAGACAGTGGGGAAGGAGGATGGGGTAGAAAGGAGCGGAGCACGAGCTAACTCTGAGGCCTGGAGGAGCACAGAGTGGGAGGCCAGAAATGACAGTGGCACGGACCTGGCAGTTCTGAGTCAGAGCAGCTGGAGATAGTGTGGGTGGGGTCCCTCCAGCCAAGCAGGGCACTGAGGAAAGTGGGAGTTAATGGAACAGCCTTGACTCCACCCACTTTTAAGTGACTCAGTGCTAAGGCTTGTGTCCCTCATCTCCTACCCCCACTCCCTCCCCAGGCATAAATAACCAGAGAAAAGAGAATCAGGGAAGCCAGTGGCCTAGGGGTGTCACGGGGCCTCTTGCATGGGCAGAGTAAGGTGGAGAGGCCCGACAGCTCTTTAACAGAGCTGGCATTCTAAGAACAAACACTGCCCACCATCCCCAGCTGAAGCGTGCTATTTTTTGTTATATTCATCTATCACTGTAAATTGCCTGCTACTGTTGCCTGGAATTTGTTTTCGTAGTTCAGAGATGCTGGGCTTTATTTAAAAGAATGGAAGAAAATAAGGAATGAGCAGAAATTATCAGTGGACCTCACTTTCCAGAAAAATCCCCAAATAAAAAACACTAACCCAGTTATGAGACAAAAAAGATCTAGCAGATGAAAAGGGTCTTCCCTTTCTATGTACAACTGTCCCGTGGGGTTCTTGGAAACTACTCATTTTCCCTGTATGTCTGAGTATTGGAGCTTGGAAATTAGAGGAAAATGAGAACTCAGTTGTAAGCAGGATTTCCCTAAGTGTGTTCTGCAGAGCTGTCAATCAGTGGTTGAATATGTTAGGAACACGTTGTGACCTCGGTCTGGTGCCTCTTTTCTATTCTTGGAGCATGCACTGCACATGCAGGTGTGCACGGCAACTTTGGCTTATCCTGCAGGGCTGGCTGCACAGGGGTGAGATGTGTGTGGGCTCTCGGGCTCCAACTCAGGAGGGCTCTGCGCCTAGTGTCACGTTCTGTGGTCTTGCAATTCTTTATACTTTCTGAACACAGGTCCTGTGTTTTCACTTGGTGCCAGGCCCCACATGGAAGGCTCTGACATGTCCAGTAGTAAAGAAACCCATTTGATTTTGCTCCACACATCATTTCTTAAAGCTGTCTAAATTTTATCTTAGTTCGAGCTGCTGTAACAAGATACCATAGACAAGTTGGCTTAAACAACAAACAGTGATTTCTCATGTTTCTGGAGGTAAAGAAGTCCAAGATTCAAGGTGTCCAGTGAGGAGCCGCTTCCGGGTTTGCAGACAGCCATCTTCCTGTTTCCTCGCATGGCAGAGGGCAGAGACAGGAAGTGATCTCTTTCATGTCTCTTCTCCTAAGGCACTGATCCTTTTATGAAGGTTCCACCCTCGTAACCTAATCACCTCACAAAACACCTACCCCCTAATACCATTACCTGGGAGGTTAACATTTCAGCATATGAATTTTGAGGAGATGGAAGCATTCAGTTTATAGCAAATGTGAATCATTATTTTAAAGGAACACCTATTAATGACCTGTGGAATTCATATTTCTCAGAATACACTTTACAAAGACCTCACACCTCAAAGTAAGAAATATGTTTTTGAAGAGAAAGCAGCTCAGAAACGGGGATGTGTGAATATGGGAAGCTTGAGTTTGAAGTTCCTAAAGTCAACCTCCAGTTCTTCTGGGAGCATGGATGCTGTGGAAACCAGTGCCGCCTGGCAGTCCGGGTGAGGGGGACAGGGGATTCGGGCACAGTGAGGAGGCCGACCTGGGACTCAGAGCCTAGGCTGCCTTTCCACAACTTGTCCTCACCATAGCCACACATCTGGGCTATCCCCACAGGGGGCCACTTTACATGGAGAGAAAAGAGACAGCGTGGTCATTTGATGTCATGTGGGCAAATGAAATGTGAGAGTAAATGTAATTTAATTCTAAAGTTCTGTTAGTTATTTTACTCTTAAGCTGTGTTTTGGGGTTGTCCATGCTGGTCTCAGCCACCCCCAGACAAGGAGGGTGACTCCAACCCTATAATAAGCTCATGGCACGCCACTCAGGAGCCACCTGGAGCCCACCTGGCTGTGGGGAGAGTGGGATATGCCCCTCCAGGGTCAGTTCAAATGACCTCCCATCCACCTGAGCACTTTTGATCAGCATCTCTGGCCTGCCTGGGGGTAGCAACTTTGTATCCACCAATTCTGACTCTTCGTCCATGAGCCCAGGAGCTGCGCCATACCTGCCAGCCATACAGGCACTCTGTGAGCACCCAGCCTGGAGCCTAGCATGGAGAGGACACAGGTCACCACAGCACTGTTGGATCACATGGTGAAAATGCCCACTCCAGAGGTGGCAGCCGGGGCGGCCCACCTTCCCCAGACAGTCTTCGTCCGAATCTGTCATCCAATCCCTTATTCCCCGCTCAACTGCTTCTCCAAATCACACCATCCTCACCACTGACAGAATGAAGCTCATACTCCACAGTGGCACATCTGAGCCCATGGGAGTCCCAGCTCACCCTATTTTCCCATCTCATTTTCCAGGGTTGATCATGCAGCCCATGATCTGGACAAAGGGAACAACTTACCAATCCTTTTACCGGCTGGGTGCCTTCTCTCTGCCGCTTGCGCTGGGCCTCCCCTTGGAATGTGTCTCTCCTCACTTCCCTCTCTGCTTGTCCAGCAAAGCCTTTGCTGGTTCAAACGTCTCCTGGTCCTTGAAGCCGTTTCTAATCACTCAGCTCATACTCCAGCCTCAGTTACACTCCTCTGGCACTGTCTTTGAGTACCTCGACAAGCAGATCCTGGAGTAAGAACCTGGTTGCAGGTCATCTATGTCGGGGGCAATCCCAGGAGGCAGGAATGGGGACATGGGGGCGGGGAGAAGGAGAGGGAGAGCAGCCATGAAGGGTGTGCTACTCGGCAGGTGGCCACTGTGGGCACCCTGGCCTTAGCCTTCTAGGACCTCCTGTGGAGCCGTGAAGAATGTGCTCCCCACCGGAGCTTCCCACCGGAGGCCCAGGAGGGCGAGGCTCTATTTCCCAGTGACTGAGGCTGCCCTGGTGTGGATTCCCCCAAACATCCTGGGGGAGCCTGCGTGTGGCTGAGCAGTGTTTTGTGGCATTGAGGAAGCCTCGGTCCATGCTTGAGGCAGGACCCTGGCAAACACAGGGTCCCATCTGCTGCAGCTGGGCTGAAATCTGGGGGCCAAGGGATGCATGGTGCATTCCAGCAGCAGCTATAAGCTGCTATTTTTCTTCTACTGGACCCCTGGAGGCTGGAGGCCTGTCTGACTCCTCCCTGCATACTCCAGCACCCCCACCATGCAGGCCTGTGGTAGGAATCATGGTGCTGGTGCATCGGAGGAATAATATCGGACACACGTTTCTCCACACGATCCCGAGCTTTGCTTCCAAGCTGCCTCGCTGCACATTTCCAGCTCACTAATGTCGGGGTTTTTTGTTTTGTTTTGCTTTTTAGAGATGGGGTCTTGCTCTGTCACCCAGGCAAACTGAACTAACTATGTCAGAACTGCATCCTCCACTGACAGTGTCAGCTGTGGCTGGGAGCAGCCGCCAACATTGCTGCATGCATCATCATTCTGCCTCAGCCCGCCCTCTAATTGCCTCCCAGCTCCAGGGCAGGGTCCATCCCAGTTTTCTTCTGGGACATTCCTGCAGTTTATTGCTGTTCCAGGTGTTCCTTTTGTTTCTTTCAAAAAGCATCAAGTGCAGCTTGTAATATTACAAAGAAAACATGTAAAACTCACTGGTTAGAAATACAGGTAAAAAAATCAATTAGGGAGTAGGGCGTGGTGGCTCTTGCCTGTAATCCCAACATTTTGGGAGGCGAAGGCGGGCAGATCACTTGAGGTCAGGAGTTCGAGACCAGCTGGGCTGACATGGTGAAACCCTGTTTCTTGTAAAAATACAAAAATTAGCTGGGTGTGGTGGTGGATGCCTGTAATCCCAGCTACTCGGGAGGCTGAGGCATAAGAATTGCTTGAACCTGGGAGGCAAAGGTTGCAGTGAGCTGAGATAGCACCACTGAACTCCAGCCTGGGTGACACAGTGAGACTGTGTCTCAAAAAAAAAAAAAAAAAAAAGAAAGAAAAAAAAAGAAAAATCAGTTCGGGGAAGGTGAGGGATTAATGCAACAAACTCTTGAGCTGAACCATGAACCGCAACTCAGCATTGCTAGACGAGGCTCCTGGCAGCCAAGGCAAAAAAAAAAAAAAAAAAAAAGCTCAGTGAGGTTATACATTTCCTTTGCAAATAAAAGGGAGCAAACGAGCTTGTCTAAAGTTATAAGCTTCATGCTACCAGTGAGCAGAAGGAAGGATTCAGAGCGTGGGCTCTAGAGGAAAGAATACAGGGTAATTGTGTATTTGCTTGCAGTTTTGCAAAACACAGAAATGTTTTCCAAGTGACTGCTGAGGATGTTCATCAAATTCAAGCACTGAATTTTATAACTGATTAGGAGCCTTTCTGCAAGACTCTAAAGTTAATACAGGCCAGCCACCTTGCATTTCTGGTCATTTAGCTCAGGGTGGCAACAAACTGAAATTCCCACAGAAGCTGAGCCAGGAAAATGAGAGAATGAGACAGGCCAGCTGTAACACAAACAGGAGCAATGGGGACTGCAGCAAATGAAAGAGCTTAAAGTGCAGCACGTTCCCGGCCATGGCTGATGCTGCCCGTGGAGGACGCAGTTCTGGCATCATCAGTTCAGTTTGCCAAACATGTTAGAAACCCGAATTTGTATGGCAGCTCCCATTTTTTAAACATTGGCAATCCTAATTTAAAACTTTACTAAGGCTGGATGCCATGGCTCACACCTGTAATCCCAGTGCTTCGAGAAGCCAAGGCAGGTGGAGCGCTTGAGCCCAGGAGTACAGGGCCAGCCTGGGCAACATAGTGAGATGCCATCTCTACAAAAAATAAAAATAAATACCTGGGCATGGTGGTGCATGCCTGTAGTCCCAGCTACTAGGGAGGCTGAGGTGGGAAGACCTCTTGAACCCCGGAGGCTGCAGTGAGCCATAGTAGTGCCACTGCACTCCAGCCTGGGTGACAGAGCAAGACCCCATCTCTACAAAACAAAACAAAACATTCCCAACATTGCTGCATGCTTCAGCCTACTTGCTTATGAGCCAACAGTGCGGGGTGATCAAGCTGAGAGCATGAGGAGGCCTGGGAAGGAGGGAGAGGTCTCTTAAGCCTTCAAAATTCTCCAATCACATTTGGGTAATTGCCTGTCCTTTATAGGAAAAGAGACTGACTTGTGAAGGGCCCAATCTGTGAAAAAACCTGCATAGAGGTGTTGGCTGTTGACCTGGTTCTCTTTGGGCATCATCTGCAGCCTGGCTGAGCTAGCATCACTCTCCTGGGGGCCTGCCTGCCTCTCCTGCTGTCTTTGCCTCCCTGGGTTGGGACACAAGCTCCCCACAGCTAGGAGGCTGCCCCTGCACCACCTGGCACACAGTAGGTGTTTAGTAGGTATTCATGGACTCTAAGGATGACAAACTCCCTCTGCCTCCCACATTGCACTGGACAGGGATTTTTCTGCAGTTCGTGCTCTAAGACACATTTAATTGAAATAGTGAAGGAAGTTTTGTCTACAAAACAAAGGCAGCTTTTCAGTTCCCTGAGAAGTGGCCCCGGGATGAGGAAATCTCACCCTAAAATCTTCCAGACGCATTGTCAAATCCACCGATCATTGCAGAGATCTATTCCCCAAGTTGCCTTGTGCAGGTCTGTCTGATGGCAATCCCGTAGCATCCCATGGTGGAGGCCATGCAATGTCTCTGCCTAATGGACCTCAGTGTTATTACAGTCATTCCTGCTATTTAGCCTAATTTCTCTGGCTCCTCCTGGCTCTGCCCACCCCCAGCACTTGCACCTGGAGTGGCCGCCGAACACTCTCTCCTCTGGGCCTCTTGATTAATTCTTCGCAGGTATAAATCGACAATTATTATGCCTCCCATTAGTCATCTCTCCTCTGGGCTGTACAAATTTAGTTCTCCTGATAGCAATGAATCACAGGACAAAGTGTTCATCTGCATCGCCTGCCAGCTCTTTCAGTCAAACTTGGTTTTTATAACACCTCATTGCAAGTCTCCTTAACATCTCTCTGTTCTGGACGTTAAATTCAAAGCTCTAATGGCATGGAGTCTGTCATCCTCACTCTCTCCGTCCTCCCTGAGATGTGAGGTCTTAGGTGCCTGGCATGGAAAGCAGATCTGGACACTCCTGTTCGCCTCATGCTGACACCTGGGCCGAGACGGGGGAGCAGATCAAGACTCACTCAAGAGCTGACAAAAATTGATAATAATGAGCCAATTTACATGGAAGAGACTCATTACCAAGCCAGTTACCAATACATGGGGTTGCTGGATTTCTGCCAATGCATAGGATCTCCTGCAGTGAGCGATTTTTCACCAGCTTGTAGAAAATCTTTCCAGCTTAAAAATACTTCAGGGAAATCATCTTTACAATAAAAAGAGAACTGTGAGTCTACAGCTGTGTGTGTATGTGTGTGTGGGATGGGGATGGCACACTGGGGGTGCTGATGACATCACATATAGACATTTGTGCCGTTTCTTCTCTTTTGGTCTCTCTCAACATTGAGACATGGGTGTAACTGATTTCTAGAAAGCCCCCTGAAATGACTGCTTAATTTTCAATACAACCAGCCAAGGCAATAAAACTGTAACTTGCGTGGAAGCAAAATGCTCATGATTTGAGGTCTATGATGGAATGTCCGGTCCTTGGAACCCCCAAAGACAATGTAGTAGAGACTAATTATGTGAAATTGGGCAGGAAGAGGGGGGAAGAGGAACTGAGTTTTGACCCCAGTAGAAAAGATTCTTACTGCCGACCTTTGGTTTTCATTATTTGAAAATTTCCAGGGGTTGTATTTCATTCCATTCTCTGATTTATCTTGTTGTGTGTGGACAGGATTTCAAGGAGCCAGAATCAAGCCGCTGTGATGCGGACCTGGGGAACAAGTTCAGATGAGATCTCCTTGTTCACCCTCACCTCTGTCCCCTCACCAAGCACTTTTCCATAGAGCCAAATCTTCAAAGTGCATCAGAAAGAAATGAGTTTGCATGGGCTGAAATAGGGGTCACTTTCTTCACACGAGGAAGCAAATTCAGGCCTCAAGTAAAGTGTCATGGCTTTGAGTGTTGTCTGTAAATAAGCCCCTTAGGTTGACTGCAGTTTTCTTTTGGGAATGATGCCCAACTCATGCTGGAGTCTAGCCTTCTGTCCTCTGAAAGCCTTGGGAGTAAAGCTTCTGTGACCAATGCACATCTGAAAGGCAGGGCGAGGGGCTGGATTGCTGGTGGTGGGCGCCATGCCTTTTCACCATGGCAGGGACCTCTTTGGAATGTTTGTGCCCATATGGGAAGTCAAGGACTCCCACCAGCTGCTCTCCCTGCCTCTTAAAAGGTTTTGCATGTCGTCTGCTCATCTAGGCTGTCAGCTCCCTAGAGACAGGGGCTCCTTCTGACATTCGTCCATCCCTCCATCTTCACGTGCCTGGTGTGTGGTCAGTGTGGGCATAATGGCTCATCCCTGTAATTCCAGTGCTTTGGGAGGCCAAGACAGGAGGATCACTTGAGCCCAGGAGGTGGAGGTTACAGTGAGCTATGATTGCACCCCTACACTCCAGCCTGAGCAACACAGTGAGACTTTGTCTCTAAAAATATATACACCTGGTGACTGGAAGCTGGGTGTGTGTAGCTTGGAGCCTGATGGTCCTCGGTTGACTCCCAGTTTCTTCTCTCCCTTTGCAGAACCTGAGGCAAAATATTTAACTTCTCTATCTTTCAGTTTCTTTGTACATAAATCAAGAACAATCCTGCCTTCCTTCCAGGGCTTGCAAAGGTGGCAGGAGGTGGCATGGGGTAAGGCTGAGCATGTTGTTGGGTCATCTCGGGTGAGCTGCGGGGGCAGGGAGGGAAGCCAGATTTCTGCTGGGAACTCTGGCAAGGGACCCTGTTTGGGCTGCCCCTGTCGTTCATTTTCTATAGATGGGCATTTCCTAGAGAAGATATGGTGCTGAAGCATTGGGAAAATCGGGCGGGGGGTTCCCTAACTCAGAGGTCTCTACACAGATGTCCTTTAGAGCTGGCAGCCAGATGCTCTAATGAGGAATTCCAGGTTGAGACACTCATGGGAGGGTGGGCTAGGGCTTGGGATTCCAGGGTGCAGATGGGATTCAAGATGCAGTGAGGGTTGTGTGTTATTCCTCTGCACTCACAGGTGGATGAAATAAGGGTCTACGCAGGACCGTTGCTTGCTTAGGGTCACATGTCAGGTTAGATGCAGAGACCTGGTTCTCTGAGCCCACAGTTGGGCTTTTGTGATGTGCTTGTCTGGATTCTTGAAGCAAGAGTTATTTCCCCTTGGCTGAAGAGAACCCTTGCTGCAATCCCACTCGGCCTTCTGAGGAAGGGCTGGCATCTCTTAGCCCAATCTTGGAAGCACGCTGAGCCTCCCACAGTCACTTTCCAGGGCACTGGATCTGGAGTTTGTACAAGGCTGACCGGCCTGGACCGGTTGCTGAACCAGGCCCAGTATCCCTTCTCTTTAACTGTTTTCTGCAGATGCATGAAATACAAACTACTGTTTGTCAGCCCTCTCCTGACCAGCAGCCACATCCTGAGAGCCCCCAACATGAACACAGTACCCCTTCCCTGTGCAGTCCAGATTCCCTTGCATGACCTGTGGCTGGATTTGCAGCATTCATCTTCATCTCTGAAAGCCTCTCTGCTGGTTACAGGTTGGGAGCCTGCATGTGTCCTGGTGTCTGTGTTTAGAGAGACCCTACAAGGGATGGTTTTTAAGAGGGCTTTTTATACAGCAGCTTGGAGGGGCTTGTTTGTTTATTTGTTTTTACATTTAATTACAAAGCTAGGTGGGGCATGGTGGCTCACGCCTATAATCCCAGCACTTTGGGAGGCCGAGGAGGGCAGATCACCTGAAGTTAGGAGTTGGAGACCAGCCTGGCCAAGATGGTGAAACCCCGTCTCTACTAAAAATACACAAGTTAGCTGAGTGTGGTGGCAGGCACCCATAATCCCAGCTACTTGGGAGGCTGAGGCAGGAGAATCACTTGAACCTGGGGGCAGAGGTTGCAGTGAGCTGAGATCTCACCACTGCACTCCAGCCTGGGCAACAGAGCGAGAGTCAGTCTCAAAACAAAACAAAAACAGCAAAGCTAAAAGGAGAGTTGCACAAAATCCAGGTAGATCTTCTAAGTATCTGAATGTTAAATAGGCTCTGGGGAATGTGTAGGACATAAATACACTTAATTTTTACTCTTAAAAAGTTATCCTCTCTGTTCTTGCTGATATTTTCTGCTTCTTCCAAGCTGGGCAAGTTCTCCCCAGTATGTAATTTTTGACCCTAGGAGGACATCTGAGCTCCTGTACTCAGCATTTCCCACATCTGCTGCCCAAGAGAACCCGGGCTTGGGCCTCCCTTGCTCCAGATATGCGGAAAATCATAGTTTGAGTGGGAGGGAAATTAAAACAGAAAACCTTCCAATGTGCTGACTCTCCAGGACATCACGACTCCTTGGGGAGGAGCTGCTGAAGGGGCACTAGAGAGAGAGGCCAGGATGATCTTCCTTCCGAGGTGTGGCCATCTTAGTCCTCATTGCCATCTTCCTTCCAACCACTGTTGGGACTCCTTTTCTTTCTCAGGACCTGGTGTCCCCATCTGAGCCATGGGAGCCTGGACATAATGCCTTCTCATCCACACAGGTGGCTTTCATGACCATAGCCTTCCTGCCTTTGGCCACCACTGGGGCCTTCAGCCTTTAGACCTCTGAAGAAGTCGAGGCCAGCCAGCACAAGGGCCCTGGGGATGGAGTCCTTGGAGGCCAGCCTCATGAGGCAAGGCTCAGAACCCAGAGGAGAGGTGGGGGCAAGCAGTTGACCACCACATTTCTCTTGGAGGAAGCCGTTAGGCCACGTGGACTCTTCCTGTAAAACAGGCCCTCTCAACATCTGTCTTAGTGCGTTTGGGTTGCAATAACAAAATACCTTAGACTGAGTGATTCAGAAAGAACAGGAACCTATTTCTCACAGCTCTGGAGGCTGGAAAGTCCAAGATCAAGGCACAGGCAGATCTGGTGTCTGGCAAGGACCCATTTCTACCATTGGTACCATCTAGATGTCCTTGTGCAGTGGGAGGGACAGACGGGCCTCCTTTTCCCTCATGCCCTCGTCACCTGCCAAAGGCCCCATCTCTTCATACCAACACACTGGGGAGTAGACTTCAATGTGGGAATTTTGGAGAGACATAAGCATTAAGATCATAACATCATCTAGAATAAAACAGGCTCAGGGGGAATATGTAGCCGATAAAAACACTTAATTAATTCCTACACAAGAAACAGCCGTAACACCCTCCCGCTGGCCCCCTCTGAGTTCCTCAGGCCCTGGAATGTGCTGAGAGGTGTGTCTCCAGGAAGCAGGAACAGCATCATTTATCTAAATTAGTGGTTCCATGTGCCTGTCATTCTGAGCCTTTCAGCTGAGCTACACATCTACTTGACTTAACGGATGAGAAAAAGGGAGTAAGAACTGCTAAGGAAAATAGTTTGGACACATACATGCAGGAAAATTGGCACTTTTCATCCTGAAACTTACTCACACTGAGGCCCTAGGCAATGCGTATTTAGTTAATTAACCAGAAAAGCATTGATGGTGTCACCTTACAGCTGTCTCTACAGCTGTCACAGGAAGGTAGGCACAGCCGAGACAAAGACCACTGGGCTGACATCTGGGGGCACACTCAGCCCTTGCCTTCTGCAGAGAAGGGTTCCCTCCAAGGGGACTGGGACTATTCAGGGCAAATAGTCCAGGTTTGCTGATCCCCAAGACTCTCCCTGGGGAGGTAAGGGGCTCCAGGGGAGAAACTGAACAGCTGGCCCCTCCCTGTGCAGAAGTGTGGGGCCTGAGGCCACTGGAGTTTGCTCTGACCACCAGGGAGGGGTTGGGCCTGGCCTCAGCCAATCTCTGGGAGTTATTCCCTATGTTGACTGCAGACATCTGTCACTCCGAGGGAGGCTATCTGGATGCAATCTGCCACATTTAACTGTTTGCTAATTGAGCCAATGCTGTGGGAGTTCTTGATGATCAATGCCACGTGCAATTCCTTATTACAGAGAGACCCAAACAGAGACATTTTCCAGGAAGGCTGAACGGTTGCCTCTAGTCACAGTCTCCAAAATCAGGGTAGTGGCCTCAATAGGGACAATGAATTAGCTGTGAAACGGTAGGGGGAAAATAATTTTCAACAAATCAGCAAAAAAAGCAGGAAGAATGAGTTGTTAACGGAAAACTGTTTTCCTTCATCTGATTCTGAC
The DNA here is from genome assembly GCF_000001405.40 of Homo sapiens. Classification (NCBI taxonomy): domain Eukaryota; kingdom Metazoa; phylum Chordata; class Mammalia; order Primates; family Hominidae; genus Homo; species Homo sapiens. The sequence goes on along the minus strand of NC_000019.10, from coordinate 29,315,330 downwards.
CATGGTGAGGTCCCTGAGCCCTGGTGCCAGTGCACCGCCTAAGGCCTATCAGGATGCTGTTCTTCCGAGTGGGGCACTAGCTGAGATGCAAGACCCCATCATAGTGAGTGAAACTCCTCGTGTTACAAGATCGTAGGTTCGGTCCTCAACCTCATCATGGTGTCTCTGAGGACTCAAGTTCTGTTCTGCCCATGGTGACTGCAGTAAGAAGGGAGACAGAGCCACATCGGGGGAGAACTCCACATCTGAACTAGTTTGAAAGAGAATGAACCAGAGGCTGATGTGCCTTTAGATCTATGGCTGCTGGACTCCAGGAGCTTGTTGGGCCTGCATATAGGAGCCGCAGGGACAAGGATGCAGGCCCCCTTGGAGCCGAGTGGCCCCAACCCAGCCTCCTCCTCTCCACCCTGCCAGGAGGGACCCAAGAGAGCAGGGACTAGAGCTCAGAGGAAGGAGGAACTTGGAGTGCAGACACTCCCCAAGTGGGTCGCTCTGAAAATTGCTTGGAGTTGGGGACCTTGGTCATTGGCAGGAGGAGGGAGAAAGCATTTTCAGAGGGCTCAGGCTTAGAGACCAGGGAAGGGCTGCTGGGGAGGGATCTGGCTGGGTTGAGTCAGGTGGGTTTGTGCAGGGAGTTTCCTAGAGAGTGGGGAAGCAGCTTGAGGTTCTCAATGGCCTCCTCCTCTGGGCCCTGGGAGGCCACTGGGGGCTGGAGAGCAGAGCAGCAGCTAGAGGGAATCTGGTGGCCCTGGATGGCTCTCTAATGCATCCTGCACGTCTGAGGACTGCAACTCCACCAGCAAATAGTGGGGGGATGTGTGCTGGCAGTAGGGGCCCAGGCAAGCCTCCCAGGCCCCTCCCTCTCCCAACCATCCCTCTGCAGTTCCTGCCATAACTCCACCTTATCCCAGCCCCGAAATGGGACTCAGGCTCTTCAAGTTCAGCTGCCCTTGACTTAACTTATTTCCCTGTTGGGAGACGATGTTTTTGATTTTCAGCTCAATCACTAACCTTGAGCTAGTCATTTCCCATCGCTGAGTCCCAGGTTTCCCAGTGGAAGTGGGAATAATACCTCCTTTGCTGGCTGTTAGGATAAATGAGAGAGTTCTGTACAGGGCAAGGGACATCGTAGGTGCTCAATGAATACCAGATCCTTCTTATCTGATCCTTTCAGACCAACCAAGATCCTTCTTTTTTAAATTCAGTGGACTCAGCATATCACTCAAAATACTTCACTTAAATTAAAAAAAAAATTAAAGCTTATGTAATCACCAGCCTAAGTGGCTGCATTAGCCTGTAATTCTGCCATCTTTTTCCAATAAACAGATTGTCTTCCTCTCTCTTTCTCTCTGCGGACGGATCTGGAGGATTTGCAATGTGCAAAGCAGGTGGATTGATCGGTTATTGATCGAGAGTGAATTATGACCCCTTCAGGTAAAAAGCTTCCCATAAACACAATTTAGTAGCTGCTGCCGCCAGCCTCGGCAGCCAGAGCTGACCATCTCAGGACTCCTGCAGTAAGATAATCAATACCTTATATTAGTATTAGCAGCACAGATTGCTTTATTTGGTAGCTGTTAGGAGTGTCGAGGTGGGCTCCCGTCACCTGCCTGAGGTGGGAACAGCAGTGATCTATCAGGGTTCAGGTGCCCCTGCACAGAGGCTCAGGGGGTGGTGGGAGGTTGGTGGCCCTGGTTTTGCTTCAGTTCTGTCCCTTGCTGATGGGTGTAACTCTTGCCCTTTTGATTTCAATTTTCATCTGTAAAATGGAATTTCTGCTACTCATTCTGCTTACCTCCCAGCACGTTTGTATCCTAGGGATAAGGATGGATATGAACGCATTTTTGGAATGCTGAGGTCATATTAAAGATGCTTGTTTTCCTTCCCCTCCTCTAATGCCCCAAATGCTCTAAAACAGACGTTATTTCTCCTGGGTATTGAAACAGCTTCCAAACAGCATTTTTTGCTTCTCAATTCTTTCTCCTGTGCCCTCCATCCCCACTCCACAAAACACACAAGCACACAAAACTTCATCCTATAAGTCACTGTCAAACTCACATTCTTAAAGCAGAGTTGTGATCAAGCCCTTCTCTCACTCTACAACCTTCAAGGACTCCCTATGCCTACAGGATCAAGTCTAGGCTCTGCAGCTGGCAATCTTTTACAAAATGCCTCATTTTTCCAGCTAGAGTTGCATCTCACCTGTCTGCTTCCCATCCGTGTCTCAATTTCACCAGAATAAATCATGCCCCCTCTCTCCAGGAACATCCCTGTTCTCCACTCCCCTCTCCCAGTCCTAGGCCCTCTGAAGTAAAAAACTCTCTTTTATGTCTTCGTGACTCCATCTCCTAAAAGCCACAGAGCTTTGTCTCCTCTGCCCCTTGCTTAGAACGTAGTGGCACAGTACCCATGTTTGCCGAACCAAGAGAGATACAGTTGATTGGAGAGTAAGGTTCCCTTCCACACATTTCAGCTGAGATAAGCACATTCAGCCAATCAGTTCTACCATAAGGAAGCTTGTGGCTTGGCAGCTCGGTGATGGGTGATTGCAGAAAGATCAGAAGTGACTTTGGAAAAAGGCTATCCAATGTCCAAATGGAAGGTGGTGGAGCGGGTCTGAAATGCCCTCAGCCTCCACCCTGCCCCTTTGTGCATTCTCTGAAGCAGCTTCTGCTTCAAGCCCAGCAGAAGGCCTCCCACCTCCCCCTGCTCCACACCCACTCCCCCTTTCGGTGACTTTTCTTCTGGAGTCATCCCTCCTTCATTCTCCATCCAGGCAGCTGGGAGGGGCTGGTTTCTCTCCTTGCCTTAAACCCAGCCTAGATACCGGGATGCCAAGTTCCCCTAGATGCAGTGAGTGATTGGAGGATGGTTATATATTTCCCATGGGGTCCAGGCAAGCCTTGGGCTCAAGTGAAGGAGAGTGTCCCTTTCCATGTGTAAGACCAGAACCTGCACATCCCTTCTACCAGGGAGGAAGAGCCAACCAGGGAAGAAGTCCAACAGGGGAGCATAGAACTGAGACACAGAGCCAAATGAAACCCCAATGGCATTATCAGAGTCCCTAGACCACTGCCATGCCAGAATGTACTCCCGGATATTTTAGTGTTGTTTGCTAACAGATCCCACGCCCCATCCCACTCGCCTTTTCTTTCATGTAAGCCATTGCATTAGGTTGGTTTTAGATACAACAGATGTGCCCCATGCTTTATTTCTCTCTGTGGGTGCACACCCTGAAAAACCCTAGGAGGAGGGAGAGCTCACCCAAGCCCACCTCCCAGATAAGGGCTGAACTAGCATCCCATCAGGTCTTCCAACTCCCAGGCCAGCATCATCCACGCTAAGCCAAGCAAAGATGTTGCCCCTCCAAAGATTCCCTTGCAAAGAGATGGCTCACTTCACATCGCAATTCCAGGCCTCTGTGGATGGTGGTGGGAGACACCTGCTGCCTTCTGCCACATGGCCGTGGGCCTCCCCAGGAAAGCAGCTCTATTCCCAGGAGGCCATGGGGACAGTTTGTCCCAAGCCAGTGCTGCTGTACCTCTCACAATAGGCAGAGCTGTGCCGGGGCTTTGCTTAGGGAGATGATCCCTTCACATCCCTCTGCTAAGGACCATTAACTTCCCTTGAAAACAGCTCCTTCCTGCCCTCTTACGACATCTCTGGGACAAGTGTCTTACAACATTCCCCACTGGAGGCTGTTCTCATGCAAGTGCTGGCCCAATTATGGCGCCCCGCTCCCAGATGGCTCACTCCCAACGGCTGGGGGAGGACATTCATTATGAGACCGGCAGGTGCCATGTGGGCGACTTCATTGTCTTTGCCAGTAAATGAGATTCATTAGGTGCACTGCAGGGCGGTGGGATGAGCGCGCTGAGTCTGGATGCTGATGCCGGATGCTCTCTCATTTCTGCTGCACAGACTTGATCAAAAAGGAAAGCACGGCAGGTCTCTGACATTCTGTTTTCATTCCCCAATCAGCACAATGCCTCGCTGTCAAGGGGGGTGAACCCCTGCCAACTGCAAACCCTTAAGTGGAGTCTGGGCTGGTAATGAGGCTAACGTCTCCACTGAGGAGGGGCCCTTCATCTGGGGGAGGGAGGAGGAAAATCATTGCACTCCTGGCTCCAGGAAGCATGAATATACCTCTTAATTTGGAAGGATTTGTAGGAAAAAAAGTAGATTTATTGATTGTTACTTTTCCCCATGACTCTTCATTCTCAACTCCTAGTGTAAGTTACTAAGTTACTAAACAAGCCACAGATGCCCCGAAGATGGCCTGTGGATGAATGAGGGAGTGAGAACAATGAAGGGGGCCCTCATCATTGATGTGAATATCACTTCTGAGCAGCTGTGTGTGCCAGGCACAGCATTTAGCACTTTAGATGGGAATGTATGGGCTGCGCAAGGTGGCTCACACCTGTACTTCCAGCACTTTGGGAGGCTGAGGAAGAAGAATCACCTGAGGCCGGGAGTTTGAGACCAGCCTGGACAACACAGTGAGACCCATCTCTGCTACAAAGTAAAAATAAAAATAAAAAAATGATCTGGGCATTGTGGGGCACGCCTGTGGTCCCAGCTACTTGGGAGGCTGCCGTGGGAGGATTGCTTGAGCCCAGAAGTTCAAGGCTACAGTGAGCTGAGATTGCACCACTGCACTCCTGCCTGGGCAACAGAGCAAAACCCTATCTCTTAAGGGACAGAGAGAAAAAAGAATGTATGGACTAATTTAAGTCTGTGGGCTGGTGTGTAACCAGGTTCTGGAGAAACAGGGCCTGTGATATGGACTCTTGTGCAAGTGTTTTGTCGAGGGTGTGCTCTCAGGAGAAGCCTGTGGGGAAAGAAGGCCAGGCTAAGATGGGGACTCGGGAGGGGACAGCACCAGCGTTCTCTTCCCTTTGAGGTGCAGGGGTGGGGCTTTTGTATACCAGTCAGTCAGTGCTTGGCTGTAAGCCCCCTGGCGTGTGGTCCCGATCTCCCAGGCATCTCTGGATAAAGTGGATTCTCTCGGAAGGGGTAGCTGTGATCTGTTAGCAGTTGTGCTGTGCTGTGGACTGTCCAGTAAAGAGGAGCACCGGGTGGGACCCTGCCAGCATCTGTGGCAGGGAGCTTTAGAGCCTGTGTTTGTTCAAATCCTCCACTTCCATTTGCGCACCTGAACCTTTCCCTGCCTCAGTTTCCATATCTGGGAAGTGGGATAATCATAATGCCTCCCTCATAGAGTTGCTGTGAGGATTGAAGGAGAAAGGACATGCCAAGGGCTTAGAGCAGTGCCTGGCACTCAGCGAGGGCTGTGCGGAGGGGAGCCGTGTGGTCTTAGTGCATTGAACTGGCAGGAGCAACCTGTCTTCCTGCACGGTCCTCCACAGTGCCCTCCGCGAGCCTGGGATCAGAGCGGCTCCAGGTCACCTTGGCCCTGCACAGGAGCCCTCCCTTTTGGCTCAGCAGCCCTCAGGACAAGGGTAGGGGCTGGGGAGAGCGGGCTGAGCCCTGGGATGGGAGCAGGGGAGCAGAGCAGCTTAGGTTTTAGGTAGTCCCTTTGTGTCTCTCCCCGAGGCTGTCTGGCAGAGAGAGGCTCCTCTGACAACTGGATTTTTCATGCTCTTCCAAACGAGCCTATAAAAATTCAGCCCATTTGGTTTGCAGACAGAAACTTTGCTTTTAACATTTTTGAGTTATTTCCTTCTTTCTCCCTTTTCAGGGCTCAAGTTATTTCAAAGGAAGAGGGTGCAGCGAGCGGGGCTGCGCATTTGTCAGGCTTATTTCCCTGTGGGTTTGTAACGATGGGGGACTTAGCTTAAACCCACATGACATTTGTCACTTTGCTATTGCTTTTTTACCCAGAGGGGCTCTGTCCTCAGTGGCACAGTTTCCTTTTTATCTGTCTGAGAGGGATAAACGAGCAGAGCGCAGGGAGGAAAGGAGCCTGGCATTTGCATTTTTATGCATGCCTTCTGCTCCCGCAGGCAGACATCCCCTTCAGCCCTGTCAGCTCCAGCCTGCTCATTCAGGGCAGGACGCTGGGGGTCAGCAAGGCACAGAGATGGTGGGGCTGGCTCCTCCCTCAGCCCCTCCCTGGGAGAAGCGCGTGTACCTGAGATGAGGACACCTGCCTCTCTGTGCCCTCAGCCCCTCCCTGGGAGAAGCGTGTGTACTTGAGACCAGGACACCTGCCTCTCTGTGCCCTCAGTCCCTCTCTGGGAGAAACATGTACTTGAGATGAGGACACCTGCCTTTCTGCGCCCTCAGCCCCTCCCTGGGAGAAGTGTGTATACTTGAGACCAGGACACCTGCCTCTTTGTGCCCTCAGCCCGTCCCTGGGAGAAGCGTGTGTATCTGAGATGAGGACACTTGCCTCTCTGAGCCCTCAGCCCCTCCCAGGGAGAAGCATGTGCACCGAAGATGAGGACACCTGCCTCTCTTCACTCTCAGCCCCCTCCCTAGGAGAAGCATGTATCTGAGAGGAGGACACATGCCTCTCTGCATTCTCAGCCCCCTCCCTGGGGGAAGCATGTATCTGAGAGGAGGACACATACCTCTCTGTGCCTTCAGCCCCTTCCTGGGAGAAGTGTGTGTATCTAAGATGAGGACACCTGCCTCTCTGCACTCTCTGACCCCTCCTTGAGAGAAGGGTTTGTACCTGAGATGAGGACACCTGCCTCTCTGTGCCCTCAGCCCTGTCCCTGTGAGAAGCGTGTATTTGAGATGAGGATACCTGCCTCTCTCTGCCCCATTTCTGTTCCTGACTGTGCACAACATCTGCTCTTTCACTCCTTTAAGGAACCCATACTGATAGTGCCTTCCACATGCCAGGTCCTGGGGTGCCCCATCCTCGTGGAGCCAGCCTCTTCCAAGTGACATGTGCAGTGACTGAGGTCAGTGGCACTGGGAACAGTGGCAGTGAGGCGTGAGCCCCAGAGCCAGAGATGGCCCAGCTGGGTCTTGAATAGAAAGTGGCTGAGTAGAGCAGGCATGGTGGCCCACACCTGTAACCCCAGCACTTTGGGAGGCCCAGGCAGGCAGATCATTTGAGGTCAGGAGTTTGAGACTAGCCTGGCCAACATGGTGAAACCCTGTCTCTACTAAAAAAATATACAAAAATCAGCCAGGTGCGGTGGTGGGTGCCTGTAGTCCCAGCTACTCAGAAGGCTGAGACAAGAGAATCAGTTGAACCTGGGAGGCGGAGGTTGCAGCTAGCCAAGCTCATTCCACTGCACTCCAGCCTGGGCGACAGAGCAAGACTCCTTAAAAAATAAAAGAAAGAAAGTGGCTGGGTAAAAATGGGGGGTGCTCTGGGTGGGGGGCACTGAGGCTTGAGGAAGGATGGGAATGGGAGGAGCTGCCAGTGTCTGTGCAGCTGGGGCGTCAGGTGCCTTGAGGGGGCAGCGGGTCAGGTGGTGAGGGGTAGAAGTAGGTTAGGAGCCAAACAAGGTCTGGCAAGTTGTGCTAAGGATATTGAGCTCTGCTTCAGCCAAATGGTACGTGGGTGACAAGAGAGGGCTCTTTGGTGCGCCATGGAGATGAAATGGGAGGAAGAAGATTGGAGGGAGGGAGACCCCTGAGGCCAGCAATGATGAGAGAGACAGAGGAGACCCCAGAAAGAGGGGAAAGGCAATGCTGTACCTGGCTGCGTAGGAGGAAGAAGAGGGAAGGTGGGGATGAAACTGGCAGCTTTCTGGTATAGGTGATGGGAAAGGTGGTGTCACCATGTGAATCAGACACCAGGTAGAGGGGCCCTGTGTATGTGTCCTTAGGATAAACCAAACAAACATGTTGATGATGTGAACACATATTATAATTATGTGTTCCCCCCACTCCCAATTAACCTAAAAATTCAATGCAATTCCATTTTAAAAACCCAATACAAAATTCTGTGGAATTGCCGGGCATGGCGGCTCATGCCTGTAATCCCAGCACTTTGGGAGGCTGAGGTGGGTGGATCACCTGAGTTCAGGAGTTTGAGACCAGCCTGGCCAACATGGTGAAACCCCGTCTCTACTAAAAATACCCAAATTAGCTGGGTGTGGTGGTGTGCATCTGTAATCCCAGCTACTCAGGAGGCTGAGGCACAAGAATTGCTTGAACCCAGGAGGTGGAGGTTGCAGTGAGCTGAGATCGTGCCACTGCACTCCAGCCTGGGCAAAACAGCGAGGCTCTGTCTCAAAAAAAATAAAATTGTGGAATTTGTCAGAATCATTCTAAAATTTACGTGGAAGACTTAAGGCCAAGATTAGTTATGATAATTCTAAAAAAGGAAGAGAAAGGGTTGGTATTTCCTCTATCAGATATCAAGCCATATTAGGAAGTCATAATAAGTGTTAAAAGTTTGGCATTGCCTTGAAGATAAATATATTAGCAGAACAGATGAGATGGCTGTCCTCATTCCCTTATGAGCTGCTTGCCCCTGCACCAGCAGAGTTGAGTCTTTGTGATTGAGACTATGTGGCTGGCAAAGCCCAAAATTTTACTATTTGACTTTTAACAAAAATGTCTGCTAAGCACTGGCCTACACGTAGACCCACACATTTATGGGAACTTGGTGATGGATGGAGATGGTAGTACACACTAGGAGACTCAAATATTAGTTTTCCTATGGGAAGAAAATTAAAATCAGTTGCTAACCTCATCCTGTAAAGAAACAAATTTCCACATGGATACAAGATCTAAATCTGAAAAGCAGAACTTTATAACCTTGAAAAGGTCATTGATAATCACGTCTTTATCATCTTGGGGTAGAGAAAGACTTCTTAGACAAGGCACAAAACACAGCTCATAAAGGAAAAGATGGTTCTGTGATGACTACTACATGCATACAAGCACACACACACACACACACACACACACACACACACACACACACACACGATCTACCTTGCAAGAGACATCATAAACCAAGTTAACAAATAAGGCCAGAGTGGAAGAAGACAGGTGAGGAAGCGGTGCCCAGAACATGTCAAGAAGTCCTACATGTGAATTTTCTTGGCAAAGGACAAATAAACCAAATGGAGAAAAGGTGAAGACCAGGAGTTTCAGAGAAGAGAGACCATCAATGAACAAAAATAAATGAAAAATGCTTATAAAGTCAAACAAAGGTGCTAACCTGCTTCACAGGTACCCAACTGACAAAACTCAGAAAGTCAGATGGTTTATCCTGAGTGTTGGGAAGTGAAGCAGCTGGAAAACTCACGCTCAGCTGGCAGGAGAGTGAATGAGCATGGTCACTGCTCTCCTTATGGCAACATGAGATAAAATCAAAGATGTGCATGGTCTGTGACCCAGACCTGTGTTTTTATCACGTGCCCCAGAGCATTTCTCAGAGATGTGCACAAGGGCATTGCCAGCAGCGTTGTTAGTGGTATGAAGAATAAGAAACGACCAAATAGCCCTGAGCATGAGACTGGACTCATAAATTCCAATATAGTCAGGTATTGGACTACTACGCAGCAGTTATGGCAACATGGATCTATCTCGAAAAATTAATGCTGATGGAAGAAGCAAGTTGAGAAATAAGCTGTGATGGCATTTATGTAAATTACAACTCACAAAGCAATGTGTCTGTTGTATATCTATATCTATGACTAATCTATCTCTCTATCTGTGTATCTGTCCTATCTCTTTCTATTCACCTTATCTATCATCTGTCTTTCTGTTTATCTATCAATCTTTCTATTATCTTTTCATCAATCTAATCTTTCTTTCTGTCTGTATCTATCTATATCTTTTTATCTAACTATCATCTTTCTGCCTGTTTATCCTTTCTATCTATCTATTTATCTATCTTTTTATCTATCATCTTTCTGTCCGTTTATCTATCCTTTCTATTTATCTATCATCTATCATCTATCTTTTTTATCTATCATCTTTCTGCCTGTTTATCCTTTCTATCTATCACCCATCTATCCATCCACCTATCTTTTATCTAATTATCATCTTTCTGTTTATCTATCCTTTCTATTTATCTATTGTCTATTTATCTATCTATTTATCTATCATCTATCTATGCATCTATCTTTTTATCTATCATCTTTCTGTTTATCTGTCCTTTCTATTTATCTATTATCCATCTATATATATTTATGTATTTTTTATCTATCACTTTCTGTCTGTTTATTCTATCTAATCTATCTATTTTTATCTATCTATCATCTTTCTGTCTATTCTATCTTTATCATCAGTAATTCAATCAATCTATCTATCTTTATCATCAGTCATTTCAATCTACCTATCTATCCATCAGTCTGTATAAAGTTGGGACTAGATATATCTCTTCACCAAAAGAAAATTAAAATATTTATGAAAATATAAGAATGTTTGTGGGGAGAGGCATTTCAATTAAATCTGTGAAATTCTGTTTCTTTTATGAAAAATGAATTTCGGCACAATTAAGAACGTATTTTCATTTGCTAATCATGGATGCCGGGCACATAGATGTTTATTCCATTATGTTGTGGATTTCTGAAATTAGCAAAAAGGAAGAGAACCATGATGCAGGCAGGAGAGGCATAGTCCCTCATGGGGCCTGAACTCCCAGCTCTCAGACCTGGCACCCATGGAGTTTGGGAGAGGCTGGAGCTTGGATGCCACTTGTGCACGTGGCCACCTTTCCTGTCTCTGAAATATACCACACTGCAGCTAACTTTAGGAAACTTGAAGAAAATATCTGGGGAGACCAGGTTGACTTCAGAAAACAAGGAGGAAACCAGGCACGAGGGTCCATAGGAGTGAGGAAAGGGGTCCTCTGTGGGCTGTGTGTCCTCTATGTGCCTCTGGCCCATGACTCTCCTCACTCCCACCTCCCAAACTCCCATGTGTCCTTCAGTGGAAATCAGTGTCACCTCCTCTAGGAAGCCTTCTTGGACCCCTGTGCGCAGCTCTAGCTCTGCCTTTCCTGCACTGCACTGCTGTACTGACATCTCTTAAAGTGGAGGGATGGGAGCTCTGCATCCTCCAGACTTTGCACAATGCCAGGCTCACAACATAGCTGGTTTGGGTGGTGTGAATAGAGATGGGTAGGAGTTTGGGTAGGTTTGGGTTCAGGACAGCTGAAGGCGCAAAGCCATTGCAATAAGCAAACAGTCTATGGGGGCATCACACAAGACTCCTTCCTGGCTACAGGATAGAAAACTTAACCAGTGCCTCCAAGGGAATATATCAGGTCCCTAAACTGCAAAGTCTATCTGGCCTCAGGCTCATCTGTATAAGAGGCTCAATTGTCATCTGGACCAGGTTTATTTCCCTCTCCTTGTCTCTCCTTTTCTCCCTTCCTCCACCTCTGGATTTCCTTTCCTGTGTGTGGGAGCCATTCTCAGTTTCTGCCCTGGATAGAGAACAGAGGTGAGTGTGGTAGACACAGCCCGCTTCTGTCCAGGAGGACAAAGCAAGGTCCTCTCTCTCCCGGCTGCTCCAGCGAGGTCCTGGGGTTAGCATGGCTTGTCTCTGATGTGTCCCGAGTCCATCCCTTAACCAGCCCTCGCAGAGGTGGGAGTTGATGGTGGTTTGAGCCTAGATCTAGAACTAGGGGTGGGATCAGCCCCATCCTCAACAAGGCACTGAGATTAGGGGTAAGAGGGTGGTTTTGGGGGACACTTTGGATGAATGGATATTGACAGAAAGCCAATGCTTGCTGCCTGCAGAGGGACTGAGTTGACTTACATCTGGAATGGAGGAGCAAGGGCGTGCTGCTGAGTTCCTGACATCACCTCGCCTCTTCAGAGGTTCTCAGCTGAAGTGTGGGGCAAGGGAAGGCTGAGACCCTAGCACCTCCTCCCTGACCATGCACATCAGAAAGCTGGCTGTGAGTCAGCTACCAGCCCTCAGCTCTTCTTCTCTGCTGGGTTCTACAGGGGCAGAGTTTCTGGCTCCTGTCCCAGGAGCTATGGGTAAAACATTTTAAGGAGTCATAAACCAAACACTGAATTTTCAGAGTTCAGAAGTCGTTCTTGACACTATTGGAAAGGTGTGGTTGTCCAACTATTGAGCTGTTGGTTTTGCATTGCAGAGAGGACAGAGCTGCCCTTTACATTTGGTTATAAATCGGAGGCATTTGCTCATCTCTGTGGGCCTTGGCTAGACATTAAGAAAAGAAACCGGATGGATGTGACCGACGCCTCCGCTCAGCCGACGGTGGGAACTGGGAGTGATGTGAGGTTTTACACTAGAGTTTCTATAATGCTTTGAGTTGTTTCGCAGGATAAAACTATTAATAGGGTTGTTAAAATTGGAAATAAATGTTCAGACCACCAGTTGGTAAGGCTGTCCACATGAGAGCTTCATATGTACCCAGCATCTAGCATTTGCTCAGACAATCAGTCCGCACAGAAGGTAGAGTTTCTGAAACCTGAGATGGCATAGGGGAGCGCACAGGACTTTACATGGCTCAAACCCAAGGTTGCTAACATGAGGTTTAGGAAAAATGGCTTCCAGGGCATTAATAAAAATTACAAGAAAAACAATGACCCCACGCGCTGAGAGCCCCTGTGTGCCCTCTCTGTGCTGTGCGCTTTACCTTCATTATCTGTGTTCACTCTCACAACAGCCTCTGAGGCAGTTGTTTCATTACTAGTTCACGCTGCAGAAACCAAAGCTTAGTGAGAAGCCAAGGGCTTAGCTCGAGGTCATGGAGCTAGTAAACCACAGAGCTGTGGTTCAAAGCCAGGCCGACTAATTCTAGAACTCACACTTTTAAGCTTTCCTGTGGAAACTGAATGTGAGGATGACTGGTTTAAAAGAATGCAATATTTGTGAACGCGAATATTAGCCTCCTACCACCCAGGCCCTCCTGCACACAGATTACCTTTTTTGAAATTCAAATCCCTATTTGAAATCCACTATGGGAAGTCACTAGGAAACACCAGGAGAAGCTGCTTTTGTTAAGTGAGCACCATCCTCAAAAATACATCGCTTTGACAAATGAAAGATGTTCTCATTATTAATCATAGCTGGAGCACTCATTGACTGAGTCTCTGTGTGGTGTCAGGCCCCATTTTAATCTACTGCTGCTAACAATTATTTTCCAAGAGTTTCACTCTGGTCCCATGGGGTGTTGTGGCCGGGGTTGTCTGCCTGTCCACCAAGATTCTTTCTGCTTCCTCCCAGGCACAGGTGTAGCCCACAGCTCCCAGCACCCCCAGGCATGACCATATGACTGTGTTCTACCCAACCCATTGTGGGTAAAAGTCACAGATTTCACACCCATGCCTGGCCTGTGGAAACCTCCCAGACACAATCCTACACCTTTCCCTTCCTTGGAGACCATGGAAGTTGTGTGCTGAAAATTGTGGGGCCACAGGATGGACAGAGCCCAGTTCTCTGACTCATCCACTATTCAGGGACTCGGACTTTACTTGAGAAAGAGATGAATGTTGGTTGTGTGAATCTGCTGAGACTTGGGAGTATTTGGTTACAGTAGCTCATAGCTAGATGCTACCATATCTCAATGATCATACAACACGTTTTTTCCATCTTTGCAAATTTCTGAAATTACTGGCGTGGGTTTTACAGTCCTTAGCATCTTAGCCTCGCTGTGGGCCTGAACTGAGATCTAATTTCAAGAGAATGGATTTGTGTTTATTTCTTCTGTTTCACAGAGCTACTACCAACATGAGGTCAAAGTGAAATTGTCTACTTTGGGTTTTTCGGACTACACTGGTCCGTGTGAACTCAGACATCAAATCTGCCTGAGTACCAGTTCTGGGATCAAACTGGTACTCAGGTCAAAGAAGAATATTTTCTCCCTTCACTTGGCGCCTAGGTTGAGACATGCCAATTTCCTTGTCACTTTGTTTACATGGTGGGTTTATATTTCTCATTTACTGATACACAGGGGCCTCGGCCTTTGTGTCCTGGCTTTATGTGGAGAACTTCTATTAAATACGTTATGTTGGGCATTTTTTCTGTTTTAGTGGCATTTAAAATGATATCACATTTGACAAGTGATGGCATGTTGAATTCAACAAAACATAGTGTATTTATCTTCAGTTTACAGATAGAGAATGAAGACCTCTGAGGCACAGAGAGATGGGGATTCGAATAGCAAGTGTCACAGCTGAGCTAGGGATCTAGCAGTCTGACTCTTTCCTGAGCTCTTAGGCACCACACCACTGCAGGGTGGCCCTGTGACCATGCTGGGCCACCAAGTAGAGGACGGGTAGGCTAAGGGTTGAAAACGGCTCTGCCATCTTCAGGAGTTTGAATTTGGGTATGACCCTAAACCTCGGGTTCCTCAACTGTACACTGGGGATTATATGCATTGCTACTTTATAAGGTTGCAGTGAGGATTAAATGGGATCACAGTGTAAAAAACTGAGAGGTGCATGGAGCAGATTCAGAGATGCTTAGGTTATTCTTTCAACCACGGTGCTCTACTGTCCCCCAGGAATCGACAGGGAGTATTTACGCAGCATCCACCCTGTTCAAGCCATGGCTTCTCACTTAAGCCTATGATAGAGTCACAATCATCCTCATTCCACAGATGAGAAACTGGGCTCAGAGATTTCAAGCGACTAGACCAGGCCACACAGGCAGCCGGCGGCAGAGCCAGGATTCAAACTCAGGCCTGCCTGGCCCTGGAGCCTGAGGTCTCTCCTCTCTTCCTTGCCTCACTCACTCTGCTTGCCTCTAGCACATGGCATTCTGTCCATGTTAGTATATATCTTATGGGAAAGGTCCTGGGAATGGTCCTAGGTCTTCTTGAAGACTTCTCCCTGAATGGCCAGAATGGTTCCTCCTGAAAACGTTAAATAATCTCTCTGTTGCTGGCTGCTAGCTGAGGTCACTGGCTCTGGTGAGAGGGCAGCCAGCCTAAAGTTGCTTAGGACAGAATCTAACCCGGTGTGGACTGTGCACTTTTGGGTGATGATTGCAGTGACCCAGTGCCTCAAATCATGAGCTGTGCTAGTCAGGGAAGGCTTCTTGGAGGAGGAGGCACTCCAGCCAGGTCTGGAGGGATGGCAGATTCTGGGGAAGGGGTGGAAAGGGAATGAAGAGCACATCAGGCTAAGGGTCCAGTGTAAGCAGAGGGGTGGAGGAAAGAACATGCATTTAGGGCTGCGGGGAGAGGAGGGAGATTGTGCTAGAGGATGGAGGGACAACCCTGCCTGTGCCACTTGCTGGGGGGCTCAGCGGCTGAAAGACTTGCTGCTGTAGTCTGTGCCTATGGTTTAAAGGCCAGAGGATGGGGTGGACTGAGCAGCCTGTTACACCCCAGCCCCCGCCAAGGAGTGGAGGCTTTGGACACATGCCTGTGGCCTGGGCCCCAGCTCCTGCCCGCCTTCCCTAGGCCTCACTCTCTGAGCAATTTTCTTAAAGCCAAGCCCAATGCCTCACACCTGGAATCTCCCGGCAAACTGTCTGCCTCAGCGTGAGGCCAGCACAAGGGAGGAAGGTGTTGGCACATGTCACAGAGATGCTACTGCCAGGTACTGCTGGCTCCTGGGACACCAAGACTGGTGTCAGGGCTTGGCTCTCCCCATCTCTTGGCTCTTTCTTCTCTCTGTTGGCTCTCCATGCTGACAGAGAGAAGAAAGAGCCAAGACCTCTTCCTTTCCTCTGCATGGGGAGCACCAACAGCTCCCTCCTGGACAGACTCCGACAGTGTTTCCACTTCCCATTCCCTCCCAGAGCAGCCTCTGCCCACTCAAGCAAGAGTGCCTGCCTCCTGCATGCTCCTGGCTGTGGGCTGAGTTGCTGCAATGGCCTGTCATGGCGCGTGCGTCTGGCCGTGGGAAGGGAGTAGGGGTGGGGCATGGGGCAAGACACCCAAACCACAGGGCCTGAGGATGGGGCAGAGCAGGGTCCCAAAGGGAAACCATCCACTGTTTCCAAGAATGGAAAGATAGGAGCTGGGTGCTGGCAGGCACTGACACCCCCGAGGCTGGACCCCCGCGATGCTCTGCCCCCAGTGCCCTGCACTCGGGATCCGGCTGGTCTGGCATTCTCTGCTTCTCCGTGTGCAGGAGGAAAAATAGGAGTAATCTGTGCTCAGCTCTGAGAAGAGGTGGCCTGCTGACAGTACCTTTTCTAGCTCTGGAGATGAGCTGCCCCTGGGGACTGACTCCTGGGCACGCCAGCTGGCCTGAGGGCCTGGGAATGGCTCTCTAGCCCCTGATGACCTGTCCAGGTCTGAGTTTCTGAAAAGCCCTCCTCTGACACTGGGAACTGGCATTAGGTGTGCAGGTGGGCTGGCAGGAGGTGGGTGTGTTTCTGTGACCACAGGGGCCTCTGCTGCACTTCTGCAGGTGCAGGGAGGAACCCAGGATGTCTCGGGAACTGCTACAGGCATCTTTCACTGTAAACACATGATTTATACACTCAAAATACACCCTAAATGCCAAAGGTTTTCTCACTGCTGACAAACAGAGTGTTTAACCAACACAGAGGTTTTCCTTGGGTCCATAAGAGAAGAATGCTGAGCAAAAGGTGAAATTTGTTTTTAACCCTAATTTTCAAATTCAGGCTTCCTCAGCCAAGTGTCCTTGCTGTCCTGAGACAAACCAAGAAACAAGAACACGTGTTCAGGACCTAACATAGGGCAGGCACATCCTAGGAGGAATCAGGGCCACGGGACATTGTGTGACTTGGCAGATGGATCACAGGAGGGCAGCTGAGACCCTCTTTTCATGTCAGAAAGGCTGCCAAGGGGCCACTGGTCCACTGCACCACCCTTGGGTGCAAGAGGATGGCTATGGGACCTCCATGTGATGAGATCCTATCTGGGTAGGAAGGTAGATGCTGCTGGGAACGTGTGCTTTGCAAACTGTGCAGAAGACACTCACAGTTGTCCTTTATTCAAACTTGTATACATTTATGAGGCACAAGTGTAATTTTGTTACATGGATATAATACGTAGTGGTGTCATCTGAGCCTTTAGTGTAGCCATTGCTGGACTAACGTATGTGGTACCCATGAAGTAACTTCTCCTGCCTCACCCCCTCCATCCTCCCCACCCTTGGGTGTCTCCAGAGTCTATCATTCCACACTCTACATCCATGTGTACACATTATTTAGCTCCCACTGTTAAGTGAGAACGTGTGGTATTTATCTTTTTGTGTCTGAGTTATTTCACGTAGGAGAATGGCCTCCAGTTCCATCCTTATTGCTGCAGAAGACATGATTTCATTCATCTTTATGGCCAAGTAGTATTCCTTGGTGCATATGCACTACATTTTCTTCGTCCCGTCTTCGGTTGGTGGACACCCGGGCTGATTTCATGCCTTTGCTATTGTGAATGGTGCTGGGAAGAACATATGAGGGCAGGTATTCTTTTGATACAGTGATGTCTTTTGTTTTGGGGAGATGCCAGATGCACTTCTCCTCAATGCCTCTGTGCATCCAGCTCATCAAGGCGGTGACGTTTTAGTGAACGATACAGCACTGAGTGTGACAAGGCCTCGGTGTGGAAAGGGGGCAAGTGGTGCAGAGCAGGACAAGGAGCTCTGTGTGGCTGGAACACACTGTGGAGGGGAGGGTAGCATGTATGAGGCCGAGGAGGGCCTGGGTTGCATGGTCATGTGGGCCATGGAGGGGAACTTGAACTTGATTCCCGAGGAGTGAGAAGCCAGCTCAGGGACTGAAGCAGGAAGTACCATGATTTGGTTTGCATTTTATAGACAAATCTGGTGCTGCTGGGAGAATGACTTGACAAGGAGCGAGTGGGGGAACCCCGAGTGCCGCCCAGGACAAGATTGGCACTGAGCGAGTGGCAGTGGAGACAGCCTGAGGTTTGTTGATTCCAGACCTCCTTTGATGTATTTTGGAGGTTAAATCTACAGGACATATGGATGGTTTATATTCAGGGCTGAGCAAAAGGGAGCTGTCAAGGATGTGCCACTCCTAGATTTCCAATTACGACAAGAAGCCGTGATTGACTCAAGTGTGGGAGACTCAAGTTCCTTATATGATGCACTGTGGGCTCTCAAGCAAGCAGTGGAGAAGAAAAGTGTGAGTCTCCTAGGGATAGAACTCTGCCCTGCGATCTGTGTTTAAGATGTATTGGCAAATAGATGCCATTTAAAGCTATGGAACTGATGTAATTATTTAGCAAGAGAATATACAGAGAAAAAACAATAGGGCCAAGATCTGTTCTGAGAAGACACCAACATTTAGAGAAGGTTGGGTGAGGAGAAACTCACAGAGCAGAGAGAGAGGGAAGGAAGCCCAGCAGAATGAGGTATTGCAGAAGCTGAGGCCAGGCTAGATCGAGGTGGGGGCAGTAGCTGGGGTTAGTGCTGCCCATAGATTGGGAAACATGAGAATGACCACTGGGTTTGGAAACAGGAGGCTGTGCTGGTATAAGTGGTGGGGAACAGCCTAGACTGGGCAATTGAAGATTGAATGAAAGGTAAGGAAGCAGGGCAATGTGTGCAGACCACTCGTTCTGGGCACATTGCTTCCCAGTTCCCTTGCAGTTAGATGAGGTCACATTCCTAATTCTGGCCAGTGAAATGTGAGCAAAGTGCTACCTCTCATTCCGGGTTGATCGAGTGAAAACACCCTGGACACCCTTCCTGCTCCCTCCTTCTGCTGAGGAGGCTGCTGGTTCCAGATGAAGTAGCTATGAGATGGTGGAGCCTCCATCAGCTTCAATCCCAAGTGACTGTGTGGAGCAGAGTCTTCTTCCCTACAGCTGATAGGTACAGGGAGCCTCCTCTTTCCCCCAGGTCCATGTCTCTCTGCCTTCTCCTCCATAGCTTTAGTGACTGGATGGGCCAGGAGTCCACAGGCTGGTGGAATGACCTCCATGCTTCTCGGCTTGCCCTTCTCTGGTTCTACCGGGAGTGAGAGAAGGAAGGGAACATACAAGATAATTGTACTCTTCTTCTCTTTTTATGGTCCTGGTGTTCATGCCACTGTGTTTCTACCAGGCCCTCCTAATCCATCAGCAGCCAGGCATCTCTCAAATCAAATATCTTACAGGCCCTCCCAGGAACAGATCCCGCCACAGAGTGAGTGCTGCCAGCTCTTCATCACCGGGAGGGCCATCCATCCATCAGCCGAAGGGTTATTATTAATGATGAGCAGAAAATATCTACTCAGCTGCTCTGTTGTTGTTATTGCCCTTAACTATGACTTAAAGAAGAAACATAGTCAATACGCTTAATCTAAGGTTTTCTCTGAACATTTTGGTAACAATTCACTTTAAGTAGTAGGCAATATCTGAGGACTGGCTAGAGTAAATCTGCAGTGTAATACAACCAGGTCTCCAATCTGAAGAGCAAAATAGAAATGCAGGTATTCCCTTTTTATATTGTTGTCAACATGCAGAAGGGTTGCATCGGGGGGACCTGCTGCCCATCTCTGCACCTTCCACTCCAGGTTGCACCAGACCCTGGGATTCACTTGGTCCCATCAGTAAAATGGTGGCCTTCTGCTCTTCTGATCCCAGCCAATAGTGGACTATTGGCAGTGACAGCCTAAACACCCCAGGTTCTCACCACTGAGCCAGCAAATGTCCTTCATTATTCATACTTTGGAGTGCTCAGCTTTGGTCTGAGTAGTCTTTATGCACCAGCCATTCTTGGAGGCAGCCCTGAACTCCGAGGTCACTCAGGAGTGCTCCTCAGGTCACCAACCCACTAGCCCCCGTGTGGCCATGTCCTGGGCAGGAGATCAATCAGCACCAAGGCCTGCAGGACGGGGATCTCCAGTGGGTTAACTTTATCTAATTGTCTTTGTTAAACTACAAATTTTCTTTCTTTATTTTTTCCTTTTGGAAAGAAGAACTTTGTTTTTCATAAAGGGTTGCACCCTGCAGGGTGGCCACTCTGACCGGCTGGGAAGCGTAGCCTCTGATGAGAAGCCAGAAACAGACACTTTCAGGGAGGGGCAAAGGGAACAGGAATTTGTGCTGAGTTGGATGGCTGAATATACATATTCAATAAGCTGCAGGAGGAGTCATGAATATTTATGAGAGGTGAAACATGCACATGCACAAGTGAGCTGCATGCCCCTTCATGGGCCCCCTGTACCAAAAATGGTGGTTTTAGCATGACCCAAGGGTAGAACTTTTGGCCCTCTGATGTCAAAAGGTAAAGCAGAGGACACCAAAACCCTCACTGTGCATCCTCCGTGGACTAGGCAGAGCCACCCCATGGTCAGTGGTCTCTTATCAGGCAAAAACGAGGAGCAGCGTCAAGCAGTGGGTTGATCACAGCAGTGGACTGTGTTGGAAGGGTAGGTTTGTGTTTAGCCCTTAGGAAAGAAAGCCTAGTGGTGGTTAGCAAGGGAAGGGAATAACGAGACTTGTCTGATGCTCCCCATCCCATCATGGCCGAGAACTCAATGTTCCTGATTACTCTGGGGTCCCCTTGGCCAAGAGGGGATCTGTTTAGTCAGTTGGTGGGCTTAGAATTTTATTTTTTGAACTATACATTTTCTTATTCTTTTTAAATACAAAGCACAGCAGCAAACTTTGGCCTGGTTTTGGCAGAATGCTCACACATTTTGGCCTTTGTGAACATCACCAGTTTTGAGAAATTCAAGAAGCAGTTCTATCACAAACGAATGCTCTGCTGAGTCATTCTTTTAAATTCAGGAAATGTTTCAGTGGTTCCTATGTGCATTTTTTGAGTGATTTCTTGAGTAAGGTTATGTTGTAACAAAATGCTCTTTGTGACCTCTTCTGAGAGATGGTGGGGGTGGTGGGGTGGGGTGCAATGGCTTTCCAGGACAAGCTCCATACAGTAGTGGATTCTCCTGCAGACAAAAATATCCTGACATCAGCATCACCTTGCAATGGCACAGCCTGATGAGTCACATACACGTGTTTTCCATCCTTCAAGGTCCTCTGACATTTGATAACCACAGTATCATCCCCCAAGGTAGATAAGATTGAAGGTCTTCACAGGATGAAGGAGAAAGCTGAGGCCCAGCATTGTTCAGTCCTTGCTGAAATCCCATACCTCTTAAGTGACGTGGAGAACTAGAGCTGGGGTGGCACCTTCCTCTCCACTGCACAGACCAACAAAACAGAGCAAACCAGACTTCGACTTCAGGGCCAGCTGGGGCAAGGGCCTCAGCAGACACTGTTAAGGTCCTGTCCAGGTTCATGTGGATCACTCTTGCCAGCTCTGTGCCCCCATCCTCCAGCGGCCATGTGCTTTGCTCTAAGTGGACTGCACCAACAGCCTCCTGAGGACTTCTCTTTGGCCCCTGGAGGCTTGAGCTGCAAGCATGAAGGAGCCTCGGGTGCCTGGCAGCTTGCCCTTCATCCTGTGGGGGTGTGAAAAACCAGTTCCTCTGACTCAAAGCTGGGCAGACTGTGAGATGCAGCTGATATTCCAGACCCCGCCCCCCCTCAATGGGGTCTGGCTGAGGCTGGAGACCTACCTGAAATAGCATCTTGCAGGGCTTCTTCCCCTCTCCTGCCCTCTTTTCCCTACTGGGTTCTCCTGTCTTGATAAATCACCTGCCCACAAATCACCACCCCAGGGGCAACGTCTGGGAGACCCTGACCGAAGGTAAGCCTTGTGCTCGTGTGGGTGCAGTGTGGCCCCCCAGGTTGCTGACAATGCCAGGTCCTCAAGCATAGACTCCTAGCTGGAGAGTTGCTCTGCTGGCTTCCAATATTACGTCCAGTTGATTTGAAAATATTGCCATTTACTTCTAAAATGCGAGGCCACCTGGGATCTGTGCACATCACACTTACTTTCTCCTCCTAGTTCCAATTTTCCATCTAAGAGCACAATCTCCAGATTCCTGAGTCCTCCTGAGTAACACAGACTCCTGTAGGTATCAGGCAAAGGGAGGGTACGGTGGCATGCCGCAGCCCACACGTTTTTCCTGAATCTACGACTCTGCTGATCACCTCTCTAAAAGCAGGGCTGAGCTTCAGCGCATGAGGCCAGCTCATGCTGGACAGCTTGCAAGGGACAGGTGGCTGATTTGTCAGCAAGTACACAGGATGCTCTCCGGAAGCCTCTCCACACCCACGCTAGGTGGGTCTAGGTCTGCAGGGCTGCACTGACCAGGCTCCCGTGACCTCTGTTTCCAGCTCGGTTAGTCAATGGGGGCGGGACTGGTTGGATGGAAGAAAGAGATCGGGATATTCATCTGCCCTGCTCCCTCCCTGCTAGGCTAAAAGTGGCAGGGGTTGGGCTCCTCTCTGAAATCCCCAGCTCCTTCCTGTGGCCTCTTCCACAGTGGCACTGTCCCCTGTGGGTCAGGCAGTAGTGATGTGCACAGCCGTGGCCTTGGGTTTACTGCATCCCTCTAGTCCTCTCTATCCCATGTGAGCAGTCCCTTCACTAAACTCTTCTCAATGACTCTGAGTGTGCCTCAGTTTCCCCAAGACCCCTGACAGATACAGAAGGTGACACCTGTGTGTTCCTGGTGGCCTAGGGAAGACCCCATGAGGGTCTCTCCCTCCAGAAACTCTTCTCTTTTCTTTGCCCACAGTTTCTTCTCTCTCGCTTTCTACCTATTGCTATTTTTTTCTCATCATTCAAGCTGATGTTCTGATGTCCCTTCTCCTGGGGGTCTTCCAGGATGTCTCTGGTCAGCTTATGGAGCCTCCCACCAGGCCATCTCAGGCATTGCTTAGCCAGGTTGGTTGCTGACAACTGGAACGCCCTAGGACATTGGCATAATCCGAGGGCAGGGGCCACATTTGTCATCCCTGGGCTTCCCTCTCTGGCATGGGACCCGGCTGAGCTGCGTTTTTGGTAGTGATAACTGGGTACCAAATAGATCTGAATTACAGCCCAGAGTCCTGTGTTCTTCAGGCTTAAGGGGGCCACACTTTCCTCCAACTTCAAATATGCAGACTCAAGCCCCTACTCTGCATGCTGTGAGATGTCTAGTGTCTTCTCAACTTCTCCGAGGATTCCTAAGGGAGCACATATCCCTGGATACTCAGCCCTGAGATAGGAGGCGGGACTTGACTTTGGAGGCAGGGCTCAGACACCGGACCAAATTGCGGACTAGCTAAAACAGGTACAAGGCAGAAGCAGCTTCCCGTAAGACACACCCACCAGTGTACCATGTCAGTTACCATTGCCATGGCAACACCTGGGAGTTACCACCCTTTTCTTAGAAATTTCTGCATAACCCTCCCCTTAATTTGCATGTCATTAAAAGTGGGTATAAATATGAGTGCAGCACTGCCTCTGAACTGCTACTCTGGGCCCACTGCCTGTGGGGTATCCCTGCTCTGCAAGGAGCAGTCCTTCTACTGCTGCTGTGCACTGCAGCTTCCATAAAACGTGTCTGATACCACCAGCTCACCCTTGAATGCTTTCCTGGGTGAAGCCAAGAGTCCTCCTGGGCTGAGACCCAGTTTTGGAGCTCACCTACCTGCATCTGCCCTGCTGAGTTCTTGTCCCCCACTCTCTTTCCATGGCTGCTCTCTTCTCTCTATCTTAATTCACCCCCAATGTTCCTCTTTCTTTGTTTCCCAAAGCATAACTAATGAGAGGCTAAGATGTTTCATACCGAAGGGTCAGGGACACCAGATAGTTAATATCAGCATATCACAGAATGCACCGACTTGATGTGGCTGTTTTGTGAGCAATCCTTGCCTTGTGGCCCCCTGACCATCCCTCTACAGGGAGTAACTCCTGACTGCCTTCCTTCCAAGGTCCAATCCACTCCTGCCAGTTGACCTTTGTGTCCCAAGCTCCGTCAATTTTCTTCTTCGCATCACAAGCCCCCTCCAAACAAACAAGACAAAAACTCCAATCACTACAGAGCAGAGCGCTCTGCCTTTCTCCTTCCCACTGTGCCCTGGGGCCTATATTTTCACACACACAAAGAGATCCTCTGAAGTATGTTTCTAAACAAAAAGGCCACCTACCCCTACGAAGAACTTGGCCTCTGCCTGAGAGTGCTGCAGCCACTGCAGTCAAATTTTGTTTTAAATAACAGCATCTTTTCTTCTTGTTACTCAATTCTAACTTAGGCTTCTGGGCTGGGGCCCCGGGGGTCACTTGTCTATTCCAAACTTTCCTAGGAGTCATTGAGGCTGGGCACTGTTTTTCACAATGACTTCTGCTCTCATTTGGTGCTTAGCACACTGCTGGGCACAGGTGCTGCTGCAGATGGCTCTCATGCTCTGTGCCACATCCTGGGCCCTCCTGACATCAGCACTGCAGTGAGCAGTGCCAGGCCCATCACCAGGGTCTCACTTCTGGCAGGCAGCCTGCAACCTCTGCTTTTTTGATTCGGAGCTTTCTTTGAGCTGTGGGAGTCTAATCAGCCATGCAGAGGCACAGTCTGGAAGAGCAGAAGGGTTAACACACTCAAGGATGAACCCTCTACCAGCAGGGGATGCTGTGGGGATCCACGCCCAATCTCTAGTCCTTCAGAGGGGCAGTTCTGAGCTCCATGCTCCCCTGCTCTCCAGAGACTGCTCGAAGAATTTCACAACACTGCGTTGGCCCTGCAGATTGGGCCCCCATTTCCCACAGGGCTGCACCCTGTCACTGGCTTCCTCCTGCTCCGTTGCTCCTGTTCCCTGAGGTCACCTCTCAAATCAACTACTTGCACCCAAGTCATTGTTCAGGGTCTGCTTTAAGAGACACCCTAACTAGGACAGGAATTCAGCGGCTGCGGGTTTAGTATCTTCAGTGACAAGTCGTGGGACCAGGCTGGGGCCTGCCGGCTGCCTGTTGGTGCAGAGCCGCTCTTCAGAGCTTTGCTGACAATCCTCTGCCTTCCTTACCCCCATTTTTGTGGGGGCAAGTGGCCAGTGGGATGGATCTGCTCTTTCTCATCTGGGATGTGATGTTAGATGTCTCAACTCCAGAAAGCTCTACTCACCTGGGGAAAGTCTTTTGCCAGCCTGAAAAGCCAGAAAGTCCTCCCCGTGTGACAAGGAGCAAATGACTTCAGTGTCATATAACTGCCCCAAACTCCAGAAGAACCAGGGTCTGAGGTGTCTCATCTTTTCAGACTGAGGTGTTAAGAGCTGCATTACTCATTGCTATTGCCTGGTGCTTGCCTGGTTAGGAGCTGCAGAGGAAAGTCAATGTTTTGACAAGTTGACGAAGGCCTAGAGCCAGAATGGCTGTAAAACTCTGCCAATGGGTGCCCTAAGAATTCCAGAACACTGCATTTGACACCTAATTTCCTCCAGAATGAGCTGTCTGTTGGAGCCGGGGGCCTGCTGGAGTCATAAATCCTACCAGGAAAGTGGCTCTGCATCTGTCCATCTGATGCCTTTAAAACAGTGAAGCTCCTCTTTGTCCAGTCTCTGGAGATTCCCATGGCAATCCCACTCCCTGCAGAAGCTGTCACATCTGGGAACCTTCCTCTACCTTCCCTGAATTTCATCTCTCACACCCTAGAGCAACCATGACTAGATGGTCTCAGGATCTCCAGATCTGGCCACCACATTGAATCAGAACATCGCAGTTCCTTAGCAAATATCAGCCACTGCGTACCCTGCATTCGTCGACTCTAATCCTTATACCCAGTCCTGGGAGGTGTGCATTGCTAGACTCAATGTATAAGTGGGGAAAATGAGACTCAGAGGGGGTGAGTGGTTTGTCTGAGGTTACACAGCCAGTACTCAGTGAAGCTTCTAGGCAGTCCCAGGCCACTGACTCCACATCCAGTGTTTCCTCCATCAGAACATATTTTCTTGGAGGAGATGGTGCTTGTAGTGACTGATAGAAGATGAAGTGGGTGACATGGATGTGCAGGCATTTAAGTACTGCTCATGGGTAGAGACACTGTATATCCACCGAGACACAAACTCACCTGGGCTGAAGGTTCTTGCTCGTTTGGGACTGACTAGAATGTATGAGGTTTCAGTGCCTTGGCCCTGCCCTGGGCTGTCCGTCAGCCTCCTACCCCACATGGCTTCCCATGAGCAGCTGGGCACAGGTGCTGCTGCAGATGGCTCTCATGCTCTGTGCCACATCCTGGGCCCTAGTGTCCTGGACACTAGACAATAGTGTTTTGGTTGTTTTTTGTTTTGTTGTTGTTGTTGTTATTGTTTTAGAGACAGGGTTGCCCAGGCTAGAGTGCAGTGATGCAATAATAGTTCCCTACAGCCTCAACCTCCCGGGTTGAGAGGCAAGTGATCCTCTTGTCTCACCCTCTCAAGTAGCTGGGACTACAGCTACATGCTACCATGCCCAGCCATTTTCAAAAATTTTGGAGAGATGGGGTCTTGCTATGTTGCCCAGGCTGGCCTCCAACTTTTGGGCTCAAGTGATCCTCCTCCCTCAGCCTCCCAAAGTGCTGGGATGACAGGCATGAGTCACCGTGCTGGGTGAGTATTCTGGTTTCTTTCAGCCTCCAGGGTTAGCCCTGGGAGAGACACATATTTGGGGTCTGGTGGCATATAGCTGAAAGATTTCACCAGAAACAAGGGCCCCTGAGCTGAGGACCAGAATTTGGTCCAATCATGGTGACTCCAATGGAAAGGGGCTCCCTTTTTCCCATCTCAGAGGCCTTGCCAGGCTGCCAGTTAGACCCGCAACATACTTTGGAAGCTGTCACCTAGGCAACTGAAGGTGTGAATTTCCTCTCCTGTAGCACACACCTTAGACCAGGCTTCCCTCCTCCACGAGGAAGCAGGCATGTTTCTTAATGTCGGAGCTTGGAGGAGGGACAAGTGTTGGGGCCATGCAGAGCCTCTGCTCTCTGCTCCATGACAGCCATTCAGAAACAGATCCTGGGTTGGAAGCTTCATTGCACAACCCACGTCACAGCCAATGTTTTCCTGTCAAGAGACGTTGACCATTTGTCTGATCACAGAGGCATTTTTCCTACAGTCCTGAATTAATGCAATCCAACTCCTTATCAGCACCTGCCAGTCTGCATGCCCTTAGACTCCTGCCCTGCAACTTGTCCCCTTGCTCAGCACTCCAGCCACGTTGACCTCTGTGGCATGGCACCACCCGCCAAGCCAGTTGGTTCCCAGGTCCACACACAGGGGGCTCCTTCTCTCACTGCGCTCTCTCCTTGAGGCCCCTTCTAAATCTCCTCCCTGTCCATTGCTCCCTGTCTAACATCTCCTCCTGCTTCTGGCTCTCTATCCCATGACCATGCCATTTCCTTCCAGCATGACCATTGTCTGAAATTGTCTTATCTGTGAGTGTACTTGTCCATTGTTTGCTTTGCCTTATTAAAATGCAAATGGCTACATTCAGGGGTGTATCTGCATCCCCAAGCACAGTGTCCCGGCCCATAGAACATTTGTTACATGAATGAATTCCTAACAGGAAATAAGACTGTAGCTTCCAGAAACTCCATCTGAAATTCACAGTAAGTTGATAATGACTTTAAATGATCACTTACCTAATATGGTACAGCTGGTCTTCCCTTCGTCACTGTTTCCCTGCTTTCCCTAAGAGCTCTCTCTCTTGCTTTCTTCTTGTCCTCCCTCTCTTTCCTTTCTCCTTGGCTCCTCCCACTCTCCTCCCTCCTTCCCTTTCTACCTGCCTCCTGGGAAGCAACTAATCTGGTAGGCCGACAGGGGAAACTATCCCACCTGGTTTGCCCACACTCACCATCGTAATGATGAAGAAGTCTTTAGAGGGGACTAGAGGAGATTGCGTCCACCCAAGGAGTCCTGAGACAGGCCTGGAGCACAGGACAGCCCCTGGGATTCTCCAAGACAGCCCATCACTTCTGGGATTCAGAATCACTGTAGCTTGCAGGGTGCTTGTCAAGGGGTGAGTTTCAGGCTGGGGTGCTGGAGATGAACAAACAGTTAAACTCATCATGGGCGTAAAACAAAGACCAAACAGCATGAGCCCCTCTTGCTCAAATAGGGCCATTTTGTTTATCTTTAACGGTGTCATGCTTTTCTGATTCTTACAGGATGCTTCAGTAGAAAGTGGAAATGCTGTCTCCCGAATTTGCTGAACGATGATGTTCTGAGGAGACCTGCACTTGAGAACAAAAGTGACTACTCTTTTGTCCTAATCTTAAATCCCATCACCTTGGCTGCAACTGCTGAGTGCTGGTAATGAGTGTTGAGAGGCAATCCGAGGATGGTGATTAGGTATTAAGCCTGGGCAGGTATTAACCGAGAGGTGTGTGGACCTTTCGCTCAGCACCACAAGAGCAGATCTCTGCCAGCAAGCTTATCTGGCCATCAGCCAGGGACAGAGCTGCACTGTGGCAAAGTGAAATGTGATTTTAATGATTCTGAGCACATGGTTTCTGCCTCCAGCATGCTAGATTTGTAGACTGGCATTTTTTTTCCCTTGGGTAGATTCCAGATGTTGTATAACTTGTGCCTTTCTAAGTTACAGCATGGTAGATGGGGACTTGTCTTTGTTATGAGCATGTACAATGTGGGTCGCAGTTAAGCACTGTCAAATAGCCTCCTAAAAGATGAGTTTGTGTGGAATAAAGCACTGAAAAAGGAACCTGAGGTTTCAGTCATTTTAAAGTAGCCGGAAGATATGGATCAGAGTTCGGGATTTCTGGGAAGCCTTTTAACCCAAACACCACCCGCTCCCGGCCCCAATTCACGCACATGTGCACGTGTGCACACACACACACACACACACACACACACTGCTCTCCCATTTCATGACCCTTAGACAAATCATACCTGCCTATTTGAGGCCTTTCTCACAAATTCAGTTTCCTGAGCTTCTACCGCACACTTATGAAAATGATGCCCAGAGTCTATATGATGAATAAGCCACCTCAGTAGGGCTGCCAGTTAAAACTCAAGACACCCAGTGAAATTTCCATTTCAGATAAACCATAATCTTGAAGTACAAGTATATCCATGCAATATTTGCGGTGTACTTACATAAAATATCATTTACCTGAAACTCAAAATGTTATTTGTGTTTTTATTTGCCTAATCCAGCAATTCTAGTTTTGTGGTTCAGTAAATCGAGAGAATGCTGCAGGCCACAACCCTCCCCAGGAATTTGCAGTGCACCCTGCAGGGGTATCTAATGTCTCTAAGTCCTCGAGGAAATAAAAATACTCATACTCACAGTTGTCTATCTGAAAAATCAGATTTTCCTGGACATCTACGTTTTATCTTGCAATCCTACACGGGGTCGCCTTTTCTGAGGAATACTTAAAGAAGTGCACGTTGGAAAACATGGAATTTTAGAGTTAATATAAGTTAGATAGGGGTAATAAGGCTTCCCGGAGGAGGTGCAATTTTTACAAATAAAAGGGAGGAGAGGAGATGGGCAAACTCCCCTGGAAGAAAGCCCGTTGATCTGCGCGGGGCATAGAGAGGGGCTGGAGAGTTACTGCACTGTCCTGGTGGCCACTGGGTCTCTTCTCGAGGAGCAGGAGTGTCCCCTAGTGGAGTGGTCCTGCCTGGAGTGGGTGGTCAGAGGAGCGCTTGTCAGCCAGCATTGCAAAACCATGAGGAGACCCAGTGGGCAGCTCTTGACCCTCCTTCTACACAGGAAGCTGACTTTTGTGGGGTGTGGGCAGGAAGCCTCAGGCTACAGCTCTGCAAGACCTGCTGGAACATGCTGGCATCAGCACCTCCCTCTGAAATGCAAACCAACAGGAGCATTGTTTCTGCTTCCTTTTCTCTTCTTTTTCTTCTTCCTTCTTCTCTCCTCTCTTCTTCTTTCCTTATTCTCCTTTTTCTTCTTCATCTTGTTTTGAAGGTAATTATTTTTTTGTAAATTGCAGATTTGTTGAGTAATAATTCATGTACCACAAAATTAACTCTTACAGAGTGTACAGTTCATGGGTTTTAGTATAATTCCAAGGTTGCACCATTATTGCCACTATTTAATTCCAGAACATTTAATCATTCCCTAAAGAAACCCCATATCCACTAGCAATCATTCTGTTCTCCCTAACTCATCTGCTTTCTGTCTCTACGGATTTGCCTATTCTGGACATTTCCTATAAATTGCATCATAAACTATGTGGCCTATTGCATCTTCCTTCTTTCACTTAGCTTAATGTTTTTGAAGTTCGTTTATGTTGTAATACATATTCGTGCTTTGTTCCTTTCTATGGCTGAATCCATCACACGAATGTACCATAGTTTGTTCATCCATTCATCAGTTGAAGGGCATTTGAGTTCTTGCCACTTTTTGGTGATTATGAATGACGCTGCTGTGACTATTCACATACATGTTTTTTGTGGATGCATGTTGTTAATTCTCTTGGGTATATACCTCAGAGTGGAAATGCTAAGTCACATCAACGCCCTTTTTGAAGAACTCTATGTTTATTTAAAGTTAAATCAATGTTTAACTTTCTGAGGGTCTTCTGTTTTCCAAAGTGGCTGTACCATTTTTCATTCCTACTGGCAGTGTATGAGGGTTCTATCTTCTTCACATCCTCACCAACACTTGCTATGATCTGTCTTTTTAATTTTAGCCATCCTGGTGGGTGCAAAATGGATTCTCATTGTGGTTTTGTCTTTTATTTCCCTGATGATGAATTATATAGAGCATCTTTTTTGTGTTTATTATGGCCATTTAAACTTCTTTGAAGAAATATCTATTCAAATATTTTTCCCATTTTTAAATGGACTGTTTGTGTTTTTATTAATATTATTGAGTTGCAGGAATTCTTTATATATTCTGGACATGAGTCCCCTATTAGATACATGATTTGCAAATATTTTCGTTTCACTTTCTCAATGGAGTCTTTATTACTTTTTTTAACTTAAAACTTTACGTTTTTAACTTTCCTAATTTCAGGCTATTTTACTTCACCGTTTGGAAGTTGGTTTACCACCAAACACATTCGGGAATTTTTCTTTTTTCTGAAATTGAGAGGCACAGAAATCCTCGAAGAATAAGTTTTTAAAAGCATATTTAACATTATAACAAAATTCTATGTTTCTTAAATGGAAGAAAACCCAGTGTTTTCTTAATTCAAACAATAAAAATAAATCTTTGCAAAATTGTGTCCATTTGTAGGCAAACCAAAAAGATGTCATGGTCTATGTGAAGCTTGCCCTCCTGTGGAGGGGCCTGAAATGGGATTTATGCTTTCAAAAGCAGTCATAAGGGTTAATATGAGTGATAATTTTGCAGTAGAAGATCCTCACTGCTTTAGCCTCAGGAGATGCAGAGAAAAATATATATTTTTAATTATTTGTGATTATTCAGGACTAATGCATTGCTTTTGTTGATTGATGTGTAGAAATTTGTGCACAGGTGTATATGTGAATTAGTTTTCCATCCTGTAACCTAAAATTTTTTTTGGTTGATATTCAAGCTTTAGTCCTTGAGGGAGAAGATTCTTCTTGTGCCTTGGGACTAAGTTGTAAACTTTGACTTAAATGGAGGTTTAACTGCCAAGTTATACCTCCCATTGACCTCCCATTCCTAGAGCTGATGGATAATAGTTGGCAATTTTCTAAACTATTCCTATGGGCTTCTACAGAAAGCAGCTGGTCCCTGGGAGATTCAGACAGAGGCTGAGCTTCTTGGCTGCCTGCAGGTTCTTTCCTGGGGAAAGGAAGGGGTAAAGTAGGACCAGCTCAAGCCAGAGTGGAGTGAAAGGGGCTGTTGTGGTCCCCAGCCTGAGTCTTAGCAACCCAGGTATGCTCAGATGTGCACCTTCCTTGTTTTTTACTTTCCTCTTAGATACGTCCACCTAGGTGTGAGTTAGGGATTCTGCAAGTAAGCAATCATGTGGTCTTGGGCAAGTGTCTTCCCCTCTTCATCCACCAGGCAAGGATTAGGCAAGATCCTCTCTGAGGTCTCTTTTGGCTCAAGTATTCTTCCATTTCCATGGCAGGTTCTGTGCAGGGACCTCACCCTCCCTGCTGATATTCCCTCTGCCTTGCGGGAGGTTTATGGGGGATTTGGACAGATCCTAATCCCTGTCCCATGGGCAAACCCTGCCGTCTCTGGGGCTCCGTTTCTCAGTTAGTTCTGTGGATGCAGCTCTTGTGTGACTGTGGCACCAGCCTTAGGGTTGCAGAATTCAGGGAAGCACTAAACTGAGCCATGTTGACAAAGTGCCTGGCTGATGTCACAGGGCAGTGCAGCTGAGTGTCTTGGGCTCTTTGATTGTGAGAACTGGAGGCTGGATCTTGCTTACTCATGGAGGTGCAAGGGGACCCACTGGAAGGACATGGAAGGATGTGAGGGTTTGTTGGGAAAGGCGGGATTAGAGAGTTTCAATAGCAAAGGATGCTCTGGAGGAGGTCCAAGTATTTCCCATGGCATAAATGGATTCCAAAGAGAGGTATTCTTTTGGAAGACCATTCTGCTGACAATTCAAAATACAGAAAGGAAATGTGTCAATGGGACATCAGTGCCTTCGTCCAGATTGTCCTCTTCTGTCCCCTTGAGTGACTATGAACTTATTGACTCTTTGTGGTTGGATGGGGCTGTATGTGTTGCCTCTGGCCAATGTATTTAGAGCAAAGGTGACATGTGACAGCCTGGAGCAATATGCTGAGGGACAAGACCCTGCAAAATTTTCTTTTTATTGCCTTCCTCTTCATGAAAGCATGGACTGAAATGCAGCCTGAATCAACCTGGGTTGAGAAACTACAATTATCAAAGCCCCTCTTTTGACTTGGGATGGGCTCAAGAAAGAAAGAAACCTTCTTTACACTAAGACACTGAGAATTTGGGGTTGCTGGTTATGCAGCATTACCAAACCAAACCAGACTGATAGAGGAGAACTCTCCTTACTTGGTGTGGGTTGAATGCTCACACCTGGAGGAGAGCAGTACACCTGTACTCTCACTAAGCTCTATCCAATGGAGGCATTAATTACCTCATAGGAAATGGGTACACTATTATCAGGAGAACAAAGAATGCATGCTAGGCTACAGAAAGATAGCTGCTCACTATCATGGTCATACAATTCATCCAGGAACTAACCAATGACCTTGACCTCAAGAATGCCTGTTCCATGTGAGCAGATGAACTTCCCTTATCAGCTCACTTCTCAAGCAATGGCACATTTCCCCCTACTCCACAGCAATCTCAACACCAAAACCAAAACCAGCTTCTGACCTAGCTTTATTTATTTATTTATTTTTTATTGAGATGCCCAGGCTGGAGTTCAACGGCATGATCTTGGCTCACTGTAACCTCCACCTACCAAGTTCAAGTGATTTTCCTGCCTCAGTTTCCTGAATAGCTGGGATTACTGGCATGAGCCACCATGCCTGGCTAATTTTGTAATTTTAGTAGAGATAGGGTTTCATCATGTTGGTCAGTCTAATCTCGAACTCCTGACCTCAGGTGAGCCACCTGCCTCGGCCTCCCAAAGTGCTGGATTACAGGCCTGAACCACCGCACCTGGCCCAAAACCAGCTTTTGAATTCTAGTTGCTCTAAACAGGCCCAATCAGCCTTTAGGGATGCTCTTGGGACCTCATTTGTCACCTACTGTATTTAATTTAGTTTAAAACCACAAGATCTCCTGAAAAAAGTTTGAAATTCACTGATTACATTAAATATTAAAATACACTTTATTGCATAACATTAACAGGCTGTATTAAAATACTCAATAAATCATGTTTTGATTGTGCCATGGTTATAACATGACCAATACATGAAGAAACTTTTATGCATTTAATAGGATGAAAACGATCTCATGGCATTTCTAGACTTTTCTTCTTTCCACTCTGGCGGGTTAGTGCATTTTGTCACCATCTGACACATTTAACCATCATTTGAATCACCATACTACCTTCAAGTAGAGTGCTGGCTAATTAAAAGAAACAAGAATAAGTATATATAATAAATTCAGAAATCTTGCTAATTATGTGCATATTGCGCTATATTCGTGCTGCTAATAATTCAAAGTATAACCAACATTTTAAAAAGCCGTCATCTAATTTGCCAAGCTCTCCTAGACCCACATTTTATAACACTGCATAGGGAGAGATAGAGATAAAATCAGCTTTCTTTCTTTAATCTGCAGGAGTCATTGGAGAACATAAAAGTCAATAGGTCTCCACGTTGCTTAGACTTCAAGCATCTAGGTATTCCATGGTGTTGTTTCTTTGAATGGGGAGAAGCAGATGATCAATAGAGAAGATGGAGTCTATTTATTGTACAAGGACGGGGAGCTTGTGCTGGTTTAGATTCTGCAGGAGGGTCTGCTGGTTGATGAGATGTCTAGATTGGTCAGTATGTTCAAGGTTATTTGCTGTGGCAATGTTTGTAATAGCAAACACCTGGAAGCAACCTAAAAGTTTGTCAGTGGGATTGGGTTGAATAAATTTGAACATCCATGCAAGAATCTTCTAGGACTTTATGAAAAAGAATGAGACAGCCCTCCATGTAGCCACATGAGAAATTCTTCAATATGTAAATTTTAAGTAAACATGAAAATAATAGAACATGCTGCCATTTGAATTAAAGACAGGGGAAAGATTGTATCTTGCTTTTGTATGTATGTGTATTAAAAATTCCCCGAGAGGTTAATATCTAGAATCTACAAGGACTTCAAACAAATCAGCAAGAAAAATGCAAAGAATCCCATCAAAAAGTGGACAAATGAAATTATCAGACGTTCCTCAAAAGAAGATGTACAAATGACCAACAAACGTGAAAAAATGCTCAACATCACTAATCATCAGGGAAATGCAAATTAAGACCTCAATGAAATACTACCTTACTCCTGCAAGAAAGGTCATTACTAAAAAGTCAAAAAACAATAGATGTTGGAGTGGATGTGGTAAAAAGGACATGCTTATACACTGCTGGAGGGAATGTAAATTAGTTCAACCTCTATGGAACACAGTATGGAGATTTCTTAAATAACTGAAAGTAGATCTACAATTTAATCCAGCAATCCCACTACCGGGTATGTACCCAAAGGAAAATAAGTCGTTATATCAAAATACACGTGCATGCATATGTTTATTGCAACCCAATTCATAATTAGAAAGATATGGAAGCAACCTAAGTGCCCATCGACTAATGAGTAGATAAAGAAAACGTGGTACATACACACCATGGAATACTACTCAGCCATAAAAAAGAACAAAGTAATGTCTTTTGCAGCAACTCACATGAACTGGAGGCCATTATTCTCAGTGAAGTAACTCAAGAATGGAAAACCAAATACTGCATGTTCTCACTTATAAGTGGGAGCCAAGTCATAGGTACACAAAGGGATACAGAATGGTATAATGGAGGAGGGGAAAGGTGGGAGGAGGTGAGGGATAAAAACTACCTATTGGGTACAATGTACACTACTCGGGTGATGGGTTCACTAAAATCTCAGGCTTCACCACTGTACAATTCATCCATGTGACCAAAAACCACTTGTACCCCTAAAGCTATTGAAATAAAAAGTAATTAAAAATTTAGAAAATCATTATTTAAAAAACTATGGAAGGATACACCGGAATCTAATAACTATGCGTTTATTTGCTGCGGGGGAGTAGGACTTAGATGAATGGAAGAAAGAATGGGGGAAAGAAAGTTATTTGAATAACTTTTATAATTTCATAATAATTTTGTCTAATAAATTTTAACCAGGTGAATGCATGACCTAGTCAAATAATTAAACAATTTGACTCCCCATCAAAGAAAAGGTTGAAAAAGTGTTCAGTGATTGCAAAAAAGTGAAATAGTTCTCTTCATCCTGAGGGAAATGTGTAGGGCCCTCTACTTCCACAGGACATAGTGACTGGGTCAGGAAGGAACACAAGTCATTCTGGAATGAGGGTATTCACAAAGACCAAGAAGCTGGAGAGCTCCTTCCCAAAGAAGAGAGAGCGAGAGACTGAGGGAAGTTAGCACACAATTTTACGGTAACGACTTCCAAAGGCTAGGCTTGAAAATATTCAAATAAAATCCCAAGTGAAGTAACTCAGAAACAGAAAACCAAACACCGCATGTTCTCACTTATCTGCAGGAGCTAATCAATGGGTACACATGGACACACAAAGGGAATAATAGACTCTGGAGACTCCAAAAGCCGAGGTGGGAGGGGTGATGGTTGAAATTACCTACTGGGTACAACGTTCACTATTTGAGTGATGTCAAAGCACACTAGAAGCACAAACCTCACCCTTGTGCAATATATCCATGTAACAAATCTGCATGTGTATCCCGTGAATCTACAAAAGTTTTAAAAGGGTCGGGCACGGTGGCTCACACCTATAATCCTAGCACTTTGGGAGGCTGAAGTGGGCAGATCACCTGAGGTCAGGAGTTTGAGACCAGCCTGGCCAATATAGCGCAACCCTGTCTCTACTAAAAATATAAAAATTAGCTGGGCATGGTGGCCTGCACCTGTAATCCCAGCTACTTGAGTTGCTCAGGCACGAGAATCGCTTGAACCTGTGAGGCAGAAGTTGGAGTGAGCACTCCAGCCTGGGGAACAAAGTAAGACTCTCTTAAAAAAGAATTTAAAAAGAAATAAAAAAATAGTTATGAATGTAATCAACCTCAAGGCATTGACACACTTAGAAGCCTGCTGGGTCTGGCCAGTGAGAAATCAGTGAAGAAATAGCTTGAGGCAGACCAGAGTGTGCAGGTCCTGCTCCAAGACAGCTCTTGTCAGCCCGCTGCTGGTGGTGCTTGGGGAATGCCAGGGCTGAGGTGCTACTGAGCACATTGCAGCTTTCCCAGGGCAGGTGGCAGTCTGAATCTTATGTAGAACCTCTTGAGTTTTATGCAGATATGCTTATCAGCTATTCGTTGTTCCTTGAGCAAACCTTGCTGTGAACGTGGTTCTAATCTGGGTCTCTAAAATGTGTAAACTATGCATACAAGGACTTTCTCTAAAACATGGTTTGCAGTAGTGCAAATTGGAACAGAATCACCTGTTCTTCAACAAAGGACTGGTGTGTAAGCGCCAGAACACGGAGCTGGAGAGATGACAACATGTACCAAGGGAAAAAGTTAAGTTGAAGAACAATGTTTGCTGTGATCTCAGGTTTTGTAAGAGCAACGACAAAGCGTGTTTGTACTCCTAGATTTTTAATCGTATATATGATTATAAATGTATAATCTCCAAATTAGGTATAATATATGCAGTTCTATAAATTTGTTAAAGGTATTTCGTGTGTTTGTTTCCTTTTCTTAGGGTCTTAAGGTAAGACCCTAATATGCTTTAACCCTTCAGGGAACACCCTTCCTTTTTTCTCTGTTTTAGTTCCATCCTCCGTAATTTAGGGAAAATAGATTTTTTTCTGAAACTGTCCATGATAAATAAAACATAGTCTATCAATTGTTGTCTTTCCTTTCCCCTCCTTCCCTTTGGTTCATGTATGTGTGTATTTTGAGTTGTTTCTTGTCACAGATTTTTCTTTTTTTAGAGCAAGGATATGTGGGTAGTAAACTTTTTATGTCCGAAAAGCTTAATTGGCCATAGAGTTCCAAGTTGGCTTTTCATTTTATTTTGGCCTCTGAAGATATTATTGCGCCGCTTATGGTTGGGAAGTCTGTTCTCCACCCAGTCAATGGGCACCCCTTGGTGGTTGGTCGTTTCCCTTCCGATGGCCTTTCCTGTGTTTCTCCCTGTCCGTGGCGCCCTGCGGTTGACTGTGAGGTGTAGGGGATAGGTTTATTCTTGTTCATGCTGCTTGTTTCTTTAGGAGGCACTTTCACATCGAATTCTGTCTATTTTTGCCTTTTGTTACTCTTCTTGAATGTATCTTGGAAACTTTCTCTTCATACACATGCACAAACACACACACATCATATACTCAAGATATAATTCATGCAAAGTTTAGAAACATTCAGGCATTTGATGGAGAATGAGAGAAGTGCTGTAGGGGAAGGGGGCACATAAGGCAAAGAGACAAAATACCTTTAGAAAATTTATAGAAATGCATAGATATCATATCTAACTTAGAGATTATGCATATGTAATCATATGTATGATTTTTGTAGGGGAAGGGGGTTTCAACTGTATTTAGGGTATGCTATTTCCTTTAGAGATTCTCCGAAGGAAGGAAGAAAGGAAGGAAGGAAGGAAAGAAGGAAGGAAAGAATACTAACCATGCCTTTTTATTTTCTGTATTTCTGATGTTTTGAGATGCTGGGGACTTCACCCTGGAGGGACTGCCCCTCCCAGGGACAGGCAGTTCCTAGAGAAAATAAGCAACTCCCCTGCGAGTTCCCCTTTGGTCGACAAACCAATCAATCCAGAGCCCACACCCCGACCACTTCCTTTCCTGGGCTCTCGTAGGTTCTTTCACTTTTAGCCACCAATCACGCCAGGCCTTGCCCTAATCACCCCGGGGCCAGGTATCAGACAACTAGTGACAGCCTCTGCATGCTGGGGCTGCTGAAATTGGACAAACTAGTGGATCCTAAGCCTACATGTTTGCCTCGTCTGTTTCTTCCCATGGAAATCACATAAAGGCTCTTGTCCACCCTTTCCCCTCCCTCCCTCTTCCCCCTGTGGCCCCCTCATGGCATGGTGTCTCCTCCTCTTGGGAACTGTGCGTAACAAGCTCTCTCTTTAATAGCAAGTGTCTCCTGCTCTGCTCAATCCATCATACCTCAATAGAAAGAAAACCTACATTTCAAAATAAAAGGAAAGCAAAATAAAATATAAAATAAAATAAAAGGAAAGAGAGGTGGGTGGATCATTTGAGGTCAGGAATTTGAGACCAGTGTGGCCAACATGGTGAAACCCCGTCTCTACTAAAAATACAAAAATTAGCCGGGCATGGTGACTCATGCCTGTAATCTCAGCTACTCAGGAGGCTGAGGCAGGAGAATCGCTTGAGGCCAGGAGGCAGAGGTTGCAGTGAGCCAAGATCATGCCACTGCACTCCAGCCTGGGTGAGACTCTGTCAAAAAAAAAAAAAAAAGGAAAGAAAAAGGAGAAAGGATGGAAGGAGAGAGGAAGAGAGCAAAGAAGGAAAGGAGGGAGGAAAGGAGAGAGGAAGAGAAACAAACAGAGGGCATGATTAGAGCAGGCCATCCAGCGAGGAGGCTGCTGGAGTTGTTCCAGTGAGGGATGGTGGTGACTGGACCAGCGAGACGGCAGTGGAAGGGACAAATGTGTGCACGGGAGGCAGGTGAATGAAAATCCACAGGCCTTGCTGCTGCAGTAAATATAGGGGGTGATGGAGGAAGAGGATGGAAGGTGGCTCCTGGGCATCTGGCATGACATGCTGGGCAGCTGATGATATTTATTAAGATAGAAGAGATGGGCTGGGACTAGGTTTGGGGCCCTGGCTTGGCAATCCTAGCCAAATAATTTAACTTCACTGTGCCTCTGTGAAGATATCTCCCAAGGAGTTGAGACTAAATGAGGTCATACAATAAGTGGAAGAGCTTCAGGCCTACTGTGAGAGCTCAGTGAAAGCTGGCAATGATGGAGACAGCTGGAGCCTGGCGCCAAAGAGGATGGGGTGGAGTGGGTGGCTGAGAGCCAGTGGGGGGTGGGTTGCTGAGCAGCAGTGGTGGTCCTCCTAGGGTCTTAGCAAAGGAGAAGCATGACCAGATATCCATTTTACAAATGTCATTGTGGCTGCCATGTGCAGAGTAGGCAGAAGGAGAACAAGAGGATGTGGGGAGACCAGCTAGGAGGTCTTTTCATGCTGGACCAAAAGTGGCAGCGGAGGAAGGGAGGGGGGCTAGATGTGCAGCAGGTATGAGCGATAGTTCATGATTGCAGCATGCAATACATATTACAATTCTCAAGTTTCTTTAAATCAACTTAAACTGGACACTGAGAACCCCAGTTCCACCATCTTGCTGATGGGAAAGGCGATCTCAGATAGCAATTTAGTCCTCCTTGTCCTCATTTACTCTGCTGAGTTACACAAATGTCCTTGGATGTCACGTGGCACCAAGGTTCCAGAGTTCATGGTGGCTCCCTCTAAGATGCACTGTGTTGTCCCAGCCTGAGAGGTCCCTTTATGCCTGAAGACCTGGGGCTCGGTAACACTATTTAGGACAAAGAAATAGGCAGGTCAGGGAAACCCATGGTCCTGTCTTCCTCCCAAATCACCTCCATATAGCAGGATCTTGGAGGAGGTGCAAAGCAGGCTGTGCTGGGGAAAGACAGCAGGATGTACACAGGCCTCTTACGGGAGCTTGATGGGACACAGCACAGGTGGGGGTCAGGGCGCCGCTGGCTTGTGCTCCAGGAAGGGTGACTCACTCTCTCCTTCCACCTTACCTACTCTACCTTTTTATAGAGGATTTTGCAAATGGAGGTAGGAGACACAGTCTTAACTCATCTAATCTTGGCTGTCAGCTGCTCAGAGGCGCTGCGCACCAGCCCTGGGAGTACCATTTGCCCAAGGGAACTGCATCCTAGCAGGAGTAGAGGCCTCCTGGGACCAGTAGCTTTATCTCACACGTGACAGACAGCATTAATGAAAGCTAGCATTTATTGTGCATGTAATTACGAGCCAGTTTTGGTGCTAAGCATATTGCATATGCACCTTATTGAACCTTCACAACCACCCTGGGAGATATATGCTAGTATTATCATCCTTGAGATAAAACAAGGAAGTGGAGACACAGAGGGATTCAGTGACTTGTTCCAGCTCCGACTGCAGAGACTGTGTTTCCAACCACTCCCTTTCCAGTTTCCTACAGAGCTCCTGGGAGGCAGTACCCAGACAGCCCGGGATTGGCAGGGTCCTCTAGGGAGCAGGGAAAGTGTGCAGGTCTCTCTGCCTGTGCTTTTCTTTCCACTTTCACTCCTGGGGCTGAGTAAGATGCCCTGTGGTGGTTACAGCAGTGCCCTTCCACCTCCTGTCCCTCCACTGCTCCCCAGTTATAGAAAAGCCTGCAAATGAAGGCTCTGCTCTGGAGAATGGTCTTCCAGCTCACATTCCGGCTGAAGAAGGTGACAAGGGTTTAATTTTGCTTGCTAATTTTGCTAAACAAATAGACAAACCAACAAACAAAAGCCCTGCCAATGCCGGCATCCAACCCAGTGAGGCATTACATTTTAGTAATTTAGTAAGCAGCGGCTCCCTGGCTGTATCTCTGCCATTCTGAGGTCTTTATTTAGTGCTCAGGTCATATGAATGGGCTGTATAGAGGGGACTGGATGGGCAAAGCCAATGCCTGTGGCTATGTATTGTAGTTTGGCTGCTGCAGGGTCCAAGGATACAGCGGGTCTGCTTGGGGGCACTTCTTTGCCAGGAGGCTACTGCATCACACATCACACCGTCATGAGACCATTGAATCAACTGCAGCCACCCTCCTGGGGCTCCTGCATAAGCTGCTTTCCCAAATGATTCTTCCATTTGCAGACCATATTCCTTTTGTGGAACATGGTGAAACAATTTCCTGCCTTTGAAGAGTGGAGACAGGCAACTTGGATTCGCTGCTCACCCGCATGGGAAAAGCTTGTCCTCTCCTCTTTCACAATGAAAGGTCCCAGGCTCTGAAGACTAGAGACAGAAAGATGGACTTGAGAGAGGGCTAATGCAATGAACACTGGAGTCAGAGTCCAGAGGCCAGCAGTGCAGCTGCCCCAGCACCGACTCACAGCCTGGACAAGTGATTGCATCTGTGATGTGAGCACGTTAACATTTGCCTCGCTCTACCATGGCCCCAGTAAAATCAGGAGTGAGAAACTCAGAACCTGCAGCGTCCAGACAAGAAGCATAGATATTCACAGAGGGACAAGAGTTAGGGAGATGCTGAACTGCTTGTATTGTGAGTCACTCAAACCCTACCTGGTAATCGTTTCTTGAGAAACTGCATGAACAAACAAGATGATCAAATAAACATACTCCTTGCTGAATCAGGTCAA
This sequence comes from Homo sapiens, assembly GCF_000001405.40. Taxonomy (NCBI): domain Eukaryota; kingdom Metazoa; phylum Chordata; class Mammalia; order Primates; family Hominidae; genus Homo; species Homo sapiens. The sequence goes on along the minus strand of NC_000019.10, from coordinate 29,273,754 downwards.
GGTTCATAAAGTTGTGACCCTTGGGAATAATCCTTTATTCCTATTTAGGATTGCTAAGTGTTCTCAGAGGGCCTAATGTCTCTGATGTCACAGCTGGAAATACCTGACACAGGTGACAATGGGAGGGTTCCTAGGCAGGGAGAATAAAAGAAGTAAAGAGCCATGTTGGGTGATCCCAGCTGCCCAACTGGAGCACATTATGGAGGAGGGTGAATCATCTTAGCAGACATGTCTAATTGACGTTCCATGGCCCCAATGATGGGCAATAAGACCTCGCCAGGAAGGCTGCTGAGCCTCTTATGAGTCTCCAGCCTGTGGCAGCTCTGCCTGGAGGGCAATGCTTGCTGATGAAGCTATTCATTAATACGGGTTCATCGGTGTCCTGCAGACAGCTCTGAGCCATTTGTTTGCTTGTCAAGCTGGGTGTTGCTCTCTGCCAGGCTGCAAGAAGCTGACATTAATATTTTTATCAGCCTGACTTTGGGAGGTCAGATGGGATTATTATAGATGACATCTCCCTGATCTTAGCAAAGAAAATTGATTAAAATGTGCTGAGTCAGAAAGTCTGGCTCAACAGTTAAAAGCTACAATACATTACGGTCTGAGATCACGTCCGATCGCCTCAATTGGGGAGAAATGTTTCAGATCAGAAGACTTGAAAAGTGTGCAATTCAGGAGAATGGAGAAAAGGCCTGGGGGAGAGTGATACAAAGGGTGTGATGGTGGCCTTCCACATTAAGCATTGCTATCTTGTCAAGCGTAGCTTCCACAAATGTGACCGAGTGCATCTTTCCTACATTTTTAACCTTTAAAAGTTGTACGTTGGTGTACGCAAATGTACGTAAAGTAACTGTGATGGCTAATTTTATGTGCTAACTTGACTGAGCCATGGAGTGCCCAGATACTTGGCTAAACATTATTTCTGGGTGTGTCCATAAGGGTGTTTCTAGATGTCATTAACGTTTGAATCAGTGGACTGAAGAAAGCAGGTGGCCCTCTCTGGTGTGGGTGGAGCTTGTCCAATCAGTTGAAGGCCTGAGTAGAACAAAAAGCTGAGTAAGAAAATTCTTTCTCTTTGCCTGACTGTCTGCAAGCTGGGACATCGGTTTTCTCCTGCCTTCAAGCACAGACTTGCACTGGAATTCGTAGTATCAGCTCTCCTGTGTCTGTACTTCTCAGCCTCCATAATTGCTTGAGCCAATACCTTATGATAAATAGCTTTCTAAATATCTATCTATCTATCTATCTATCTATCTATCTATCTATCTATACATCCTTTTGATTCTGTTTCTCTGGAAAATTCTGACTGATACAGTATGTATATACAAAGTATGTAAAAACAAATGATCAAATCAAATAAGAGCCAAAGAAAGTTCTGGAAGGCCTCCATGTAGGATGGTGCCACCTTAGAGATGCATGAGTACTTAGAGAAAATCTAGTCCATCTTTTGCTTTGCAAATGGAGAAACTGAGGTGCAGAAAGTGGAATGCCAGGTACCTTCCTGCCCATGCCAGGCACCTTCTTGAAAACTGAGCTGTGACTAGCATCACACCTCCTGAATTTGAACCTTGTGTGCATCCGCCTGCTTGCACTCACACATGTACATGTAAACTTTCACACATTTATGCAGGCACAATGCACACACACGTGATACATGCATGCATGGTCGCACATGCTTTCACACATGCTCATGCGAGCACATGTACCTACATGACCACATGCACATATGCACACTCATGCACACATCTTCACCCCAACCTCTCTAGAAGCATGAGAGATAATGCCACCATATCACAAGTGCCAGCTGCTTACTGTGTGTGCCACACACTGTGCCAAGTGTTTTAAATAGACTCTAATCTTCACAATGATTCTAGAAGTAGGGCCAATCTTGTCTCGATTTTATAATGAGAAAACTGAGCCTCAGAGAAGCCAGGCAACTTGCCCAAAGCTGCACAGCTGGTAGGCAGCTCAGCTGTCTGACTTTGGAACCTGTACACTTATGCCTTCTTGATGATAAAATAGGCTGTGGGGGCTCAGTGATCAACCTTGGAGGACTTTGGCTTTCAGATCCTTGAGGAAAAGCCAGTTAACTGAGAGATCATTAAGCATCACTCTTAGGGCAAGGCAAAGCACCCTTCCTGTCACTGACAAGATGACTAGAAGAAGTTTCCACAGCCCCGTGTCTCTGGGATTCTGTCAGTGACAGCACAGCGGGTGAGAGGTCACCAAGGGACATGGAGGGGTCAGGGCACCACTGGATGGCTGTGGCTTGGTCCCACAGGGATGCCTGTGGTGGCAGAATTCTAGGGTGGCCCCAAGACTCCTGCCCCAGGTATGCACAGCTTCTGTGACTCCCTCCCCTCAAGCGTGGCAGGAACTGTGAATATGTGAACTTGGTGGGGTATCATTCTCATGATCACTGTGTTGAATGACTAACAGATGTGATTAAGGTCACTAATCAGTTGAGTCAACAAAAGGGAGCTTCTCAGAGTGGGCCTGACCTAATCACATGAGCCCTTTAAATCTGGGTCTAGAGGTCACAGACAGGGAATTCAGAGAGATTCAAAGCATGAGGCATGTTCCTGCAATGCTGGAAGAGGCCAGACATCAATACTGTAAACCAACGACAGGAGCCTGAGTCAGGGAACAGAGGGTGGTCCTAAGAGCTGAGCATGGGCCCAGCAAGCAACTAGCAAAAAAAAAAAAAAAACAAAAAAAAAAACAACTAGGGGCCTCAGCCCTACAACCTCAGGGAACTGAATTCTCACAACAAACTGAATGAACTTAAAAGAGGACCTCAAGTTCCAGATGAGAATGCAGGCCCGGGGGCCCCTCAACTTCAGGCTCGTGAGACCCTGAGCAGAACCTGGGGCCTGGATTCCTGGACCATGGAAAATGTGAGTTAATAAACATATTATTTTGAATGCTAAATTTGTGGCAATCTGTCATGTAGCAATAAAAAAACGAATACAGCATCCTCAAGTGGCATCCCTGGGCTCTGCAGAAGTGGCGTCTCCACCCCCATCTTTCTGGCTCAGCATCAAAGCTGGAAGGCACACCCCCAGCTTGGTTTAATGTCTTGTTTCTGCTCTCTCAGCCAGTAGGAAAGTCCCCCAAGGGTAAGCACAACTGAGACAGCAACGAGGATCCTGATGATGTCCACATGGCCTAGAAATTCTAGGATCTCTGGTTCCTTCAGGAGGGTTTGCTTGTACCTAGTAAGAGGAAGGAATTTCTATGCACGCAAACCCAACCTGTATGTGAGAAGTTCTGATGTCCCTGGGTATGTGCTGTGGCCTCTGTTCCTGCACTTGTTCATTGGGAACGTGATCTTCAGGGGCTCCGATTCAACTCCCGTGATTCCCGGGCCACGACTGCAAACACTTTGTGTCAGCTGCTGGATTAAATCTTCCTCCTAAGAGAATGTTAAACTCTCTCATTCTCCATTACTTTAAGGTATTTTTAACTTCTCTACTTTGTTGCAGTTTTTCTTTGGCACTTTCTGGGTGTTTTTACTTTTTCTTTCTTTTTTTTGCCACTTTTTAAAGCACTTTCATTCAGGGTTTTCGTGAAGTCCTGAAGCAGTTTTTAAACTTTCAGCCTTGAAACTCTGTTCCCGTTGCAAGTGTGAGGGAAACACAATAAGACCCCATGTCGGGAGGGGCTGCCTGTGTGCCCCACAGTGGCCCTCCCTCCAGCACCTGTGGGGGAAGGCTCACCTTTTCCTCTTTGGTGCCTATTTTGAGAATTGTCACAGTAGCTAAAATAAGAATCCAGCGTATGCCGGGTGTGAGAGCTGGCAGCCACAGCGGGGGGGGGGGGGAAGGGGGGGCGGGTGAGGGAGATGGCAGACGGAGCCCCCTCCCACCAGCCTGACAGAGGGAGCCGCTGGCCCATAGGCCTGCAGGACAGAGCTCAGCTTTGACACGCCCCTTCCCACGCTCCACTTTGGCCGCCTGGTTGTCACCCCCGTCCCAGTGGACCCCAGAACAAGATCACACCTACACAGGTTTTTTCCAGGCCATAGGCCCCCCCGGTGAGGCCTCACCTCCTTCTCTGGACTTGGAGGGGAAGGCACCAACTGCTAGATGTCATCTCAGCAGCATCGAATGTCACAACGAATGTCCATTTCTGGGCCTCGGCAGTGGCTGTTCCCTCTGCGTGGGCTGCCGCTGCTCCAGATGCACCCAGTGCTACTCCTTTTCAGCAAATGGCTCTTCTCTGCTGGGGACCAAGCTGCAAAATCCCCCACCTCTCCCCCATGCCTCTTTTTTTTTTTTTTCATGGCACTTACCTTGTTCATTTTCTTTCTCTTCCATGACCGTGAGCAGAAACTCTTGTAGCCACTGCACCTCTAGCTGTAACTCAGCCTGAGCCTGGCACAAGGAGCAGCTGTTGGAGCAAAGAAGCCATCGCCAGTCCTCCGCGGAAGCTTCCCTGTAGCTTCCAGCTTCCAGTGGCGGGGAGCTCACCGCCTTGCAAGCCGCCCTCCCCCAGCTCCCGCGTATGCTGAATCCAGTCTGGAGCCCTCAAAGCAAGCCCAGAGCTGTCTCCCGTAGAGGGAACGCCTTTCCTGGAGAGCAGAGAGACTGCTGAGCCTGCCCTTAGAATGGCCCAATCCCAGAGGTCAAGTCCTGGGGCTCCCTGGAGCCTTCTGTTTCCTTTCCTGTGCTTTAGGAAAATGTATGCAGTGTCAGAGTGGCACTGCGATGTCTCCTCGCCCTTCCACACAGAGCCCCAAATCCAGCAGGCTCTCTGGGCTGAGTCCTGCCCTAGCAGGCTCGAGCATGAGGAAGCTGGGCGGAGGCAGAGTAGGTCTCCAGCCCGCCTCCGGACCCTCGGGCTGTACCCATGCAGATCTGCTCCATGGATGCCGGCCACCTCCCTGTCTAATGCCACTGTATATTCTGCACATATTCTCGCTGCTGACAAGGCCATCCATTTGCGTTCACAAAGACTGTTCGGCATTCTAGCAACTCATAGGAAGTGGGAGCACGTTCCCATCACGTGCACTGGGGCTTCGCGGAAATGCTTCTCTCCTGGCAATAAAAAGAAGAAAGAGGAGGAAATGACTATTTTCTGCAAACACAGAGAAAAACTGGCTGGCCAGGGTGCTCCAGTGCGCACCGTTTCCCACAGCTGCTCGCCCCACCTGGGAAGCTTTGCCCAGGTGGCCTTTTCTCCGGTCTCTATCAGAGGGGACTGAACCAGGGAAGTCGCCTCCCTGCAGGCAGATCTCGTGTTTAGAGAGGCAGATTTGTTCACCTGTTATGCAGGCTGGACGCCTCGCAGCCCCTCCATCCCTCTCTCGCCCTCTCTCTCCACGGGTCCCATCAGTCTGTCTCGGGGTCTGGGCCGCCCTCCCTGGAGCTGCCCACAGTCTCTCCTTCCCCATAGCCTCCCCCGCGGGCCTAGCCTCCGTACTTGCTTCATGACGCCTGCCACCGTTTCCTGAATGACCTCCCCGTTTCTGCACCCACCAGCCTCCCACCACTGTCCACACTGCAGCCAAGCTCTCCTGTGCCGGCTCCTGTCCCTCAAGCCCCGCGGTGTGGGTAGCCAAGGGAACTGCAGACATTCTGGATATTCTGTATCAGACGGCGCCCCTCTGCTGCCCACTCTCAGCCTCAGATGGAAACTCCTTCTGTGAACTTACACATCAACAACAACAAAAACCAGAAATAATCCCATTAAAAGGTGGGCGAAGGACATGAACAGAGATTTCTCAAAAGAAGACATACATGCGGCCAAGAAACATAGGAAAAAATGCTCATCAGCACGAATCGTCAGAGAAATGCAAATCAAAACCACAATGAGACACCATCTCACACCCATCAGAATGGCTATTATTAAAAAGTCAAAACATCACAGATGCTAGCGAGGCTGTGGAACAAAGGGAGTGCTTATACACTGTTGGTGAGAATGTAAATTAGTTCAGCCCCTGTGGAAAGCAGTTTGAAGATTTCTCGAAGAATGAAAAACCGAGCTACCATCCTACTCAGCAATACAATTGCTGCGTCTGTACCCCAAGGAAAATAAATCATTCTACCAAAAAGACGCCTGTACCTGTACGTTCATGGCAGCACTTTTCAAAATAGCAAAGACGCGGAATCAATCTAGGTGCCCACCAATGGTGGGCTAAGAAAAGTATGGTACATCTACACCATGTAATACTATGCAACTCTAAAAAATAATGAGGGCCAGGCGCGGTGGCTCATGCCTGTAATCCCAGCACTTTGGGAGTCCGAGGGGGGTGGATCACGAGGTCAGGAGATCGAGACCATCCTGGCTAACACAGTGAAACCCCGTCTCTACTAAAAATATAAAAAATTAGCCAAGCGTGGTGGCGGGCACCTGTAGTCCCAGCTACTTGGGAGGCTGAGGCAGGAGAACGGCTTGAACCTGGGAGGCAGAGCTTGCAGTGAGCCAAGATTGCACCACTGCACTCCAGCCTGGGCGACAGAGTGAGACTCTGTCTCAAATAATAATAATAATAATAATGAAATCATGTCCTTTGTAGCAACATGAATGCAGCTGGAGGTCATTCTCCAAAGTGAATTAACACAGTAGCAGAAAACCAAATACCACATGTTCTCACTTGTAAGTGGGAGCTAACACTGGGTACTCATGGACATAAAGATAAGAACATTAGACACTGGGGGCTGCTAGAGTGGGGAAGGAGGGAGGGAACAGGGTTGAAAAACCACCTGTCAGGTACTGTGTTCCCTATTTGGGTGACGGGTTCAACAGAAGCCCAAATCTCAGCATCAGGCAATACACCCATGGAACGCACCTGCATTTGGACCCCCTGAATCTAAAATTCAGGGGGCTGAATTTTAGAGAAGCTCATCCCATGGCTCACAGGCCCTACCTGTTCTAGCCTCTGCCTCTCTCTTCCCCCTTGTCACTCCACTCTTGTCACTCAGCTTCCTCTGCCTCCAGACCAAGCCAACCACATTCCTGCCACAGGGCCTTTGCGTGTGCTGTTCCCTTTACTTGGCTCACACTCTTCAGACTGTCCCTGGCTGACTTACTCATACAATTCCAGCACTGCTTGGCAATCTCCTCTTCAGGATGCCGCCCTGGCCACGCAGCCACTCTGGGTGTTCTTCTCAGCCCTTGTCACCAGCTGACATGCTCTGGATTGTAGGTGGCTGCCAGTTTATTGGTGTCTTGGCGTGTGTCTGCTGATCTCTGCATCCCTCTCACCAGGAAGAGTATTTGGCATGTGATATGGATCCACAGCCCACACAACCTCACAACCCAGAGAGGGATGCAGGGCACAGCCAGCCCTGGATTGCAGAACCATGGGCTCTGCTTTGTGAACTGCTCACCCCAGGGTGTGAACAGACCTGCATTTTCACACTAAAACAGGAGACCTGATTGTTTCTTGGGCACTTACTCAGTGGGCAGCATTTCCAAAGGTGACCCTGGAAGGAGGATGAGACCTGGGGGCTGGCAACAGCAGCAGTGGAGGGTCTGCTGACAGGCATAGGCCATGCTCTGTGTCATCTGGGGTGTGGCACCACGGGAGGAGCAGCGAGTTGACGGTGACAAATTCTCTGCCAGCATGGTTTCAAGGGATGCTGTGAGCTCCCAACCTGGAATGGCAAGCCAGTGGGACGTTTATTAATTGTGCTGTGCTGGAGGAGCAGGGAAATGGATTTGGATCCTGGGGAGGTGCAGTATTGACATTGGAGAGCCTCTTTTTGAAATGGATGGGTCATTTCTGAGGATGGAGGCAGAGCCCAGGAAACTTTAAGTGAAGAAGCTCAGACTCTTTGGGGCATGTGTCTGTTCAACACTTTCTCTGAGCATTGATTATGGGTCCGGCTTTGAACGAGATCTGTTAGGGGCTCAGAAAGGCGACACGGAGGGCCCTGCCCCAGACAGTGCACAATCTGGAGTGGTGCTGAGTCTGGCCTTGATCAGGAGTCACCCTGCAGAATAAGCAGCTGTGTGTTGGGGCCTTACATGAATGTGGACAGAGAGACAGCCTGGAATGTCCAACGCACATCCAGGAGGCAGAACACTAAGATGAGAGGTACCCTGTCCTTTGCACGCAGGCCAAGGTGGGAGATAAAATTCAGGACTTGCTCAAAAGTGGGAGCAACCCTTGCCCCCCGCATCTCTCTCCAGGCTCCAGGAGGAAGGAAGCCCCCATAGGAGATGAACCCCGAGGAGAGAGGAGGCCATGTTTCCTTCCAGTCAAGGAGAAGCGTTAGGAGTGGGGTGGGAGTGGTGCAGAGAGAAACTGGGAACATCCGTCCTCCAGAGACCCACATTCCAGTATGGACACATTCAGGAACACAACCCACACCATGTAATGTGGTCTTTCCCAGAGGCCCTGGGACCTTCTTTTCTTTTCTTTGGGACTCCATCCCTCCCCCAGAAGTCAACAAGAATGATGGTGGCAGAGCCACCTTACTCGGTAATGTGAGGCGATCATTGCACGCCACCACTGTCGACCCTTTGCACAGACAAATCACATCCACCCCAAGCTTGCGTGATTGTTTTTTAAATAGTGGTGACCGTGTTTAGCGAACACTTTTTATGACATCACATTGTTGACCTCAATCTGAGGAGATGGGGGAGCTAGCCCCATTTCACAGATGCAGCGCTGAGGTTCCGGGATGTGAGGTGAGGTGATCACAGGCTCACAGCCTGGGAAGCGCAGAGCCTGGGAAAGGCCCACATGGTCTAGCTGCAAGGTCTGTGCTCAGGGCCCCACAGCAGCTTGCAGATGGACAGAACTGGGCCTCATGGACAACATCAGAGGACTGCTTCAATGACAGCTGAGAGTGATTTGTAATATCATTAACTGCTTTGTTTAATTTGTCCCTGAAAACAATTTATCTCTTATCTAATTTAAATCTGTCACACCCTGTAGACATGTGAGGACTATTAAAAAACCCTTTCTTTACAGATAGTGGATGCCAAATGCTAGCCTAACCTTATCCATGCCATTGCACAAGCAATGGCAATTAACACCTGCTCACTCCCCTACAAGAAGGAACCCACCCACCGTTGCACTTCCCTGGTGATGCTAATCTCAGTCCCCTCTCCACTCCCAAGCATGTCCGTGTTGTTCTAATAATCTCAGCAATTGATGGTAAACTCATAGGCATGAATTCTGCCTCCACCACCAAGTTTCTCTAGATTTGACAATTGAACAGACCTCTCTTTTATGCCCTGTAAGATGAATGCATATTTATTTTTTTTGCTGTTAAGGGGTGAAAATGGGAACAAGGAACATTTTATTTGCCTGTGTGATGTGTTTCTCTGCATTCTGCAGTGAGCTTGTCTTTTCTTTCTTCCGCATATTAGACTGGGGGCCTTTGCTGTCAGTTCTATTTGATCCACTCCCTACATTGCTAGCCTGGTCTTGTCACATACATGCTACATAAATGAATAAATGATAAGCTTCTTTCAAGAATTTTGCCTTATTGAATTCTCTATTCTTAAGATTGATTTTATTTTAAAACCAAAATTTAGCAAAAAAAAAAAAAAAAAGAAAAAAGAAAAAGCAGCAGATCACTGGCTTAAATTAGCTTATTTTTAAGAATAGAATTGTCTTTTAGAATAATGCATGTAGACACAGCCAGTGTTAGAAGAATGATTAATTAATACAGGTGCAGGCACAAAGGCAGAAATTCCCTGGCTTGGAAGTCAAGACATGCAGCATCTGCATCCTCCGAGGAATTCCTCTGTGGCCTGCTGGAAGGGAGGGGACCTTCTGCCCTGCATCAATGAGATAATGAGTGATTGCATCGGCTCAGCGTCTCAGGATGCAGCACGCCTCTGTCAAAAGATTCTCCTTCCAGAGTGGAATTTCCAAGGGAATACAAACGGTGCATTTACTGAATCAAAAGGCATAGGAAGGGAGAGTTGAAAGGTTGGGTGTGGAACATCTAGATATTTAGGCAGTCCCTCGGAAAGAAAAAGGAGATTTGGAATGGGATTAGCCTGGAGGGCATCATTGACTAGCAGTGGTGCCTTGGGCAAATTCTTTGTCTGTTTCCTCATCTGGAAAATGGGGATAATGATGTCCATGAAGATTAGGGAGCTCTCCCAGGCTGCAGCGGGACCACGAACCTGAATTCCACTTTCAGCCAGCAGGGGGTGTCTGGTGCTTACTTCCCCAACCAAAGGGTGTTTCTCAAACCTGATTCTATAGCTCACAAGGACCTGGAGTTGACACTTAAGGTGACAGCTGCCCCTTCCTTCACCCTGGAGGGGTTTGGGGTGATGCTGTGGTTGCTATTCTTATCACTGGTGAGCAGGAGGGAGGAGTGAAGTGTGAAGTCAGCTGGGCTCCAGGCAGTGTCAGGGGGAGGGGAAACCATCATTTGGTGGCAACTGCAGCCTTGGCAGTAGGGGAAGAAGAGGTCCCAGGAACCAATCACAGCCTGAACCAGCTGCTCTTCATCCCAGTTGGCATGAGAATGCCCAGCTGAGCCAGGGAGGTATTTAGAGACAGGATTACACATGACGTGCAGAAAGGAGAACCAAGGGCAGAAATGAACCTCTAGCTGTCCTTGTCTTTCCCCAGGAAGCCTCCCTTTTCTCTCTGGTTCTGGAACTAAAGCCATTTTCCTGGGTGATTGTGGGGCTTGAGATATCCTCTGGGCACAGAGCAGTGGACTGGAACCATGTCCTTGCCAAAGTGTGTCCAGAGAGGGGCACGGGGCAGAGCCCCGGATTGCAGAACCGTGGGCTCTGCTCTGTGGACTGCTCACCCCACAGTGTGAACAGATGCTGCACTTTCACACTAAAAGAGGAGACCCAACTGTTTCTTGGGTGCTTACGCAGTGGACAGGATTTCCCACTGAGGTGTCCACATGCATAGCTTCTTCTGGCCCTCCTGTGGCTTTGAGCATGCAGGAGTCATGTCATGACCACTCTGCAGTTGAGCATCTTGAGTCTTACAGGATGAATTGTCTGAGTGGAGGAGAACTTTGGGTTCATGCTCACCCACCTTGGAAGAATTTAACTCCACGCCTGTCTCACTCCGTGACTCTGGAAAAGTTATTTGAGTTATATTCCATCCTCCTGTGTCCTGATCTGTCAGCTAAGAAAACGAAATAGGACTTAGTGAGTGAATGAATGGCAGTGGCTACTACATTCTCAGTGCTAGAAAGGTGCAGGAGAAAGGTCACTTTCCATTCTTTCTATCCTTAGATTTGTGCACGTACACACATTCACACACACCAAGTTTGAGATCGTTTTGCAATTAAAAAACAAGGGAAGGCCATTTTGCATCCCTGAGCCTCAATTTCCTCATCGGGAAACTGGGGATGATAATCTAAACAATAATAATTAATAATAGTAATGGTGACAGTTTCATATTCAGCACCTTCTCAGCACCAGGTATTAAGTGTTTTACATACATTATTATGTTGTGATAATTAAATGAGGTAATGCACATAGAAGTACTTAGTACAGTGTCTGGAACACAATAAACACTCCATAAATGTTAGCTAATGTGGTGATTTCTGTATTCAGTGTGGATGATGTCATTGGCTGGTGTCTCATTCTTGGCCTCTGTTAGACACACACTAATGTACACACACAACTACACACCACTAGGGTTTAAACATCTTTTTATACTGTTTTATCAAACGATTTTATTCTTTTACTACCCAGATGAGAGTCCCTTGAGGGTAAAGGATAAATAACCTCCCAAAGTGTTTTTGCTTCTTCTTGTTGTTTTGAAACAGAGTCTCTCTCTGTTGTCCAGGCTGGAGTGCAGTGGCACAATCTCGGCTCACTTCAACCTCCACCTCCCAGGTTCAAGCGATTCTCCTGCCTCAGCCTCCCGAGTAACTGAGACTACAGGCATGCACCATAACGGCCAGCTAACTTTTATATTTTTAGCAGAGACAGCATTTCACCATGTTGGTCAGGCTGGTCTCGAACTGTTGAGCTCAGGTGATCTGCCCTCCTCGGCCACCCAAAGTGCTAGGATTACAGGTGTGAGCCACTGCACCCAGTCTTTTTCTTATTTTTCTCTACTTTTTTTTTTTTTTTTTTTTTTTTTGAGACAGAGTTTCACTCTTGTTGCCCAGGCTGAAGTGCAATGGCATGATCTCGGCTCACTGCAACCTCTGCCTCCCGGGTTCAAGCGATTCTCCTGCCTCACCCTCCCAAGTAGCTGGGATTATAGGTATGCGCCACCACGCCTGGCTAATTTTGTATTTTTAGTAGAGACGGGCTTTCTCCATGTTGGTCAGGCTGGTCTCGAGCTCCGGACCTCAGGTGATCAGATTATCTGCCTGCCTCGGCCTCCAAAGTGCTGGGATTACAGGCATGAGCCACCATGCCTGGCGTTTTTTCTACTTTTAGGATTCATCTCAATGAAAGGCCAAAGCATACACACTGCAAGTTCTTTGCCCCTGCATGCAGCCTCTGCTAAACGTGTATAACCTGGTGTCTTCTAGAGCTTGCTACCCCTAAAGAGTTTTTGAAAACATGACAGAGAGTGACACTGCTTGTCAGCTGCAAGTGCTGTCATGGCCTACTGCCTACTGATTGGTTGTTCTTCCACTCTTTGCTAAGCAGTGAGGAGACACAGTCTCTCCCCAGGTATCCTAAAAGCTGATACTCACCTTGGCTGCCTCCCAATCTGCTCACAGAATGGAAAATGCAGCCGGAGTGTCAAGCTGCTGACCACACAGATGGCATTGAGATGTTGCATTTGTGAGACTCTGGAACCACCCAGAGCCCCAGCTTATGGGGACCCAAGGGAGATTACATGCGAAGAGGGACACCCCTTATTAGTGTGAGTTATTGCATTAAAATCTGCCATTGCTGTGGCTACTAAAATGGATGGTGTAAGGATATCACACCAATTGATAAGTCAGTTAAAAAGGTGGTCAAAGAATTGTGTCTGAGTAAAGAATGCATGGACACAATAAAAGTGGTAACAGCAAAAACAAAAACTAATAAGCAAATTTAAAAAGTATTACCAGCTAATATTAGTGAACATTTACTACTCACAGGTGCCCTGTCGACACTGTTTCAGAGACCATAGATAGATGGGTGTTATTATTACCCCCAACCAGCAGGGGGGGACACAGTGCTGTAGAGAGGGAAGGTGCTGATGTTCAACCGCCAATCAGCACCACTTGCCTGTGTTGCACAACAAACAAGGCAATGGAGTTGGCATCTGAGCCCCAACAGTGCGATTTCAGAGACAAAGAGCTGCCCATTGTCCAGTGGGAAGCAAACTTGCCAATGCCTGGGCCTAGTAGGCACACACACACACAAAAACTAAATGATTTTGAATGAATGAATGAATGAGTGTTGCTGGTGGGCAGGCATTTTGTCTTCTTCAGTCTGTCTCCCCAGTGCCCAGCATATAGTTGGCTCTCAAAAAGATCTCTGTGCTCAGCCCCAACTCCCTCCATGAGCAGCCCCATGGGGTCCTCACTAGCTTCCTGAGTGCTGTCTACTTCTCCAGCACAGAGACCTGTCTGGGCTGGACACGAGGGTCGGGTCTGCTCCCAGGGCTACTCAGATTGTGTGACAGCAGGCTTGACGCTGAGCAGGCCAAAGGGCACACAGTTGCAAAAGCCAGATGGTTGTTTCTAAATCCAATTCCCTCCTGCTGCCAACCTGCTCTGAAATACAATCCATCACTCACCATGATAGATGTCTTTGAACTTGGGAACTCAACTCTTGAGAAGCAGAGGAGGGAAATTGAATACCAACCCTCCCTGCTCCCCCCAGAGAGGTTCTGTTGTTGCTGGAGGTGGTGACAGCTTGGAAAATGGTGTCACAGCTCAAATTAGTGCTGAGCAGGCATGGGGCACTGGTGTCTTCAGGGACGGCTGCTCCCACGCAAGGCTGAGACAACCTGGGACCCAGTCACCCACATCGCCATCAGCATTCCCACAGCCCTGGCTTTGGTTTGGAAATCAGACATTTCCAAGGGCATCCTGGACTAGGGGAGAGAGAACCTGCAAGTCAAGAATGGCACAATAGAAACTACAAGGGGACCTCTCTTTATGTTCCGGTTGTAAATACGTACTCATATTAAAAATGTTTGTATGTAAATTGAATTCTTATAGCACTATTTTTCTTATTATTACAGTAATGGAGGTTTGATTAGTTACAATTCTTCTTGTATCAACTAATAGAAGCACTCAAGTGAGCCCAAGCAAAAAAGATAACAAACAAAACAAAACAAAACAAAACAGAATGGATGGTTTCTAGGAGAGGGAATTCTAAGGTGAGGACGTGTTTGAGCTAAGCAGGCCTTGGAACAGGAGAGCCCTGTGGTCTAGCCTGCTGCTTTCTGCATTTGCCCTGCTCCCCTCCCACTGGTGCAAGACATTCCACTTTCTTAGCCCCTTCTCCCTCCACTAGGAGGAGCCAGCTAACTTCCCACCTTAGCTAGCCACCTGCAGAGGATCTGATTTGCCCAGGAAGGGCAAGGTGTCTGCTGCTTCTCCAGTTAGCTGTGTCCAGGGAGGATGGGGTATAAAAGGGCTGCCTTGGAGGGACTCCTCCCTGTGAATCCGTATGGTGGTTTCTGGAGAGGCGGATGGTGGCTGATTGGCTGGACAGATGTACTCATAGGAGTTCATGACAATTTTTGCTCTTTGCAAGGATTTAGGAAAATATCAGAAAGTGAAAGAAGAAAATGAAGCACTGCATTTCCTTCACTGCTTGTAGTCACGTTCTAAGATTTATTCAACCTTTTCTGTAATTTTTCTTCAGTGGTCAATGGTGAATCTTTCAGTTTCACTACCTCACAACAACTCTGTGAGCTTATTTATCCAGCTGGATTTTCTTAAGCACTTACTGTGCACCATTTGGGGGACAAGATACTGCAGAGAACAAGACAGACAAAGCTCCTGCTCTCATTGAGCTTATAAACTACGGAGAGGGTGAATCACAAGTAATGAAACAGCTAGATTATTTTACAAAGCAATAAGCACTGTGAAGAAAATGAAACAAAGAAATGAAGAGAGAGCCTGGGGATGGAGGGTGACCACAGATGGAGAGGTCAGGGGAGGCCTTGCTGAGGAAGGTGCCATGAATGTCAGAAATCATGCGGCCCTGTGCAGGGAAGAGCATCGCAGGCCAAAGGGCAACGTGCAGCCTGAACCAGCAGAACCACTGGGGACAATAAAGGAATGGGTGAGAGTCCAGGTGGCAGAGTCACAGTGAGAGAGACACAGAGTATTCTGAGACGAACCTGCAAAGATGGAAATGGGATGTGTTTGTGAAGATTTGAGCAGAGAAGTGACCTGACTCCATTGACCTTTTCAAAAGTTATGTCCAATTCCTTCACCAACCTGGGTCTTACCCCAGAAGCACCAGGGGAGCATTATAAAAAATACCTAGGCTTTATCTACCCAGACATTAAATATTAAATCAAAATATTTAGGAGTAGAGTTTGAAACTGTGTGTTTTTATTCATTTATATTTATTCAAGTTTAAAATAAACTTTATTGTACATTTTAAGTTTTAACAAACACTCCCCTGTGACCACTTCCCCCCAACTGAGATGTAGCATATTTTAATCACCCCCAAAATTCTCTTTTTTTGCAGACAATCTCACCCTCCATTCTTGGCCTCAAGCAAACACTGGGATGCTTGGAGTCACTGCAGATTAGCGTGCCTGCTCCAGAATTTCATGTAAATGGCATCAATTAGTCTGCACTCCTTGTGTCTGGCTTTTTTCACTGAGCACAATTATTTTGAGACTTTTTATTGCTGGATAACACTCCATTATATGGCCATGCCACAGCTTCTTCATCTGTTCACACTGATGGATGCTCACTTCAGTGTCAAGTTTCGCAGAAATGAAAGTGTTAGGAACATTCACACACAAGTGTTTGTATGAAAACATCTATGTTTTCATTTCTTTTTTTTTTTTTTAAGATGGAGTCTCACTCTGTTGCCCAGGCTGGAGTGCAATAGCACGATCTCGGCTCACTGTAACTTCCACCTCCCAGGTTCAAGCCATTCTCCTGCCTCAGCTTCCAAATTAGCTGGGATTACAGGCACCTGCCACCACGCCCGGCTAATTTTTGTATTTTTAGTAGAGACAGGGTTTCACCATGCCGGCCAGGTTTCACCACGCCCGGCCCTATGTTTTCATTTCTATTGGATAAATATTTAACAGTGAAATCATGGGTTTACATGAAACGTGTATGTCTTTTTCATGTGTGTTTAATTTTTAAAGAAACTGTCCATCTGTTTTCCAAAGTGATTGCACTGTTTTACATCCCACCAGCTGTGGCTTAGATTTCCAGTTGCTCCACATTCTCCAGACAGTGAATACTTTCACATTTCAGACATTCTAGCATATATAGTTATTTAATGAGTAATATTGGTCTTTCCCTGAAGTTTCTCTGTCTGGCTTTGGTATCAGAAATATGTGATACCGGTCAGGCATGGTGGCTCACACCTGTAATCCCAGCACTTTGGGAGGCAGAGGTGGGCAGATCGCTTGAGGTCAGGAGTTTGAGACCAGCCTGGCCAACATGGTGAAACCCCGTCTCTACTAAAAATACAAAAATTAGCTGGGCGTGGTGGTGCACACCTGTGAGCCCAGCTACTCGGAAGGCTGCAGCAGGAGAATTGCTAGAACCTGGGAGGTGAAGTTTGCAGTGAGCCGAGATCGTGCCACTGCACTCCAGCCTGGGTGACAGACTGAGACTCCATTTCAAAAAAAAAAAAAAAAAAAAAAAAAAACGTGATACCAAATATCTGACTCTAGTTTCATGAAGCTGGGTCAGAGTGCCATTTCTACTCTTCTGTTTTCTAGAAGAGTGAGCATAGAGGTGTACAGTTGGCATTATTTCTTCTTAAATGTTTGATTAAATGCACACGTAGAGCCATCAGGCTCTGAGCCCCCTCTCCTGTAAAGCCCTGGCAGCTGGTTTCTCCCTATAGCTACTCTCTATCATCTACCCATTCACATACCTTTTGCTGAGTCTCTCCTATGCACCAGGCCCTGGCCTGGGTGCCAAGGATTCTAACCCTGCTTTTCAAGGCTGAGGCTTGCTGTGAGCTGCTCTGCCCCTCCCAGGGCCAGGAGGGCACTGGGTGGGATCATAGGAGCTGGGTTCACTGGATCACAGCTGGTTTCTGTTGATTTGTCATTTTCATTCTTCACGAAGGCAGCCTGGCATGGTGGATCTTCTCCAAAGAGATGAATTGATTATGAAGTTAATGAAGCATCAGACCCTCTCATCTGCTGGCAGCTTGGGACTTCAGCAGAGCTTTGGGTGGGGAGGAGGGCCAGGGCGCTATCATAAAATGTGTCTGCAAAAGTATTTCTGGCAAATTGCCTAAAGAAATCTGAAAAGGGGCCTGAATGTCTAAGCCTCTAATATTTGTTGTGATTTATGTTCTCATAATAGAAATTCATTTTCATACAAAATTTAGTATTTATAATATTATACTCTTTTTCTTAAACTGGATCCCCAGATTGTATAAGATTCATGCCTTGCAAACCTGGATCTCCCTGCGCTGACTCTACTTAGGTCACCCTTGCTAAACAGAGAGCCAGCCCTCAAAATGGCCCTTCCCGTCCTCCTCCCTTTGCCTAACCTGAATAGCCCGCAGCCCCAGGCCCAGCCCTTAGCTTCACAGCGAGCTCAGCGTATTCAGTTCTGTGGGTAGCAGGTGCTCAGTTAACCTTAACACAGATGTTTCTTCTGAACTTCCCAATTAACTGAGGAGGGGATGAAGGAAGGATAGAACGTGGCCTGCCCTTATGAGCTGACCCAAGGATGGTGAGTGTATTAGTCTGTTCTTGCATTGCTATCAAGAAATATCTGATGCCGGGCGCAGTGGCTCAGGCCTATAATCCTAGCACTTTGGAAGGCCAAGGCAGGTGAATCACTTGAGGTCAAGAGTTCAAAACCAGCCTGGCCAACATGGTGAAACCCAATCTCCACTAAAAATACAAAAAAATTAGCCAGGCATGGTGATGGGCACTTGTAATCCCAGCTACTGGGGAGGCTGAGGCAGAAGAATCGTTTGAACCCGGGAGGCAGAGGTTGCAGTGAGCCGAGATCTTGTCACTGCACTCCAGCCTGCGCAACAGAATGAAAATGTATCTCAAAAAAAAAAAAAAAAAAAAAAAGGGTGGGGGTGGGGAGGGGCGTTCCAAGATGGCTGAATAGGAACAGCTCCGGTCTGCAGTTCCTAGTGTGATCGATGCAGAAGATGGGTGATTTCTGCATTTCCAACTGAGGTACCTTGTTCTTCTCATTGGGACTGGTTGGACAGTGGGTGCAGCCCATGGAGGGTGAGCTGAAGCATGCTGGGGTGTCACCTCACCCAGGAAGCACAAGGGGTTGGTGGATTTCCCTTTCCTAGCCAAGGGAAGCTGTGACAGACTACCTTGAAAAACACGACACGCCCGCCCAAATACTGCACTTTTCCCAAGGTCTTAGCAACCGGCAGACAAGGAGATTATCTCGGGAAGTCCCACGCCCATAGAGCCTTCCTCACTGCTAGCCTGGCAGTCTGAGATCGAACTGCAAGGCGGCAGCCTGGTTGGGGAGGGGCATCTGCCATTGCTGAGACTTGAGTAGGTAAACAAAGTGGCTGGGAAGCTCAAACTGGGAGGAGCCCACCGCAGCTCAACAAGGCCTACTGCCTCTAGATGCTACCTCTGTGGGAAGGGCATAGCTGAACAAAAGAAGACAGACAACTTCTGCAGACTTAAACATCCCTGTCTGACAGCTCTGAAGAGAGTAGTGGTTCTTCCAGCACAGCATTTGATTTCTGAGAACAGACAGACTGCCTCCTCAAGTGGGTCCCTGACCCCCATGTAGCCTAACTGGGAGACACCTCCCAGTAGGGGCCGACAGATACCCAGGCAAACAGGGTCTGGAGTGTACCTCCAGCAAACTCCAACAGACCTGCAGCTGAGAAACTTGACTGTTAGAAGGAAGCATCAACATCAACAAAAGGTCATCTACACCAAAACCCCATCTGTAGGTCACCAACATCAAAGACCAAAGGTAGATAAAAACACAAAGATGGAGAGAAACCAGAGCAGAAAAGCTGAAAATTCTAAAAATCAGAGCACCTCTTCTCCTGCAAAGGATCACAGCTCCTCACCAGCAATGGAACAAAGCTGGACGGAGAATGACTTTGATGAGTTGACAAAAGTAGGCTTCAGAAGGTCAGTAATAACAAACTTCTCCAAGCTAAAGGAGGATGTTCAAACCCATTGCAAGGAAGCCAAAAACCTTGAAAAAAGATTAGACGAATGGCTAACTAGAATAAACAGTGTAGAGAAGAACTTAAATGACCTGATGGAGCTGAAAACCATGGCACAAGAACTTCATGACACATGCACAAGCTTCAATACCCAATTCGATCAAGTGGAAGAAAGGGTATCAGTGATTGAAGATCAAATTAATGAAATAAAGTGAGAAGACAAGGTTAGAGAAAAAAGAGTAAAAAGAAACAAACAAAGCCTCCAAAAAATATGGGATTATGTGAAAAGACCGAATCTATGTTTGATTGGTGTACCTGAAAGTGATGGGGAGAATGGAACTAAGCTGGAAAACACTCTTCAGGATACTATCCAGGAGAACTTCCTCAACCTAGCAAGGCAAGCCAACATTCAAATTCAGGAAATACAGAGAACACCACAAAGATACTCCTCAAGAAGAGTAACCTCAAGACACGTAATTGTCAGATACACCAAGGCTGAAATGAAGGAAAAATTGTTAAGGGCAGCTAGAGAGAAAGGTCGAGTTACCCACAAAGGGAAGCCCATCAGACTAACAGGGGATCTCTCAGCAGAAACCCTACAAGCCAGAAGAGAGTGGGGACCAATATTCAACATTCTTAAAGAAGAGAATTTTCAACCCAGAATTTCACATCCAGCCAAACTAAGCTTCATAAGTGAAGGAGAAATAAAATCTTATACAGACAAGCAAATGCTGAGAGATTTTGTCACCACCAGGCCTGCCTTACAAGAGCTCCTGAAGGAGGCACTAAACCTGGAAAGAATCAACCAGTACCAGCCACTGCAAAAACATGCCAAATTGTAAAGACCATTGATGCTATGAAGAAACTACATCAACTAATGAGCAAAATAACCAGCGAACATCACAATGACAGGATCAAATTCACACATAACAATATTAACCTTAAATGTAAATGGGCTAAATGCCCCAGTTAAAAGACACAGACTGGCAAATTGGATAAAGAGTCAAGACCCCTCACTGTGCTGTATTCAGGAGACCCATCTCACATGCAAAGACTCACATAGGCTTAAAATAAAGGAATGGAGGAAGATCTACCAAGCAAATGGAAAGCAAAAAAAAGCAGGGGTTGCAATCCTAGTCTCCGATAAAACAGACTTTAAACCAACAAAGATCAAAAGAAACAAAGAAGGCCATTACAAATTCAACAAGAAGAGCTAACTATCCTAAATATATATGCACCCAATACAGGAGCACCCGGATTCATAAAACAAGTACTTATAGACCTACAAGAGACTTAGACTGCCACACAATAATAATGGGAGACTTTAACATCCCACTGTCAATATTAGACAGATCAATGAGACAGAAGGTTAACACAGATATCCAGGACTTGAACTCAGCTCTGCAACAAGCAGACCTAATAAACACCTACAGAACTCTCCACTGCAAATCAACAGAATATATATTCTTCTCAGCACCACATCGCACTTATTCTAAAATTGACCACATAATTGGAAGTAAAGCACTCCTCAGCAAATGTAAAAGAACAGAAATCACAACAAACTGTCTCTCAGACCACAGTGCAATCAAATTAGAACTCAGGATTAAGAAACTCATTCAAAATTGCACAACTACATGGAAACTGAACAACTTGCTCCTGAATGACTACTGGGTAAATAACGAAATGAAGGCAGAAATAAAGAGGTTCTTTGAAACCAATGAGAACAAAGACACAACGCACCAGAATCTCTGGGACACATTTAAAGCAGTGTGTAGAGGGAAATTTATAGCACTAAGTGCTCACAAAAGAAAGCAGGAAAGACCTAAAATCAACCCCCTAACATCACAATTAAAAGAACTAGAGAAGCAAGAGCAAACAAATTCAAAAGCTAGCAGAAAGCAAGAAATAACTAAGATCAGAGTAGAACTGAAAGAGATAGAGACACAAAATACCCTTCATAAAATCAATGAATCCAGGAGCTGTTTTTTTGAAAAGATCAACAAAATTGATAGGCCGCTAGCAAGACTAATGAAGAAGAAAAGAGGGAAGAATCAAATAGACACAATAAAAAATGATAAAGGGGATATCACCACCGACCCCACAGAAATGCAAACTACCATCAGAGAATACTATAAACACCTCTAAGCAAATAAACTAGAATATCTAGAAGAAATGGATAAATTCCTGGACACATACACCCTCCCAAGACAAAACCAGGAAGAAGTTGAATCTCTGAATAGACCAATAACAAGCTCTGAAATTGAGGCAATAATTAATAGCTTATCAACAAAAGTAAGTCCAGGACCAGATGGATTCACAGCCAAATTCTACCAGAGGTACAAAGAGGAGCTGGTACCATTCCTCCTGAAACTATTCCAATCAATAGAAAAAGAGGGAATCCTCCCTAACTCATTTTATGAGGCTAACATCATCCTGATACCAAAGCCTGGCAGAGACACAACAAAAAAAGAGAATTTTAGACCAATATCCCTGATGGACATCAATGCAAAAATCCTCAATAAAATACTGGCAAACAGAATCCAGCAGCACATCAAAAAGCTTATCCACCACGATCAAGTTGGCTTCATCCCTGGGATGCAAGGCTGGTTCAACATACACAAATCAATAAATGTAATCCATCACATAAACAGAACCAATGACAAAAACCACATGATTATCTCAATAGATGCAAAAAAGTCCTTTGACAAAATTCAACAGCGCTTCATGCTAAAAACTCTCAATAAACTAGGTATTGATAGAACATATCTCAAAATAACAAGAGCTATTTATGACAATCCCATGGCCAGTATCATACTGAATGGGCAAAAATTGGAAGCATTTCCCTTTGAAAACTGGCACAAGATAAGGATGCCCCCTCTCACCACTCCTATTCAACATAGTGTTGGAAGTTCTGGCCAGGGCAATCAGGTGAGAGAAAGAAATAAAGGGTATTCAATTAGGAAATGAGGAAGTCAAATTGTCCCCGTTTGCAGATGATATGATTGTATATTTAGAAAACCTCATTGCCTCAGCCCCAAATCTCCTTAAGCTGATAAGCAACTTCAGCAAAGTCTCAGGATACAAAATCAATGTGCAAAAATCACAAGCATTCCTATACACCAATAATAGAGAGCCAAATCATGAGTGAATTCCCATTCACAATTGCTACAAAGAGAATAAAATACCTACGAATACAACTTAGAAGGGATGTGAAGGACCTCTTCAAGGAGAACTACAAACCACTGCTCAATAAAATAAAAGAGGACACAAACAAATGGAAGAATATTCCATGCTCATGGATAGGAAGAATCAATATTGTGAAAATGGCCATACTGCCGAAGGTAGTTTATAGATTCAATGCCATCACTATCAAGCTACCAATGACTTTCTTCACAGAATTGGAAAAAACTACTTTAAAGTTCATATGGAACCAAAAAAGAGCCTGCATTGTCAAGACAATCCTAAGCCAAAAGAGCAAAGCTTGAGGCATCACGCTACCTGACTTCAAACTATACTACAGTAACCAAAACAGCATGGTACTGGTACCAAAACAGAGATATAAACCAATGGAACAGAACAGAGGCCTCAGAAATAATACCACACATCTACAACCATCTGATCTTTGGCAAACCTGACAAAAACAAGAAATGGGGAAAAGATTCCCTATATAATAAATGGTGCTGGGAAAACTGGCTAGCCATATGTAGAAAGCTGAAACTGGATCCCTTCCTTACACCTTATACAAAAATTAATTCAAGATGGATTAAAGACTTAAATGTTAGACCTAAAACCATAAAAACCCTAGAAGAAGACCTAGGCAATACCATTCAGGACATAGGCATGGGCAAGGACTTCATGACTAAAACACCAAAAGCAATGGCAACAAAAGCCAAAATTGACAAACGGGATCTAATTAGACTAAAGAGCTTCTGCATGGCAAAAGAAACTACCATCAGAGTGAACAGGAAACCTACAGAATGGGAGAAAATTTTTGTAATCTACCCATCTGACAAAGGGCTAATATCAAGAATCTACAAAGAATGCAAACAAATTTACAAGAAAAAACAAACAACCCCATCAAAAAGTGGGCAAAGGATATGAACAGACACTTCTAAAAAGAAGACATCTATGCAGCCCAACAGACACATGAAAAAATGCTCATCATCACTGGACATCAGAGAAATGCAAATCAAAACCACAATGAGATACCATCTCATGCCACTTAGAATGACAATCATTAAAAAGTCAGGAAACAACAGACGCTGGAGAGGATGTGAAGAAATAGGAACACTTTTACACTGTTGGTGGGAGTGTAAATTAGTTCAACCATTGTGGAAGACAGTGGGGCGATTCCTCCAGGATCTAGAACTAGAATTACCATTTGATCCAGCAATCCCATTACTGGGTATGTACCCAAAGGATTATAAATCATGCTACTATAAAGACACGTGCATACATGTGTTTATTGCAGCACTATTCACAATAGCAAAGACTTGGAACCAACCCAAATGTCCATCAATGATGGACTGGATTAAGAAAATGTGGCACATATACACCAGGAATACTATGCAGCCATAAAAAAGGATGAATTCATGTCCTTTGCAGGGACATGGATGAAGCTGGAAACCATCATTCTCAGCAAAGTATCACAAGGACAGAAAACCAAACACCACATGTTCTCACTCACAAGTGGAAATTGAAGAATGAGATCACTTGGACACAGGGCGGGTAACATCACATACCAGGGCCTGTCGTGGGGTGGGCAGAGCGGGAGGGATAGCATTAGGAGAAATACCTAATGTAAATGGTGAGTTGATGGGTGCAGCAAACCAACATGGCACATGTATACCTATGTATCAAATCTGCAAGTTGTGCACATGTACCCTAGAACTTAAAGTATAATAATAATAATAATAATAAAGAAAAACAGGAAGAAAAAACATCTGAGACAAGCAATTAATAAAGAAGAGATGTTTAACTGACTCAGAGTTCCACAGGCTGTATAAGAAGTGTGACGGCTTCTTGGGAGGCGTTGGGAAGCTTTCAATCATGGCGCACAGCTGAAGGTAAAAGGGAAGCAGGCACGTCTTACCTGGCCAGAGCAGGAGGGAGAGAGAGAGGGGAAAGGAGCTACACTTTTAAATGACCAGATCTCGTGAGAACTCTATCATGAGAGCAGCACTAGGGGGATGGTGCTAATCCATTAGAAACCACCCTCATGATCTAATCACCTCCCACCAGGCCCCACCTCCAACTCTGGGGATCACAAGTGAACATCAGATTTAGATGGGGACACAGATCCAAACCATACCAGTGAGGCTGTGAGTCTGGGCTATGGACAGGAAAGTTTTCTTTGCTGGGCACCATCTTGAGAGAGGACAGAGGGCTTTGGGTAGTCAGGAAAGACTGCCTGGAGGAGGCAGAAATAGAGCTGAGGCTGAAGAGGAGCAAGACTTGTGCTGAAAGGGAGAGGAGAGCAGGCAGTCGAGTGAAGAGGGAAAGAGCCCTGAGGAGATCCTGGCTCAGAAATGAGGCAGGGGCCTGGGCAACCCCAGCCTGGCAGATGGAAGCAAGGTGTGTGTGCAATAGGGAGAGGTCAGGTGAGGAGGCGAACTCCCAGGCTTCTTTTTCCATCTAGCCAAGCTACTTTTCATGTTGTTTTACCATATGTGTTTTCAAATCCATGCACACAGAAAGACAAATTCAAACAGCACAATAGGGTCAACAGTGAAATGAAGGTCTCGCTTCCCTTCCTGCCTCCATCCCCCAGCTCCCAACTGCTGGCCCACCTGTTCCCACCGAGCACCTTTCCAGAGCTGTTATAAGCCAATGCAGACGTATTGAGCTCTTCCAGCCTGGAGCCACTGCTCTGCAGCTGCCTGTGCCCTGGACATGCTGTCCTGAAGAGCTTTCTGTATCCCTATCTATGCGTCCACAGTGACTACATGCTTTTTACCCCTGGAGCTGCCTTAGAGGGGGCACCACGGAGGGATTGCTTTGTTTTGGAATCGGGCAGAGCTGGGCTGTAACCTAGCGCCATCAGGTGTCAGCTGCAGACCCTGGCCAAGTTCTTGGCCTCTAATCCATGGTTTTCTCATCTGTCAAATGGGGAGGACAACAGCCCCCTCCTCAGGGGCTGTGATGAGGATAAATGAGAGAATGCGTCCAAAGCCCAGGTACACAGCCAGGCACAGAGGATACTCCCCATCGGTGGTAGCTGCTAGAACTCACCCAGAGAGAAAGGAGCCTCGAGGCGCCCACCTGCTCTTCTTTCCCCAGGGACCCTGCAGACAGAAGGAGTCACCCCATGCCAATCTCACAGCTGGCCCTGCACTCCCGCTCCTTC
Source organism: Homo sapiens (assembly GCF_000001405.40). Taxonomy (NCBI): domain Eukaryota; kingdom Metazoa; phylum Chordata; class Mammalia; order Primates; family Hominidae; genus Homo; species Homo sapiens. The sequence continues at coordinate 29,248,211 of NC_000019.10, read as the reverse complement.
TCCCTGCAGTGTTTTCTGCTGTCACTGCCCACGAGTTCCCTCAGGAGGGAAGGAATGACAGCTAAATGTCAGCCAGGCAGAAGGGCCACTTTCTCTGTGTATTCTGACTCTTAGATTGGACTCTGTTCAAGCCAGAGGCCGGGGAGCTGGGACGGCATCTTGGGCTCTGCCCAGGCGGGTCCCCGCCCACATTCAGCTGGCCACGTGGCCGAGGGCTTCACACAGAAACAGCACCACGCTGGGGTCTCATGTGGAGATGAAAATGAAGGGATAAATATACAGGTTTAATAATCTTCTGTCATTTTGACAATCTCTGCTGCTTGCCTGTGATATTTTAATCCACTTTGCACGCTTTTGACATTAAGAACTTCTGACAAAGTTTCACTGGGAAGATGTCTTTTTATAATGGTCCTGTACTATGTCTGTGATTCTAAACACAAATTTATTTGCTTTTATCACTTTGGACTAAAGAGAAAGGAAATGAACCATTAGAAAAAAGGCTTCTATACTTCTCTCCCCGCATAATTCTCCCCTGGAAGCAGCCGTCCCTCTCTTTTATCTTTCTACTCTGTGCTTGCAGGCACAGCCCCATTATCTGCTTCCGCACCGCCTTTGAGGTTAATATTTCAGTTCCGTCCTTCCGTTAGCTATGGAGATGAATTAAATTAGTGCCAGCAGGAGGAGAGAATTAAATAAACTGTAAAATAATGCCAACTTTCCCGTTTCTCCGCACCATCCTTGTACCCAAGCTAAATTTTTAAATGAGGTCTATAGGGATTCAAAAATACTTGTCTTTACTGATAAACAGAAGTTCAGACTGCTCAAATTGTTTCCAAACCATGTTCATTCATTCATGCATTCATGCATTTATTCCTTCATTTGGCACCCACTCTGTGACAGGTGCAGTTCTAGGCCACAGGGTGGAGCGTGGAGCAGGGCACTGCCCCTCAGCAAAGGACAGGTGGAAGGGGTGAGGCACCCCCAGCATCTGACATGGGGCAGGAGCGGCAAAAATGAAGGGAGATGCATCACTAAAGGCCTCTTAGGCCTCTGCAAATAGTAAGGATTTTATCCCTGTGAAATCAGAAGCCATTTGCAGATTTTAAGCAGGTTGTGGGTGTGTGGCAGGGCAAGAGTGGCTGGCGGGAGTCCAGGAGAAAGAAAGGAGCTGGCCAGGCACAGTGGTTCGTGCCTGTGGTCCCAGTTACTTGGGAGGCCGAGGTGGGAGGATTGCTTGAGCCCAGGAGATTGAGCTAGCAATGAGCCGTGATTGCACCACTGTGCTCCAGCCTGAGTGACAGCATGAGACTCTGTCTCTAAAAATAACCATAATAGTTAAAAAGAAGGAGCAGCTGTCCAGGTAAGAATGATGGGGCTAGGTCTAGGCTGAAGGCAAAACAGGTGGAGAGGAAGGGGCAGATTTAGGGTGTATGTGGGAGTGAGATGCCACCACAAGAGGGAAATTGATTACTTTTTTTTTTTTTTTTAATTTAGAGACAGTCTTCCCTTGTTACCCGGGCTGGAGTGCAGTGGTGCGACCATAACCCACTCCTGGACTCAAGTGATCCTCCTGCTCAGCCTCCCAAATAGCTGGAACAGGCACATGCCACCATGTCCAGCTAATTTTTTAAAAATTTGGTGGTCTTGCTATTTGCCCAGGCTTAGAACTCCTGGCCTCAAGCAATCCTCCTGCCTTGGCCTACTGAAGTGCTGGGATTACAGGTGTGAGCCATCACGCCTGGCTGTATTTTACTTTTGAGAAAGTTGTCTGTCTTGCTGTCATCTGGGTTGGCTTACCTGAACACCAGCCCCCATCCCACACCTACAGAACAGCTGTCAGCCTGAGAAACGGATTTTCAGGGGACCCCCAGGGTTGTGGGGAAAGGTGTGGATGGAGGGAAGGTGAAACTGCCCAGCAGCCTAGGTGTCATGTCTGCCATCCTGGTGCTGCTCCTGTCCTCCCGCTAGGCAGGGAGATGGGGAAGGTGGAGAGACAGAAGATGCTGACCACGGTCTTTTTTTTTTTTTTTTTTTGAGACTGTCTTGCTCTGTTGCCCAGGCTGGAATGCAGTGGCACGATCTCAGCCCACTGCAACCTCCGCCTCCCAGGTTCAAGCAATTCTCTGCCTCAGTCTCCCAAGTAGCTGGAATTACAGGCGCCCACCACCACACCCAGCTAATTTTTGTATTTTTGTAGAGAAGGGGTTTCACCACGTTCGCCAGGCTGGTCTTGAACTCCTGACCTCAAGTGATCTGCCTACCTCAGCCTCCCAAAGTGTTGGGATTACAGGCGTGAGCCACTGCTCCTGGCCCCGTGCACCTTTTAATTGCTCCCCGTTTGGACTTCATAGGGCCCTATATCTGAGTTTCTTCCATTTTAGGCCCAGGGATAGGGTCTGAGGAAAGCCCTCCTCTTCTACCTCCCACTGCCTGGGCTACACAGGTTAACACTTGTTTCTACCTCGGTATCCTTCGACCTCATCAGTCTTCAGCTTCCTTCCCCCAAACAGCCCATCTGCCTCCCAGGCCTGCTGTGACACTCTTTGGAGATGGGAGAAGTGGCATTCCTGGTGTGAGGGCTCAGCTGCAAGGAGGCACTCACTCTGAACAGTGCTCTAGATTGAGGGGAATTCTTATGAACACTGAGTGGACTTCCACCAGGGGTTGCAAACTTAGCCGGCCACAGCACCCAGGCAGTAACTGAGAGCAGTGAAGGCAGGTTCTGTAGCCTGCTGTAAAGACTAGCAGGGCAAAGCTAGGGACATGCCTCTCTGGCCGCAACCCAATTTTACCAAGGAAGCTGGGAACCAGAATGTCTATGGGAACTCTGCCAATATTTCATGCTGACAATGAATCCACATTCGAAGATCCAGTGCAGTTACTCTCCGTCCATCGGAGGGCTGAATTTGATGTGTTAGTCTCCTTGTGTGATCACTGCCTGCACTCACATTTCACTGTTCTCCAGCGCAGAAGTACAGATTTATTAGTGAAAATTTGTTCTGGCTAAGAAAACTACTGAACAACCCACCCTTTCCTCCTCCTGGGAGACTCATGAGTAGAGGCACTAATGATACTCACAGGAACTCAGAGGAAATAGCCCTGCCAGTCTTCCATCACATGTCTCTGGACATGGAGATTGGTTCAGGAATGGGCATGTTGCCCACTTTACCTGAGTCAATAAGCTATGATGAAACTTTTTTTGGGAGTCCTATGCGGGGGGGTGGGGCTTGCTTACTTGCTTAGATGAGAGGTGAGAGCTTCAAGAACCATCCTGCAACCCCTAGAGGACAGCTTATCTGAAAATGGAGGCTGCAGGAGAGAGAAGCCAGAGGGAGAAGCCAAGCTCTGGGGACATCAGTCCAGCCCCTGGATCCAGCTATGAAACTGAAGTTCTACCCTAGGGTATTTCAGTGATGAAGTCCCCTTTAGGCTTAAGTCAGTGTGCTTAAACTTTCTGTCTCTTAGAATCAAAAGTAATTTAGCAGATATAAAAGGATACCTACCCATTCTAGAATAGGATGAAGGTAGGTCCCGAGGAGAGCTACAGGCATTTGTGTAGCCCAAAGTGACCAGCGCAGAAGTCCAGGCAAGAAGGACCATTCTACTAGTGGCAGAGAATACAGCCAGCACTGGAGGCCAACACATGGGAGGTAACTCAGAATACAGGGAGGAGTAATTCACAATGGCTCTACCACCAATCTGTCTGTGACTTCTGAAAAATCACCCTCCCTCACCCCTGGACCTTAGTCTCCAAGTGTGTTACAGTCACAGATGCCGTCCAGTCATTGGCTGAGTGGCTGCTCTGTGTCAGGCACTCCGCTAAGTGCTTCCTTACCTGGTCCAGTGGCATCCTTCTGGCAACCCGTAGGCAGTGCCGCTGTGCTTGGGCCACTTTCCCAAGGTCCTCATAACAAAGGGGCAGTGTCAGGACCGACCTCAGGGGCAGGCAGCTCTGAAGGCCCGGGATGTTTAGGACAGGAGGCCAGGGCACCCTCAGAGGGCTGTGGAAGCAGCAGCCATGGCTGGCTTGAGGGAGGAGTTGTGGCGTCAGCTCTGAAGCACAGAGCTGTTTATGCAAACTCTGCTCTGATAGATCACGCTCGTGGGATTTTGCGTGTTCTTTGTTGGAGGAATTTTTGGAGCTGTCACTGGGTTAAGTTGAGAAGTAAAAAGTAGTGGGGGAAAATCATATCATTAAATATTCATCTATTTTCTTTGTTTTAATTAGATTCTTTACCCTATAGGCAGGTAGAAGGACAGGGCCTTCAGAGGCCTCTTTGTTGCATTTAAAAAAAAACTTTCACGCAATCAGTACAATAATTAAGAAGCACATTTTCTTTTTCCTAGCAAAAGGAACTAGTTATTTCAGCCTTGTGCTGATTGATCCATTTTTATGAGCAGTTTTAAAATCCTAGATGCATTTTGTGAGTCATTTAAAAGATGGCCTGGGTGAAGCCATGCATATCAACTGTATATTGTCCCAGCAATGGGTGGGGGTCCTGGCCACGTGGGGATGCTCCCCACAACAAGATCCCAGAAGCCAGCTCTGGCGTCACCCAGGACTCTTTCGGCATCAGCCACGAGGAGTTGCTGATAAGTATGCGTGGGGATTCTGGAGAACTCAGTCTGCTTCAGGCTCAAGCCCTGCTCTCTCTTTCCCTAGACTGCGTCCTCAAAATGTTCTCACTGGGAAGGGGCAGCCCCCTGCTTCCCTTTCACCCCTGGCCTAATTCCAATCCATCTCTACCTGTACAAAATCTATCAGCCCTTCAGTGCGCAGCTCAGCGGCACCTGTGCCATGAAGTCTTACACGCTACCCAGGTGGGAGCGCTGTGTCCCCTCTGGGCCCTCCCGGCTCTTTGTCTGAAGCCTTCGAGCCTGGCTACCCTCTGTGGTCTGCCTAGGGCTGTTGCCTGGGATGTCTTCATTGCCTCTGGGTGGAGGAAGATCTTCTTGGTGCTTGGTGAGTGTCACATGGGGAAGGGAGGAAGTGAAAGGAAGGAAATGTATGGGAGACAGGGAAGAAGGAAGGAATAAAGTCCCTTACTGTCTGATATTTTGAAAAACAGGGAGATTCATTAAGTATAACCTCTCCTTTCCAGGGAGGGCAGGTCTAGGTGGTAGAGGGGGTGTTTTAGCTGAGTGGAGTGATGGGTGTGGAGGCTGAAAGATGGGAAGGACCAGCCTGGCAGCTGGAGAGGAACTCGAGACGGGATTGACCAGTTTTAAAATGGATTTTATGAAATTATTTCCATTATGCGTGGATCCCTGTCTTGCCCCAATGTGTTCAGTGAATGATCAATATCCTGCTAATGTGTGGTGAGGATTTGGGGTCTCTGAGTCGGGAAAGACTGCTCACATGGCTGATTTTGACTTCGAGGGGGACCCGGGCAAGACGGACCGTGGATGTCTGCTTCTCTCAAGAGTCACAGCCTGAATCTCCTCTCTCGGCCTGTTTCACTCTTTCCTTGGCTTTCTGGGGACACTGTAGCAGTCAGGCTGCCCGGGTTCAATTCTAGTTCCCCCGGAGTCCTAGTTGTGTAGTCTTGAACATTTTACTTAACCTCGTCGACCTCTGCTTTTTCATCTGCAAAGTAGGGCTCACAATAATTCCTTAACTTAGAGGTCAACACAAAGCTTAAATGCACTTAAATGGCCATAAAATATTTAAATGAGTGCATGGCACAAAATAGAATGTTAGATGTTATTCCCTCATTCTCTCTCTTTTCTAATCTGAGGGCATTGGAAATATGTATGGAAACCTTTAAAAATATTCCTGCTAAGGTTGCCAGATAAAATACAGAACTCCCAGTTAAATTTCAATTGCAGATAAATAATTTGAAATGAAAAATTTAAATCCTACATTTTTAGCTGCTAAATGTGGCAACCCTAATTCCTGCCCTTCAACCCTAAGATTTCACTTCTGTGAATCAATTATAAGTAAATAATCTTACATACAAAAAAGTTTTATGTGAGGATCTTCAAGCGTTTTGAAAGTAAGTGTTGAAAATTTGAAAAATATATCCACTGGTAGGAAAACTGGTAGGAAAACGGTTAAATAAATGAGGGTCTATCTGCCTGATTGAATATTATAGAGTCAAACATTTTTGTTCCTGAAGAATATGCAGTAACATGGGGAATGCTTACGACATAAGAGAAAAAAGCAGGGAATACAATTATGTAAACTGAGGGTTTAAAACTCTGTAAAAATGATCCTTAAATACAGAAGAATACTGACAGGAAAATTGGTTAAATGTTAATAATGGTTATATCTGCATGGTAACATTATGGCTTTTTTCTTTTTTCTACTTCTGTGCACATCTCAAATTCTCTGTAATAAGCAAGAACTACTTTAGCTATAAAAACTGCTTCTCTATATTTGTGACTTGGGGGAAGAAAGAAGGAGGCTGGGTGCCGGGACGCTTGGGTCCTCATGCTGGGTCACACTGATGGTGTGGCCCTGGCAGAGTCACGTTGCTTCTTGGGACCTCTATTTTCTCATCCATAATATGAGAGCTGGACATATCAGTCTACACAACCCCATACTGCCCTAAAAATCTTTTATTCTTCTGGATTATTATTATTATGATTTGCCTCTTCTCATTTATTCTCTTTCTTAATTTCCCTCTCCTTTTCTCCTTTCTTTTCCTTTCTTTCCTCCTTTCTTCCCTCTCTTTTCTCCTTGCTTCCCTTTCTTAATTTCCCTCTCCCTTCCTTTCTCTTGTCTTGCTCTTTCTCATTCTCCAACCTGCTCAGTGTCAGAACTCTTAACATGCAAACATCAAACTGCTGCCAAATTCCAACCAGCCTATAAAACAAGCAAGATTTATTCCTACTGGAATAAACTGTTGGAAATCAAGGAAAGCACAGCTTCAGGAATGGCATGATCAGGGTGCCCTATTTTGCTTGATCTCCCTCTGGGTCCTTCTGTGTGTGCTGGCTTTGGCCCTGGGCTGACTTCCCTTTTTGCAGCCATAGTTGTTCCCACAATTTTAGGTTTCCTGCCTGCACATCACAGAATCCAGTTGGTGAGTGTTCCTGTCTCAACATTGCAGAAGGGTCACCTCTAAACTAATGACCAGGTCTGGGAAATGGAATACCTGAATTTATTTCAGCCACTAAAAGCCCCAATCTGGAATTCTGGGTCGGGCCATGAGCTGAGGTGGATTCCTGAAGAAAAAGCTGGGTATCAGTAGGAAGTGAACAGAAAAAGGACCCTGGGTTGGCACCCCCAAATGCTCATTACATCAATCGGCACGCATTTGGGGGCATCAGCTGATCCCCCAGCACCGCGCAAGGCCTTGGGATCAACTTGGGGGAGATCAGATGATTTACCTTCCTCAGTAGCATTTCTACTCACCTCCCAGAGCAAGTGCAGAGCAGCTTAGGGCAGGAGATGGCACTGTTGAAGCCATTTCTGGGTCTTAAATCAGATGTGTTTCTGTGTGTGTGGATTATCTGGGTGGAGGCTGCCATTGTCTCACTGGCTTTGTGTGTTTCTAGCATGATGGGACCCCTGGGATATGAGGGGGTCCTAAGCACCCTGACCATCTTCTCCCCATAGTTGAACTTCCCTGCCCTATTCTAAAGTTGCACACTCAGACAAAAGCCATGTTCTCCCCATCTCTCTCTTCTTTTTTATCTTCCATCTCTAACTTACAAAGTCATTTTTTAAAAAAGTCCATGTTCCCCTGCTGAGACTTTGCCTAATGAAGTATTTTATACTATTCGATCCTTTAAAAAGAATGAGGGTGAGTGTTTATTAAATTAATTTTTGCTTTAATGTATTTCCTCCATATTTCATGCTGTGGACACAACTGTTTCTGCAAATGACTTTTTCCAAGATGTCTGATTTATTTTTAATTGCCTCTGTCCCTTGGGTTTGTTCCACGCTACAATTGTTATTTCTATTTGTGTGGTGGTTAAAGCCTAGAGATACAACAGGTAAAGGCTTCTCCCTTTGGGGGAAAGAAGGCTGTGACTCTGAAGGGTGGAAAAAGATCCTTTCTGAATAGGAGCTTCAGAAACTTGTGTTTCTGAAAGTAACACAAGTTACTTTCCTGTGGCTTCCAGAATTGAAATACAGATAACCTTTTCTCTCCTCTGTAAAACACCTTCGGTATAGAAAGCTGGTTTACATGCACTATCTCAAATGCTCCACGTTTTGGTGAGGGCTTTCCCCACAACTTATGAGGTAATTAAATGAGAGGTTATTCCTATTTTGAGGGTAAAAGTAGAAACTCGCTAAATGTTTGTAATAGCACCTGTGGAGTGTACAGTTTTGACCTTGAAGATAAGCATCTTTTCATAATTCTACTCTATGTCCCCTCAAAAAGAAAAAAGATTCCAACCCCCAAAGGATGTTTTTGCCTTAAATATTTGTGTTTTCAAAACACAATACAGAAATAATATAAGTTGTATTCATTGTGAAAAAATGGAAAGAAAATGAAAACAATGAGTGTTTGTGTTGTGTGTGTGTGTGTGTGTGTGTGTGTACACATGCACTAATCAGCCCCCCACCTGGAAGTGACCATTGTCTGGAAAGACAGGGGGGTTAAGCTAGGTTCTGGGGTAAGTTCTGACCTGCTGGGATTTCATCTGCCCATCAGATCCCTCCACATTTCTCCCTACCTCCTGCTCCACCATCTTTAAACCCAGTGGGTGCAGGGAGTGCACATCTGCTGTCATTGCCTGCTCAGTTCATTCTCTCTTCTCAACCTCAGTGTCCCTCTGGGAAACCACCAACTCACTATCAACCCTTGCAGTGAGTGGAATGATTGATGCCAACCTCAGAGTCAAGAGTGGTCATGTGATCTAGACTTAGCCAATCAGAAACAGTGATAACGAAAAGCTGTGCCTCTTGGAAAACACTAGCTCTGTTTCTGCCAGACATGAAGATGAACGTGGCCATCCTGCCATAGAAGACATTGCTCAAGAGGGAGTCCACACAGAATAAAGTAGAGCTGGGAGGCTGAGGGGAGGCTGAGGGTGAGACCATATCCTCATGCTGGGGTTTTCTGTTCACATGAGCTAATGCATTTATTTTTTGCTAACTCCAGCTGGAGTTGCATTTTCTGCCATCAGCTCAAAGTGAGGAATGGTTGCTCATGTGCTTATCAGAGTGGAAACAGGATAGTTATTTTTAAAAGAAAAATTTATTTTTGAACTTCCCCAGTTCAGTGCTTACTGAAAAGCTGCAGAGAGGAGATTTTCCTCAAAAGTTTCTCAGGATACTAGACGGGGTGAGATTTCTGCTACTGACTGAATTCTGCTAGGATTTATAATTTACTTTCTTTGTGGTCAGAGGACATACTTTGTAAGATTTCATTCTTTAGAAATCTATTGAATTTGTTTGATGACATAGTGTATGATCTACTAGATGCACATCCATTTGCACTTGAAATGAATGTGTTCTGCAGTTGTTTGGTGTAGGGTTCTATCAATGTCAAGTAGGTGAAGGTGGTTGATAATGTTCTTCAGACATTCCATACTTTTACTGGTTTCTTGTCTAGTAGTTCTCTTTGCCCCCTGAGAGAGGTGCACTAACGTCTCTTACTATGACTGTGGCTTTGTCTATTTTGCTTTTTAATTTTGTCAATTTTTATGCATGTATTTGGAAGATCTGTTATTAGGCACCTACACCTTTATAAATGCCATATCTTCCTGATTGTATTGACTCTTTTTTAAATTTTTTAATTTATTTTTATTTTTGAGATAGAGTCTCACTCTGTCGCCCAGGCTGGAGTGCAGTGGCACGACATCAGCTCACGGCCAGCTCTGCCCCTGGGTTCACACCATTCTCCTGTCTCAGCCTCCCGAGTAGCTGGGACCACAGGCGCCCGCCACCACGCCCGGCTAATTTTTTGTATTTTTAGTAGAGACGCGGTTTCACCATGTTAGCCAGGATGGTCTCGATCTCCTGACCTGGTGATCTGCCCACCTCAGCCTCCCAAAGTGCTGGGATTGCAGGCAAGAGTCACCACGCCTGGCCTGACTCTTTTGTAGTAATGCAAAGTTCTTCTTCCCCTCTAGTAATAATAGCACTTGTTTTGAAATCTATTTTGACTAATATTATTATGACCACTTCAGCTTTTGTATGTTTACATTTTGCATTTTTTTTGCATATTTTTCTTTCAATATATTTTTCTTGTATTTGAATTTAAATTGTGTCTATTGTAAAGAGCATATACTTGATTCTTGCTTTTTCTTTTTCTTTTTTTTCTTTTTGAGACAGGATTCTTTCTCTGTCACCCAGTCTGGAGTGCAATGACGTGAACATGGCTCACTGTAGCCTCAAACTTCCAGGCTCAAGCGATACCTCCACCTTTTTTTTTTTTTTTTTTTTTTTTGGTATAGTTGCGGTATCACCATGTTCCCCAGGCTGGTCTGACATTTTGGGGCTTAAGCAGTCCTCCTGCCTCAACCTCCAAAATGCTGGAATTACAGACATAAGCCACTGTGTCTGGCCAATTCTTGCTTTTTATCCAACCCTTAAAAATCTCTGCCTTTTGATTGAAGTGAATATTCTTTATACATTTAATGTAATTATTGACATGGTGTATCAAAGTTTGCCATTTTTCTATTTATTTTCTATTTGCCTAATCTATTTGGTGTTGTTCTCCCCTTGTTCTTACTTTCTGGTCTTCTTTTTTGTTAAAATATTTTAGTATTTCATCTAAATTCCTTATTGGCTTTCTATCTATATATTTTGCAGGAGAGGCATTCATACCTGTAAGCCCAGTATTTTGGGAGGTGGAAGCAGAAGGACTGCTTTAGACCAGCCTAGCAACACAGCAAGGCCTCATCTCTACAAAAAAAAAAAAAAAAAACCTCCAGGCATGGTGGCACACATCTGTAGCCTGGGCAACAGAGTGAGACCCTGTCTCCAAAATATACATATTTGCCTTATGTTTTTAGTGGTTCCTAATAGGATTACTATAGCTACCTTTAACTTAACCCATTCTACTTATGGTTAATATCAACTTACTTTACACAAAATATAGGAAACTTGAAATAGTATGTTTCCATTTGCCACCCTATTTTTAGTGTTATTTTTATATATATATATACACACACACACATTATAAACCCATTTGTGCAGTATTACAATTTTTGCTTTAAACAATCATATTTTTAAAAGAAGAAAATTAAACAAATGGTCCTTTGTATTTATGAACATATCCACTATTTTCAGAGCTCTTTATTTCTTCAGCTTAAAGGACCTCCTTTACTTTTTTTGTAGTGCAGGTCTGTTGGTGGTAACAAATTATCACAGTATTTGTTTTCTAAAAGTGTCTCTATTTAACCTTCATTTTTGAGGCATATTTTATCTGAATATAGTATTCTTGGTTGACTGTTCTTTTCCACCCTACAGTACTTGAATTATATTGTTTCTATTTCTTTTGGCATCCATAGCTCATGATAAGAAATCAGTGATTATTCTTACTGGTTTTCTTCTGGAGTCACTTTGGCTGAATGTTTTCAAAATTTTATCTTTCTTTGGCTTTCTGAATGTTGAGTATTATATATCCAGTAGAATTTTCTTTAGTTTTATTATACTTGGGGTTTATCGAGTTCTTGCATCTGTAAGTTAATTTTTTCAACAGAAATTGGAGCTTTTGAGGCTATTCTTTCTCTAAATATTTTTTTCTTTCCTTTTCTGTTGCTCCTCTCATTCTGGGATTCTAATGACCTGCATTTCAGACCACACACTATAGTCTCACACATCTCTGAAAGTATTTTTATTTTTAAAACCTTTTTTGTGTATGTACCTAAGACTGAATTAATTTCTATTGATCTGTCTTCAAGTTTACTACTATTTTCTTTCACTTAAAATATGCTAGGCTGAGCACAGTGGCTCATGCCTGTAATCTCAGCACTTTAGGAGGCCAAAGAGGATGGATTGCTTGAGCCAAGGAGTTCAAGGCCAGCTTGGGAAAAATGGCAACACCCCATCTCTACAAAAAATGCAAGAAATTAGCCAGGCATGGTGGCACATGCCTGTGGTCCCAGCTTCTCAGGAGGCTGAGATGGGAGGATCACTTGAGTCTTGAGATGGAGGTTGCAGTGAGCCCAGGTTGCACCACTGCACTCCAGCCTGGGCAACAGAGTGAGACCTTGTCTCAAAAAAGTAAAAAGAAAATATGCTATGGAGCCTATCTAGTGAGTGCCATACAAGTGTCATTGTCCCCCTTCCTTTGTCGGACTGGGTGATTGTTCTCCCATTTTTCAGTAGAGTGTAATAAGTAAGCCAGCCTTGCCTTCTAGCAAGCATTTTTTTCCATTGATAATAATTTAGGCTCCTAGGATAAGAAGGCAAGGTTCCCTGTGAAAGGAAGAGAACAGGGTTTGAGGCAATGGTGGTAGTAGAAATGGCTAAAATATCTCTCAGGAAAGCAGGGAGGAAGAAGAGTTAGGTGGGAGTGAGGTGTCAGGCTCCTGGGAAAACTATGTAAGGAGGAAACGTACTGGGGAAAGCCAGGGGCTATAGCCTGTCGAAGGTCTGGGAGAAACCACATGTGTGTGTGTTCAGGGATGGCAAGGCAGTGAATTCTTCAGCAGGCCACCCAGCTCTATGCCCCACTCACACCTGCAGACTCTATTTGCTTGGGTTTGAGAGTCAGCATTGCATAGAGGTGAGTACTTCATGTTGTCAGTGTCCAGCACTGTGCCCCTTGGCCACCCAGCAGAGGTGACACTCACACCTGTCCTGGGAGTCCATCCAGTCCCAGATCATTACCTCATGTGATACACCAGCCCCTTCACAAAGCTCCAGGACACTGTAAACCCAGGAAAAGGATATCTCACCTGTTTCTGGGGGGTAGTGCTGAACTTGGACTTGAGAAGCCCTGCCACTGTGACAGAGTTTACCGACCTGTTGGTAAACCCCAGTGATATGGAAAGTCCCCGCTAAGGGGAGCGTCTGACCCTCACAGTGACCTGGAGAGGCAGGTGCTATCCCATTTAACAGAGGATAAGTGAAACCTCAGAGAATCCAGTGCCTGGTCTCACTGCCACGAAGGAGATGAGCCCAGGAAGTCTGGCTCCAGAACCAGTCCATTTAATTACTGTGCTCTCTACCCACACAGGAAGGGCTCAGAAGCAGTTTGCCAAGCTCACTCCAGAATGTGTGTGTTTGTGTGTTTGTGTGTGTGTGTTCTTTTTTTTGTTTTTTAAGTGTTAGTTCAAAGCTGCAGCACCCAGGATGGGGTCAGTCACATTCATAATCTACATACATTCTTAGAGATGCCCAACTGGGCTGCCTCAGGTGCACAACTGGGCAGCCTTGGCATTCTGTGCTTTTCTAGGGATAGGGGTGGGAATGGAGGGAGGAGCCAGTCTAGCAGGATTGTCCGGGAGACCTCTGATGGCACCCATGAAAGCTCCCTGAATACAGTCTGAACTCAGGCCCTCAGGCTACAGGTGCAGAATTGAGGCCAATAAAGAGAATGTGGCCTGCTAACAAATGAGCCATTGGAAGGTATAGACCAACAACACAGATCTCTTTCCATGCATCCATCCATCCATCCATGTATGTATTCATCAATTCATCCATCTATCCAGTCCGCTGTTATCCATCCGTCCACCATACACCCATGCATCCATCAATTCATCCATCCATGTATCCATTCACCTATCCATACAGTGATCATTCATCCATCCGTCCATGTATCCACTCACCTATCCATCTATTCATTCATCCATCCATTCATCTATCCATTTATCCATCCATCTATCCATCTACCCATCCACCAGATACTTACTGAGCTACCATGTTCTAGGTGCTGTATTGAAAGCTGGGGATTGGTGGAAGGCAGGGCAGACACAGTGCCTGTCCTCATGGAGTTGATATTTGCTAGAAGGCTTTTGATCTGTCCCTCTCCCAGCCAATGCAGAGCTGTGTCCGTAGTATCCCTCACACCTTATTTTTCCTATAATTGTTTTTTCTTGTAAGCAGTATTCTTCTGGAAGCCCCAGGAGAGGACCTGTGCCTCCTCTGACTCTCAGTGTGGTGAGAACTGTGTCATGGAAGAGAAAACCTAGGCCCTGGTGTCAGGCTCACTTGGGTTCGAATTCTGGCTCTGCCCCTTCAGCTAGTCACTGAACACTGTGCCTGAGTTTTTCACCCCTGACACAAAGATCATAAGATCTACCTTGCAGGGCTGATGTGAGGACCAGAAACACTCAGCTCATGGTGGGGGTGGGGAGCATGCACTGCCTGCTGGGCCTGGGGCATCTCTTATGGCAACACTGACATGGACTTGGCCCTTGGAGCACAGCTCACCCAGAGATCGGGATGCGCAGTGCCTGGCACCTGGCAGGTGCTCCACACGTGGGGCTCTTTCTCCATCACACTGGGCAGACTCTCTTGGCAGCTGCTCCAAGAAATCTGCTTGGCTGCCTTCTCTGTGCTGAGCAGGAGTGGCCTTGGCTGTTCTGGCAGTTGTGACCTTGCTGCTGGCAATGTTTAGCTCAGGGCCTCCTGAATGTTCCACCTGACTTTTAAGGGATCACATCGCATCAGCTTCACTTATCTGATTTCCTTCAGGTGGGCAGCTGGGGGGCCTCAGCAAGGTAAAGGCATCTGCAGCCTGGCACTCGAAGTCCAGACCCAGTGTGTGTGCATGTGCATACGTAAAACTGAAATAAAGGCTCACAAAGCAAGCTCACCCTTCCTACGGGCAATGCATTTGTATTTTCTCCACTATTCTATGCTGTTTTATGATGTATTATTTTTATTTTTATTTTTTAAATACTGGTTAAGATCCAATGAATGGATCTTACGATCTAATAATGGGTCTTCACAGTGCAAAAAACATTGCCCTTGCTGGGTGCAGTGGTGCACACTGTAGTCCAGCTACTCGGGAGGCAAGGTGGGAGGATGGCTTGAGCCCAGAAGTTTGGGGCTATAATGCGCTGTGCCAGTCGGGTGTCTGCACTAAGTTTAGCCCCCAAATAATGACCTCTCAGGAGTGCAGAACCCTCAGGTTGCCTAAGGAGGGATGAAACTGCCCAGGTTGGAAACAGAGAAGTTCAAAATTCCCATGCTGATCAGCAGTGGGATGGTTCCTGGGAACAGCCACTGCACTCCAGCCTGGACAATACAGCGAGAACCTGTCTCTAAAAAAAAAAGAAAAGAAAAGAAAAAGAGAAAGAGAAAAACACTAGCTGATCAAGCTCTTGCAGGCTTTCCCCTCTCACCTTAGGCTAGCTCACTCATACCCATCACCCCAGCGTCTCCGCAGAGCCTAGGTGGTACCGCCTTTAAGCCCATATGAGGGCCTTTGAACATCTACCCCAGCTCTTCCTGGGCCATCTTGTTCTGGTCTCTGCTCCCCTGCTGTCATCACAGAGAGGCCCTCACTGATCATGCACATGAGCAGCTCTCACTCTCAGCTCCAGGCACTGTCTGTGTCACCTCCTTGCTTACTTCCTGCAGTCCTGCCTTCTGTCTTGCTCACCTTGCACACTGTCTGCAGGTGGTTGAATAGAGTGCTGGAGGCCTGCCTTCTTGGCTTTGCAGGGCTTGGATTTGCAAACTGGTCCCCTGGAGCACCTTCCAGGGAGGTCTCCTCCTACCTCTCTCCCTGCAGTAGCCAAGAGGGGAGCAAAGTCTCCCTCCACAGATGCATCTGCCTAGCACTTAGGTGCCAGGCGTACTCACTCTACCTGGATTGGGGGCACCAACCCCGGAGCCTGCCTTCTTCCATGCCCCCATGTGGTGTCTTGTACTCCTCTCCCTCCCTGTCCCTCCCTACCCCAGGTGCAGCCCTGCCCTTGTGTAAATGTCTCCTCCAGTTACAAGGGCCAGGCAGGTACCATACAGTTTTCAATGCACCCAATATTGAGGGATAAATCACAACCAGTCCTCAGCTTCGTGTTCTAGAAGACAATGGGAGCTGGGAGCAACCACGGAGAAGCTGCAGAACTCAGGCCCTGTCTAAACCGGGGTCTCCACATCACTCCTCATGGTTGCTGCCTAGGAGTGCAGCTGTTATGGTCTGACAATCTGATTGTCTGTGTGGTGTGTGCATGTGTGTGTGTGTAACCTCCAAATTTTCAAATACTGGTTGACAATTCCGTTTTTGTTTGTGTTTTTTTTTTTTTTTGAGACAGAGTCTTGCTCTGTCACCCAGGCTGGAGTGCAGTGGTGCAATTATAGCTCACTGCAGCCTTGATCTCCCAGGCTCAATCGATTCCCCTGCCTCAGCCTCCCAAGTAGCTGGGATTACAGATCCATGCCACCACACCCAGCTAATTTTTTAAAAAAATTTTTTTGTAGAGATGGAGTCTGGCTATGTAGACCAGCCTGGGCAACATAGCCAGACTCCTGACCTCAAGAGATCCTCCTGCCTCAACATCCTGAATAGCTAGGATTATAGGCATACAATCCCATTTTATTTATTTATTTATTTATTTTTATACTTTAAGTTTTAGGGTACATGTGCACAATGTGCAGGTTAGTTACATATGTATACATGTGCCATACTGGTGTGCTGCACCCACTAACTCGTCATCTAGCATTAGGTATAACTCCCAATGCTATCCCTCCCCCATCCCCTCAAGCGACAGCAGTCCCCAGAGTGTGATGTTCCCCTTCCTGTGTCCATGTGTTCTCATTGTTCAATTCCCACCTATGAGTGAGAATATGCGGTGTTTGGTTTCTTGTCTTTGCGATAGTTTACTGAGAATGATGATTTCCAATTTCATCCATGTCCCTACAAAGGACATGAACTCATCATTTTTTATGGCTGCATAGTATTCCATGGTGTATATGTGCCACATTTTCTTAATCCAGTCTATCATTGTTGGACATTTGGGTTGGTTCCAAGTCTTTGCTATTGTGAATAGTGCCGCAATAAACATACGTGTGCATGTGTCTTTATAGCAGCATGATTTATACTCATTTGGGTATATACCCAGTAATGGGATGGCTGGATCAAATGGTATTTCTAGTTCTAGATCCCTGAGGAATCGCCACACTGACTTCCACAATGGATGAACCAGTTTACAGTCCCACCAACAGTGTAAAAGTGTTCCTATTTCTCCGCATCCTCTCCAGCACCTGTTGTTTCCTGACTTTTTAATGATTGCCATTCTAACTGGTGTGAGATGATATCTCATAGTGGTTTTGATTTGCATTTCTCTGATGGCCAGTGATGATGAGCATTTCTTCATGTGTTTTTTGGCTGCATAAATGTCTTCTTTTGAGAAGTGTCTGTTCATGTCCTTCGCCCACTTTCTGATGGGGTTGTTTGTTTTTTTCTTGTAAATTTGTTTGAGTTCATTGTAGATTCTGGATATTAGCCCTTTGTCAGATGAGTAGGTTGCGAAAATTTTCTCCCATGTTGTAGGTTGCCTGTTCACTCTGATGGTAGTTTCTTTTGCTGTGCAGAAGCTCTTTAGCTTAATTAGATCCCATTTGTCAATTTTGTCTTTTGTTGCCATTGCTTTTGGTGTTTTGGACATGAAGTCCTTGCCCACGCCTATGTCCTGAATGGTAATGCCTAGGTTTTCTTCTAGGGTTTTTATGGTTTTAGGTCTAACGTTTAAATCTTTAATCCATCTTGAATTGATTTTTGTATAAGGTGTAAGGAAGGGATCCAGTTTCAGCTTTCTACATATGGCTAGCCAGTTTTCCCAGCACCATTTATTAAATAGGGAATCCTTTCCCCATTGCTTGTTTTTCTCAGGTTTGTCAAAGATCAGATAGTTGTAGATATGCGGCATTATTTCTGAGGGCTCTGTTCTGTTCCATTGATCTATATCTCTGTTTTGGTACCAGTACCATGCTGTTTTGGTTACTGTAGCCTTGTAGTATAGTTTGAAGTCAGGTAGTGTGATGCCTCCAGCTTTGTTCTTTTGGCTTAGGATTGACTTGGTGATGCGGGCTCTTTTTTGGTTCCATATGAACTTTAAAGTAGTTTTTTCCAATTCTGTGAAGAAAGTCATTGGTAGCTTGATGGGGATGGCATTGAATCTGTAAATTACCTTGGGCAGTATGGCCATTTTCACGATATTGATTCTTCCTACCCATGAGCATGGAATGTTCTTCCATTTGTTTGTGTCCTCTTTTATTTCCTTGAGCAGTGGTTTGTAGTTCTCCTTGAAGAGGTCCTTCACATCCCTTGTAAGTTGGATTCCTAGGTA
Organism: Homo sapiens; assembly: GCF_000001405.40. NCBI lineage: Eukaryota > Metazoa > Chordata > Mammalia > Primates > Hominidae > Homo > Homo sapiens. The sequence goes on along the minus strand of NC_000019.10, from coordinate 29,230,061 downwards.
TTTTATTCTCTTTGAAGCAATTGTGAATGGGAGTTCACCCATGATTTGGCTCTCTGTTTGTCTGTTGTTGGTGTATAAGAATGCTTGTGATTTTTGTACATTGATTTTGTATCCTGAGACTTTGCTGAAGTTGCTTATCAGCTTAAGGAGATTTTGGGCTGAGACAATGGGGTTTTCTAGATAAACAATCATGTCGTCTGCAAACAGGGACAATTTGACTTCCTCTTTTCCTAATTGAATACCCTTTATTTCCTTCTCCTGCCTGATTGCCCTGGCCAGAACTTCCAACACTATGTTGAATAGGAGCGGTGAGAGAGGGCATCCCTGTCTTGTGCCAGTTTTCAAAGGGAATGCTTCCAGTTTTTGCCCATTCAGTATGATATTGGCTGTGGGTTTGTCATAGATAGCTCTTATTATTTTGAAATACGTACCATCAATACCTAATTTATTGAGAGTTTTTAGCATGAAGGGTTGTTGAATTTTGTCAAAGGCTTTTTCTGCATCTATTGAGATAATCATGTGGTTTTTGTCTTTGGCTCTGTTTATATGCTGGATTACATTTATTGATTTGCGTATATTGAACCAGCCTTGCATCCCAGGGATGAAGCCCACTTGATCATGGTGGATAAGCTTTTTGATGTGCTGCTGGATTCTGTTTGCCAGTATTTTATTGAGGATTTTTACATCAATGTTCATCAAGGATATTTGTCTAAAATTCTCTTTTTTGGTTGTGTCTGTGCCTGGCTTTGGTATCAGGATGATGCTGGCCTCATAAAATGAGTTAGGGAGGATTCCCTCTTTTTCTATTGATTGGAATAGTTTCAGAAGGAATGGTACCAGTTCCTCCTTGTACCTCTGGTAGAATTCGGCTGTGAATCCATCTGGTCCTGGACTCTTTTTGGTCAGTAAGCTATTGATTATTGCCACAATTTCAGATCCTGTTATTGGTCTATTCAGAGATTCAACTTCTTCCTGGTTTTGTCTTGGGAGAGTGTATGTGTTGAGGAATTTATCCATTTCTTCTAGATGTTCTAGTTTATTTGCGTAGAGGTGTTTATAGTATTCTCTGATGGTAGTTTGTATTTCTGTGGGATTGGTGGTGATATCCCCTTTATCATTTTTTATTGCATCTATTTGATTCTTCTCTCTTTTTTTCTTCATTAGTCTTGCTAGTGGTCTATCAATTTTGTTGATCCTTTCAAAGAACCAGCTCCTGGATTCATTAATTTTTTGAAGGGTTTTTTGTGTCTCTATTTCCTTCAGTTCTGCTCTGATTTTAGTTATTTCTTGCCTTCTGCTAGCTTTTGAATGTGTTTGCTCTTGCTTTTCTAGTTCTTTTAATTGTGATGTTAGGGTGTCAATTTTAGATCTTTCCTGCTTTCTCTTGTGGGCATTTAGTGCTATAAATTTCCCTCTGCACACTGCTTTGAATGTGTCCCAGAGATTCTGGTATGTTGTGTCTTTGTTCTCATTGGTTTCAAAGAACATCTTTATTTCTGCCTTCATTTCGTTATGTACCCAGTAGTCATTCAGGAGCAAGTTGTTCAGTTTCCATGTAGTTGAGCGGTTTTGAGTGAGATTCTTAATCCTGAGTTCTAATTTTATTGCACTGTGGTCTGAGAGATAGTTTGTTATAATTTCTGTTCTTTTACATTTGCTGAGGAGAGCTTTACTTCCAAGTATGTGGTCAATTTTGGAATAGGTGTGTTGTGGTGCTGAAAAAAATGTATATTCTGTTGATTTGGGGTGGAGAGTTCTGTAGATGTCTATTAGGTCTGCTTGGTGCAGAGCTGAGTTCAATTCCTGGGTATCCTTGTTGACTTTCTGTCTCGTTGATCTGTCTAATGTTGACAGTGGGGTGTTAAAGTCTCCCATTATTATTGTGTAGGAGTCTGAGTCTCTTTGTAGGTCACTCAGGACTTGTTTTATGAATCTCAGTGCTCCTGTATTGGGTGCATATATATTTAGGATAGTTAGTTCTTCTTGTTGAATTGATCCCTTTACCATTATGTAATGGCCTTCTTTGTCTCTTTTGATCTTTGTTGGTTTAAAGTCTATTTTATCAGAGACTAGGATTGCAACCCCTGCCTTTTTTTGTTTTCCATTTGCTTGGTAGATCTTCCTCCATCCCTTTATTTTGAGCCTATGTGTGTCTCTGCACGTGAGATGGGTTTCCTGAATACAGCACACTGATGGGTCTTGACTCTTTATCCAATTTGCCAGTTGGTGTCTTTTAATTGGAGCATTTAGTCCATTTACATTTAAAGTTAATATGGTTATGTGTGAATTTGATCCTGTCATTATGATGTTAGCTGGTTATTTTGCTCGTTAGTTGATACAGTTTCTTCCTAGTCTCGATGGTCTTTACATTTTGGCATGATTTTGCAGTGGCTGGTACCGGTTGTTCCTTTCCATGTTTAGCGCTTCCTTCAGGAGCTCTTTTAGGGCAGGCCTGGTGGTGACAAAATCTCTCCGCATTTGCTTGTCTGTAAAGTATTTTATTTCTCCTTCACTTATGAAGCTTAGTTTGGCTGGATATGAAATTCTGGGTTGAAAATTCTTTTCTTCAAGAATGTTGAATATTGGCCCCCACTCTCTTCTGGCTTGTAGAGTTTCTGCCGAGAGAGCTGCTGTTAGTCTGATGGGCTTCCCTTTGAGGGTAACCCGACCTTTCTCTCTGGCTGCCCTTAACATTTTTTCCTTCATTTCAACTTGGTGAATCTGACAATTATGTGTCTTGGAGTTGCTCTTCTCTAGGAGTATCTTTGTGGCGTTCTCTGTATTTCCTGAATCTGAATGTTGGCCTGCCTTGCTAGATTGGGGAAGTTCTCCTGGATAATATCCTGCAGAGTGTTTTCCAACTTGGTTCCATTCTCCCCATCACTTTCAGGTACACCAATCAGACGTAGATTTGGTCTTTACACATAGTCCCATATTTCTTGGAGGCTTTGCTCGTTTCTTTTTATTCTTTTTTCTCTGAACTTCCCTTCTCGCTTCATTTCATTCATTTCATCTTCCATCGCTGATACCCTTTCTTCCAGTTGATCGCATCGGCTCCTGAGGCTTCTTCATTCTTCACGTAGTTCTCGAGCCTTGGTTTTCAGCTCCATTAGCTCCTTTAAGCACTTCTCTGTATTGGTTATTCTAGTTGTACATTCTTCTAAATTTTTTTCAAAGTTTTCAACTTCTTTGCCTTTGGTTTGAATGTCCTCCTGTAGCTCGGAGTAATTTGATCGTCTGAAGCCTTCTTCTCTCAGCTCGTCAAAGTCATTCTCTGTTCAGCTTTGTTCCGTTTCTGGTGAGGAACTGTGTTCCTTTGGAGGAGGAGAGGTGCTCTGCTTTTTAGAGTTTCCAGTTTTTCTGCTCTGTTTTTTCCCCATTTTGTGGTTTTATCTACTTTTGGTCTTTGATGATGGTGATGTACAGATGGGTATTTGGTGTGGATGTCCTTTCTGTTTGTTAGTTTTCCTTCTAACAGACAGGACCCTCAGCTGCAGGTCTGTTGGGGTACCTGGCCGTGTGAGGTGTCAGTCTGCCCCTGCTAGGGGGTGCCTCCCAGTTAGGCTGCTCGGGGGTCAGGGGTCAGGGACCCACTTGAGGAGGCAGTCTGCCCGTTCTCAGATCTCCAGCTGCATGCTGGGAGAACCACTGCTCTCTTCAAAGCTGTCATACAGGGACAGTTAAATCTGCAGAAGTTACTGCTGTCTTTTTGTCTGTGCCCTGCCCCCAGAGGTGGAGCCTACAGAGGCAGGCAGGCCTCCTTGAGCTGTGGTGGGCTCCACCCAGTTGGAGCTTCCTGGCTGCTTTGTTTACCTAAGCAAGCCTGGGCAATGGTGGGCACCCCTCCCCCAGCCTCGCTGCCACCTTGCAGTTTGATCTCAGACTGCTGTGCTAGCAATCAGCGAGACTCCGTGGGTGTAGAACCCTCTGAGCCAGGTGCGGGATATAATCTCCTGATGCGCCGTTTTTTAAGCCCGTTGGAAAAGTGCAGTATTCGGGTGGGAGTGACCCGATCTTCCAGGTGCCGTCTGTCACTCCTTTCTTTGACTAGGAAAGGGAACTCCCTGACCCCCTGCGCTTCCCGAGTGAGGCAATGCCTTGCCCTGCTTCGGCTCGCGCACGGTGCGTGCACCCACCAACCTGCACCCACTGTCTGGCACTCCCTAGTGAGATGAACCTGGTACCTCAGATGGAAATGCAGAAATCACCCGTCTTCTGCGTCGCTCACGCTGGGAGCTGTAGACCGGAGCTGTTCCTATTCGTCCATCTTGGCTCCTCCCCCACCAATCTCATTTTTTAACACTTTACAGGCCAAAGAAACCATGGCTCTGGGCCTGATTTTGCGCACAGCCTCCACTGGTGAGCTCTGCTCCAGGTGCTGCAGGCTTTGGGCTGGATTCAGCCTGCCTTGCTCATGTGGTCATTCCATGTGCCTCACATTTAAGGCAAGGAAAGTTGGCTGTTGCAAGCTGTCAATGTTGCTTTGCCGGAGTAAGAAACAAAGACCAGCTGGTGGAGACCCCCAGTACTGGTAGATCTCAAGAGGACAAAGGTGCCTGCTGAGGAGTGGTGGGAAAGGAAATCTGACTGATAAACTTTCCACTGATTGTAATTATGTAAATCCAAGATCCCAAAGAAGTAGAATATTGGCCTTTAGATAAGGTACCATAAACCTGTCTTGGATAATTAACCTTTTTAAGAAGCAACCATGTTCAGTACTTAATATCTGAAAAGGTGTAACGTAGCAAGAGTGGGCTATAAATAAAAGAGATGGAAAGTGCGGTTGCATTTCCCAATTCATGATGGTGGGCTGCAGCTAATTAATTCATAATGCCACTGAATTGATACTTCTTTATTTGTGTTCATGCAAATTACCTCTTAACTCATGTTAAAAGGCAAACATATTGAGCAAGTTGAACTTTCAAAAAAGCCAACGTTCATAGAACACAGAATAATAACGGTTATAGTTGGTTATTCATGCTGCTATAGATAAGATTATTATGTCAACATTTCCATTTGAAACTCTTATTTTCAACAATTTATAACTTGGTCATAAAAAATAAAGATCCATTGTGCTCTAAGTGACTGTTACGGTTTTACCCAGGGAAAGGTTATTTTTTTCCCCTCCATGTTTAAAAATAGCTTTACATAGCAGGTTAAAATTTTATCATCTCACCAGGTTTAGAAAACGGCATTCACTGTCTGGGCGGGCCAGGCCATCACCAGGGGCTGCTGCTTTCTGACCTGGCTGTTCCGAGTGTCCTCCTTGGCATGATTCTCAACTCACCAACTGCTGGGGATAGGGGTTTCTTCTCATTGATACTCACCTGCTCTTGTTTTTTGTTGTTGTTGCTTTCTTTTGAAACAGAGTCTCACTCTGTTGCCCAGGCTGGAGTTCAGTGGTGCGATCTTCGCTCTCTGCAACCTCTGCCTCCCAGGTTCAAGTGATTCTCCTGCCTCAGCCTCCCGAGTAGCTGGGACTACAGGCACGTGCCACCACCCCCGACTAATTTTTGTATTTTTGGTAGAGATGGGGTTTCACCATGTTGGCCAGGCTGGTCTTAAACTCCTGACCTCAGGTGATCTGTCCACCTCAGCCTACCAAAGTACTGGGATTACAGGTGTGAGCCACCGTGCCTGGCCTTGTTTGTACCTGCCCAGTGGCCTAAAAACTTTCCTCTCTAATGTAGCCCTCTTCTGTCTTCTCTTTTCTTCCCCAAGGCTCAGGAGACATGCATCCACTTATCTATCAATTCGATTGTTACTTATTCACCGAGTACATACAGTGGACAAGATGTATGCTGTTGTGGGGACACAGGTGTGAGCAGAGAAGATATGGGAAAACTGAGAACTCCCTTGGAGTTTCTCTAATATTCAGATGTAGATTTCATGGGGTGGGATGGGCAGGAGTCCATCTTTAGGTTCTTTAAAGGTGCTGATTACAGCCAGGTGTGGTGGTACACATCTGTAGTCCCAGCTATTTGGGAGGCAGAGACAGGAGGAGTGCTTGAGCCCAGGAGTTCAAGGCTGCAGTGAGCTATGATTGCACCACTGCACTCTGGCCTGGGAGACAGAGCAAGACCCCGTCTCAAAAAAATAAAATAAAATAAAATAAATAATAAATAGGCTGGGCTCAGTGGCTCACGTCTGTAATCCCAACACTTTGGGAGGCCGAGGCAGGTGGATCACCTGAGATCAGGAGTTCGAGACCAGCCTGGCCAACATGGTGAAAGCCCGTCATTACTAAAAATACAAAAATTAGCCGGGTGTGGTGGCTCACACCTGCAGTCCCACCAGGAGTCTGAGGCATGAGAATCACTTGAACCTGGGAGGCGGAGGTTGCAGAGAGCCAAGATCACGGCACTGCAGTCCAGCCTGGGCGACAGAGTGAGACTTGGTCTCCAAATAAATAAATAAATAAATAAATAAATAAATAAATAAATGTGCTGATTTGGCTACAGTAGACACCATTAGCTTCCCACAGTAGTAAACAAGGCCAACTGTAAGTGAGCAGGCAAAGAAACAGACATCGTTGATTCAGATGGTGATGACATCAATAAATAAAAAAATAAAAATCAGTGGAGTGACTGGGAGTGACAAGAGGTGTGGAGGGCGGGAAGATCAGGGGTAAAGTGGGTACTAATAGAAAGCTCAGCTGGGTTGTGCGTGCTGGGAAGACAGGAGGCACCCAGGAGTGCTGGGGCACCGGGAGCAAGTATGGGAGAGTGGAAGAGTTAGAGAGGGGGCAGGTGGAGGAGCTGGGCTAGAATTCCAAGTCGCTTCCCTCTCTGAATCACAGGCACTCATACTTAGTGCTATTCCTCCCTATCCTGTCTTCCTTGTGTAGTTGAAATGGACCTCCCAAATGGAGGTAGATTGATGGATTGATATTTTAATTGTAAAAATAATAATATAAACTCAGTGTACTTTTTACTACTTCCCAAATGGAGGTAGATTGATGGATTGATATTTTAATTGTAAAAATAATATAAACTCAGTGTAAAAGTGTCAGATAACATAGAAAAACAAAGGGCAAAGTCAAAAATAGAAGTCAATAAATCCAGAATCCAAAGATAATGATTGTTAATATTTGATGCACGTCTTGCTAGACGTTTTGTTTGCAAACACAGACAGTTACTGACATGCATACATGCATCCATTTAACAAAAACTTGATCATATACATCCTGATATGTATATGCTTTTTTCACTTAATGCATTGAGTACCGTTTACTATGTCATTAAACATAGATCTATGATATAATTTTAAATGAGGGCAAAGTGATTTTATGGATGCATCCCCGTCTAACTCATCCTGCACAGCAGACAGGAAATCTGCAGATCATTTTTCATGATTATAAACAATCCTGTTATGAACGTCTTTGCACATTCATCTTCATGTACTTGTCTGATGCTTATTTTGGACACATTCCTACAAACAGGGTAGTTGGGTAAAAGGCTCTGGGTTGTGAGTGCAAACTGCAGAATCCCACACATAGAGGACATGGGGGTCCTCGGGCAGGCCTCCTAGGAGAGCAGGAGAGCTGCCCTCACTCCCCGGGTGGGCAGGGCTCCAGGGCCAGATGTGCTGTCTCCAGGATCCCTCTACCTTGTCTGAAGTCCAGGGCTCCCGTGACCTCTGCCTTCCAGTGGCACCTGCAAATTAGACCCCATTCTCTTAGGGTCTGAGTTGTCTTCACACAAAAGTGCTGAGAAGGGACTGTTGGTGTCTGGCAAGGTATTTTCCTCTCCATGTAGCAAAGCTACAAGAAAAGGGGGTTAGGGTAGAGTGTACCATTTGGGATCTGAGCTGAGAGGGAACCTAAGACTTGACCTCTAGAACTTTCAAATATTCACATTCTATTCCCTAGATAGCAGAGATCTACCTAGAGCTCCTGTCTCTTGCAGGGCAAGCCAGGGGAATGATTGCCTCTCTCAGCAGGAGCCGAGAGAGGAGAGAAGCTTCCCTCCACGGATGCACCTGCCCAGCACTCGGGTCCTAGGATGTTGCTCCACCTGGATCAGCGGCACCATCCCCAGTGCCTGCCTTCTCCTCTAATGCCTCCAGGTGATCTCTTGTGTTCCTCACCCTTCCCATCCCTCCTGACCCTGGGCACCTCCACGATCCCTTCTGCCCAGGCTTTTGGTTCCTTCTCCCCTCAGGGTCTCACTGACTGCACTCCATTCTCTCTCTGGAGCACAAGAAGCCTTATATGCATTTGCTGACCCCTTCAGCCAGCACAAATTTGCCATCTCTCTCTGCGTGCCTAAAGTTCCATTACAGGTGGAATAGAAGAAGCCCGGTCACTCTTACACAGCTGAGGATGCAGCAATACTTCTTCGTGGAGTGCAAGACTCTATCCCTGCCTTAAGGAGTTTATTTGGTGGAGACAAGGCAGAGGAGAAGGTAGGGTGGTTTATTCCAGCCTAAGAGAGGGCATCCACAGCACATCCCATAGCCGTCCAGAGGAAGGGGACTGGAAATAGGACAGTAGCTGTAAAATACTCATCCACACAAACTGAGCACCGCCAGAGGCCATGCCAACATAACCGAGTTCAAGCCGGTACCATGCACTGCACAACAGCCAGTACGTCAAGAAACAAGGAATTGGGTCAAGGGAGGGGGCTTTGTTTTGGAGAGCCAGCAACCGAGAAGGTGGTGGGCCAGTGTCCTAAAGAACCATCTGAAGTTACTATGAATTTCAGCCTCCTTTTATGTGGGAGGAGAGAGGGGGTTGAGGTTAGGATGTGACCGATGACAGCGGACATCTGAGCAGCAGCAAGGGTCTGAGGGGGCTGGAGACGTGTTTGTCCTTGGTCAGGTCCCAGTGCTCGTGTACATCTTTAACACACAGTGTTGCTCATGGGACGCCCTCCTTATCTCCTTGGGGGTGAGTGTTCAGAAGGAACTGTGGTCTCCTTGCTTTAAACTAGAAATGAAAGGCCTCTCACAGTTAGCTTGGTTTATGTGCAGAGATCAGCAAGAGCAGTTAACCCAGAAGATGTCACCAGAGGAGGTGGGTTAGGAGCAAAACACTTGTCACATGAGGGCTTCTTTTCACTGCTCCACCAAGGGCACATTCTTGCCTTCCCCTTTATACACACTCCTGTTACCCCCATCTTGCCAGGAGGCTGGACGTGTCCCCAGGTCTGCCCAAGTCCACCAGGGCTTCCTGGAGGACATGGAGTTCATGCTGGACCTTGACCCGGAGAAGAATGAGGCAGAGGATAGAGGGGGCTCCAGGTTAGGCCCAGCACAGGGCCAGGTGGGAAGGAGAGTAGCTTTGGCCTCTGCACAGAACCACCAGGTCCATGGTCCAGTCTTGTCTCTTCTGCCAACCCCATCCCTTCCAGCTCTGGCATTCATGGAACAAATCATCAGTTATTTGGATTCAAATCTGACAAATTAAATTGCAAAGAATTAAATAAGTTGTAGATCAATACTGTCTAAATGATCAATTAATCATTCCCTGTAATTAAAACTACCAATTCCTAATACCTTTCAGTTAAATTTTATTGCACCATTTCTAATTCAGAGCTTTTCGGCAGTTATATTGATTGCAGGTATACTTACCTGGTAATCAAATAATTTATTAATCAGCATACTTCATTATGGAATATCTGCACATTGACTCAGAAGGCTGGTTTAGTTCAGCCTGAGTTTTATTTTTATTTTATTTTATTTTTTTGAGACAGAGTTTGGCTCTTGTTGCCCAGGCTGAAGTGCAATGGCATGATCTTGGCTCACTGTTACCTCCACCTCCTGGGTTCAAGTGATTCTCCTGCCTCAGCCTCCCAAGTAGCTGGGATTACAGGCACCCGCCACCATGTCTGGCTAATTTTTTTTGTTTTTAGTAGAGACAAGGTTTCACCATGTTGCTCAGGCTAGTCTCGAGCTCCCTCAGGTGATCCACCAGCCTTGGCCTCCCAAAGTTCTGGGATTACAGGCATGTAATATCCTGCCCAGCCCAATTTGAGTTTTATTTTAAAGATGCTGGAGGTTTGCCATTACCTGCTTGTATACGTCACACAAAGTTCCTTCTTTTGTGAAAAATAATTGCAAAAAAAATAGGTGTGTGTACTTAAAAGCAGGTAAATGGATAAACTCAAGTGGTTCCTCAAAATTATGTTTTAACCGTAATCTTTTTCATGGAGGTTTTGCAACTTAATTTATTCCCAATATGCTTAGAAAAGTGCTCTCAAGATTCAGGGATGAAAAGGCCTTTGGGAAAATGGGTGCTACCTTCATTAGTACCTTGAAATACAAATTAAATCCCAAGCACATCACAATTTGCTTTCCTGCATCTACCAATTTTGAAATAGTACAAATAAAATGTCTTACTTACCTCGTGAATTTATTATTTCAGCTGTTCATGCTGGACACCTGGTGGTTTGATTTAACTTCCCTTAATGTTTTGGGGCATCATTAGGAGAGGGAAATGAGGACCTGTAATTGTGTGTGCAGACCCTGCAGGGGCCCTGGGTGGGCTGGAGCCTCCTTTCTGCTCCCCTTGCTCACATTCAAGGTCCCCAGGGCTGTCTGGGTTTGTCTTGGAGATTCAGGGAGCCAGCTCCTCCCCAGAGAGAAGAGGGCTCTGGTGGGCTTCCCTCTGCAAAGACAGAACGTGGGCATCAGTCTCTGGATCTCAGCTTCTCCTGATTGATGGGCAAAGCTTCCACAGAGGTGTTGAGCTGGGTTGCAGCTGAGTGGATCCAGCACTTCAGGCTTGAGAACAAGATGACTGAAGGTAGGGAGCCATAGGACCACTGAGAAGGCCAGAGGTGGAGGTGGGAGAGGGGCAGAAACTGACATTACCACCTTCTCTGTCCTCTACAAACTGCCCAAGGACTTTCAGAGCCATACTCCTTCAACTTATGCCCCACACCCCGAAATCTTCCTTCCCTCCAAAAAATGTTCATTTCTCCATCAACACAGTTCATCCTAGACCCGTCTGTCTCAGAGTACTCCTCACTCTGCAGGGAGAGCTGGGGGAAGTCCCTAACAGCACGCAGAAAGGATGGCAATTTGGAACACGGAGTGGATCACATGCCGAGGGCTTCCATGCAGTCACATGCTTACACACCTTCTACCTGCATCCTCACAGAGTCCTCCGGGAGTTCCAGCCAGCAGCTGAGCAGCCGGACGGCACCATCCTTGCTCCACTTCCCTGCTTGCTGGCTCTCATTGTCCTTATTCTTGGAGAAAGAAAGTCCAAATTCTTAGCACAGTGTGCAAAGCATGAGCCCTCCAGGTCAGGGCCTGAATTAGGTGATCTCTGAGTTCCCTCTGAGCCATAGCACCCTGTCCCACCAGCCCAGGACTCCCTGCCCCTCGTCCTTTCTTTCCTCCATAGAACGTACCACCATCTGGTATATTACATGTTTGGTGGTTGTCTAGCTTCCACCACTAAAATATAAGGTCCTGGGGGCCACACGCATTTGACTGCTGTGTTTGCTGCTGTCTCTCTCATCAGCAGTGGACACACAGGGTTGCATACAGTAGTCACTGTACACAAATCTTCTGAATGGATGAATGAATGGATGAATGATCCATCTCCAAGGGCCCTTAATTACAATCATAACCAACTAACTTAGCAATTTGAAAGCCTTCTTTCATCTTCACAACCAACTTTCGAGTTAGGTATTCTTATCTCCATCCTCAGACGAGGACACCAGGGCTCAGAGGGCGTCAGTCACTTGCCCAGGTGACTCCAGCAATGGGAGGACTTAGGATCACACTTAGGCCGCCTGACTCAAGAGCCCAGGCTCTTGCAAAGTATTTGAAACAAATGAGCTCAATTAATTCCACACATTTTCAGGGGGCACATAATACAATCCAGGTGTAAAAAACACTGGGGGACTTTTGGTGCTACTGCACCAGCCTGCTTGGCAAGAGATGGATGTGTGGCTGATAGGGAAACTGATAGGGTTTTCAACAAAGCCTGAAATTAATCATACTTAATGAATGTGACTAATGTGATGAAAGAATGAGCGATTAAAATATTAGCACATCTGAACTTCTCCTCCCTGGCTAATCTCCTCCCTAGGGTTATCATCTTTCAAAGAAGTAGGGGCACAGAATTACAGAAACGGGTTTTATGGAACACAAATGCCTTTTAAATGGCTTAGATTAAGGACAGTCTGTGCAGTTCTCAAGCGGCTGTCTGTCTTCACATCTCGCTGCTCAAGTGAGGGACGTGGGCTGTGGGGAGAGGCTGAAACTGTCAAGATGGCTGCAACTGGAAATGGGAAGCCAGGCATTTCCCGGGGTAATTGTGTGGAAACAGGAGACAGGCGTGGGGTCCCTTCAGCAGGGAGGCGGTTGCCTTTCTGTGTAGGCACTAGGTGAGATGAAAGTGGCTGGGAGGCATGTTCCCTGGGGATGAGGCAAAGGCATCTTACTGGCTTTGCACATTATGCAGGATCACAGGCAGAACTACCTAGGGACCAATTTTGTTTTGAGGATGACGAATGCAGAATCCCAGCACATTTGCCTTAGAGCTCCCCTCCCTATGCCCCCTCAACACACATTGCCCAGATGAACACATCAAGGCAGTAGGGAAGAGGGCTGGGGGCGGTGGTTTGCGCCTGTAATCCCAGCACTTTGGGAGGCTGTGGCGGGCGGATCATGTGAGGTCAAGAGTTTGAGATCACCCTGGCCAACATGGCGAAACCCTAACTCTACTAAAAATACAAAAATTAGCTGGGCATGGTGGCATGTGCCTGTGATCCCAGCTATTCGGGAGGCTGAGGCAGAATTGCTTGAACCCAGGAGGCAGAGGTTGCAGTGAGCCGAGATCACACCACTGCACTCCAGCCTGGGCAACAGAGCAAAACTTTGTCTCAAAAAAAAAAAAAAAAAAAAAAAAGACTGTAGGGAACAGGAAGTGTCTAGACTACAACTCACACTTGGAACTAGGAGATTCCCCTGCATATCAGTGTTCTGCTACTCTCCGGAATCAATCGATCATGCTTGTGCAAGGAATTATATAAACCTGAGGTCCCAAACTCGAGGCCTCAGCAGATGGGCAGGTAATGTAACTGAATGGACACAGTGGGAAAGGACCCAGACCACCAAGCAGGTACCTACCCTGGCTGACAGCACCCCACCGTCTTTCTCTTTGTTGAGGACATGGGCCTCGAGTGGCTTAAAATAATGCAATTTTATTATTTTACAATTCTGGAGGTCTGAAGCCTAACACAGGTCTGTAGGGCTGCACTTCTTCTGGAGACTCTAAGGGAGAAGGTTTCCTTTCCATTTCCAGCTCTATCTCTGCCTGCAGGTCCCTCCTCTGGCCCCACCCTCAAAGCCAGCAATGTGGCATTTCTGTCCTCTCACCTCTTGCTTCCCTCTTCTAAGACCCTATGAACATGCCGCACCCACCCGGACACTGCAGGAAGACTCTCTGATATGGTTTGGCTCTGTGTCCCCACCCAGATCTCACCTTGAATTGTTACAATCCCCTTGAATTGTAACAAGGGGGGGACCAGGTGGAGGTGATGGATCATGGGGGCGGTTTCCCCCATGCTGTTCTCATGACAGTGAGTTCTCATGAGATCTGACAGTTTTATAAGGGGTTCCCCCTTCGCTCTGCTCTTATTTTCTCTCCTGCCACCCTGTGAAGAGGTGCCTCCTACCATGATTGTAAATTTCCTGAGGGCGCCCCCCCAACCAGCCGTGCTGAGCTGTAAGTGAATTAAACCTCTTTTCTTTGTAAATTACCCAGTCTCAGGTATTTCTTCATAGCCGCATGACAACAGACTAATACACTCTCCCTATCTCAATCTCCAATCACAGCTGCAACATTCCTTTGCTGTGTAAAGTAACATATTCCCAGGTTCCAGGGATTAGGCTGTGGACATTTTTGTGGGGAGGCATTATTCCATCTACCACAGTTTGTATGTGGGAGTACTCACAATTTGTAAATGCTAGCAAATAATTCTGAGGTTCATAGCACTGTGTATGCCAGATCACCAGGTGTCTCTGGGCAGAAATGAGTGGGGAGAGAATGAATCTCCAGTCCATGACTTCCGACCTCTGATTTAAACAGTGTTTGTTAAAAGGAAGGCTTGGTGTCATGCTTCCTCCTGCCTTGTTCATACATACACATTGCGTGTCAGACTTCCAGGGAACTGAGAAGCTTACCAAGCATTTATGTTCCCAGGCCTGTGGCTATTTTTTTCCCTCAGTTTACAAAACTAACAATGTTTATTAAGCTCTCATTGTATGCCAGTGTGCTAAATATCTCACATGGATTCTTTCTTTTAATTTGCACAGCAATGTCATTTTTATCCCTGTTTTACAAATAAGAAATCTGACACTCAGTAACGTTGCCCGATGTCACACAGGTAGTAAGGGGCAGAGCTGCCATGAAGGCCAGGCTGTCTGGCTCCAGAGTGAGCTGATACATGAAAGCTAAAACCCCCTTCAGTTAAATAACAACCACTGAGGGGTTGCAGTGGTGTGTACCTGTAGTCCCAGCTACTCTGGAGGCTAAGGGAGGAGGACTGCTTCAGGCCAGGAGTTTGAGACCAGCCTGGGCAACACAGCAAGACCCCCATCTACCAAGTGGAACCCAGGTTGGCCTACAGAAGTCCAAGTTCCAGTATGCCTGCCACTCCTGGACATTGGCCTCCTTCTTCCACGAGAAGACAGCTGTTCGGCCATACAGTTACCCATCTCTCTGCTGCAACGCTGGACTCGAACACCACTACCAGATGCGTTCTTATCAATGTGTCTTTGGGCATGTCATTTGTCTTCTCTGAGTCTTAGTTTCTTCATCTAGAAAATAGAAAGTTATTATTATTGCAGATATTTACATACTGTGTGCCAGGCACAGTTCTAGGCATTTTACATGTATTAATCCATCTCATCCTTAAAATAACTCTCTAGGGTAGATCCTGTTATTATCTCTGTTTTACAAGAGAAAGACGGAGGCACACACAGAGATTAAATAACTTGCCCTAGGGCACAGCTAGTGAGTGGTGAAACTAAAATTGAACCCAGGAGGTCTGGAGATAATTCCTATTCTGTTCACCCAACTGGGACATTGTGAAGGTTTTGTGAAGGATCATTCATTCATTCATTCATTTTTCATTTCCTTACCAACTCAGAGGGAATTGTGATATTATTTCTTGTGAAGCACTCAAACCATGCATGCTGTGTGACAACTTCTCTGGAAATGTCTTTTATCCTAAGGTTGTTGCCAAGGGAGAGCACTGAGCCAGCTGTGTGATGAGCCTGGCTAGGGTGGCCCCTGAGGAGGCAGCCTCCAATCTTGAGAGTACAATATAGTCCCTTGGGCTATAAGGCTGGTCAAAGCCTAGGCCCTAAGGGGAGTCATAGGAAGGTCAAAGGGGAAACCTGTCAGTACACTTTGGACCTGGCATGAGGAATAACAACGAGTCAGCAAGGATCAAGGGAAGGCTTCTTAGAGGAGGTGGCATCTCAGATAAAAACACCACTAGCAAATCCTCACTTGGTGCTGCCTGTGTGCTGGGCCTGCTTGTAGATGCTTTACACGTTTTAGTTCATTTACTCCTCCCAGTAACTTTACAACACACATGGCATCATTACTGCCCCCATTTGGCAGGTGAGGAAACTGAGGCACAGAGAGGTGAGGGAACTTGCCCAGATCACAGAGCCCATGCACAGCACAGAGCCAATTCTGTGCACTGCTTATATTAACATTTACTTAATATTTAAATTATTTTTGACCTAAATGAAAAACTTTATCTCAGTATAGTACAGAATAGAAAACCAGTATGGATAGAAAATCAATACTATGAACCATATAATGAAATCACTCTAGACTCAGTTCTCTGCTAAGAGCTTCTAACTCAAGATCTTTTCTGTTAAAAGTGGGAGATAAGTGTAGAGAGGAATTAAAGATATATTAGGATCAAACTGAGGCCAAGTGAATTTGCTCATGCCTATAATCCCAGTACTTTGGGAGGGGGAGACAGGACTCCTTGAGGCCAGAAGTTCGAGACTGGAGTGGGCAATATAGTGAGACCTCATCTCTACTTTTTTTTTTTTTTAATTAAAGATGTATTAGCACCAAACTGAGACTTTCTCATTGGTGCAATCAGGATTGAAAAACAAAACAAAAGAAAACAAAACTTTCTCACTATGTGATGGAACATGAATGAGCGAGCTCTGTGCATCCTCTAAAATTCTAAAATCCTACTTTGGGAAACAGTGGTGGCACTGAAGAGCATAGACTCAGGAGACAGATTACCCTGCTTCACATCTTGCTGGCTATCCAGTTCCTGGAAAAGAATCTCTCTAAACCTCGGTTTCTTCATGGGTAAAATGCTGATAGTAATAGCTCTGACTTCATAGAGACCTTGATAACAAATGAAAGAACGTAGGTATAATAAAACGCAAAACCAAATACACAGTGAATACTTAATAAACATAATCCATTAGCATTATCGAGCTTTGCACAGATGCCTCTGGCCTTTTTGTTGTTGTTGTTGTTAGATGAAGATAATAAAAATCATCATAGTAAACACATAGCGATTACTATGTGCTGGACTTCGTCGTAGTTGAGATATATTACCATCCTAAGTTAAACTATAATCGTTTATTGTTATCTCTAGGTCTTCCTAGATGAAATTTTTACCCTAAAGGATCGTAAAGTCGGCCCACCGGACGTCAGTGGGGTCCCCTGTTCAGCCCTCTCGTTCTTCTGGGGATCTCTCGGGACACTGACGAGGTGGCACCGGGACCTACAGGTGGGCCGCAAGCCCCGCCCCCAGCGACGGCTTGTAGCCCCGTCCCCCGACGCAGCGCCTCTCCAAGTTTGCCCCGCCCTGCAGGACTGCAGAATTTCCTTTCCGGCGGCGCGCTGTCGTCACGCGTCCCGCGCCTCCTCGCGCCTGCGCCGTGGTTGGAAGGTCGTCCCTGTGACCGGCTTGGCGGTTGGAGCGGCTGTCGCCATGTTGTCGGTAGCATCCCGCTCAGGCCCGTTCGCGCCCGTCCTGTCGGCCACGTCCCGCGGGGTGGCGGGCGCGCTGCGGCCCTTGGTGCAGGCCACGGTGCCCGCCACCCCGGAGCAGCCTGTGTTGGACCTGAAGCGGCCCTTCCTCAGCCGGGAGTCGCTGAGCGGCCAGGCCGTGCGCCGGCCTTTGGTCGCCTCCGTGGGCCTCAATGGTGAGCCGGGGCGAGGGCCGCGAGCAGGGCTGGGGGTCTCTCGGTGCCCGCTCCTCCGGCCCCCAGCAGGGAGCGGCCGCGGGCGCGCGAGCGGAGCCTGAATCAGGTCGGGCTGGGCGGCCTCCGCAACTCTGGGCCTGGCCCCCGGGCTCGGGGCGTCTTTCTGGTGGCCGGCCTGGACTCGCGTCCGCCGGCTTCGCCTGGTTCCTCCTCGGCCGAGTTCACGAGCTCTGTAGTCCCGCTGTTCCAGCCACCTCTGAGGGGTTTTGTTGCTTGCAGGTCGTTTGACCTTGGGCGAGTTTCTAAACGTACTTCCTGTGAAATGGATTCATATCTTTATCAATTTTGTAGGGGTGTCGTGAGGCTTAGGTGGAGGAATTCTACGTAAAGCCGTTAGCACAGTTTGGGCACTTACATGCTTAAGAAATGGAAACTTACTAATATTTGGGAAGTTGGTCTTCTCACCACTACCGATCCCTTCATGTCCTTCCCCTTCATCACCCCCCCACCAAAAAAAAAACAAAAAAAACATACACAAGGTCAGTTACAGTGTAGTGTCACAACATAATCAGTCGTCAAGGACGGGCAGAGATTGACGACATTTACATTTTACAGATGAGAAAACAGACGAGGTAGAATGACTCGCACCAGGATCCGTGGTGTGGACATGTGGTAGCAGGGATTTGACAAGACGAATTGTCGTAGCCACTGAGCTCTTCGCAGGGGCTATTCCACACCCTCTGTCCTTAGATCCCCGTTTATCTTCTTTGCCTCGCCTTCCATCTTTACTTGGCCCTGTATCGGAGATAGAGAAATGGCAGCCTGTGGGCAGTGTGTCTGCAGGCTGTGTAGTTTTCAAAAAAACTGGGAAGACTAATGGCATCTCTTAAAATGCTGGAAGCCGGTAATACTGGGATCTAGTTTCTACTTGGGAAAATTCCATAGTGTGCTGTGTAGTGGCCGCCCCCGCAGTTGGAGCAAGTGGTCTTCTCCAGTTTGTCACAGTCTTTACCAGGTCTGCGTGTTTCATTCTGTTACCAGCCTGGCTCCACTGATAGCTGTTTGTGACTCTTCCCCTACACGCTAACCAAATTGCCCGCCACTTTTCTTTTTACTCTGTCTTCATTCACCCTGGGCTCTGCACTTTCTTCATGGTCCTTCCACTAAGTTGCTACATGTCCATATGTTTTCCTTACCCATCTTTTCAATCTCAGTTAAGGATCAGGTGAATAAAGTTTTTATTTGCTGATTTGTCTGTCTCTGTAGCACATACACTTTACACTCTGTATTGTGTTTATTGGTAACTCCTCCACCCTTGGGCTTAAGGGCATAGAGAAGGTAATATCTTCTTTATTTTTCTATCTTTCACAACGTCGGATTTTGTATACAGTTAGTGCAAAGTATTTGTGAATGAATATTTGTTAAGGAGCATCAGTGGGTTTTGAAGAAACTGTCCATGGCAGGTGTAGAGTACCCTAGCCCATCCTTGGGACCTGGAGGTGAGAAGGAAGGAAGGAGAACATTTCAATAGCAAAAGAAAAGCATCTTTGGAATTCGTCGTGTTGCTAAAGTTTCTTCAAAAAATTGGAGGCTTACATTTCTCTGATGGCCAGTGATGCTGAGCATTTTTTCATGTGTTTTTTGGCTGCATAAATGTCTTCTTTTGAGAAGTGTCTGTTCATGTCCTTCGCCCACTTTTTGATGGGGTTGTTTGTTTTTTTCTTGTAAATTTGTTTGAGTTCATTGTAGATTCTGGATATTAGCCCTTTGTCAGATGAGTAGGTTGCAAAAATTTTCTCCCAATTTTTAGGTTGCCTGTAAACCACAATGAGATACCATCTCACACCAGTTAGAATGGCAGTCATTAAAAAGTCAGGAAACAACAGGTGCTGGAGAGGATGTGGAGAAATAGGAACACTTTTACACTGTTGGTGGGACTGTAAACTAGTTCAACCATTGTGGAAGTCAGTGTGGAGATTCCTCAGGGATCTAGAACTAGAAATACCATTTGACCCAGCCATCCCATTACTGGGTATATACCCAAAAGACTATAAATCATGCTGCTATAAAGACACATTTACATGTATGTTTATTGGGGCACTATTCACAATAGCAAAGACTTGGAACCAATCCAAATGTCCAACAATGATAGACCGGATTAAGAAAATGTGGCACATATACACCGTGGAATACTATGCAGCCATAAAAAATGATGAGTTCATGTCCTTTGTAGGGACATGGATGAAATTGGAAATCATCATTCTAAGTAAACTGTCGCAAGGACAAAAAACAAACACTGCATGTTCTCACTCATAGGTGGGAATTGAACAATGAGAACACATGGACACAGGAAGGGGAACATCACACTCTGGGGACTGTTGTGGGGTGGGGGGAGGGGGAGGGATAGCATTGGGAGATATACCTAATGCTAAATGATGAGTCAATGGGTGCAGCACACCAGCATGGCACATGTATACATATGTAACTAACCTGCACATTGTGCACATGTACCCTAAAACTTAAAGTATAATAAAAAAAAAATTGGAGGTTTACCTGACTTAGAGAAACTATTTTTAGAAACAGGCAAATAATGTAGAACCATAAGGCAAAAACCTTTTCTGTAATCATTTCAGCCTGTAATTTAAGTTCACATTATAGTCTGTCTAGATGGTTCATGGCAGGATGGCTTATGGGAGTGGAGGGGTTGGATCTGGAGAAGATTCTTGAATTGGAGAGGAAGGTTGTACTATTTTCATGCAGATTTCCAAGGCGCATTGGAGCTCAACCTTAAAATAAAACTTGTTTTGTTAAAATTCCTTAAATTTTCTCCTTTAAGTATTTGATTTTGCTTTAGGTTAGAATTAAATCTAGCATCTTACTGAAAGTCAGACCTAATGCAGCTCATGTAAATATTTGGAGAATGATTTTTGCAACAGGGCAGTTTAATTTCCGAAAGGATTCTTGGTGGTGTAGCCTACTAAAGTGTAACCAGCTAGATAGAGTGGGAGGAGACTTTTGCCACCAAATCTCTGAATGAGAAGGGCAAAGCCATTTTATTGAGTTTTCTTGTACATTTCCTTGTATACTGTTAAGGGTTGTGGATACTGTTTTTAATGTAGAAGTATGAACTTTTTATTCCTTTATCTTTTAGGGAGGAAGCTCATCTTTTCTGTAATCCCAGGTAGTGCTAGGAGCAAGTAATTTATGCTTAATTCCAAATGCCAGTATATACTGGCAGGTTAGCATTTATTTGTTAGAGTAGTAGTATAGGATGTAATGTCACTTTGACTCCACAGATTCTGGGATGTGAGTCTCAAGTTGCCATTATCTGTGTCCTGGTCTTCTCCAGGAAATGATTTAGTCAGAAAAGCACATAGAGTGATTTTGGTAGGTTTCATTATTGTTTGAATACTTCTGGCTTCCATAAAGTTATTGACCTTGAGAATCATGTGAAAAGCAGTTCAGGTATTCCATATTGTAATGTTTGACTACTCAAGGAAGTACAGTATATTAGGATGATATCCTAGTAGAGCAAGGTAGAATTGCAGTTTATTACAATAAAAATGCATCATAAAAGATCTTTATTTTGGATACACATTTTCTAAAAGAGGAATTTTTAGTGTCCCCTTTTTTAAAAAGGAAACTTTGTGGCAAATTTCTTAAGATGAATATACAATTTGCAAAGAGGTTTGCTTCCTGAAACATACCTAAAAGTGGTACTAGGTAAAATTTTTTTTTGGTCAGATATTTAAAAATAGTATTGGAGAGAGGGATGTAACTGTGTCTTGTTTTTGTTTTTTAAACTACCAAAGAAACTCCTTGCTCCCAAAGTACTACATAGTAATTATTTGTTTAACATTCATTTGAGCTCTTTTATGGCCTAGACTAGAAGTGCCCCAGTTGAGAGAACTACAGCAGTGAAAAGGGAAGATAATACCCCTACTTTTACAGTAACTATTGCCCTTTACTGAAGAGGGGGAGATATGAAAATTTTGCCCTTTTTTTCCCTTGCTAAATTGAAATAATTAGTTCTTTTGCAGTTTTCATTTTATTTTGAGAGCTCTGATAAGGATGTCCTTCTCTGCCTATTAGTGGTTTTAAGTTAAAGTAATACTAATTTATACACTAGAGTATAAAATAGAAACGCTAATTTTTCTGCAGCAGAGTTATACAGTTCACAGAATGTTTATTATATCATTATTATTTTATGAATTAACAGTTTTTTCCGAGAACATAGATTGGACTATAAGGGGCAGACATTTGCCTTAATAAGGTGATCACACGTCAACTTACTGTGTGGACTAGATGAGTTTTAGGGTGTCCTTCTAATCCAGAGAGTATGGGAGGTATTTAGCATGATTTATATAGTAAGTCTTGGCAGTTGAATTTTCGGAAACTTTGAGTTATTACTGTTTATTTTGCTGTTTAACGTTTTTAGCATGATGCACTGAGGTGTTGTGAATCCTGAATCAGCAATGTTCAACCAACTAGGGGGAGCTCAATTTACAAATAGTATCTTGTGATTTCATACCAGTATGATAGGTGGTGGTTCACTTCATTTCATTTTTAAGATTTTATATGCTAGCACCGCCAATTTGACTATTTCTGAGACCCAGTGAGTGCCATATTTCACATTTTTAGAATTTGATTTTTTACCTGTGAATCCATAAAGGGCTATTTCCTGATATATACTCCCTTCGGGATACTCATCTAATTGTGTTTTTTAACCTTCTGTTTGTCTTGCAGTCCCTGCTTCTGTTTGTTATTCCCACACAGACATCAAGGTGCCTGACTTCTCTGAATACCGCCGCCTTGAAGTTTTAGATAGTACGAAGTCTTCAAGAGAAAGCAGCGAGGCTAGGAAAGGTTTCTCCTATTTGGTAACTGGAGTAACTACTGTGGGTGTCGCATATGCTGCCAAGAATGCCGTCACCCAGTTCGTTTCCAGCATGAGTGCTTCTGCTGATGTGTTGGCCCTGGCGAAAATCGAAATCAAGTTATCCGATATTCCAGAAGGCAAGAACATGGCTTTCAAATGGAGAGGCAAACCCCTGTTTGTGCGTCATAGAACCCAGAAGGAAATTGAGCAGGAAGCTGCAGTTGAATTATCACAGTTGAGGGACCCACAGCATGATCTAGATCGAGTAAAGAAACCTGAATGGGTTATCCTGATAGGTGTTTGCACTCATCTTGGCTGTGTACCCATTGCAAATGCAGGAGATTTTGGTGGTTATTACTGCCCTTGCCATGGGTCACACTATGATGCATCTGGCAGGATCAGATTGGGTCCTGCTCCTCTCAACCTTGAAGTCCCCACGTATGAGTTCACCAGTGACGATATGGTGATTGTTGGTTAAGAGACTTGGACTCAAGTCATAGGCTTCTTTCAGTCTTTATGTCACCTCAGGAGACTTATTTGAGAGGAAGCCTTCTGTACTTGAAGTTGATTTGAAATATGTAAGAATTGATGATGTATTTGCAAACATTAATGTGAAATAAATTGAATTTAATGTTGAATACTTTCAGGCATTCACTTAATAAAGACACTGTTAAGCACTGTTATGCTCAGTCATACACGCGAAAGGTACAATGTCTTTTAGCTAATTCTAATTAAAAATTACAGACTGGTGTACAAGATACTTGTGAAATCTGTAACTGACTTTATTTTCTTGCCCAAATATTTGCTTCCTGCTTTGCGTCAGGGACGCAGATTCTGCACGGTCATTGTTGGGATGAAGTAAAATTAACGGGTCATCTAAGTGTCTATGGCATTGACAGAAACAGTAGTATCTAGGTATTCCTTATTTACCGGACTTGGTAAGAGTCCTGGCTATGCATTTCCTCCCTACTGTGTAAGCCGTGTGATAATCTCAACACTAATCTGTGGGAAAGAGTCCTGAATGAGGCATTAGTAGCTCTGAGGGTTTATCTTCACGTCTGGTCTGCTGGTTTTTCTCCTTAAGTGACAGGCCAGGAAATTTTATTAGTCCCTTATGAGTGTAAATTAGTACTTAATCCTTTAGTCTTAATAGGCAGTGATGGGATATTACCTGAGAGAAACTTTCCAAAATGAGAGTGCTCTGCCATTTCGTTCATTTTGTGTGTGGTTCATCATGTCCCCAAAGTTCCTGCATCCACTCTATCAGGAGGCAGAAAGGGAGCATCTGAGACCTAATACTGCCTGCATGCAGAAGTGGTCCTGCTGGGTTTGTTTCTGTAGTGATGACACTTTGAATGTTTTTTCCTGTTGGGTTTACAGTCACTCAGCACTTTTCACTGTAAGATGGTGTGGAACCAGACGCAGAGCACATCGGAATTCACATCCTATTCTGCCTCCAATTACACAGGTGAAACAAGACTAAGGTCCATTTTCCCCTGGGAGTTGGGAGTGGGCTTTGTCCTTTGAGAATCACAGTCACTTTTTGATGTGTTTGTCTTTGCTGTTTAGAGGTGGACCAGTCGTGCTTTACTGAGTCTACCTGATAATCTCATGTACACTTTTTTAAAATGGCAAAAATGGTTAGGTTGGGTCTGCCCAAAGGGAACTGACCATCCAGGATTCCAGCCTTTGATGTTAATAGCTAGGTGTTGACAGAAAAAAGAAAATGTCAAACTTTCTATGCTTATGAGTAGATACTAGTCTTTGCTTCATTTTTACCATTCTAGAAATGAAATTAGCATGTGTGATAATTGGTGGGACACAGAAGTATTTTATATTCTGTGTCTCTAGATAGTGGAGGCACTCTTCGGATTGGGGGTTGGAGGAAGGGTTGGTGGCAGAGTTGGAATGTGAAACATTGAGTTGTGAGGGGAACACAGGTCCACACACTAAAAAACCTGTGCTGCCAAAAATGTCAACAGCACCCCCTCCCTATAGAGAAATACTGATAACCTATATCACCTCCCACCCTGAAGTGATACCTTGAAATTCTACATGGCAGTGGAGGACAGAAGTAGGAAGTTTGCAGGTCTCTAGGTACTCACTTAGTGCCGGAATTGCTATATTTGGTGGCTGCTTACTTCATCTTTCATATTTAGAGTTTGATGGTGGGATGCTGTTAAATTGTAGTAGACCATTTAGTTTTTAAAGAAGGCTTTGTTCCACAAGTGACAGGACAAGTCAAGTCACTTCATGCTGTTTTGCTGAATGGATACGGCAGACCTGTGTTAACATTTTTACCATTCTGTGAAAACAAAATCCTAGATAGTAGGAGAAAATTACTTACAGAATAAACCTGACCAGCTAGCACCCTGACATCAGATCATTAACCTACTGCATTTTATTGGGGATAATTCTTGGGACAATCTTGAGAGCCAAGTGTTTTCATTATGCTTTAAAAAGTGTTATAAAAATGGCCTTTTTGAAAATGTTGCATTATTTGTTAAAGATAACATCAAATTTTCTTTGGTCTTTCTGAGCATACCTTTGTAAAAACTTTGACTCAATCTGAGTGTATAGAGGGCATTTGTCCTGACTGGATCAAAATGTGCTTTAGTACCCTCATTTTTCTAAACTGTAGGAACATACTATTTAAATATCAGAAGTAATTCTTCATTCTCACAGTACTAAATTTCATTTTCTGTATTTTCATGTCGTTTGAATTTCATTGCATTTTGTATATTAACCCAAAATAATGTTTATATTTTATGGACTGTTATCCTTAGCCCACTGTTCTAACACACTTTATCACCACCTATTTGCTGGTGACTCCCCACAACCACTTCCCTGAGTTTCATATTCATGTGCTTACTGGGCATATATGTTTGGATGTCCTGTTGACACCTTAAACTCAAACTGTCTGAAAGGAAAAGATGTCATCTCTGTTTCCAATGAACCAGCTTCTCTATTTTAGTCAGTTGCCTCTCCATCGACCTTGTTAACTACCCGCCAGGCGAAAAACCTGTTAGTTTTCCCTGCCTCCTTTCCATCCATTATCTCCTCTCCACTTTGCCCCAAATCAGTCCCCTAGTTCTGCCAATCTACTCTTTGTTTTTCTTTTTTTTTGAGATGGAGTCTCAGTGTTGCCCAGGCTGCAGTGCAATGGCAAGATCTTGGCTCACTGCAACCTCCACCTCCCAGGTTCAAGTGATTCTCCTGTCAGCCTCCTAAGTAGCTGGGATTGCAGGCACACGATGCCACACCTGGTTAATATGTTGTATTTTTGTAGAGACGGGGTGTCACCGTGTTGCCCAGGCTGGTCTCAAACTCCTGAGCTCAGGGAATCCACCTGCCTCGGCCTCCCAAAATGCTGGGATTACAGGCCTGAGTCACTGCGTCCGGCCTGCTAATTTACTCTTAACAAGACCATTACTGTATCTGTCATCTGTAGCATTCTAATAATGGCCAACTTTTTGAGCACCCATTACTGACCACTAGGCTAAGTGTACATTAGGTATATGGTCTCTCTTAATCTGTAAAATCTGAGGTTAATGTCAGGTAGTGTTGCTATTTCTAGTTTACAGATGGGGAAACTGAGGCACACCAAAGTTTCTTTTCTACAACCATACCTGTTAGGTTTGTTGAGCCAAAACTTTTATTTTAGCTGAGGGAGTCTCGAGTCCAGAGCCTATAGTCTGATCCCCATTTTATACTGTAGTGTTTTAATTGAGGCCTTGTTAAGTCTTGCCTAGTCTACTGCAGTAAAATTCCAGATAGATCTTTCCCCCAATTCTGTCCCCATAAAATTTGTCCTCCATGTAGCTGCCAAGTAGTGTGGAGGTTAAGAATATGACATTGGTTTT
Organism: Homo sapiens; assembly: GCF_000001405.40. Lineage (NCBI taxonomy): Eukaryota > Metazoa > Chordata > Mammalia > Primates > Hominidae > Homo > Homo sapiens. The sequence continues at coordinate 29,204,162 of NC_000019.10, read as the reverse complement.
GGATTCCAGTACTGGCTCTGCCATTTCCTAGATGTGTGACCTGACATAAATTACTCAATCCATTCCTCTTCCTTCATCTGAAAAATAATACCCGCTCAGGGTTGTTTTAGGAAGTAGCACATTAGTATGTGTCAAGGTATATGTCAAAACTCCTTATACAAGTCCTCACCTGCATCCCATCGGTAAACCCCTTGCTCTAGTAACAGAATTTTCTTGTAACCTATATTCTTTGTAGTTTTCTTTCAGTCTTTTCCCAAGCTGTCCCTTCTTATCTTTATTTTAGCTATTTCATCCACTGCCTGCCTATCTGCTTAGGTGCAGTGCCCTGCAGGAAGCCTTCCTTTTCTCACAGGCCCTTTCTCAGTAAGTTTTTCCAAAATAACCAGGAAATATCCATTGTGGTATTTATATTAACCTCTTTTGTAAAGCTCACGTTCCTGGTTTGTCTCCCCTCCACCGCCAGACTGAAGGCTGAGGCCCATGGCAACTACTGAGCCATGGAGTTGCATGCTCCAAATGAAAAAAAAAAAAAAAAATGAATTTCTGAGTGGCATTTGAAAGGAAGATTTTCCAAAGAGTATTTTGGAAACATCAGGTCTAACAACAACAACAACAAAAATCAGTGTATTTTATCTTTCCAGGACTTGAGGTCAGAGGAGATATTACAGTATATTTTGGATTTAAATTTAAACCATCCCCATAAGAAAAAGTTGAAAAGCATAAATAATGAATTCAGGATCTTAAAAACTGAGATTTTACTTTAGTTATGTTTGTTTCGTAATGAATGTTCTGCCTATGTAAGACTTCAGTGTCAAAAAGTCTGTCCTTTAGTATTTTATTTTCAAAACTTGTAAATGCAATGGATGTCATTTCATTTAATTTTACCATTTTATCTGTCTTACTCATTTTCCATCCTGGGATTTAGGAGGGGAACATTTTGATTAGAGAGGAAAAATATTATCAAGCAGGTGAACTGATCAATTCTCTTCTGAGGAAGGATTCAGGATGATTTTCTCCTTTTCAGTACTCAGCACTATTTATTGGAGTTTAACAATGTCCCAAACACAGTACTGCCAGGAACATGAAGTTAAGATGGTTTTTAGTCCAGATACTTAAAGAAGACCTAAATACACCACAAAAGGAAGACTATTCAATTGCTTGCTTCTGTGAGTGCTTATGAAATAGATTATTATAGATCGGAAATCTCTGGTCTGTGGCACAAGATTAAAGTTAACTTTGTGGAGGGCTTCAGCAATATCTCTGTAATAACTCTTCCATAATGATCAACCTAAGACTGGTCTATCAGTGAAGTGAAAATCCTAAATTCAATAAACTACACTTTATATTTTTGCAGCTATTATCCCAAACTTGGATCAATTTGAGTGCAAAAACTTAACCGTCATCTGGCTTTTGAAATCCTTATTTTATTAGAATATTTGCAAAGGTAAGAAATCAAAGTATCTAAGTAATAGGTTTTCATACATTTTTAAAAGGGCAAACAAAACCTTGGTTTCTTAATGGAAGGGAGAGGAGAGCTAATGCATTTCACAAAATAGGCCTGTCTAGATTGAGTATCTGAAATCTGCCATTTCCTGCATTGGGGCATGGCTAAAATTTTAACTCGTGCCTCTTGCTTTATCTGAGGGAATACTTGCTTTCTTAGCTCTCTCCTCAAGACACACTCTGCTGTGGTCCCTTTCAGCCCTTTGGAGAGACAAGGCATTCCTGGGGCCCCAGTTGATCTCAGTACATGAAAATCAGGTTAGAGGCAGTGTTCCTCTTAGTAACGGATTATCTATTATACCATTTTAAATATAAATTTCAAATGAAATAGTGGGTAGAAAAGGTATATCAACTGTAAAACAAGATACAAATGCTCAAAGCATTATTTAACGAGGCAGTAAATGGCATTTAGAATGTGATTAGGTATACAGAAAGGCCACTTAGGTGGAGGTAGACCCTACTCAGAATGCGATTCTGAATCAAAGGTTGGTATTAATCCTGCATTCTCATAATACTTTGGCCCCTGGAAGTTCAGATTTGCATGTGTACATAGTTTTGATGTTAATGGAAAGCAAAGCTGAATTCATCCATGACAGTGGTTCACATTGTAGTGTCCCCCTCCTGTTAGCTTTGAAGAATTACTACTAATTGGCTGTAAAAGCTGGTTCTTTGAAATGATCAAGAAAATATATAAGGCTTTTTGTAAAGCTTGATAACGAGAAAAATGAGGCAAAGCAAAAATATATAAAATGAAGAGCCAGCCATCCTCACTTGATGGAAGAAATTAAAATAATAAAAACATGCAACTCCATAGTAACAAAGTTGTAAAAACCAGGGGATACAGATGACTTCTTAGCGAAAATATAAAATGCCAAAATTAGCCCAAGAAGTAGAAAACTTAAACATACCAATTAGCATAGATTAAGTATAAAAAGTTACCATGACTGAATGACTTCATAGCTGAGTTCTATATGACACATTAAAGAAAAGATAATTCCAATTTAAACTACCAGCTCGTTCAGGTCAGAGCTTTTCCAATTTTACTGTGCGTGCAATTTACCTGGAGATCTTGTTAATGATGCATATTCCGATTCTGTAGGTCTGGAATAGGGCCTGAGATTCTGTGTTCTAACACTTTCCCAGGTGATGTCCATGGCAGGCTAAGAAGTTCAAGGGTGAAGGGGCTGCATTTGGTGAGGGCCTTCTTGCTGCTGGGGACTCTCAGCAGAGTCCCAAGGTGGTACAGGGCATCACCTGGTCACCTGATGAGGGGGCTGAGCATGCTAGCCCTGGCGTCTATCCTCTTATAAAACCACTTAATCTACTTCTGTGATAACCCATTAATTCATTACTTTGTGAATGGACCTAATCACCTCTTTAAGGCCCCAGCTGTCAATACTGCCACACTGGGGATTAACTTTCAACATAAATTTTGGAGGCGACAAATATTCAATCCATAGCATTCTATAGAATGCTCCAACAATTCATTTTGTGAGTTTAATGTAAATTTAATATTAAAACCTGACATTAAATATCAAAAAAATCAGTATCATTTACTGAATTAATGAAATTTTCTAAATAAAATACTAGTAAAAGAAGTCTAATAATGCTGCAAAAGAATAATAAACTTTGAGATTTATTCTAGGAATGCAAGGTGGTATCAACACTGTCTATTAAATGAACAAAGAAGGAAAAATAAAGACAACAATAGATGTGGAAAAGCTATCCCTAATATAAATAGGAAATAATTAAAATAGAGGAGTATATTTTATTTATTTATTTATTTATTTATTTATTTATTTATTTATTTATTTAGAGGCAGTCTTACTCTGTCGCCCAGGCTGGAGTGCAGTGGCATGATCTCGGCTCACCACAATCTCTGTCTCCCAGGTTCAAGCGATTCTCCTGCCTTAGCCTCCCTAGTAGTTCGGATTACAGGCACCCACCACCACGCCTGGCTAATTTTTTGTATTCTTTGTAGAGATGGGGTTTCACCATGTTGGTCAGGCTGGTCTTGAACTCCTGACCTCAGGTGAGGAGGGCAGATCACTTGAGGTCAGAGGTTCGAGACCAGCCTGGGCAACATGGTGAAACCCTGTCTCTACTAAAAATACAAAAATTAGCTGGGCTTGGTGGTGGGTGGCTGTAATCTCAGCTACACAGGAGGCTAAGGCAGGAGAATTGCTTGAACCCAGGAGACAGAGGTTGCAATGGGCCAAGATCATGCCACTGCACTCCAGCCTGGGCAACAGAGCGAGACTCTGTCTCAAAAAAAAAAAAAATTTTCCAGGTACTCTGCCTGTGGGGTACCCTGCCCTGTCTATGGAGCAGACATTTTTCTGTATTCTGTTGTTCTAATAAGCTTGCTTTGCTTTCACTTAAAAAAAAAAGTCTTTTCCTCAAATTAACATACATTTATTAATAATAAACTTCCAATTAGACTCTATACAGCATTTTGTTTTGATCCAATTTGTTTAGGATAAAATGATCATAAAGCTTATATAAAATAAATATCCAAAAATATCCAAGGAAAGTATGAAACAGAAGAATAAAGATTTGAGAAACTACAGTGTAATTATTGTAGTTAATATGACATTGGCATGAGGACAGATGGGTCAGTGGACAAAATAGACTATCAAGAATGAGATTTCAAGCTACAAGAATTTAATACAAGAAAGACAGGATTCAATTCAGTGGGAGAAGATTGGTTTATTTAATAAACAGTGCTGGCAACGCCTACTATTCATTTGGAAGAAAACAGAGATGGACCCCAGCTCCTATCATGCTTAAAAATAAACTCTAGTGGGATTAAAGATGCATGTAAAAAAAATTTTTAAGGAAAAATTTTAGGAACTGTACATGTAGTTTAAATGGGGAGAGGACCTTCTTAATCATGAAAGGACACTTAAAACCTATAGCAGAGGCCAGGCATGGTGGCTCACACCTGTAATCCCAGCACTTTGGGAGGCTGAGGCCAGTGGATCACCTGAAGTCAGGAGTTCAAGACCAGTCTGGCCAACATGGTGAAACCTCATCTCTACTAAAAATAAAATAAAAAAAAAATTAGCTGGGCGTGGCAGAGGATGCCTGTAATCCCAGCTACTCGGGAGGCTGAGGCAGAGAATTGCTTGAACCCAGGAGGTGGAGGTTGTAGTGAGCCGAGATGGCGCCACTGCCCTCCAGCCTGGGTGACAGAGTGAGACTCCATCTCAAAAAAACCAAACAAACAAAAAACAAAACAAACAGAACCTATAGCAGAAAAGATAGGCCTATTTGTATTTTTTAAAATCTTGAATTTCAAAAGATACTAGTCAAATCAGATGAAAATAGATTTGTAAAATAAAAATTCTAAGCCCAATGAAGAGTTGGTATCTATAACATACATAGAGAGATCTTATAAATTGACAAGAAAAGGACAAAACTGTAGGAAAAAATGTAGGTGAAATACCCTCATTAGAAAAAAGTGAATCTGAGTGCCTAATAGATGAGTAGGTATGAGATCTTGTCATTGTCAAAGTCAACACAATGGCAATGAGGTGTCACTTTACATCCATCAGATGGGCAGAACTTCCAAGAGTAACAGCATCTTTTGCTGTTGAACAAGTGTGAGAGAATGATACTCTTGCACATTGCTGGCATAAATAGGAGAAAGTTTTAATGCACTTCTCCAGACTGTTTTCCAAAAACAAAGAAAAATAAACTCCCATTGGCCCAGCAGTTCCTCTTCTGACACTCTCCATAGAAATAAAAACAGAAGTCTGGAAAAGTGAATGTGTTGTGGGAAGTCAGGGACCCCGAACGGAGGGACCGGCTGAAGCCATGGCAGAAGAACATGGATTGTGAAGATTTCATGGACATTTCCCCGAATTAATACTTTTATAATTTCTTATGCCTGTCTTTACTGCAGTCTCTGAACGTAAATTGTGAAGATTTCATGGACACTTATCACTTCCCCAATCAATACCCTTGTGATTTCCTATGCCTGTCTTTACTTTAATCTCTTAATCCTGTCATCTCGTAAACTGAGGAGGATGTATGTCACCTCAGGACCCCGTGATGATCGCGTTAACTGCACAAATTGTAGAGCATGTGTGTTTGAACAATATGAAATATGGGCACCTTGAAAAAAGAACAGGATAACAGCAATGTTTAGGGAACAAGAGAGATAAACTCTGACTGCCGGTGAGCCGGGTGGAACAGAGCCATATTTCTCTTCTTTCAAAAGCAAATGGGAGAAATATCACTGAATTCCTTTTCTCAGCAAGGAACATCCCTGAGAAAGAGAATGCACCTCTGAGGGTGGGCCTCTAAAATGGCCCCCTTGGGTGTGGCCGTCTTCTATGGTCGAAACTGTAGGGATGAAATAAGCCCCAGTCTCTCATAGCACTCCCAGGCTTATTAGGACAAGGAAATTCCCACCTAATAAATTTTTGGTCAGACCCTGTCTCCTGATAAGATGTTATCAATGACAATGGTGCCTGAAACTTCATTAGCAATTTTAATTTTGCCCCAGTCCTGTGGTCCTGTGGTCCTGTGATCTCGCCCTGCCTCCATTTGCCTTGTGATATTCTATTACCTTGTGAAGCACGTGATCTCTGTGACCCACACCCTATTCATACACTCCCTCCCCTTTTGAAAATCCCTAATAAAAACTTGCTGGTTTTACGGCTCAGGGGGCGTCACAGAACCTACCGACATGTGATGTCTCAGCTGGATGCACAGCTTTAAAATTTCTCTCTTTTGTACTCTGTCTCTTTATTTCTCAAACCATCCAATGCTTAGGGAAAATAGAAAAGAAACTACGTGAAATATTGGGGGTGAATTTTGCCTGATATCTGGCCAAATTTCCCCCAATATGAATGTAAAAAGATGTTTGTGGCCGGGCGTGGTGGCTCACGCCTGTAATCCCAGCACTTTGGGAGGCTGAGGCGGGCAGATCACGAGGTCAGGAGATCGAGACCATCCTGGCTAACACAGCGAAACCCCGTCTCTACTAAAAATACAAAAAATTAGCCAGGTGTGGTGGCGGGCACCTGTAGCCTCAGCTACTTGGGAGGCTGAGGCAGGAGAATGGCGTTAACCTGGGAGGCGAAGCTTGCAGTGTGCAGAGATTGTGCCACTGCACTCCAGCCTGGACGACAGAGTGAGACTCCATCTCAAAAAAAAAAAAAAAAAAAAGATGTTTGCTTTGGTGAAATTACAGTGGTCCCAAACTAAGTGACAATGACATAAAGGGAACAATAAGAAGTTGTTGTAGGCCAGGTGCAATGGCTCATGCCTGTAATCCCAGCCCTTTGGGAGGCCGAGGTGAGTGGATCATGAAGTCGGGAGTTCGAGACCAGCATGGCCAACATGGTGAAACCTCATCTCTACTAAAAATACAAAAATTAGCTGGTGGCGCATGCTTGTAGTCCCAGCTACTCAGGAGGCTGAGGCAGGAGAATTGCTTGAACCTGGGAGGCAGAGGTTGCAGTGAGCTGAGATCGCAGCATTGCACTCCAGCCTGGGCAACAGAGCGAGACTCTGTCTCAAAAAAAAAAAGTCATTGTTTGTGATTATATGAATAGGTATATGATCGTATTTATATGGAAAACATGTGGAAGAAACTAGATCTTGCTAACGTAAATGATCTGGGATTGAGATGGTTCTGGTGGGGGAAGGGCCAGGGAAGAGAGTAGGTACAAAAGACGCAAGCTAGCTATCACAGAAAATGCATGAAAACACCGCTGCCTGCCTCCTGCCCCTGCCCGGCATGAATGGTATATTGGTGTGTGTATATATATATATATATGTGTGTGTGTGTATATATATATATATATGTATATGTATATATATGTGTGTGTATATATATGTGTATATATATGAATATATTTATGAATGGTATATTCATATATATATGAATATATTTATGAATATATGCTTATACAGACTAATTTTACAAGAAAATTATAAAAATTACAAAAAACTATACTGTATAATTTTATAAAATTATATAATGTGTACATATATAAGTATATGTTCAGAAATATATATCTATGTATGTGGAATATATGTGTATGAATTTCAATGCATATGCAGAAAGAGATTGGGGAAAAAGTTCTATTCATATCTACAGACGCATAAGGAGGTCTACTATGACATATTGCTAAGTGAAAAAGCTCAAATGGCGAAGTGTGTAACATAGTTCTCTTTGGTAAAAAACAAAAATGCCCTGTATGTCTATATTGCTGCTTTACTACGTTGGCATGAGCAGAGTGTGAACGTGCGTGGCTGTGCTGTTAGAATGGAGCAGGAGCGCAGGGTTGGGGGCAGGTGGGAAGTAGGGCTTTTCTTTCCACAGATTTAGTGTTATTTTACCTGCTGTAGCAACCTGTTTCGTTTGGTAATTTGAAAAGCTTGAAATTATATTGTCCTGACTATCTGGGCAGACATTCTTCCTGACCTACTATTTGAACTGACCTACTGACAACTTTGAACATCAGTTGGTCCCGCCTATTAATTAATATTAGACAGCTACTTCCCAGTATTTGTCAGTGGTCAAGGCTTTGTATATTAGCCCTAGATATCCATCTATACACAAAAGTGCTATAAATGTGCAGTTCTTGATATGTGGGTTCAGTGATTTTGAGTTTAGTAAATGTTTTCCAGAAAGACTAAAAACAATAGACTTACCATTTATTTACTTGTGTCACTCATAACTTCTAAGTCACAGATGGCTTTAGTTCAAGCCAATACAAAGGGAAGCAGGAGACTAATTGTAGAAAAGTCATTTGCATCTTGTTACGTAATTATGTATTATCTAGACCAGAGCTATCCAATAGAACTGTCTGTAATGAAGGAAATGTTCTACAATCCGTGCCAGTATTGAGCAGTTGAAACATGGCTAGTGCATCTGAATAAATGAATTTTACATGTTATTTTAGTGTTAATTCAAACAGCCACACACATGAACAGTGGCTACCACATTGTTCAATGCCAATCTAGAACCACTCAACTCACTAAAAACAAAAACAAATCCCAACGCTGTTGAAAATTGAAACAGTAAACTTGCTTCTATTGTCTGTAACTGGTGTGTAGGATAAATATCCTCTGTGTATAGAGAGAACAGCTTTTAGAAAACATTTTTATGATTCTTAATTTTTTTTTTTTGAGACAGAATCTTGCTCTGTTGCCCAGGCTGGAGTGCAATGGCATGATCTCAGCTCACTGCAACTTCTGCCTCCCAGTTTCAAGTGATTCTCCTGCCTCAGCCTCCCGAGTAGCTGGGATTACAGGTGCCCACCACCATGCCTGGCTAATTTTTGTTTTTTTAGTAGAGATGGGGTTTCACCATGTTGGCCATGCTGGTCTCGAACTCCTGACCTCAGGTGATCCACCCACCTCAGCTTCCCAAAGTGCTGGGATGATAGGTGTGAGCCACTGTGCCCGACCAGACTCTTAAATTTTTAATGAAATATTTCAAGCATACAAAAAAGCACAAGAATGATAAACACCCATGAACCTACCATTCAAATTTAACAAATGCTAACAGTTTGTTAAATTTTGCTTCAGATTTTCAAGAATAAAATATTACCTATCCAATTGAAGCCCCCTTTCCCCGCCCCCTTCTTCACTCTGCTGCCTGCCCAGGTAAGGATATATATATTTAGCACGTGTTCTTCCTTTACATTATTGTCAGATATTTATTGCACCTTTCCAAGATGAACAAGTCTCAAGTGTCAAAGTGTGACATTCTCTCTAGGCTGTGTATCTGTCTGTGTGTTTGCCAAAAACAGTCCAGTTGCCAGGAAAGATTGCAGGAATTACAGAGCCATAGAGAGAGGCAGAGCCATGTGGGATGGGAAGTTATTTACTTGCAGAAGGTGAGAGTGGACGACATTGAATATGAATTGCTCTGGAGGAAGTAAGTTCAATGGGCTCAATGGGAAGAATGGACATTTGCTAATAGGCAGGGAAGGTAGTCTGAGGGAAGGAGCCAATTTTACTATTTTCAGGAAGTGAGGGACACCACCAAGAGGTTTCCTTGTGCTTTTCATGAAGGGATTTGTCTAGGGGAGCGGTTCTCAAATTTGTTTGCTCATTAGCATCATCTGAGGATCTTCAAAAACCACTGACACCTGATCCACTCCCAGAGCCTGCTACTTAATTAGTCTCAGGCATTCCTGCCAGTCAGAACTTTTAAAACATCTCCAGGTGATTCCAATGTTCAGGCATCATTGAAAACCACAGCCTCGGGCCAGTGTTTCAAACTTGGTAGACGTTGCAATCAACTGCTAAGCTTTAAAAACTATGCCTGGACCCACCTCCAGGCATTAATCGTTGTTTAAACCGATTTAAATGGGATGGAAACAACCTGGGCATGGAGATTTTTTATAGCCCCCAACCAATTCTAATGTGAAGCCAAATTTGTGAATCTCTGGCCTAAAGGAAGCTCATGTTTATAGCAAATAATTTGGATAAAAAAACCTCAATGAGTTTCTGGCTTCTACATGCTGGGCTCAGTCTAGAGTTGTCATATAACTGGGGACTAGGTATCATGGAAATAAAATAGAGCTATCTCCAGGCTCTTTTTTGCTTCCAGTAAGTGCCAATAAATCTGATCCAAAACGCTCGGAAACACACAAGTTTATCCAGTGACCAGTGGGGACTCTCTCTTGCTTTGGAAGAAGCAGAGAAGTCACTTTTTATTTTATTTTTATTTTTTGAGGCCGAGTCTCACTCTGTTGCCCAGGCTGGATTACAGTGGCTCGATCTTGGCTCACTGCAGCATCTGCCTCCCGGATTCAATCGATTCTCATGCCTTAGTCCCCCGAGTAGCTGGGATTACAGGCGCCCACCACTATGCCTGGCTAATTTTTGTATTTTTAGTAGAGACAGCGTTTCACCATATTGGCAAGGCTGGTCTGGAACTCCGACCTCAAATGATCTGCCCACCTCAGCCTCCCAAAGTGCTAGTATTACAGGCGTGAGACACCGCGCCCGGCCAGAGAAGTGACTTTCAGATTCTTAGAAAAGGGTTGCAGGTTGTTTGATGGACAGGATATTATGGATTATAAAGATTATAGTGTAAGAAAACCAGGAGGCAGAGGGCCAAAGGTAAGTCTTAATACCATCCTTCCAGCTACCACCATCACTATTGCATTCCAGGAGTCGATGATGCTCAGCGTGATGACCCGTGTGAATCACATTCTTTAAGGAAAAGGGTGTATTTGTCATTTGCCCTCACTACTTACTTGGATGAGATGGTTTTTCCTGGAAGAGAGAGCTCACTGCTGAGTTGAGTGGGTGGGTAGAAAGCAGTATCGATGAGAAATGGTGTGGCTCTCATAGCAGTGTGAGGTAAGGAGGCTGGCAGAGCTGCCAGGAAATGCTGCAGGGCTGTGCTGAGGAACTGGCACTTCCTGGGGGAGGAAGGAACACAATGAGAGGGTAGACTAGTGAAAGGGTGGAACATTCCAGCAGTAAAGGCTGTTGATGCAGATGGCGGGCACTTTACCTTTGGACAGTTTCCTTTTATTTACTGAACTTGAGAAGGAGCTGGGAAATTGATCAGTGATTGATTTGAGGGTGGAACAAGGGAAGATCATTTAAGATCTAATATTTTTCTTTTATTGAGAATTAAACTCTTCACAGTTGTGGGAGAAGATAGAGTTATGATAGAGATTAAGTGTAGAAAACTTCAAGAAAGATGACATTTTAAATAGCTTTTCTAATTCAAACATAATGAACCTTGAAAGCACAGAAAAGTACACAGAAAAACTACCAAAAATCTTACCCAAAGATAAACATTCTTACCATTTCCCTGTATGTTATTCTGGCATTTTTTTCATACAAACGAATCTTTATATTTTGTGTGTGTGTGTGTGTGTGTATATATATATATATATATATGTGTGTATATATATACCATATCTCAAAAAAATGTATAAATCTATATATACAGTCTTGCTCTGTCACCCAGGCTGGAGTGCAGTGGCACAATCATAGCTCATTGCAGTCTTCAACTCCTGGGCCTAAGGGATCTTCCTGACTCAGCCTCCAAAGTAGCTGGGACTACAGGGGTACACCAGCATGCCTGGCTTAAAAAAAAAGTTTTGTAGAGATGGAGGTCTCACTATGTTGTTCAGGCTGGTCTCAAACTCCTAGCTTCAAGCAATTCTCTAACTTTGGCCTCCCAAAATGCTGGACTATGTGCTTTTCTTAATGAAAGTTATCCCCTGTACAAAATAGTTCACTGTGAGAATTCTCTTGATATACTAAGGGAGAAAAAGCTGCCCATGGAACAGTCTGCACAACTCATTGAACCAGTCAGCCCTTGTGGCACCTCTAAGGCATTTGATTTTGAAGGGAAGAACTTGAGGTGACCAGGAGAAAACCCAAGCTATGTTCTAGAAAACCGCAGGGGTAGATCCTCGTTCTATAACAGTTCCAAAATGTGTTAGCCAGGCCTGATCTGACATGAGAACACAGCTGATTGGTGTTTTGCACTTTGCCCCCTTCAGCCTCACCTTGTATTTAGCCCAGACACAATCCTATCCTATCACTTTTCTTTTTAAACCAGCCATCAAATTACCTAATGGGCGAGACCCTCAGCAGACAGTCATTCAACTTGACGGGGGTTTGCGAGGAGTTATTGGCATAAATTATCTCAGCACAATTACCCAGAGTTCATGTCACAAGTGTGTTCCATTGTACTCTCTCTCTCCTTTTTTTCAAACTACTTAGCATAATTATGTTATTTTAATGGCCACTCTAGCAACATTAACTATGACATTACCCAGTAGTCTATCAACTGGTGTTGGAAAGCTCTTCTTCAGCTTCAGTCCTGGAAGCCTCCATTATGGTTATACTCTTCAAAACAGAGGTATTGCTGTTATCAATGGTCCTGCTAAAGCCTTCTATGCTATTTCTTGAGACAGAGTCTTGCTCTGTCACCCAGGCTGGAGTGCAATGGTGTGATCTCAGATCACTGCAACTGCCATCTCCCAGGTTCAAGCAATTCTCCTGCCTCAGCCTCCCGAGTAGCTGGAACTACAGGTGCCCATCACCACACCCAGCTAATTTTTGTATTTTTAATAGAGACAAGGTTTAGCCATGTTGGCCAGGCTGGTCTCAAACTCCTGACCTCATGTGATTCACCTGCCTCGACCTCCCAAAGTGCTGGGATTATAGGCATGAGCCACCGCACCCAGCCTTCTATGCTATTTCTGATCACTTCAAAGGAAAGGACCCCATGAAGTAGCATCTTTCTCAGATATTTTCATTTGTCCATCCATAGACCTATCCAAATCACTCTTCTAAAGTGCTCTGGGGACCGAGCAGTCATATCAAAATCTGAGTTGACTCTACGGGCCTTGACTTTGGAGTCATCTGCTGTTGAGACACTCCCTGTCAGGTACAGAAACAGGTGCTGCCTGTGTGCCAGCTCACCCTCGGCAGGTGGCTGCATGCCTGGGCACCAGGGACCTGGCCGATAGCCACAAAATGTGAATGACTGGCCTAGCCCAGCTTTCCCATTTCACAAGTGGGCACCCGAGGTCTGGAAGCTGTGCGGTGACTGCTGAAGTCTCGAGGTTAATAAGCAGCAGACCTGGGACTCTGCAATCTTCCCACTGCCCCTCGCACCTTGAGGCACTCTCAGAGAAGACACTCCACGTGGAGGAGGAGCCATAATGCCTCAGTGGGGCACAGGTTTGCAGCACCAAACAGTTTCTACAAGGCCTCCCTGTTTCTTGCCTAGGTGATGCTCAGCATTGCTGACTTCACTTCCTGTCACTCCTGACCTCCCTTCAACTGCCCACATTAGGGAAGGTTTGATGCTAGCATTCTTGACCCTACTCTGCCATCCAGAATTAGCCCAAGGATTGTGGACAGTGAGGCAGGAAGAGCCAGAGCTCCCCAAAGCCTCAGCTCCCAGGAACTCACCTGCAGTTCTCACTTCCTGGCAGGACGCTTCTTGGGCCCCCACACAGTGCACCCCGCTGGGAGGAAGACTGGCACTCGAACTTTCAAGCCAACTAAGGGAGAAGCTGGGGTCCGGCTGCTTGCTTTCCTGTGTTCTGTGAATAGCTGCACTCCTTTGCAATAACTCTGTTCTTTAATAAAATAATCTGATCAGCATGTGACTTTGGAGGGACGTAAAGAGCTTCGGCAGGCAAGCCGTTTGAATTGCCAGTAGCACTTCATTCACAGGGGAACCAGCAGACTCACTCGACAAGGGGGACACCACTAGGCCAGAAGCTTCAAAAAGTCAGAAATAATTGTAAATTTTTAAAAATTATTATTTTTTTTTGAGACGGAGTCTCACTCTGTCACCCAGGCCAGAGTGTAGTGGCGTGATCTCACTGGAAGCTCTGCCTCCCGGGTTCAAGAGACTCTCCGCCCAAGCCTCCCTAGTAGCTGGGATTACAGGCATGTACCACCATGCCTGGCTAATTTTTGTATTTTCAGTAGAGACAGAGGTTTCACCATGTTGGCCAGGCTGGTCTCTAACTCCTGGACTCAAATGATCAGCCCGCCTTGGCCTGCCGAAGTGCTGGGATTACAGGCATGAGCCAGCATGCCTGGCCATAATCATATTATTGTAACAACTGCCACTAGTATGTCCTCACATATGGGTCTGAGGACTTAGATATCTACACACCTGAGACAGGTGGTCATTTTCCCTGCTGAGGAAGAGGATACAGGGAAGTATCTCGCTCCAGTTCAAACAGGAAGAGGCAGAGTTGGAAAGTAAATAGAGCCTCCCTGACTCCAAAGCTTGTGTTCTCCATCAGTTAACACCTTTTGATTTCTTCTTCCTCTTTACTAGGAAGAGGCACAGAGAAGCTGGGCCCAAGCTGGTCCATTTTCAGCACAGCCCCTGGAGGCATCTTTAGTTCACCTGCAGGACTGGACCGGAGAACCTCTCTGTGCCTGGGGCTGTAACGAATATGAGTGTCTTCTGGCCTCCTCACAAAAACACACTCTTCCATCATCTTCCACTCCATCCTTGAACCTGGTGTTCCAGGTAATTGCCTGTCGAGAAGCCAGGCAGAGTTCTGATGCGCTTGTAGGATGCTGAGGCCATCAGCTCCATAATGAGGTAAAACTGGATTTCTGTTCTTTAGCCCTCATTAAAGGAAGCACTACTCACTTATTGATTTGATTTTAAGTAGGAAATGACTGTGTATCAGGCGCATAAGTGACAAGAAATTGAGCCTAGAGGGGAGCATACTGTCTTGCAGAGACATGACAGCTGACTTTGATTGAGAGGGCCCTTAAGGAAAAAAGGTCCACACTTGTTCTCTGGGGGGCCAACCAATGGCTTGAGGGAGAAGCATTGGAGTGGGGGATGAGTAAGGGCCTCTTGGTAGGTAGAGCTGTGTGGAGAGAGAGTGGGTTGCCTTAGCGGCAGCGAATTTCCACACTGGGTGTGAGCACGCATGGGCTGAGCCACTATCCAGTGACAGCGTCATGTAAGGGGCTCTGGCAAGAGCGAAAGGCTGTGCCTAAATAGCCCTTCTGACTCAGAAGTATATTACACCACAGCTGCGTTTCAAGATTTAGACAAGCATTTAAGATGCTTATACTTGGGCATTAAGCCAGTGAGGGTGCTTTCTCTTGCAAGAGCTAGGAAACTGTACCCAATTTACTTAAGTGAAAAGGGAACATTTCAGCTTGTACAATGGCAAAATCCAGAGACAGGCACGGCTGGACCCAGGGATTGGGGTTAAGTCATCCCGATCCTCTTCCTTCTTCCCAGGTTGTTGGCCCAGTTCCTTGGAGTTGGCCTTGTTCTCAGGCAGCCTCTTCCCTAAGGGCAGAGAAATGGCTGCAGCACGTTTCTCCAGCTTTAAATCTGGAGGAGAGTGAGAGACTCAATGCCAGCATTTCCAGCAACGGGGCTGTTGGAGAAATAAAAAGTCTTGCCAACAAAAAGACTCCTCTCCCCTCATACCCATATAGATGAGGCAGGAAACGTGATTTATTCCTGAATATGCATATTAGATACACACATGCGAGGAGCCTGCAGGAGACTCTACACAATCTGGGCTGAATTTCACACACTTTCTACAGCAAAGTAGAAGAAAAATGAAGCCCACTCTTCCCTCCTTGAGAGACGAATGGATGTGCCTTGTAACAGCCTTCTGCACACCTCCCGAGAGACCGCTGAGTCAATTTCCGAGGCCTGTGCCTACAGTCCCAGGGTCAGAAGGCCTGTGACCTTGTGTTGTGAAATCTGGAGACTGGAGACCTTGCATTGTAAAATCTAACTCCTGACTCTAGGGTCTGGCCTACCTGTTGTGCTTTTAAGGAGATGCTCTAAGGGCAAGGCAGGGCAGCTGCTACCCCTTATTAAAATTCCATCATATGTATCAGCACAAGGTCATTATGTCGCACGGGCTCTGGTTGCGTGATACGTCCACTGCTGAGCAAATTTCTGTGGTCCAAAGCAGGGATACACTGACAGGCTTAGGTCTAACTTATGGAGAGGAGGTTTCCAAGAGTGAAACTAGGGCACAAGAGGAAAAAGATGCCCAGATGCCATGGAGACCCTGGGGCGCTGGGATGGGAGGTGGAGCTCTTCTGATCAAACCTAGCAGGTGACTTGGTCTGGCCATCAGGAATTAGTGTATCACCGTGCTGCCAATTCCCAAACCCCTTTTAGAACCACAGAACTTGCGTGGAGAGAAGAATGAACAATCAGAGGTTTTTTGAGAATAACTGCCGTGGATCTCAGAAAACCGACAGGGAGAGAACAGGAAATTCAGGCAGAGAGCCAGCTCTGAGCTGAGGGCTGTCTTCTTGAATGTTAAGGCTTTACTTGGAAAGCAAATGTTTCAGGATGAAATCTGCGTAGGGAGGTTTGGGATCTATGGTCTACCCCAGCTGTCCTGTGAGGGAAGGAAGAAAACCACCCAAACCAGACAGAAGCATCTGGCCAGTCGTCATGCACAGCCTCTGGGACATGGCTTCTCTGCCTGCCTCACCCACAGCCCAATGTCTTATGCACAGGTGACCATGTCCTGTATTGGTGACCAGGGAGGAGACAAGACCTGCAGCCTAGTGGGGAGCCTTGTAAAGCTTTGCCAGATGAGGCCAACAGTAACCCTCACACAAATATTCTCTTTGGAACCGGTATGTGGTGGCCAGTTATCAATACATCGCAGGAGCAAAAATAGTAAACATAGGAGCAAAATGGAAGAGAAGATATATGAGCTCTGGTAAGCACAGAGCAATGGAACAGGAATCAGTAAACTCCAGCTATGGTCCTACTGTGCAGATGAGAAAACAGGCTTGGAGAGGAACTTGCCCCCAGGTCACACAGCCAGTTGTGGCCAAACTGCAGCTTCCAACCTAGCTATCCAATTCTGAAGCTACAATAACTTTTCTCACTACAAAGATTTATAGAAGCTCCTCTAGTTACTGATGGGTGAGATTCCAAAATGCTGCTGGAGGCCATTGTTCCTAAGTCCAAAGAGACATTTCCCATGTGACTGCGAAGCTGTTTTTTGGCAATGAGAAGGGTGAAGGAGCTTTGGTTCAGCAGCAGACGTTTTTCTCCTTCCAGGATCACAGGTCATGTGTAGGTGGCTGGAAGCCTTTCTACTAATTAGCTGAGGTGGTTAACCCCAGTCTGAGACATCACATAAGCAGAACTTGTAGTATAGAGAACCTATTGCTCTTGGGACAGCAACATTTAGTCCTGATCAGCAACCTAGGAGGACAAACCCTTGTTATGCATTTCCAGTAAGCCTCAGTGAACTGCATCGTCTCAATTGCTTTTTTTTTTTCTACCAGGAAAAGGGTACTTGCTGGTGTGGGAGGGGTGGAAGCCAGTTAGACAAGTGGAGGGTGTGAGACACTCTTGGGCCCTTCTAGCAACTCTTTGATGGGTCAGAACTTCTTGGATGTACCGCATCCCTCCACCCCTCAGGGTCTGAGTGTCTCCTGTTTCCTTGGCTCAGAACTCTTCTCATGAATGAATGTGACATGCGCAGTGTTACTGTCAACAGGGAAGCCTGTTTGGAGGGAACATCTCCAGGCCTGTGCTCCTGGAACCCACTCTGGGAATCACCAGCTGCCCCGCTCTTACTTGCTGGGTCTTTCACTTCTTTCTGCCTGTTAGGTAACCCTCAAATCCCAGAGGCACTAAGGGATCAAAGCTTATTGCCTCTCCCTTGAAATCAGGAGACACAGACAAAATTCTCTGTGCCTTGGGGTTGCTGGGCACAGGGTGAGGGTCTGGGGTCTCAGTTCACACATGGGAGGTGGGAGAAGGGCCCCCCCACCTGGAGGTTGTTGCATTGACAGAAAGGAACTGGTGGCGCCTGCTGTTCGGCTGGGCACGTTGGCTGCATGTGCTGAAGACCTGACGGGACCCAGCTCTCACTTGGTCTGGTCCTGTTATTTTCAGCTTGTCTGGCTGGAAGCTCATTAGGGAGCTGATGGAGAGGCCATGGCTGACCGCCGTGTGGCTCTGCCGGCACTCACCTGGGTAGCAGGGAAGGAGATTTTTCACCTCCACTGGCCTCTCTGTGCCCACATTTGTGTTTGCAGGTAGCATCTGCCTGGGTAGGTGATCTGCCCTGGCTCATGGCTTGCATCTTGCCACCACCCTGGACCCTCCTGGTATGTGCTCCGTAAATCACTCGCCTTAGCAGCTATGTATTCCTGTCATCCCCACATGGCTGGGCTGAGGGCATCAGAGGTGGGTGCTGCCAGCACTGTCTATCTCCAGCTTTGTTTTCACTTCTGTCTTCCTAGGACTCCTCTCTCAGGCAAGGTTTCCTTTCAATTATTTCAAAAGGTCATGCCCTCAGTGACAATGATCCATGTCATTAATTTGACTCTGGCTGAGGTGACAGGCTGTGGTGGCCTCATCTCTCCATCCCAGGCCCAAAGATGTCTGAACACCGTGGGTCACTTCCTCCCCCGTGGGCACAAGGAACAGAATGGCTTTCAAGGGAGCTGTGTGGATCTGCGGAGCTTACAGATTCCGGCCCCTGCCGGGTCTCCAGCCTCCCCTGAATCCTCCCTGCACTCCTTCCTTCTGTAGAGCTGGGCACCGCACACATGCTCACTAAATGCTGCTGGAGTGAATGGAGGAAAGAACAGATGAAAGAATGTCATTAGCCACTAAGCAAACAGATACAACAAAGCAACAGCTAAGCTCAAACCCCTTAGGTGGTTTCAAAGGTCTTTCTGGTCTGTCCCCTGCAGGGTGTTCATTTTCTCTTCTGCTCTGCACCCCTTAATATTTCACACTCCAACGATACAGAATGATGTGCAGTTCTCCAGTGCTGTGGCAGTGTTTCAGACCTCCAAGCTTTTGTGCAAGTTGTTACACAGGTCTGGAATGCTTTCCGCCTCTTGGCTGAGCTCAGATGATATCCTCCCAACACCCTACTTCTGCACCCATTTGCTGAGAGGCTGTCTCAGAAATCCACCTATCACCAGCTTTAGCCTCTCTGGGCCCGCTCTGTAATTGGTGCACTGGGATTCTGCATTGAAATAATCTGTAACATTTCCTTCTTTCTTTCTTTTTTTTTTTTTATTAGACAGAATTTCATTCTTGCCGCACAGGCTGCAGTGTGCAGTGCAATGGCACACTCTCGGCTCACTGCAACCTCCGCCTCCTGGGTTCCAGCGATTCTCTTGCTTCAGCCTCCCGAATACCTGGGATTACAGGCACCTTCCTCCATGCCTCGCTAATTTTTATATTTTTAGTAGAGATGGGGTTTCACCATATTGGCCAGGCTGGTCATGAACTCCTGACTTCAGGTGATCTGCCTGCCTCAGCCTCCCAAAGTGCTGGAATTACAGGCGTGAGCCACTGTGCCTGGCCTAAAACATTTGCTATAGTCTATTTGGTGAAATGCTATCCAAAGATGTGGATTCTTTGGAATCCAGATGGTGCCCACCTGGATTGAGGGTGGGTCTGCCTCAGCACAGGGGTTCTGTGTCAGCATGTTAGGAGGAGAAGGCTGCAAACTGGACCCTTCTTGTTGAGCTTCATGGCAATCACTGTCATTTTCAAGGTTCCAAGAAGCTCAAGATTAAAGAAAACCATTCATTTTTTATGCAGTAGTTCCTAAATGTTTAAATAAAGACCCACTTTCATTAGTAGTTATTAACATCCCACACATGAGTTTTCCTTTGAGTCCTCTTGGCAACACTACTTGGTTGACATCCCATCATCTCTGAGTGGAAGTTCCAAGAGAGCAGGAGCTGGGGACCTGACACCTAGCACCTTGCTGGTGCACATTGAGAATCTGCGGAGTTGAATAGGTTTCAGCTGATGGGACGAGTAGCACATCTCACCTGGGGCTTCCAGAATTTGTGAGAAGCTCTCTGCATGGTTCCCCAGCAGGATCTGGAAATTCAATTCCTGGGTGTCAACAGGCTCACTTTTCAAGGTAGCGTTATCCCCAGCTGATGCCAAGAAGTGTCACTGGTGCTCCTGCTAATGCCTCCCTTACTATCACTTGTGGGTGGTGACACTAATCAGTGTTGGCAAATTAAGGTGACCCCCAATGAGAGGGAGGGAATGTGTGTGCCTTCAGAGCTTCATGCTTGCCTGGACTTCTTTCTCGGAGGCTGTCAGATGGGAGGCAACTCTGGGCAAATGATCGTGATGCCGGGAGGGGCCATAGGTGATAGTGGTGGGGAGACGAGGGTAGGCACAGGAAAGAAAAGCAAAGGACAAAAGGCGCTCATTTATCTAGGAAGCATCAGCCCAGCTGCTGTATTGTGGCTGTGCCAGGTCATGGTGTGGGCTGAGGTATTAGGTCCAGAAGCCCCGGGACTGGGGATGCCAGTGGTAGCTTCCCAGGGAGGATGAGGCTAGAGCTGGGGCCTCCAGGTGGACACAAGAAGGAAAGGTGTGATGGTTAATATTGAGTGTCAAATTGATTGGATTGAAAGATGCAAAGTATTGTTCCTGGGTGTGTCTGTGAGGGTGTTGCCAAAGGAGATTAACATTTGAGTCAGTGGACTGTGAGAGGCAGACACACCCTCAATCCAGGTGGGCACCATCAGCTGCCAGCGAGGCTAGAATAAAAGCAGGCAGAGGAACGTGGAAGGACTAGACTGGCTGAGTCTTCTGGCCTTCATCTTTCTCCTGTGCTGGATGCTTCCTGCCTTTGAACATGGGACTCCAAGTTCTTCAGCTTTCAAACTCAGGCTTACACCAGTGGTTTGACAGGGGCTCTCGGGTCTTTGGCCACAGACGGCTGCACTGTCGGCTTCCCTACTTTTGAGGTTTTGGGACTTGGACTGGCTTCCTTGCTCTTCAGCTTGCAAACAGCTTATTGTGGGACTTCACCTTGTGATCGTGTGAGTCAATTCTCCTTAATAAACTTGCTTTCATATTCTATGCTATTAGTCCTGTCCCTCTAGAGAACCCTGACTGTACAAAAGGCTTTCTTGGGAAGCTTACAGTGAGTCACACGGTGTATGATGCTGTGAAACAGCAGGGCACACAATGGGCACCAGAGGAGTGCTGGAATCCAGGGGTAGTGGGTGAAGAGGAGCTTGGACAGCAGGCAGGAGTGAGGTCACAAAGGGCCTCGTAGGTTATGTATAAAATCTACCTTCTGTGCAGTGAGAAGCTGCTGAAGGGCTTTCAACAGGAGGTGGAAATTGCTTTACATTTGTGGAAGCCTACTCGGCAGAAGCAGAGAGGTTGGAGTAAGAGGGAAATAAACTAGAAGCAAGAAAATTACTAAGGAGGCCATGTCACTCAGAAATACGGGGGCCGAACAGTGGCAGAGAAGTCTGAATACATAGGAAAAAAATGGAATCTTTTTTGTTTTCAATTTGCCAATAGTGATAAGACTTGGTGCTTAACGTGATGTGGAAATGGCCAGTGTCTCAGATGGCTTCCCGTTTCTGCCTTGGGTGACTAGATTTGTCTACATGAAAGCATCAGAATTAGAAATTAGCACATGGCTTGGCCTTAGCACCGATGACCAAAGTGGCTGGTGTTTGTAACAGGTGACAATGGTGGTCAGGTTTCTGTCTTTTTCTTTATCTCAGTCCTCGCCTCTTCTGTTTTTGTCTGAGTCATTTTTTTTTTTTTTTTTTGGTGAAGAAAGGCCCTGCCAGACTAGGTTTATATTTGACAAGTTTATTCAAATTCCACAAATCTTGTTTTCACAGCAGGGAAGAAAAACGTCTTCATAGTTTAAAAAACAATTCCTTTTAAAGACAGGGTCTCGCTCTGTTGCCCAGGCTGGAGTGCAGTGGCATGATCACAGCTCACTGCAGCCTCGACCTCCTGGGCTCAAGTGATCCTCCCACTTCAGCCTCCTCCTGAGTAACTGGGACTACAGGGTACCTTCGTATTTTTATTTACAAGTGGCTACAGTCAAGGCAAAAGATTAATTTGCCACTCTCTCCTTTGTGGATTTAGTTAGGACCTACCTGACCCCATGTAAACTACTGGGCTGGGATCATGTCTGATCCAGTCCTGAGACCCTGTGCCATCAACACTGGGTGCAGTATATCCCTAGCACCCAGCAGCACATACTAACACAGTACTGCTCCTTGTGCCCTGGCACTCGTGAGCTCTTATTTCTCATTTATGGGATGTTAGTCTGTACAAGTCCATATTCTACCTTCAAGGCCTGTTCACATGCCCCTTCTCCACAGAGGCTTACATGATCCTCCTGGGAAAACGCAATCTCTGTCTTCAGATCCCACCAAACTCTACCTGCTCCTCCTTTGAGGCCCTGGCACTCCTGAGCTCTTATTTCTTATTCATGGAGCGCTAGTCTGTACAAGTCCATATTCTATCTTCAAGGTTAGAAGATAGAATTTAGGTTTAACGTGCCCCTTCTCTATGCAGGCTTACATGATCCTCCTGGGAAGAAGCAATCTCCATCCTCAGATCCCACCAAACCCTACCTGCTCCTGCACTGTCGTGATCAGAAACTGGGCCTCAGAATCAAGCACTTAGGTTCGAATTCCAGCTCCACTATTTTCTATCTGGTGAAACTTCAAGAGCATCAATTTCCTCCCTGGTGCAAATGGGGTTGGCAGTTTCTCCTTTCAGGGGGTTGTGGATGTCAAATGATTTCGTGCATATAAAGTGCTTAGCGCAGTGCTGGTCATGATAGGGATTTACTTCCTGTTAGCTATTGCTATCATTTTTATTTTTATGAGTGTTTACTTTAGAATTTTCTCATATTAGATTCATTTGTGGCTGTATCTCCCCTACATACTATGAAGACAGGACTGTGACTGTTTCACATCTTCACCCCTGTAGAACACTCGTCACAATGCCTGCCACATAGTAGGTATTCAGTACATGTGTAGTGAGTGCTGAATGAATAACCCTGCACAATCCATTCCAGAAACCCTCGATGAAGGCAGCTTGTCTCCACTCCTGAGATTTCTCTGTTTACCGGCCCTTAGCCATGGAGTCACCGCCAGTGTGGTGCAGGTGGCCATCTCCAGCAAGCCCTCACTGTGTTGTCTTTGGTCTCTGCCCTGTCAAGATGTCCTTGAGGAGCTGTGATATACCCTAGCACTGGCATCTGCAAACAGCTTTTACTTTCATTTCCTCAGAAAAAGAGGCATTCACACAGATTCCCACAGTTTGTGTCCCTATCAATTCAACATATTCATCCAATCAACAGCAGGCAGACATAACAATGTACAAGACTTAGGCTGGGTGCAGTGGCTCATGCCTGTCATCCCAGCACTTTGGGAGGCCAAGGTGGGAAGATTGATTGAGTTCAGGAGTTTGAGACTAGCTTGGGCAATGTGGCAAAACCCCATCTCTGCCAAATATTAAAAACAAAATCTGGACATGGTGACATGTGCCTGTAGTCCCAGCTACTTGGGAGGCTGAGGTGGGAGGATCACCTGAGCCTGGGAAGTCAAGGCTGCAGTGAGCCATAAATCATACTACTGCACTCCAGCCTAGGCAAAAGAGCGAGACACTGCCTCAACAAAAACAACGACAACAAAAACCCAAAACAATTTCCAAGACTTGGAGCAACAGTAGGAAGCTTGAGTCACAGGTGGATGAACACCTTGAGAAGCACCGTCAAATAACATCTGTCCATATGGTTTTTTCAATAAATTAAGAAAAAAATAATTTTATATTTACCAACATGTTTATCATTTCCAGTGCTTTTAATTTCTTCCTTTAGATCTGAATTTCCATCTGGCATCATTTCTCTTCAGCATTTATTGTTTACAGGTGACAGATTTTTCTCCCCTTCCTCTTAGCTGCATATGTCTTTATTTCACCTTCAATTTTAAAGGATATTTTCACTGGATATAGAATTTTATGTTGACACTTTCTTTCCCTTTTGTTACTTTAAACATAGTGTTTCAGATGTCCTATGATCTCTATTATTTCTTTTTTTAAAATTTTATAATTTTTAATTGTTGTGGGTACATACTGTATATACTTATTGGGTATGTGAGATATTTTGGTACAGGCATGCAATGAATAATAATCACATTATGGAAATTGGGTATCATCCCCTCAAACATTTATCCTTTGTGTTGTAGACAATCCAATTATACCCTTTTAGTTGTTTAAAAATATACAATCAAGTTATTATTGACTATAATCCCTCTGTGCTATCAAGTATAAAACTGGCTGTTACTTATTCTATATTTTTGTACCCATTAACTATTCCTGTCTCTCCCTATCCCCACCACCCTTCCCACCTTCTGGTAACCATCCTTCTACTCTCTATGTCCATGACTCCAATCGTTTTGATTTTTAGATCCCACAAATAAGTGAGAACACATGATGTTTGTCTTTCCATACCTGGCTTATTTCACTTAACATAATGATCTCCAGTTCATCTATGTTGTTGCAAATGACTGGATCTCATTCTTTTCATGGCTGAATGGTACGCCATTGTGTAGAAGTAACACAGTTTCATTATCCATTCATCTGTGGATGGTCTCTTAGGTTGATTCCAAATCTTGGCTATTGTGAGCAGTGCTGCAACAAACACGGGAGTATCTCTCTGATGCACTAATTTCTTTTCTCTGGGGTATATACCCAGCAGTGAAATTGCTGGATCATATGGTGGCTCTATTTTTAGTTTTTTGAGGAACTTCTAAACTCTTCTCCTTAGTTGTACTAACTTACATTTCCACCAACTGTGTACAAGGGTCTGTCCCCTTTTCTTCACATCCTTGCCAGTATTTGTTATTGCCTGTCTTTTGGATAAAAGCCATTTTAACTGGGGTGAGATGATATCTCATTAATTTACATTTCTCTGATGATCAATGATGTTGAGCACTTTTTCATATGCCTGTTTGCCATTTGTATGTCTTTTTTTTGAGAAAGGTCTATTCAGATCTTTTTTCTGTTTTTTAATTGGATTATTAGGATTTTTTTCCTATAGAGTTGTTTGAACTCCTTATATATTATAGTTATTAATTACTTGTCATATGGGTAGTTGGCAAATATTTTAAACTATTCTTGGTGTTGTTTCTTCATTTTGTTGATTGTATCCTCTTTGCTCTGCAGAAGATTTTTAACTTGATGTAATCCCATTTGTCCATTTTTGCTTTGGTTGCCTGTGCTTGTGGGGTATTACTCAAAAATTTTGCCCAGACCAATGTCCTGGAGAGTTTTCCCAATGTTTTCTTTTAGTAGTTTCATAGTTTCAGGTCTTAGATTTAAGTATTTAATCAATTTTTATTTGATTTTTGTATATGGTGAAAAATAGGGGTCTAGTTTCATTTTTCTGAATGTGAATATCTAGTTTTCCCAGCATAGTTTATTAAAGAGAATGCCTTCTCCCCAATGTATGTTCTTGGCACCTTTGTAAAAAATGAGTTCACTGTAGGTGTGTGGATTTATTTCTGGGTTCTTTATTCTGTTCCATTGGTCTATGTGTCTGTTTTATGCCAGTACCATGCTGTTTTGGTTACTGTAGCTCTGCAGTATAATTTGAAGTCAGGTAATGTAATTCCTCTTTTTTTTTTTTTTTTCCCTCAGGATAGTTTTGGCTACTTTGGGTCTTTTGTGATTCCATATAAATTTTACAATTGTTTTATTGTTTCTGTGAAGAATGCCATTGGGATTTTGATAGGGATTGCATTGAATCTGTAGATTTCTTTGGGTGGTATAACTGTTTTAACAATATTGATTTTCCAATCCATGAATATGAAATAACATTTTTTTGTGGGTGTGTGTGTCCTCTTCAGTTTCTTTCATCAGCATTTTATAGTTTGCGTTGTAGAGATCTTTGACTTCTTTGCCATTAATTCCTAGGTATTTTATTTTATTTGTGGCCATTATAAATAGAATTACATTTTTTAATTTCTTTTCAAATTATTCACTTTTGGCATATAGAATTCCTACTGATGTTTGTATGTTGATTTTGTATCCTGCAACTTTACTGAATGTTTTTCTTTTTTCTTTTCTTTGGGACAGGGTCTTGCTCTGTTGCCAAGGCTAGAGTGCAGGCTCAGGTGCTCCTCCTGCCTCAGTCTCCTGAGTAGCTGGGACTACAGGGGTGTGCTACCATGCCCAGATAATTTTTAAAACCATATTTTGTAGAGATGGGGTCTCACTATGTTGTCCAGGCTGATCTTGAACTTCTAGCCTCAAGTGACTCTCTCACCTTGGCCTCCCAAAATGCTGGAATTAGAGGCATGAGCCACTGTGCTCAGCCAACTTTACTGAATTTGTTTATCAGTTCTAATAGTTTTTTGGTGGAGTCTAGTTTTTTTCCAAATATAAGATCATATCATCTGCAAACAAGTATAATTTGACTTCTTCCTTTCCAATTTGGATCTTATTTCTTTCTCTTGTCTGATTGCTCTAGCTAGGATTTCCAGTATTATAATGAATAACATAATACTGGAAATCCCATCTAGAGCAAGTAGTGAAAGTGGGCATCCATACTGTGTTCCAGATCTAAGAGGAAAGGGCTTTTAGTTTTTCCCTATTAGGTATGGTACTAGCTGTGGGTCTGCCATATGTGACTTTTAATATGTTATATTCCCTCTATGCCCAGTTTTTTTAGGATTTTTATCATGAAGTGATACTGAACTTTATCAAATGCTTTTTCAGCATCAATTGAAATGGTCATATGGTTTTTGTACTCATTCTGTTGATATGATGTACCATATTGATTGATTTATGTATGTTGAACCATCCTTGCATTCCTGGAATAAATCCTACTTGGTCATGATGAACAATCTTTTTAATGTCTTGTTGAGTTCAGTTTGCAAGTATTTTGTTGAACATTTTTGCATCAATATTCATCAGAGATATTGGGCTGTAGTTCTCCTTTTTAAAATGTGTCTTTGTTTGGTTCTGGTATCAGGGTAACACTGGCCTTGTAGAATAAGTTTTGAAGTATTCTTTCTTTCCATCTCTATTTTTCAGAACAGTTTGAGTAGAATTGATATTAGTCCTTCTTTAAATGTTTGGTAGAATTCATCAGTGAAGCCATTGGGTCCTGGGCTTTTCTTTACTGGGAGACTTTTTATTATGACGTCAATCTCATTACTTTCTATTAGTCTGTTCAGCTTTTGCATTTCTTTATGGTTCAATCTTGGTAGCTTGTACGTGTCTAGGAATTTATCCATTTCTTCTAGATTTTCTAATTTATTGGCATATAGTTGCTCATAGTAGCCACTAATGTTCCTTTGAATTTCTTGCAGGATCAATTGTAATGTCTCCTTTTTCATCTCTGATTTTATTTATTTTGTTCTTCTTTTTTCTTAGTTTGGCCAAGATTTGTAAATTTTGTTTATCTTTACAAAAAAACAGCTTTTTGTTTCATTGACCTTTTGAATAGTTTTATTTCAAATTCATTTATTTCTGCTCTGATGTTTATTATTTCTTTTATTATACTAATTTTGGATTCAATTTGGTCTTGCTTTTCTAGTTCTTTAAGATGCTTTATGAGGTTATTTATTTGAAGTTTTTCTTTTTTTATATAGACACTTATAGCTATACATTTTCCTCTTTGTACTGCTTTTGCTATATATATCCGTATGTTTTTGGTATGTTGTATTTCTTTTATCATCTGTTTCAAAACAATTTTCAGTCTTCTTCTTAACTTTTTCATTGACTTACTGGTCATTCAAGAGCATATTGTTCAATTTCCGTGTGTTTGTATAGTTTCCAAAATTCCTTTTGTTATTGATTTCTAGTTTTATTTCATTGTGGTCCGATAAGATGCTTGATATTATTTCATTTTTAAAAAATGTTTTAAGACTTGTTTTGTGATCTTATGTATGGTCTATGCTTGAGAATGATCCCTGTGCTAAGGAGAAAAATGTGTATTCTGCAACCATTGGATGAAATGTTCTGTTAGTATCTATTAGGTCCATTTGTTTCATAATGCAGATTCAGTCTACTGTTTCTTTGTTGATTTTCTGTCTGATAGATCTGTCCAATGCTGAAAGTGGGGGTGTTGAAGTCTCCAGCTATTAATATGTTGGGATCGACCTCTCTTTAGTGCTAATAGTATTTACTTTGTATATGGTTGCTCTAGTGTTGGGTGCATGTATATTTACAATCATTATATCCTCCTGGTGAATTGACACTTTATCACTATGTAATGACCTTCTTTGTTGCTTCCTACAGTTTTTGTCTTAAAATCTATTCTGTCTGATATAAGTATATTGGTTTCTCATGGAATATTTTTTCCATCCCTTTATTTTTAGTCTATATGTGTCTTTATATGTGGAGTGTATTTCTTGTAGGCAACAGATCATTGGGTATTGTTTTTTCATTCATTAAGCCATCTGTGTCTTTTGATTGGGGAGCTTAGTCCATTGGGACTTACTCCAGCCATTTTGTTATTTGTTTTCTGGTTGTTTTGCAATCTTCTTTTCTTTCCTTTCTCCCTGTCTTTCTTTTAGTGAAGGTGATTTTCTCTGCTGATATGATTTAATTTCTTGCTTTTTATTTTTTGCATATCCATTGTATGTTCTTTGATTTGAGATTACTATGACGTTTTCAAATACTATCTTATAACCTGTTATTTTAAACTGATGACAATCTAACACTGATTGCATAAACAAACACACAAATAAGAAAACTAATAAAATTCTACACTTTAACTTGATCTCCTGGATTTTTATCTTTCTGTTGTTTCTCTTTGTCTTACTGTACTATATCTTGAAAAGTTGTAGTTTTTATTTTTGATTGATTCATCATTTAGTTTTTCTATCTAAATCAAGAGTAGTTTACATAACACAATGACAGTGTTATACCATTCTGTGGTTTTCTGTGTGCTTCCTATTACCACGGAGTTTTGAACCTTCATATGATTTCTTCTTGCCCATCAACATTCTTTTCTTTCAGATTGAAGAACTCCATTTAGCATTTCTGGTAGGACAGGTCTGATGTTGATGAAGTCACTCACCTTTTGATTTTCTGTAAAGGTCTTCATTTCTCCTTCATGCCAAAATAACTTTTTTTTTTTTTTTTTTTTTTTGCTGGATATACCTTTCTAGGATGAAAGTTTATTTTCTTCAGCACTTTACATATGTCATTCCACTCTCTCTTGTCCTATAAGATTTCTACTGAAAAGTCTGCTGCCAGAAGTATTGAAACTCCATTGTATGTTATTTTTTTCTTTTCTCTTTCTGCTTTTAGGATCCTTTATTTGTCCTTGACCTTTGGGAGTTTGATTATTAAATGCCTTGAGTCATTTAAAAACTTTTGGGTTAAATTTGCTTGATGTTTGATAACCTTTTTGTACTTGAATGTTGTTATCTTTCCCTAGGTTTGGGAAGTTCTCTGATATTGTCCCTTTGTAAACTTTCTACCCCTGTCTCTCTCTCTCTCTCTCTCTCTCTCTCTACCTCCTCTTTAAGGCCGATAAATCTTAGATTTGCTCCTTTGAGGCTATTTCATAGATCTTGTAGGTATGCTTTATTGTTTTTTATTCTTTCTTTTGTCTCTGACTATGTATTTTCAAATAGCCTGTCTTCAAGCTCACTTTCTTCTGCTTTGTCAATTCTGCTATTAAGAGACTCTGATGCATTCTTCAGCATGTGAATTGCAGTTTTTCAATTCTAGAGTTTCTGCTTGATTCTTTTTAATTATTTCAATCTCTTTGTTAAATTTATCTGATAGAATTCTGAATTCCTTCCCTGTGTTATCTTGCTTTTCTCTGTTTCTTTAAAACAGCTATTTTGAATTCTCTTTCTAAAAGGTCATATATCTCTGTTTCTCCAGTATTAGTCCCTGGTACCTCATTTAGTTGGTGAGGTCATGTTTTCCTGGATGGGGTTGATGCTTGTAGATTTTCATCAATGTCTGGGCATTGAAGAGTTAGGTATGTATTGTAGTCTTCACAGTCTGGGCTTGTTTGTGCTTGTGCTTGGGAAGGCTTTCCAGCAATTTGAAGGTTCTTGGGTCTTAAGCCCAATAATACTGTGGTTTTTGCAGACTTGTAGAGGTACTACCTTTGTGGTCTTGGATAAGATCAAAAAGAATTCTCTGGATTATCAGGCAGATTCTTGTTCTTTTGCCTTACTTTCTCACAAACAAAAGGATTCTATCTCTGCTGAGCCACCTGGAACTCAGGATATGGTGATGCAAGCACCCCTATGGCCACCACCACTTGGCCAGTGCTGAGTGAGACTGGAAGCCAGCACAGCACTGGCCTCACCCAAGGCCCTTTCCTTCAGGGCAGCAAATTCCTTCAGGACCCAGACATCTCCAGTGATGATGTCTAGGAGCCAGACATTGGAGACAAAAACCTTATCAATTTACCTGATATTCTATTCGACTGAAGCTAAATTGGCGTACAAACCACAATATAAAGTCCTTTCCGTCCTTCCCTTCCTTTTCCACAGGCAGAGGAACCTCTTCCTGTAGCCTCCACTTCCACCAGTCCACAAGGGGGTTCTGCTAGGCCACCCTAGGGCTCTTCTGTCAGCTGGTGGTGAATGCTGCCAAGCCTAAGACCCACACATCAGGACCGTGAGCTCCCCTGTGGCCCAGGGCAGGTCCAGAGATGCTGTCCAAGACCCTAGGCCGGGACTCAGGGACCCTAAGAGCCTGCTTGTTGCTCTACCCCACTAAGGCCAAGCTGGTACCTGATTTTTGGTTCTTGTGACAGTGCTTTCCTACATGGAGGTAGTTGTTAAAATTTGGTGTTTGGGGGAGCAGAGGAGATGAATGCTATAGGCTTCTCTTCTGCCATCTTGCTTCACTCTCTGTTCTTTATTATTTCTGATGGGAAGTCAGCTGTTATTGTTTCCTTGAACATATTGTATGCCCCAACTCCACCCCTGGGCTGGTTTGAAGATATTCTCCTTATCTTTGTCAATAGTTTGATTATGATGTGCCAAACTGTGGTTTTCTTTGTAATTATTCCTTTTTTTTTTTTTTTTTTTTTTTTAGGCAGAGTTTCTCTCTTGTTGCCCAGACTGGAGTGCAATGGCACTATCTTGGCTCACTGCATCCTTCACCTCCTGGTTTCAAGCAATTTTCCTGTCTCAACCTTCTGAGTAGCTGGGATTACAGGCATGTGCCACCATGCCTGACTAATTTTGTATTTTTGTTAGACAGGGTTTCTCCATGTTGGTCAGGCTGGTCTTGAACTCCTAACCTCAGGTGATCCACCCACCTCAGTCTCCCAAGTGCTGGGATTACAGGCGTGAGCCACTGCACCCAGCCTGTAATTATTCTTAAGGGTTCCTGAATTTTTTGGTTCTAGAAATTGTTTTTCATCATTTTCAAAAATTCAGCTATTATTCTTATAAATATGTTACCTATCTTTTTCGTTTTTTCTCTCTCCTTGCCTTTGTGGAGTCCAAAGGACATTTGTTAGACCACTTAAATTGTCTCACAGTTCATGGAGACTCTATTATAATATTTTTCAGAATCCTTTTTTTCCCCTCTCTCTGGGCTTCACTTTGGACAATTTCTATTGGTTTCTCTTTAAGTTTACTAATTTTTTTTCTTCTGCATTGTTCAGTTGGCTATTAAGCCCATCTGTCTTTGTCCTTTCAGGCTGCTATGACAAAGTACCTTTGTCTTATACAGTGTAATAGTATACAAGTACGGTGGCTTATACACAACATAAATTTATTTCTCACAGTTCTGGATGCTGGGAAGTTCAAGATCAGAGTGCTGGCAGATTTGGTGTCTGATGAGGTTCTGCTTCCTGGTTCATACATGCCTCTCTTTTAGCAGTTCTCACATGGCAAAAAGGGAAGTGAGTCTTTGGTGGTTTCTTTTATAAGGGTACTAAGCCTGTACATGAAGGCTCTGCCCTCATGACCTAATTACCTCTCAAAGTCCCTATCTCCAAATACCATCACATTGGGAATTAGGTTTCAACATATAAATTGGCGGTGAGGGGCATGGCCTAAACATTCAGTCTATAGACCACCCAACTGAATTTTCCACTTTAGGTATTGTGTATTTCAAGTTAAAATATTTCAATTTTTAGTGTTTCTGTATCTGTTCCAAAATATGCCATTTCTTCCTTATAATATCTGTGCTTTCCTGTAAATTTTAAGATATTTATAGTAGTTATTGGACAATATTTGTCTGATATTTTCAATATCTGGTTCATTTACAGGTCTGTTTCTATTGTTTTATTTTTTAAATTATAGGTCACATTTTCCTGCTTGTTTGCATGTCTAGTAATTTTTGATTGCATACTGAACATTGTAGATAATAGAGACTCTAGATTCCATTATCTTTTTCTGAAAACTGTTGGGTTTTATTGCAATAGGCAGTTAAATTACTGAAGAATAATCTTGATGTTGTGGAGGCTTGCTTTTAGGTTTTGTTAAAGCACATATATTTCTGTTTTTTCTTTATTCTTAGGTCATAGTCCATAGTTCTAGTATAGTCTTTATTCTTAAGGTGTGGTTCTTCTGATGTTTCAATAGATAGCTCAAGGTATTGAACAAACTCCTCTAACTTGGTAGAATTTGAAAGTGAAACCAGTGGTTGCTAAACTCTCTGCTCAGCATTTTAGCCATTCAGCTGTTGCTAACTGCTTGGCTCCCGGGAGCACTGCCATCAATGCATGACATTTAAGAGTCATCCAAGGTTTTGAAGGCAGTCGTACACAGATATGAGGGATCCACCATTTGTGGGTTCCTCATTCTGAGAATTCCCCCCTTAATTTCAGCAGTGTTCTGGCAGCTCCAACCTCCAGCCTTTAACCATTAAGACTGTCATTTTATACCTGAGCTCTATACCCTGTGCTCTGCAAACTTGTAGGACCCTTGAGAAAAATAAGTAATGTAAATCCCACCTAGTCTGCTTCCTTCTTTTTGAGGGTTATGTCTCCTCCATTTTATTCCAGATTTTTGTTGTTCTCTAGTGCCTTCCAACAATTTCCTTTTTAAAAAAAATTTATGCAGACTTTATAGTTGTTATCGGCAGGAGGGTTAGTCAGATATAGTCTATGATGCCAGTACTTAAGCTGAAACTGACCTGTCCAAATACATTTTTTAAAACCCTTAAGAGAGTAAGAGGAGCTTCTTTAATTGAACCAAGAAGCTCTGTAAAGACTTTCCTTCCTTCCTTAATTCACTTAGTAATATTTTTTGGACCCTCAAATGTTTAAGAATCTACCAAGGGTGCCACATACTCTATTCCACTTCATTTACCAAGTTAAAATTTGGCTGCAACTTATCACAATTGGGAATTGATTTTATAACCTCTGATGTACCTTCTAACCCTCAGAATCTACAATTTTATGAATTATGTATGGACCCTACCCTAAATTTCTGTGAAGGTGTTTCCAGTACATAATATTAAAATATACCATTAGCTTTGGTTATAGTAGATGTCATTTTTTCTGTCTGCCCAGATTCTGTTTCTGCTTCTTCTGATAAATACCTAGAATTTCCCCTGTGAAACAGTTTCTCTCCCCACACTCTTACGTGGTGGTTCAGGTGGGGATACTCTCAGAGGTTGAGCATGTGACTCTGGTTTGACCAATCAGAACACCAAACCCTAGTAGTCAGAGGAGATTGGCTAAGGAGTTGCAATATGAGTCAAACTTAATCAGTGTAATTACATCTCTTGACCACAGGAATTGTTTCATTATACCAAGATGAAGATGTTGGTCTAAAGAGTGTGAGTTAGAGAATGTGAACAGATCTATTAGAAAATAAACTCCTGCTTATCTATCACACTTGAAATTGTGTCTTGAAATCACAAGTAACTGAAAGTAAAACCATAAGGAAGAGAGCAGAGCCAACATTTGGAGAAAGGTGAGGTGCAAATCATCTGAGGGTTTGGATACAGCTGTATCTGAAGCTCAGTGACTGTACTTTTTCAGGTATATGAGTCACATAAGTTACCTTTGTTTTTTCCTTAAGCCAATTTGATTTGGGTTCTCTTTCTCTTGAACAGAAATATTCTTGACTGGCACATCAGTCAAGGACCTAAATGGGGTGTGTCAATTATGCACCCAAAGAAGAAAAGGTAGATCTGGCCACCCCAAATTGTTTTTGGCTGAACACACTTAAACAAGCCACATCAATCACCAGGTTCACAGCTGACAGCCTTGTTTTGGCACCCTGCAATCATTCTCCTGCAATTTTCTGGAATAAGTGGAGGCAGGCACTAGATCAACAACACTGATGATATGTTTGTGTGCTACACATGCTTAACCCATCCTGCAATCAAGCTACATCTCTCTTCCCAAGTGGATGGAAATTCTTCAAGGATATTAATATTCTGTGTGTTTCCTCTCTGAGCTGGGCTTTGGTGATTATGCAACCTCAGTCCCTGTCTACTGGATGAGAGGTAACCTTTGAACAATTTGTGGGAACAGTTATACAGTCCAATTTCTGACTATTCCTGATATAACTGAACTTTAAAGGTGCTACATGATCAGAAAATTCCACATTTTGGTTTCGAAAATGTGCCTGCTTCTCTTCTCAAATATAAGCCAAAATTAATCAGCAGTGCCTCCCAGATATTTTCAAAATAGAGTCCCTGACATCTTACCTATTGGATCTGCAGAAACATTTTCTTTTTTTCTTTTAATTGTTGTGATGTTCAAGACCATTTGGGCAAATTTCAAACAGAAAAGGTAGTTGTAAAACAGGTATTGTCTTTCCCCCTTTTTTTTCTGTGGTGTGCTACAGTGGGCCTTTCTCCAGGGCACCTACAAACTCAGAAAGTTATAGGGAAATAAAGATTTTTGACAAGCAGCAAACTGTCACTCTGGACCGGATAAACACCCCCTTTTTCTTTCATAATGTCTACTTTCTCCACAGCAGCATGCATCTAGCATGGCCATTATCCCCAATCATAATTTATTCTGGACCAGATTGGCCTGTCAGTCACTTGTCACTCTGTGCCCCTCAGAGTTACCTCAGCAATCCTGTGTCTCCTTCTCACTGAACTTGGATGTGCATCTGCTCTGACTTCTTCAGCTAATTTCACAGATTGTTTTTTTGTTGTGTTTTTCTACATTTATAGAATTCTTTACTCCTGTCTACCAGAAAACATTAGCTCAGCCATGTTTGAAGAAGGGAAACATCTCCCTTTGTTGAAAGAAGGGCATGTCATTAATAAGACCATGTCTGAACACAAGGATGAAATTGTAATAATCATCTGATAGAAAGTTAGACTTTATTCTTCTTTGATAAAATGGAAGGGCCTGAAGGAAGGTATTGTAGCAGGCATTTCTAATGCTCACCAGTATCTAGTTATCCTTTATTTCATGGGCATATAGGAGTCTGTACTCTCCAACCCTTTACATTAAGTGTAGGCCATGTGACTGCTCCTGGTCTATAGGATGTGAGAGGAAGTAACTTATGTCATGTCTGGGTAGAGGCAGTTGAAAGCCCCTGCAGGTTCACCAGTCTCTCTTCCTCTTTAAGAAAACTGGCAGAGGCATCAAGATGAGATGCGGAGATGCAACACTGAAGGGACCTGGATCTTAGTCACAACGTGAAGGAAGGCTACCCTGGACAGTTGCCCAGTCCTGCAGTATACTTTGAAGAAGAGATAAAAATTAGTTGTATTAAGCCATTAAGATTTGGGGATTGTTAACCACAACATAGCCTATCTTGTTCTAAGTCATCTAGAAATTGTGGACTTAAACAAAATTGAGATACAATCTATGAACAGTAAAATACTTAGATCTTATGTGCACAATTTGAACTGCCTTAACAAATGCCTATACTTGTGTAGCCCAGACCCATTTTAAGACACATGGTCAGATATGTCACCCCAGAAAGCTCTCGTGTGCCCCTTGCCAGTCAATCTCTTCCCTCCAGGAAGATCACTCACCTTATTTCTTTTACCATAGATAGTTTTGCCAGTTCTAGAAGTTTGTATAAATAGAATCATACAGTATGTACTTTTGTATGTGTGTCTGGCTTCTTTCACTCACCGTAATATTTTTGAGATTTATCCATGTTGATAGAATGTATGAGTAGTTTTTTTCCCTTGCCAAGGAGTGGTCCATTATATAAATTTACCACAGTGATTTATTCTTCTTATGGTGGACATCCAGATGTTTATAGTTTGGGATAATTATGAAGAAACAATTCTTTATAAGGATTTTTGTGGACACATATTTTTGTTTCTCTTGGATAAACACCTTGCTGTGGAATTTCTGAGTCATAATATGTATGTTTAATATTCTTAGAAGGTTAAGAAACTCTTAAACTATTTCTTAAAATAACTGTATCATTAAACTTTTACTAGCAATATATGAGAGTTCCTGTTGCTCCATGCTCTTGCCAACATTTGGGATTGTCAAGCTTTCTCTCATTTTAGCCATTCTAATGGGTGTGTAGTGGTATTTCATTGTTTTAATTTTTATTTCCCTGATGATTAATAATATTGAGAAGTTTTTCATGTGCTTATTGGCCATTTACTCATCTTCATTTATGACATATCTGTTCATATTTTCTGCTTTTGTAAAAAAGTAGGCCATTTGTTCTTTTGTAATTGAATTGCAGTAAATATATAGTCAGATATGGATAATTTTTCTGATCTGTAGCTTGCCTGTTTATTTTCTTAATTATTTTTTTGATGATGGGATACTTTTTTAATTTTGATGAAGTATAATTTGTCAATTTTTTTTATGGTTAGTGCTTTTTGTGTGCTAAGACTCTTTGCCTACATCAAGGTCATGGTGACGTTTCTCTATCTTTTCTCTTTGAATCATGTTATTTTCTTAAGCCTAACATTTATTTTTTTAATTTACTTGTCTGTATGGTGTAGGGTAACACTCATGGATTTTTTCTTGTATGAATATTCAGTTGTTAATAAAAATATATTGAAAGCTGGCTACAGTGGCTCACACCTGTAATCCCAGCACCTTGGGAGGCCGAGGTGGGTGCATCACCTGAGGCCAGGAGTTTCGATACCAGCCTGGCCAACATGGCAAAATCCCATCTCTACTAAAAATACAAAAAAAAATTAGCCAGACTTGATGGTGGATACCTGTAATCCCAGCTACTCAGGAGGCTGAGGCAGGAGAATCACTTGAACCCAGGAGATGGAGGCTGCAGCAAGCTGAGATTGCACCATTGTGCTCCAGCCTGGGTGAAAAGAACAAAACTCCATCTCAAAAAAAAGTATTGAATATAATTTTCCCCATTTAATTGCTTTGCCATTCTGATCACAAATCACTGGATTTTATATGTGTATGGGTCTATTTGTGAACTCTTAATTGTGTTTCACTGACATATTTGTCTGTTCTTTCAACAAAAACATTTTCTTAGTCACAATAGCTTTATAATGAGTGTTAAGGTCAGACTGGATATTCTTGGTCCTTTGAATTTCCAAATAAAATTTAAAATAGTATATATATATATATATATGCATATTTAAAGACACAATTCCAAGACTGGCTTTTGCTGCCCTTACACATTCTGGAACAAATAAAGCTAATAATATTATCAAGCTCCCCACAAAAAAAATTTAAAATAAGTTGTTTTTTAACATTCAAAAAAAAAACCTACTTGATGTTTAACTGAATTGTACTAAATCTATAGATAAATTTTGGGGAGATATTGAGTCTTTCAATCCATGAAGATAGTATATCTCACCATTTACTTAGGACTTCTTTAATTTCTCTTAGCAATGTTTTATAATTTTTAGTATAGAAGTCTTGTGCACATTTGTTAAATTTATTCCTAGGTAGTTTATATTTTTAATACAATTTTAAATGAAATGTAAAAATTGGAATGTTTTTGAAACTATAATATTGCTTTGAGTATTTAACACATTTGGGCATTAGCATACGCAATGCCCCTTCTCTGCCTCTGTCACCTTGCTTATATGGTTATCTCATACCTACCCATGCTCTTTCCTCTGCTCTGTGTATAATACAACCCTGTTTTTACACCAACACATTCCTACTCTAGGAAGACTTTTCTAATTGCTATGCTCTTGCCTTCCCTCCTCCATTTATGTATCATCCATTCAAGCATTCATGAATCAGAAAGATGAATTAGACAGCTCCTGTTCTCAAGAAACTTAAGTTGCATGAGAGGAGACACTAAATAAATAAATAAATAAGAAGTAGAAAAGAGGCAATGTCATCTGAAAGTTGACAAACAAAATGAAAGGCACATTTGTCTGGCAAGTACAGTGAGATTAAGGAAGTTTTCCTGAAGGACTCTTTGAGTTTTAATTGTCTTTAGGGTCCTATAGCACCCAAAAGACTCTTAAGCACTGTCTAAATTCTACAAGTAGACTGCATGCTTTGTGACAGGTGGGACCACATCTCATATTTTCTCTATTGTCCAATATGGTAGTACTTCGCAAACCTTAGTATACTTAAGATCCACTTGGAATGCTCTATTAAAAATTCATGTTCCCATGCCTGGTTCCTAGGAGTTTGGATTAGGTAGGTCTGTGGAAGAGCCTAGAAATTTGTATTCCAAACAAGTGTTTTTGGTGACTGTGTTCAGATGATCTGAATATAGTCTGAATACAGACTGCTGAAAAATGACCTATGGTGACTGGCACATTTTTAATCACATAGCATTGACAGATTACTAGGTTGGCTAATGACTGCATCTGACCAACATCATGGCAACTCAAAAGAGATGAGAACCTTAGTGAAAACCTTACCACATTTTTTGTAATCAGGATACTATAACTTCATTTGACAAATGTCTCTGATAAAACCTCGATTCTCTTTTTTGTGTGTGCTTTTGCTGTCTTTCACTTAGAACTCTTTTTTGTTACTGTTTGGTGTTAAATGACCTTGTAAGTTAGGCTGTCTGCTTTTGCAAAATCCTGTCTTTCTTGGATCCTTGCCATCCTGATCATCTCCCTGCTGGAATATTTCTTTGGCTTTTACTATCCTTGTCCCTCCCAGACTGAGGCTCTCTTTGCTTCAGTTACATTCCTGCATTGTTCACTCAAGAGGAAAAATCCATTTTCATAGCAGAAGAAAATAGCCTGCTTGCTTTACTGTTGACTGTACTCCAGCTGTTCCCTTGATTGGGATAACCCACACCTCAAACTTTCTGGGTGATGTACAACCCATGCAGATCAGTTGTTATGACAACTATATTTTGTTTCATACAAGGCTTTCTCCTGTAACTTTTTACAAGGCCTAATTCTGCATTGTACTCTGCACTCTAAAATAAAGTATATAGTGTGCTATAGTTCTCCAAGACATCTTAGATCAAGGGTCTTGAATTTCAATGATAATGGCTTCTTCAGAGTCAAGCAAATTGCAGTTCAACTATATAGCTACCGTTTAATCTCCCAAATGAGACAGGGAGAGGCCAGGTAGAACATTTTTCATACACAAAAAGGTTTTAAACCTTGAATGTAGACTTTAAAAACTTGCATATATTTCAGGTAACTGGTACTTGGCTGCTTTATAATGAAAGGTCTCCTCAATAAATATTCCAGAGCAAGCTCAAACTAATCTTAGGAATGGGGGTGAGGGGAGGGCCACTCAACCATGAAGAGTTCATTTTGGCAAAATGATGGGTGAGAGGGGGCTTCCCCTCATAACTGAGTTACTTATTTGTGTTTAGCTCAAATAATATATTTTGAATTCAGCTCTCTAGCCATTTGTTTTTCTAGGGCACCCAAGAGAATGAATTGTGGTTATGTAAACAAACTGACTGAGAAATAATGTATGGATGCCCTGACCACTGGACCTGTCCCATTTACACACCTTTTCTGACAACCCCTTCCCTGCCCATTCCTTCTCCCTCCAACAGTGACTCATAACTCTGAGCCTTGACTGGAGGAGGCTTGATAAAGACAAGCCTAGGACATTTATTGTGAGGCACCCATCAGCAAGAATCATGGACATAATGGGCAGTTTAAATCAGGCCTGAAATGTTATCTCCTCTGGCCAGCGGCGACGACTGAGCTCTTGTTCCCCCTTCCTTTCACAGCTGTCATGGTGTGTGTCTGTATCCATGGTGTGTGTGCATATGTGTGTTTATATGCACACAGGGGAGCGGTGGGGAAAAATCATTTGGTGCATTGATTCAGTTTGTACTGCTCTTGAGTTAATATCAGGGGCTGGGGATTGGAGACATGATCGTGGTATTGAGGCTGCTTATTTGAAGCTCTACAAGGTCGACAGAGACTATAGAAGTAAATTCCAAGGTGTAGCCAATTTATCCACTCTTCACGCTTACACCCTCATATCAATACTTAGCCTCCCTTTCCCTGCATTCTGCATGGTCCTTTTTTTTTGATGGGAATGCTAATAAAAGTCCTTCTGTGCCTCAAAGACCAGCTCAGGGACCACTGCCTGCAGGAAGGCTTCCAGAATCTTATGGCACATGTTGTATTTGCTTTCCTGCCTTAGTTTGGAATGGATCACCCTCTATTGCATGTATGTGATTGTGTGTAACTTTGTAGGCCTTTCTGGAGTTTTTATTGAAATAGTAATGCATAATGATAAAAAAGAATATGAACCTACGAGTCAGCCAGACCAAGGATCCATTGTTCTCTGCCACTTAACAGCTCTGGGACTTTGGAAAAGTTACTCCCGTCTCTCCAAGTATCGTTTCTTATCAGTAAAATGGGGAGTATTAACTCCATACTTCCCTATACAATCCCTTCTAGAATTGTTGGAGGAATTTTATGAGATATTTGTAAAGCATCTAACCTAGGACCTGCTTATATAGATGTGTATTAAAGGCCCATTAAATGTTACTTATTATTGTTATTATATTCATTCATTCATTAAACAAATATGTGACCGACCCTGTTCAAGGTACCACAGATACAGAGATGAAATTTTCCGCCTTGAAGGAATTTACAGGCTACTAGGGAGAAAGACACACACAATGACAAGAGTCTATGAATTGCAGTCCCGTGAGATAAATTTGATAGTGGAGATATGCACCTTTGTGGGGCTGCAGAGGGAAGAACTGCAAACTCTGCTTCCTCTTACCAGTAGCTTGTGTCTGTTTGTACCACTGGGCTGTATATTCCTGAGGTCAGAGCTAATTCCCTGATTTGATTTTCCTCAAGTGCCTGGCAAATGGTGATTAAGTTAAACTCACAATAATTTACTGAAATCAAAACACAGAACTAGGCTTTTCCTCACCTTCCCACGTTTCCATGGGAGCTCATCTGTCTTTGCCTCCTCAAGCTGCAGGTAGCACTGGCTAAGTTCTGAAGGGCACTCTCAGTAAAGATGAGGTTTTAAAGTTCCAGATAGCCCTGGGCAGATGACCATGCTGGATGGCATGGAAGGTCCCTGGTGGGTGCTGTGCCAAGTCAAGTTGACTCACTGCCCTTCTCTCGGCCAAGGTCAATACAGTGGGCAAGAGACTTCCAGGAGCAGGGAGGTCTTGGGGGACTCTCACCCTGGTGGGTAGTTACTTAAGTTTTTACGAGCACAGCTTGATTAATTAGCTTCTGAAAGGACAGTAGTTATTCCCAGAGAGGCTGTTAGGAAGCACCTATGTTATTTGGTCCTTGCAGGAAACGATTAGCTGAAATTCACACTCTGAAAAATAATTAACCAACAATGGTGACACTATATTATACAGTCATTTCCAAGAAAAGGTCTCTTACATTGCAACTTAAAACTTTAAATTATTTTGGAGACTAGCTTTGGCTTTTAGCTAGATTATAATAAAAGCAAATTATTGTACATTTTAATAACTGGCTTCTTTGGAAAGGGAGGTCTGATATGAGGCTGATGACTGTGATGTATCTCATAAAAGCTAATTGACAATCTAGTTCTTTAAATACCACAAGAATCCATCATGGTTAACATTACTATGATGAGTTCCAAAGGAATTAAAGATGATTTACCAGCCACTGGGACATTTTGCTAATATTATACATACTGAAGGAAGCAGCAGAAGAGATGAATACTTTTCAGCACCTCCGGTTGCCTAATTTGTAAACAGGTGCCGTGCGCAGCACCTCCAGTTCAAGGACATGTACCTGGCTGGGATGAGTGCAGCATCCTAATCACACAGATTGCTTTATGTTGTCGCTATGTTGTTCTTTCCCTGGAATTGGTACAGGCCTATTGGGATACAGTGGCTCTTTTCTTGGGAAAAACTGATTCCTTCATTCATTTGTTATTGTTGCTGTGTCTGTCTTCTTTGTGCCTCTGAAAGCCCTCTTTAGGACTCCACAGCAACGGGTGCCCTGCAACCTCACGGGACCCCTTGGAGACAACTCAGTATGAGACAGTCCACACTTACTGAGTTTACCCTGACCCAGGGGGTTGGTGAGAGGAAAGAGGAATTTCACAATGAAAGGGTTCCTCTCCAAAAGATGCTAGAGTGCAGTCCTGGCTGAGTTGGGCTGGGGCATTGAAGTCTTGGCTCATAGACCAGAGGTCACCCAGGGTGCCCTGTCAGTCCTCAAAGAGTTAAAAAGAGTTTTGAATAAATATTTAAAAATTTAAGACTTACATAATTTAATTTTTTTTTTATTTTTTCATTTCAATAGTTTTTGGGATACATACAGAAGGCTTTTGGTTGCATGGGCAATTTTTTAGTGGTCATTTCTGAGATTCTCATGTACCTGTCATCCGAGCAGTGTACATTGTACCCTATGTATAGTCTTTTATCCCTCAACTCCCCCCTACCCTTCCCTCTGAGTCCCCAAAGTCCATTATATTATTCTTATGCCTTTGCATCCTCATAGCTTAGCTCCCACTTGGTTTTTCATTTCTGAGTTACTTCACTTAGAATAATGGCCTCAAGCTCCAACCAAGTTGCTGCAAAGGCCATTATTTTGTTCCATTTTATGGCTGAGTAGTATTCCATGGTGTATATATGCTACATTTTCTTTATCTACTCGTTGATTGATAGGCATTGAGGTTGGTTCCATATTTTTGCAATTGCAAATTGTGCCACTATAAACTTGCATGTGTGTGTGTGTCTTTTTCATATAATGACTTCTTTTCCTTTGGGTAGATACTCAGTAGTGAATTTGCTGGATCGAATAGCAGGTCTACTTTTAGTTCTTTAAGGAATCTCCATACTGTTTTCCATAGTGATTGTACTAGTTTACATTCCCACCAGCTGCATAGAAGTGTTCCCTTTTAACAAAATCTACACCAACATCTATTTTTTTTTTATGTTTTAGTTATGGCCATTCTTGCAGGATTAAGGTGGTATCTCATTGTGGTTTTAATTTGCATTTCCCTGACACTTAGTGATGTTGAGCATTTTTTCATATGTTTGTTGTTTGTTGGTGTTTGTACATCTTTTTTTTTTTCTGCTTTTTGAGACAGTCTTGCTCTCATCACCCAGGCTGGAGTGCAGTGGCATGATCCCGGCTCACTGCAACCTCTGCCTCCCAGGTTCAAGTGGTTCTCCTGCCTCAGCCTCCCAAGTAGCTGGGATTGCAGACATCCATCACCACACCTGGCTAATTTTTGTATTTTTTAGTAGAACCGTGTTTCACCATGTTGGCCAGGCTGGTCTCAAACTTCTGACCTCAGGTGATCTGCCTGCCTTGGCTTCCCAAAGTGCTGGGATTACAGGTGTAAGCCACCGCCCCCCACCTGTATGTCTTTTTTGATAATTGTCTGCTCATGTTGTTTGCCCACATTTTTGATGGGATTATTCATTTTTGTCTTGCTGATTTGAGTTCCTTGCAGATTCTGGATATTAATCCTTTGTCAAATGCATAGTTTGCTAACATTTTCTCCCACTCTGTGGGTTGTCTGTTTACTCTGCTGATTATTTCTTTTGCTATGCAGAAGATTTTTAGTTTAATTAGGTCTTATTTATTTATTTTTGTTTCTGTTACATTTGCTTTTGGGTTCTTAGTCCTGAATTCTTCGTGTAAGTCAATTTCTAGAAGGGTTTCTCCGATGTTATCTTTTAGAAATTTTATGGTTTCACATCTTATATTTAAGTCTTTGATCCATCATGAATTTATTTTTGTATAAGGTGAGAGATGAGGATCCAGTTTCATTCTTCTACATGTGGCTTGCCAGTTTTTCCAGCACCATTTATTGAGTAAGGTATCCTTTACCCACTTCATGTTCTTGTGTGCTTTGTTGAAGATGAGTTGGTTGTAATTATTTGTCTTTATTTCTAGGTTCTCTATTCTGTTCCATTGGTCTATCTGCCTATTTTTATACCAGTATCATGCCGTTTTGATAACTATAGCCTTGTAGTGTAATTTGAAGTCAGGTAATGTGATGCCTCTGGATTTGATCCTTTTGCTTAGTATTGCTTTGGCTATGTGGTTTCATATAAATTTTAGGATTTTTTTCTAGTTCTGTGAAGAATGATGATGGTATTTTGATGGGAATTGCATTGAATCTGTAGCTTGCTTTGGGTAGCATGGTCATTTTCACAATATTGATTCTATCCATCCATGAGCATGGGATGTGTTCCTATTTGCTTGTGTCATCTGTGATTTCTTTCAGCAATGTTTTGTAGTTTTCCTTGTAGAGATCTTTCACCTCCTTGGTTAAGTGTATTCCTAAGTATTTTATTTATTTATTTATTTGTTTGTTTTTTGCAGTTGTTGTAAAAGGGATTGAGTTATTGACTTAATTCTCAAGTTGGTCATTGTTGGTGTATAGCAGTGCTACTGATTTTGTATCCTGATACTTTACTGAATTCATTGATCAGATCTAGGAGCTTTTTGGATGAGTCTTTAGGGTTTTCTTGGTATATAATTATACTGTAAGTTTGACTTTCCCATTACCAATTTGGATGCCCTTTATTTCTTTCTCTTGTCTGATTGCAGTGGCTAGGACTTCCAGTACTATGTTGAATAGAAGTGGTGAAAGTGAGCATTCTTGCCTTGTTCCAGTTCTCAATGGGTTTCCCCATTCAGTATGATGTTGGCTGTGGGTTTGTCATAGATGGCTTTTATTACTTTGAGGTGTGTCCCTTCTATGCCAATTTTGTTGTGGGTTTTTATCATAAAGGGATATTGAATTTTATCAAATGCTTTTTCTATATCTATTGAGATGATCATATGATTTTTGAATAATCTAGACTTTTTGGCCTTTTTTAGAAAACCATGAATCTCACAAAACTGAGCTTAGAATCTCACAGGACAGGAACTTGGAGCTGGGAT
Organism: Homo sapiens; assembly: GCF_000001405.40. Taxonomy (NCBI): domain Eukaryota; kingdom Metazoa; phylum Chordata; class Mammalia; order Primates; family Hominidae; genus Homo; species Homo sapiens. The sequence goes on along the minus strand of NC_000019.10, from coordinate 29,159,206 downwards.
ATGTTGTCCCTTTTAGCCGGGGCAGTGGCCATACCCCCATCAGGAGGCTGGCCAGGTTCATTTGTTGTCTTACCTGCATGGACCTCAAGTATTTGATCTGGGGGCTCTGTCAGAGACCAATGACTCTAGAATGTGATTAAAAAAAAACCTCTAGGAAACTAGATTATAGGAGGATCCCACTTTCCCCTCAAGAAGGGTCTAGACTCCTGGTTTTATACATAAAGCCCTCTGATTTGGCCTCATAATTCCCAGGCTCAGCCCTCACCACTCCACTCTTTAGACTCAAACAGCTAGCCCTCTGCTTCTCCAGTTGGGAAGAAATGTGGCCTGGTTAGAGATTAGAAAAAAAATAAATACTTTGAATGATAAAATAATTATATATAATGAAGATAAGAGTATCAGGAAACCAGCAGCTCCACCCATCCCATGCTGATTTTTGGTCACACTTTGGGTCCCTTATGGGCGAGGTAATGGGAGAAGTAGCAATTGTGTTAGGCCCCTTTATTTTGTTACTAAGTCACCAGGGCTCTGATAGCTTAGCTCTGTAGCACTTCTCATCCTGCAAAGTTAATATTTTGTTAACTTGCTCTTTCTTCCACTAGTTGGTAAGTTAACTGAGGGGCAGGAATGATGTCATATCCATCTGGGCATAAACTGAGTTTCTCTGGGCCTCACTTGCCTATAGAATCAATTAAGCAATGAATTCCATTACATACTTTTGGCTCTGCACTGCTAACTTAGAGCTCTATTTCTCTATAAAAGTCACTCAAGACTTTTGGAAGCCTCCAGGGGGTGGCTCACACTTTCTTACAAGTGAGTGTGTTCAGTTGTCCGGAGTGATATCTCATTTGCTTCCACTGCCACTCCAGAGCCCCTCTGCTGGATCTGGTCACACTTACAGACCTGTTGAGTCTGCTGACAATGGCCACTGAGGTACCTGGACAACTGTGTCCACCTGGCATGCAGCATCTACTTTTGATGACCTCATCTACAGCAGGCAGGGTTCACAGTCATTTCTGCCTGGTCTATTACCGTCTTCTGACGGGTACCATGATGATGACAACTAGAGCTTCAAAGAGCTCCTGTAACAAAAGTTTATTACAAAGAATCAGCATTGCATACATACTGAGTTCCAGACACCATGCTGGAAAGTTCACAGTCAGTCTTAAACCTCAGGGAACACAAACCTGTAAAGATGCAATTACACTAAGACAGGTAAAGTGGAAGCACAGAGGAAAGACCCTGAGTCCAGATTTCTAGGAAAAGTACCATAAAGTACGATAAAACTGAAACCTGACAATGACCAGCAGTCAGATAAGAAAAGGCAGAATATGGAGAAAAGAAGGAAAGAGAGAAAAAAAGAAGGGGTGGAAATAGCATTTGAATACCTAGAGAGGAAGAGGATGTGGGGTTCTCTGATGATTGCAAGCAGTTTAATCCAGCTTCAGCAAAAAAGCTTCATGGGAGACGACTGATAAGAACAAAGCCTCGAGAGATCTGCAGAGGCAAGACGGAGGCGGCTTTTAAGCCATGCAAAGGATGCGGTGTTTCCCTTAGGGCAATGTGGAGCCCACACAGATTTTAAACAGAATAACTTAATTAAATGTTTTTTAGTCAATTTTTTTGTGCTGCTGTTAACAGAATATCACAGTGAAGGTTGGAATGTCTAAAATCAAGGGGCTGGCCTCTGGTAAGGGCCTTCTTGCTACATCCTCACATGGCAGAAAACATCACATAGTGGAAAGGCAAAGAGAGGATGAGAGAGGCATTAAGTTCATGAAAACACCTCTTAAATATTCCACCTCTTAATACGTTACAGTGGCAGCTAAATTTCACTATGAGTTTTGAAGGGGACAAGAATTCAAACCATAGCAAATGTGAACCTTAGAAGTACAATTTTATATAAAGAGTAGATGAAAATTTCAATTCTGATAGAAAAAATAGACTAGGGACTCCGGTAAATCTTTCTGTTAAAACGCTGGGTATATAACTCATTGGAAAATGCATCATTGAACCGTGCATTCATTGGGAATAGTCAGAGGTCAAAAACTAAGTAAAACCAGGAGCCCAGAAGCAAGAAGAGCATTTAAACCAGCTTTCAGTTTGAGGGTATTTGCTAAATTGAGTAACCTTGAGTTTTGGATTTTGTGGCTCTGTAGAGCACATAGTAAGTCTAGAGTCTGTCCAAAGGTAGGAGTCCAGTAGAAATCTCTTCCTTCCCCTTCCCTTTCCCCACACTGAAAGCTTATATCTCAAATGGCCAATGTTCCTTGTAATTGTGAACTAGAAATAAACCACTCAGTCTCATGACTGACCACTCACCAGGGAACTTTAAAGAAAATTGTCCATCTCAAAGTTTGAAGCTGAGTAGGTGAAGGAGAGTAAAAACAAAAACAAAAACAAACAAACAAACAAAAAACCTCTTAAAATTCGTAACCACAAACTATCTCTCACGTAGGTTTGCAACCCAAAATTGAACCACCCAAATAGGCCAAAATTTTTTTTGCCAAAAATTTAGTGCAACTTGATTCTGGCTGGTAGATCCAAAGGCATGAGGCAGAAGCAAATCAAAATTCTCCTTGGGGATCTTGCTTTCTAACCAGGTCTCCAGTTCCACAGATAAAATTCTAAAAATATAACCCACAATAAAAAATTACGCACAGGAATCAGGAGCAGCAGAAATGTAAGTATTAGGATGGAAAAGATTTCAGAGAGTAAAATTATTAAACACCGACAAACACGTTGAATATGCTTTAAGAAATAAACAAAATACAAATAAAGAGAAAGGTGCTACAGAATAGGACTGACTGTATTAATAAAATAATTCTAGAAATCAAAATATAATGGCTTATAATGTGCACAATAAAGCAAAAGATAGAGCAAAAAAATACCCAGAAGATAGCACAGAATCAAAGAAATGAGAAGCCTGTCAGAAGTTATGAGAATGAATAATGGAGAAAGAAGAATGAAGTAAGATGTTCTAACACACTTCCAATAAAACTTGCAGAAGGAAAAAAGAAAAAGAATGGAACAGAAGCAATATTTGAATAGGTAATGGTTGAGAACTTTCCAGAAGAGATGAAAGAAGCCATTCTATAGATTTGTGAATTCTAACAAAAGAAAAATAATTAAGCAAAAAATACACCCTATGTGTCACAGAGGAAGACCAAAGGCAAAGATAAAACCTTAAAAATGAGATCAGAAAAAAGGGGTAATCATCAAAGGAAAGACAATAAAACTGACAGTAAACTTCTTGATAAAAGTTATAAAAGCCAGAAAACCACGGAATATTGCTATGTTCACTATGCTTAGAGAAAAACTTGTCAACCTAGAATTATATACCCAGCAAACATATTTTTCAACAATGAGAGTAAAATATAGATATTTTTCAGATAAAAACTGAGTAAGTTTTCCCACAACACACTCTCATTAAGAGGATTCTAAAGGGTGCATTTTAGGCAGAAGGACTGTAATTGTAAATAGAAGGCGAACATGAAGGGAAAAATTATAAAAAAAGGATGGGATAACCGTGTAGGTGAATCACACAAACTCTGGTTGAATAAAACAATGAGAACATGTCATGGGGTTTTAAAAAGAGGAAATATAAATGCCAGCAATAGCATAGAAGTAAAGAGAGCATGAAGTCAACATTGTAATATCTCAAAAACTGTTCATGTGAAAGCAAGATACAGAATAATCCATATAATATTATACCTTCTAATTAATGTTAAGGGTTTGCAAAATAATACTCTATGTTGCATATGGAAACATGCCCATATAGTACAAACATAAAGCATTCATGAATTGTGTATGGACACACTTGAGGGCAGCAGTTACCTCTTAGCAGAGGTCAGAGAGAGGAACACAGGGAACTTTAGTTAAAACAATTGTTTTATTTTGGAAATACAAATGTATCTGAAACAAATGTAAACAAGGGTTAAGAGTTGTGCAAAATGGGCAGCAGACACAAAATTTCTGTTTGAAATATTGTACTAAACAAATTTTGAAGTCAACATGGCTGAATAGGAAAGCTTACAGGGTAGTAATTCTTTCCAAAGTAATTCTCGAAGAGAATTCAGCATGCTTTAATGCCAACAGGATGAAGCCAGTGGAGAGGGTATTTGACATGATGTGATCTCTAAGCAGGGAGCAGCTGTCTGCATTCCAGGGCAGCCCTGCAGGATTTGACCTTGTATAGAGAGAGGAGTTCTGCTCTTTTAAGTGGTTTGTGAGAGGAAGCCAGATGTACTTATGTATTGGGTAGAGGAGAGCTGAGGTGTTTCCATCTGATTACTTAAGTCAACTTTGGGAGGTCCTCTGCTCAGAGGGAGGGAGTAGATGTTTGAGGAATCTGGACAGAGCCTTGAATATGGGTTGAGAGGTGCCGTAGCTGTGTTTGGCAAAGTGTGAGGAAATGTATTTCCCTTGATTTGCCTAATGTGCTCCCTGTACCAAAGCTGTATCTGTCTTTAACCCAACAAGTGAGCAGAGTTTCAATGAAATAGCTCTTCTAGGGGTGCCACAGCATTTAGATATGAACTAAGGGGATGGGTGGAGAGGGTTTCTGGTAGACAGTAACCACCTGTACCTGAGGACATTACCCTCTTCCCTCAACAAAGGGTAAAATCAGTGCTTCTCAGACTTTACCAGGGATCTTCCTAAAATGCAGATTCTAAATAAGTAGGTCAGGGTGGGCCTGAGATTTCTGTGTTTCCGAGTGATGTTGATGTTGCTGGTTGGAGGACCACACTTGGAGTGGAAGGTAGCCTGATTCACTTGCTTAAGCATGCTCACTTGTGTGCACACACACGCTCTCTCTCTCTCTTGCTCTTTCTCTCACTCTCATTCTCACTCTCACTCTCACTCTCTCTCTCTCACTCTGCCCTCCAGTACTCTTTTGAGAGGTTCTGCGATTCTCCATTCAAGTAGAGTTTTGGTCCACTATCTTATCAGTTTGCCAGACACACCCATTCCCATTGGAATACCAGGCTAAATGGTTTGGCTCAAACTGGATTCTTTTCTCCATTTGGGCTTTAGAGCCCAGCTCTGCTTTGCGTCAGAGCAGGGGCTTAAGACAGTGGGAAATTCACTTCTGGGAGGACAAAGTCACCCTGAGGCTCAGCTCCAAGCAAATCCCATGTCTTCCCTCTTTCCTTTAGATAACAGCGCGGCACAGCACTACACCAGCATAATCAGTGAACGGGACTCTCTGCTACTCTTTAAATCTTTGGTTACATGATCCTCACTTATCTCATTAACAGAAACCAAATATCAAATTACTGGTTGAATATTTCCTCCAAGATCAGAGAGACCATTCTACACGTGAAATACTAAGCACTTCCTGGCAGTACTCATCCCTCTTGTACATAACTGTATGTGGTTTGTGTTCATGGCATCATAGACCTCCTGCACAGGATCCGTGATGCCTGTTGAGCCTCCTCAGACATCTGCTGTATCCCTCTTAGCAGAGAACCCTCAGTGCTGACCTAAGCACTCCTTCTCTGTCACTGAATTGGTCTGTTTAGTTTTCTCACATTGATAGTAATAAGTAAAAGCAATAGTTCCCATATTCCCCAAAATCTGTGTAGTCTGGTATTTTCAGATTTTAGATTTATTCAGTTATGTGATGCTAACAGTGTGCTTGAGGGTCCTTTGATATTAACCATAAACTGGGATCCCCCTACAGAAATGCTTGGGAAGAAAGTGCAGAAGTTATCAGTGTGCATGGGCTGGTAAGCCTACGGTAGTCAAAGTGCTTCTACAACAGGGTTTCCTAACTTCAGCACTATTGATATGTAGGGCTAGATATTTCTTTGTTATAGGGTGCTGTCTGTGCATTTTAGGGTGGTTGGCAGCATCTCTGGCCTCCATTTACTAGGTGCTAATAGTCATCCCCCCTCCAGTTGTGGCAACCAAAAACGTCTTCAGACATACCACATGTCCACTGATAGAGAACCACTTTTCTACAAGATCCTCTAAAACAGAGAGAGAAACAGAAATCAATTAAGTGACCTGAGTGTTGGACACCTCATTAATTTAGACTGATTTCAAGGAGGCCCTATCTGTACTATAAAATATGTTATGCCAGTGCTATCTGTTAATGCATTAACCAATTAGGCTGCATGCTGGTGACTATCAGTTTTCTGCCTTGGGCCTTTTTATTTCCCCAGTTGCTCCCTGAGTATCTCATTTACTTCCAGGGTTTTAGTCATACCTAGTAGGCTGAAGAATCCATAGCAGCCTAAACCATTATGCTGAGTTCTGAACCAATGAACTAAATTTCTTACAGAATCTGGACATTCGGTGGATACCTCATACTTAATTTCTCCAGATCGGCTCATTACAGAAGCCAGGATATTTCAGCACTAAAATTTTGTTGATATAGTTTTTCTTGAATCTTTTTGTTGGTACCCCATCACTCTCAGGAAAACCCAACTTGCTTAATACAATGGAAGAGGCTCTTTCTCATCTGCCTGCCTCTCCTGCCTCATTTCCTACCAGTCCTTCCCCTCCCTTCCCTGGTCCCTATACTCCAGCCATACCCATGTTCTCTCTCGTCTCTGGGCATTTGATCGTTTTCCTCTTCCTGGCTCAGGCTTACCAGATCTTCAGGCTCTAATTTAAATGTCACACCATCCTAAAGTAATCTCAGGGTCCCTAGATTTGGGTTCGATGGCTTGATTATGTGACCCTAGAGGGAGTGGCCTGTGTTTTTTCTTTTACAGTGTTTTTTTTTTTGTTTTGTTCTTTTTTCTTGAGACAGGGTCTTTCTCTGTAACCCAGGCTGGAATGCGGTGACACAATCATAGCTCACTGCAGCCTTAATGTACCAGGCTCAAGTGATCCTCCTGCCTCAGTCTCCCAAGTAGCTGGGGCTACAGGTGAGGCACCACACCCAGCTAATTTTTTGGATTTTTAGTCGAGATGAGATCTTGCTATGTTGCCAAGGCTGGTCTTGAACTCCTGAGCTCAAATGATCCTCCCACCTTGGCCTCCCAAAGTGCTGGGATTATAGTATAGGCATGAGCCACTGTACCTGGCCTACAGTGTAAAGTTTTGCTAGAAGATTTTTCTTTTTTAACTAGGAAACCCACAATTCCCAGGGGCTCCATGTACTTTCCTCCACAGAGAGCTGGGGACAAGTGGGGCCAGGAGTGAGGTTTCTGAGGCCTTTGTGAATGATATTTTGTAAAGACTCTGAATTCTGTTAGTTTCTTCTTAAGAGTGTTGAGTTTTGTTTTACTCATTTTTTTCTCCTATTACTAAGTTCCCAAGTCTTCTTTCTTTTTCCTTCCTTCCTTCTTTCCTTCCTTCCTTCCTTCCTCCTTTCCCTTTCCCTTTTCCTTTCCTTTCCTTTCCTCTCCTTTCTCTTTCTTTCTTTCTTTCTCCTTCCTTCCTTCCTTCCTTCCTTCCTTCCTTCCTTCCTTCCTTCCTTTCTTTCTTTCTTTTCTTTCTTTCTTTCTTTCTTTCTTTCTTTCTTTCTTTCTTTCTTTCTTTCTTTCTTTCTTTCTCTTTCGACAGGGTCTTGTTCTGTTGCCTGGCTAGAGTGCAATGGAACAATCATAGATCACTGCAGCCTTGAACTCCTGGGCTCAAGTGATTCTCCCATCTCAGCCTTCTGAGTTATCGCGATTACAGGCATTTACTCCTATTTTTTTTTATTTTTTTGTACAAATGGGGTCTTGCTACATTGCCCAGGCTGGTCTCAGACTACTGGCTTCAAGTGATCCTCTGCCTCAGCCTCACAAAGCACTGAGATTACAGGCATGAACCACTGCCCCTGGTCCCAGATAAATTCCTGGTAGACCATCTGGAGCCACTGGAGGCTTGGTTAGGGTAAGTTCATTGTTTTGCCCTTAGACCTAGGAAGAATCCCTTAATTCAGGGGTAGAATGTTCTTTCCTAAGGTGCAGTCTTTCTAGGATTTCAGTGGAATGCCTGAAGTCTTTCTCAGGCCCCTTTAACTTGCTAGGATACAAGCTCCAAACGCTGGCTCCCATGCACAGAAAAGAGGCTGACATATCTGGTCTGTATTTTAGCCTTCCAGCTATTGTTATTTCCTTTGATTCCTAAAGTCTCCATCATTCACATGCAGTTTAGGGATGAGTCTAGATTGGAGCGTAGCTTATAGACAGGTTTGGTGACTCCCCCTCCTCTGTGACTTCTTCCTTTAAAGGATTTCCCCTTCATTTTTCATCCACACCAGCAGTTTCAAACTCCCTTCTTTGACATCTCAAGTCAATATAACTACAGTTTTCAGCTTGCACCTAAGGGACAAAGTTGTATGAATATGGGTCGTACTCTCTGTGCACTCTCTTATTTGCAATGAAAAATCTCTTCAGGTTCTGCTTGCTTCTGGTTGCTTCCAAGTTCCCTTAAGTGGCCAGGTCTAGTATATTTTTTCCCCTAGAATTTGTAATTGCTATCTGTAGAAAGGTTCTACCATGCCTGGAACCGGAAATCTGAAAATATTACTGAAAAGAAAGAAGAAAGAATAAAACATTTTTAAATGTTTGTGTTGATATATAGAATGGCATAGAGAGACAGGGTATGGTGGCCCACACCTTTAATCCAAGCACTTTGGGAGGCCGAGGAGGGCGAATCACTTGAGGTCAGGAGTTACAGACCAGCCTGGCCAATGTGGTGAAACCCTGTCTCTACTGGGCATGGTAGCTGGCACCTGTAATCCCAGCTACTTGGGTGGCGGAGGTTGCAGTGAGCTGCTCCTCTGCTCTCCAGCCTGGGTGATAGAGTGAGATTCTGTTTCAAGAAAAAAAAAAAAGAATGAAATAGAGAACTTCTGGCTTATTTCATATGAACAGCGTGCTTATCTTAATTTGAGATTGGTTGGAAACACCTTGGTCTTGATGATTTACATTGTCATTCTGTGATTTTTATTCTTTCTGAAAAGTGCTATGCAGAGGATAACTCCAACAGAGTCTGGCTCCTCATCATACATTAATATGAGACAATAAATTAAAGAGTTTTTTTGAAGCTGGTGAACCAGCAGGTCACCTTTCCAAATAGCTGATATATCAGCAAAACTCTACAAAAGAATTGCTGCTATTTTTTATCTCCAGTTCTTATGTTCTTATAGCTACACTGAAACTGCTAATGACCTACACATTGGCCAGGAAATTGTCAATTATCAGCCTTCATCTCACTTGGCCTATTTGCAATCTGAAATATTTCCTAAATATTTGCAGTATTTGAAAAGTTTTTCCTCCATAAACATTTTGTTCATTTGGCTTCCAGGAAGCCAGACTCTTGTAGCTTTTCTTCTACGTTACTGGGTCTGCTTTCCAGATCCCTTTGCCATTTTCTCCTCCTTTCCTTGATTGCTAAAATTGGAACGTCCCCAGGCTGTCTTTATACGTATCCTCTCTTATTAACGGTCTCTCTCTCAGTGATTGCCTTTAATCTCATGGCTTTAAATACCTTATACACACGACAAAAATGGTCATTTCCAAATGGTCATTTCTATCTCAGACTTGCCTCCTGAACTGTAGAATTGTATACCAGCTACCTACTCTCCAGACTCACTCAGATGTCTAACCAACATCTCAAACCCAACATGTCCAACATGAAACTCCTACCTTCTACCACCTTCTCACAAGTTTCTTCTATTTTCTTCCCTGCACCAATGAACAGCAACTCCATGGATGGATGACCCATTCTCAGGGTCATCCTTGACTACTCTCTTGGAGAATAGCCCAAATCAAATCTTTCAGCAAATCTTGTCAGCTTTACCTTCCAAGTATGGCCAAAATTCCTTAGCCACCGTCTCATCTCTAACCTAGATTATTGCAGATGTCTCCCTGTTTTTGCTCTTTCCCTCTGTAGTCCATTCCAGGGTGATGTTTTAAAAATAGATGTCATATTATGGCCTCTACTATTTAAATAATCCAACTGTTTCCCAGGTACTCAGAGTAAAAACCAGCATTCTTACAATATCTAAGGTCCTATACCCTCTACTTTTTGTTACCATTCTCACTTCATCTACTTACTGCTCACTCTCACGCCACACTGGTCTTCTTAAAGCGTCTAGGCACAGATCTACCTCAGGGCTTTGCACAGGCTGTTCCCTATGCCTGGAATGCTCTTCCCTTAAGTAGCCATATGGTGTACTCCTTCACTTTCTTTAGACTTCATAATCTTACTGTAAGAATGTCTCTTTACCCTTGACACACCTTTTCTCTTTCCTGCCTTGTTTTTTTCCCAAGTACTTATCACCCTCTGACATCCTTTATGTTAATTTTTTTCTTTCCTATTTGTTATCTGTGTCCATTGACTTGACTGTAAGCTCCACAAGGACAAGGATTTTTGTGTGCTCATTGTCATTACTCTAACTCTGGAATATCGATGAGGACTCTGCCCAGAGTAGTTGCTAAATCAGTATTTATTGAATGAATTAATCATGAATGGAGCATAGATCGATGTAACTTTAGTTTCTTAGGTCCACAATGGTTGGGTACTGGAAGAGGTGATTCTTATCGTCAAATGGGCTGTGATTTATGAGAAAATAGAGGATCCAAAGAAACTGAACTCAAGCCAAGTGTGCGGGCAGCTTCCCCTCCATTCCTTCCCTCTCCTTGTCCTTTTCCTGTTACATGTGAGGCAGTGCACGTGTTATAACACTTCTGTTTCTCTCTCTGAATGCCCACTGCACATACATTAAATGTCTTCTAGGGCATGTGTAGGAAGCAATGGGTATTTTTACTTGTCTATTATTCTTGTCTTCTTTTTGTGATAACAGCACCATGATTTTTTCTTAGGGGGTTAGCCTTTCCTCCAAGCGCAATCTATGACATTTGGGTGGGGCTAAGACCTCTTTCCCAAGGATCCTGGAGTGAGTCCATAAACCTGTTCTCTCCAATTAGAACACTTCTTTTCCATGGATGGCTACTACAGTAGGTTTAGGGATTTCTCCTCAATTCAAGATGATCCAGTCAGAACAAGCCAACTCTTTAATATTTGCTAGAACCATAGGGTAAGAGACACTTTTCCTCCTGAGATTGCTGCAAGGCTAATGTAACTGTGAGCCTGCAGAAAGCTATATGAAGAGACAGACTGTCTGAGAATGAAGCCAACACCAGGAAGAGATGTGGAGAGATGCAGAGTTCTGATGACAGTGTTGAATCTCCTGCAACCAGCTGCATCCAAACCCAACTATTCAGTGGCAAGAACCGGTAATTCCTTTTTTGATTAAGTTGAGTTGGGTAGGCTTATGTCATCTATAACCCAAGGAGTCCCAAGACAGCATTTGACAATTTTGCAATGCATAAAGCCAGTCTCCTATGCTCATGTCACCCCTCACTCCAAAGAGATCTTATTGGATTTATCATATATGTACAATATCACTCCCATGTTCTAGATAGGAGGTGCTTCATACACACAGAATAGATCAGAAGAAATTTCCTGGTTTAAATTGTTTATGCTTTATTTGTCTGTTTTGTTTTTTGAGACAAGGTCTCACTCTGTTGCACAGGCTGGAGTGCAATAATGTGATTACAGCTCACTGCAGCCTTGACCTCTGGGGCTTAATTGATCCTCCTGCCTCAGCCTCCCGAGTAGTTGTGACTACAGGCATACATCACCACTCCTAGCTAATTATTGTATTTTTTTGTAGAGACAGGGTTTTGCTGTGCTGCCCAGGCTGGTCTTGAACTCCTGAACTCAAGCAATGCTCCCTTCTCAGCCTCCCAAAGTGATGAAATTACAGGTGTGAGCCACCACAGCCAGCCCATTTAGTTCTGAATAGGGGCTTCCATTTGATCCTAGGAAACGCAAAGCAACTATCTTTGCTCTATAATTGTGGGCTTCATGTTTATAAATTTCACTTACAGGAAAATATCCATATTGTCTTGTGCTTTTTTTTTTTTTTTTTTTTTTTGAGACAGAGTCTTGCTCTGTCACACAGGCTAGAGTGCAGTGGCATGACCCTGGCTCATGGCAACCTCTGCCTCCTGGATTCAAGCAATTCTCCCACCTCAGCCTCCCAAGTAGCTGGGATTACAGTCCTGTGCCACCACCCACAGCTAATTTTTGTATTTTTTTTTTTAGTAGAGATGTGTTTTCACCATGTTGGCCAAGCTGGTCTTGAACTCTTGACCTCAAGTGATCTGCCCACCTCAGCCTCCCAAAGTGCTGGGATTACAGGTGTGAGCCAATGCGCCCAGCCGTTTTGTGCCATTTCTAAAAGCTGCTTTTGAAAATGAGTTTCTGGATATCATCTGGAGCTAATAGACTCAAGAATAAAAAATGTGTTATGAACAGGGAACCTGTGGCAGGATAGAGAGAATCTGGAATTCTGTTTGGTTTCTTAAGGAGAAAACGTGACTGTCCAAGCATGGCTAATTGCGACCAGAAGTGACTGTGCATCTGGCTGGTTACAGAGGATGACTTTGGTTTTCACTGATTCTCAGCCATGTTCCAGGGTTTAACTGTTGCAGATAAAATCGTACAGTAATCTAATACTTATCTATATGCCTTATTAGTTGGTTTTGAATTAAAGACCATTACTTTTTTAGTTCCCCCATATTTCCTCATATTGAGAATATTACAGTGGTTCCTTCATATTTTTGTGTGAACTTGCAATTATGATAAAATGTTTTTGAATTATTGCTTGAATACAATTATCTTACATTGTTTTGCATATTAAAATGGAATTTTAGATATCTCATTCAAAGGCCGGATTATTTTTCAGACTTCATTAAATTCCTGTTTTAGTGTTAAATGAATGTTAACTTAATTTTAAAATATTATGAAAAAGCCCCAAGCTTGAGCTGGCTTTGTTGGCGATAAACTCATTCTAAAGCTTTTCATTTTCTCTTAGAAGTCTCTCTTTGTTCAACTGCTTCTGCTGCCAGAAAAACCTAAGTAAGATTTTTCTCACCCGCAAGGAGCTGTTTTGCTTCCACAAATTCTTCTCTGTTTCCTTGGCCTGGCAATGGCCGATGGTGACAGAGCAGGTTTTAGGAAAGTCCAAAGTGATTTACTTGTTCCAAGGTGCAATGAAATGTCCAGACCATTGCCTTTTCTGCTGGAGGAGGGGGAGTTTGCACAGATCTCTTGGAAGAAGATAAAGGGCTTTCCACACTCACTGGAAGCACTTGTCCATCACAGGAGCCCCACTCTGCAGACCCTCCAAGCTAGGTATTTATTTGACACTCAGTGAGGAGAGGAAACGCTAGTCCTCTCCCCAAGCTTAGCTGTGACGGGAAGTATGATCCACTGACTGGGCCGGGGTCACCTCTGGGGCCTGCACAGGTCAATGAGCATGGCAGTCATTTAGTGGCAGGAGGTTGCACGCTGCCTCCAAAGTGAATTGCTGCCCTTAGCTCTGTGTGTTTCCAGAGCCTCTGATTTTTCCTGAGAAGCTGAGATTTACATTCTTATGTGCAGCTATCTGATTTGAAACTATTGGCAACTAACTCAGTGTTTTATGAAATTCAGTGAAGCACTTCTATGGCCTGTGGATTGAGACAACATTAGTTGACTCTTTTCTTCCTTTTGTCTTGTCCTTCTCTGCTTTCTTCCCTCCTTCTGGGTTGGTGCACAAGAGGAGGTGATTTATTGTACCTTGTAGCTAATGTCTGGCCTCTGCGGGGACTTGTGTGTCCTTGGTCTGCCCCTTCATGGCCTGATTCCCACCACCAGCCTGCTGGGTGCATTTGGCAGTCACTTAACTTCTGTGCCTAAGTTTGTTCTCTAAGAACACTTAAATCCCTCCAAGTAATCGAGGGATAATTATAACTGTCACGGTGCCACCTCCAAGGACTGGGGTGCAAATTAATGAAGTGCTTCTTCTCACATGTCTGCAAGCACCTTTGGAAGAACTTGCTACTTTCTCACAGAACGTTATTCATCCCCTAGCAGGTGGAAATTACAGACCTGATAGGGCAATGTTCCTCAAAGAGTGGCAAGCCTACCTTTGCACCAGAATCCCCTGGGGGGCTGAGGAGGTAGTCTTCCTTGCTAAAATGCTGATTCCCAGTCTCTACCCACTCTATGAAATGAAATCCCGAGAGATTGGTGCTTGGAGCTATGTGTTTTTAACAAGCATGCTCCCACCTCCCAGTGATGTTAACATTCCTTAAAGTTTGATAAGGACACTTGAGCCTTGGGAGAAAGCAAAGGGGTGTCTGTGAAAGAAGTATTGGGTGAGAAGGGGGTGTCAAAAATAAACACAGCCGGATACTACTTAAAGTGGTGAAAACAGATGTTATCCAGTAACTACTGGATAACAGTAGTTATCCACAGTAGTTATCCAGTAACTACTGGATAACAGTGGTTATCCAGTGCGGGGAAGAGCAGAGCCCCATTCTGATTCCTGCAGAGGTGAGCTGGGTGTATTAAAGGGAGAAGGAGGAAGTGGGAAGAGTGGGGGCTCAGCAGAGCCAGAGAAGGGAAAATGGTCAGAGGGTTGGTTGGGGTAAATGCGGTGAGGCCAATCGGGTCTGCCAGTGGGCAGTGATCTAAGTTAGGGCTCCATTCTCTGACAGAGGCTGGGAGACAGAGGCACTATCCTTCTTAATGACTGCATTTCAAAGGAACAGCTCTTGGGTCCTCCACAAGGATGCTCCTGAGTTGCAGAAGATACATTCACAATTATAAGCTCATTTTAGTAAATGCTTTAAGAAAGGGAGGTCAGAGGCCCAGGTCAGGTGTGGCCTGGAATGAAAAGTAAACTTTCCTGGCAATGTTGATCTTTCTCAGGCAGGCATTTTAATCGGGGGCTGGGGTCATCCTGGGGACATGGCCTCATCCTGCTAGGACCCATGCTGGAGTTTGGTCAAGCATCTTAGGGCAGGGGTCTGAACAGAGTCTTTAAGTTCTGAGAGTTCTGCAGTTCTTAGGGACATCTAATTCAGTTTTCTTCAAGCCTCTGACAATTGCTTATTAAGGCTGTGGAATTATTTGACACAGAATAGGAGTATAAGTCTGGACATTTTGGATGATGGGCAGAGGTGGTATAGACAGCTCTGGAGACCTAGAGAGCTGGGTTCAATCCCAGAGCTGAAGCCAGAGAAAGTTTACTTCATCTTTCTGAGCCTCAGTTTCCCCATTATGGCTCCAGGACAAAAGACTAGGGAGTGACTGTCCCATAGAAGCCAGATGCAATCAGGGCACCCACAATTAAGTCAGGAGAATTGGACATGAGTGTGGTCAATGCTACCTGGATCTGCCTGGAATCAAATAAATAAGAAACAAATATGTTTTAAGAGAATTCTGCTGCAAAAGAATCACAGACCTGGGCAAATACAGCCAAAGCCTGTCTGGGGCTTAAAACAACCCTTGAGCCCCCGGCCTCATCTGGTCAGGAAGCAGGCTGAGGAAACAGAACTGTTTCCACAGGTAGAGCTTATTTTCTGCCACCCTCATTAGAGGGGGACAAGAATAATAGAACAGAGAAAACCTCTTGTGCCATAGATTTTGTTTTTGGTGTCTGAGAATCTGCATTTTACCTTATTTTTATTTGAGATTCAAGGGATGCATGTGCAGGTTTGTTACTTGGGTACATTGTGTGACACTGAGGTGCAGGTTTGTTACTTGGGTACATTGGGTGACGCTGAGGTGCAGGTTTGTTACATGGATATACTGTATGATGATGAGGTACAGGTTTGTTACTTGGGTATACTGTGATGCTGAGGTGCAGGTTTGTTACTTGGGTATACTGTGTGATGCTGAGTGCAGGTTTGTTACTTGGGTATACTGTGTGATGCTGAGTGCAGGTTTGTTACTTGGGTATATTGCATGGTGCTGAGTGCAGGTTTGTTACTTGGGTATTTGCTGGTGATGACGTGCATGTTTGTTACTTGAGTGTATTGTGTGATGCAGAGGTGCAGGTTTTTTACTTGGCTATATTGTGTGATGATGAGATGCAGGTTTTTTACTTGGGTATATTGTGTGATGCTGAGTGCGGGTTTGTTACTTGGGTATATTGTGTGATGCTGAGGTGCGGGTTTGTTACTTGGGTATATTCTGTGGCGCTGAGGTGCAGGTTTGTTACTTGGGTATATTGTGTAATGCTGAGTGCAAGTTTCTTACTTGAGTATATTGTGTGATGCTGAGTGCAGGTTTGTTACTTGGGTATATCATGTGATGCCGAGGTGCTTTGTTACATGGATATGTTGCGTGATGCTGAGGTTTGAGCTTCTAACGGTCCCATTGCTTAAGTAGCAAACATAGTACCCAATAAGTAGTTTTTCAACCCCTCCCTCTCTCCCCCATTTTGGAATCCCTGAAGTTTATTTTTCCTATCTTTGTGTTCATGTGTACCCAACATTTAACTTCTATTTTTAAGTGAGAACGTGCGGTATTTGGTTTTCTATTTCTGCCTTAATTTTCTTAGGATAATGCCAGGCTATAGTTTAAGGGGCACAGAAGACAAGGTACTGTGGGCCTTCCTATGGAGTGGTATCAATATCCACCCGTAGGGCTGAGACTGCTCCCATCCCCGCCCCCACCTGATCCAGCTGGGAATGTCCCTGTGGCCACCCTGTCTCTGTTCCATGGTGCATGTTATCTTTGTTCAGGAGGTCAGAGAGATCACTCTGCCCCACAGAGACAGTCCTGAGATGGGCCTTGAGCCTGATGTTATGACTAGCTAGGCCACCTCTCTTGGGAGAGGGGTATGGGTTCTGCATGTGGAAGGAGAATAAGCTGGGTATTTGTGACCCGACGACAGGGCTGGATTGTCGGATTAGATGGATTGAGTGTGGAGGTTGGATTATTCTTTAATATTCCAAGGACATTAGGCTTGGGCTAATGGAATATGACCCAATGATGTGTGTTATTTCAGAGCAGAAGCTTTAATTGTTGCATGTGTCTCCCTGTGTCCTTTTTCCTAGCCCAATGTGCTACAAAGCCCCAGGCAGAGCCTGCCACTGCAGCCTGGGACAGAAAGAGAGACAGAATGTAGAGCCACAACTGGCCTCCATAGACCTGCAGTGGATCCGAGACATGACCTTTGTTGCTCGAAGCCAGGGTTGAAAAAAGACCAGAGAGAAAATATTTTAGGGTTTGTAGGTCATGTGGTCTCTGTCAAACTTACCCAACTCTGCCTCTGTATCTGCAAAGCAGTCACAGGCAGCACTGCAAACCAATGGACATGGCTGTGTTCCAATAAGACTTCATTTACAAAAACTAGCAGTGGGCTGGGTTTGGCCTTTGGCCATAGTTTGACAGCCCCTGATGTAAGCCATTGAGATCTTGAGGTCTTTTGTTATCCCTAGTCTGGTTGATCTCAAACTTTAACACATCATACTCACCTGCAGGTGTAGCTATTAAAAATGAACAAAACCCCTTTGTAGCAACATAGATGCAGCTAGAGGCCATTATCCTAAAGTGAAGAAATGCAGAAATAGAAAACTGAATGCTGCATGTTCTCACTTAAAAGTGAGCTAAACGGGGCTGGGCATGGTGGCACACGCCTGTAATGCCAGAACTTTGGGAGGCCGAGGCAGGTGGATCACCTGAGGTCAGGAGTTCAAGAGCAGCCTGGCCAACATGGTGAAACCCTGTCTCTACTAAAAATACAAAAATTAGCTGGGCGTGGTGGTGGGCACCTGTAATCTCTGCTACTTGGGAGGCTGAGGCAAGAGAATTGCTTGAACCTGGAAGGTAGAAGTTGCAGTGAGCCGAGACTGCGCCACTGCACTCCAGCCTGGGCGACAGAGCAAGACTCCATCTAAAAAAAAAAGTGAGCTAAATATTGGATACACATGGACACAAAGACTGGAGCAATAAACCCTCGGGATTTCAAAACCGAGGAGGGAAGGAGGGGGGCAAGTATGGAAAAACTATGTATCAGCACTGTGTTCACCACTTGGGTGGTGGGATCATTAGAAGCCCAAACCTCGTCATAATGCAATATACTCGTGTAACAAACCTGCACACGTACCCCCTGAATCTAAAATAAATAACTAACATAAAAAAAAGAATCCCTTGGAGGGCTTATGAAAGCACAGATGGCGGGGTGCTGCCCAGAGGCTCTGATACAACAGACCTGATCTGAGACTAAGAATGTGCCTTTCTGCAATATTCCTAGGTGACACTGATGCTATCGATCCAGGGAGCACACTTGGAGTGTCCCTGCCCTGCCTTCTCGATTGAGGTAGCACCTGGAAAATGATGATAACATCAGAACTTACCTGATAGAGCTGTTGTCCCAGATAAATGAGATAACATGTGACATTATTAGGATAGCTGCTGACATTTGTAAATTCTCAATAAGTGGTAGCCACTGTTATGGTGTGAGTCACCACGCACATCACACATACGATGTGCTTCTTACATTATCAGAAGATGAACATGGTGAATGGAAGCAGGACCGTTTGCTTTACAGGTGAGTCTTTGCATCCACAGACTTCCCCACAGGATTTACTCAGGTAGCCATATCACTGTGGTGTGCTTACAATGGGGATTCTATGTGGACCTGACCTCCAGCTAGGGGGTGGCTGCCACTCACAACACATGGGCCTTTGCCATCCACGGAGATGACTATCTCCTCTCTGGCTTCTCTGAGGTCAAGAAAGGTGAACATCATCCTTTCAGAGAAGCATTAAAATCAAAACAAAGCAAATACTGTGAACAGGATGGTCATAGCTGTAGGTCCTGAGGCCTGTTGGCGAGGCTAGATGGAGAATGTGGCTTGAAGTGTGGACTGAGGGTGTGCAGGGGAGTCCAGAGATGAGGTCCCAACCCAGCTGTTTAACAGATATGTGACTTTGGCTGCTTGCTTCACCTATGAACCTCAGCTTCCTCACCTACAGTGAGGGCAGTAGGACTTACTGAGAATATGAAATGAGTAAATGCCAGGCATTCGGTAGGTGAGGACTTTCAGGCTCCCTCCCCTCTGAAAGACTTCCTGCCCTTCCTTTCTTTGGCAGTGGAATTGCAGTGGTTGGGAAAGCAGTTGCTGGAGGCCACTGTCTGGGATGGATTCAGGCTCACCCCTGTGTTAGCACTGTGTCCTGTACAAGTCACTTAGCCCGTCAGTGCACTGGTTCTTCCTCTGTCAAAGACAGATGCTAATGTGTGTCCTTCTTAAAGGGTGACCGTCACTGTGAAGGCTAAAGGCATTTAAATGCCTGTGAATACCTAGAGGGGTATGTGGCAAACCCAGGCCAGTGCCCTCACAGCAGATCTGCAAACCCAAGAAGATGTTCTCATCTCATGACAGTGATACTTAGTGACCATGGCTAGTCCCTCATGAGACAGCCACCACATGCCAGAGATTTTCTAAACACCTTCACATCTCCTCTAGTCCTCCCACCACACTCCATAAAATGGGCATTTTTATCACCCCCATCTTATAGATGAGGAAACTGAGTCCTGTAGTTGGTGAGGGCTGGACTCCAGCCCAGGGCTTTGAGTGTGGGGTTCACTCTTGTGACCATGCCACCATGTTGTTTTGGTGCCACAGCACTTATTCTGTAACCTGGTAGTGTGCTTTGGGGCTCATCCATCTCCCTTCCTCAGCCTCTGTGAGGAGGTTTCCATCACCTGGGCCTTCTCAGCTTGTTTGTTGACTGGATATTGGAAGGTGCTGATAAGAGAATGAATGAATTAATGAATGAATAATGATCCACCATCAACCCTCAGGGGCTAGTGCCCAGTCCTTCCTGGGGAAGGGGGAGGGACACCAGGGTTTCCTTTCCACTCAATAGCAGTTGAAGGAGCAGGCTGCTACCATGATGTTGTCAGAGCCCCATGGGTGCTTCTTGTCAATTGCTCAGAAAAGCCAATACACTGAGACAGCAGGTGTTGCAGCAGAGAAAGAGTTTAATAATCACAGGGAAGGCACACAAGGAGATGGGAGAGATTCTCAAATCCACTTCCCTGAGAATTCAGAGGCTAGGGTTTTTATGGGTTCTTTGCTGGGGAGGGGACTGGGAAACTGAAACAATTGATTAGCTGGGGATAAAGTCACTGAGGTGTGGAAACTGTGGCTGAGTCATTTCTTACCCAAGGGTCACAGGGCCAGTTGAGTCTATCCATTGGTGTTGGTCACAGGCCCAGGTGGTAACTCTTAGCAAAATGCTAAATCAGAAAAATATCTCAAAGACCAGTCCTTTAGGCCTCACAATAGTGATGTTACTTGTAGGAGCAGCTGGGGAAGTTACAAATCTTGTGACCTCTGTTATGTGACTCTGGGGCAGTAAAATTAAGCTGAGCCAACAATGGCTGATTATTGTTTAATTGTGCCCATTCTTTAGCAAAGTTCAGGCCTCTACCAGAATTCTGACCTTCTGGCCTTTGATCAGTCTTTACAAATATAGTTTCAACCTTTGAACAAGGCAGGGAGAAAATCAAGAAAAGGACTATTATGGCCTCCACACAAGAATGAGCAAAAGCAATTCAGCCTGGTAGAAGTGAGATGGAGTCAATTACGTCAGATTTTCTTTCTATCATAATTTTTTTTGCCTATTTTGTTATCATTTTTAATCATCTTCAGCTTTTTTTTTTTTTTATTATACTTTAAGTTCTAGGGTAAATGTGCACAAAGTTCAGGTCTATTACATATGTATACATGTGCCATGTTGGTGTGCTGCACCCATTAACTCGTCATTTACATAAGGTATATCTCCTAATGCTAGCCCTCCCCTCTCCCCCCACCCCATGACAGGCTCCGGTGTGTGATGTTCCCCACCCTGTGTCCAAGTGTTCTCATTGTTCAATTCCCACCTATGAGTGAGAACATGCAGTGTTTGGTTTTCTGTCCTTGTGATAGTTTGCTGAGAATAATGGTTTTCAGCTTCATCCATGACCCTACAAAAGGACATGAACTCATCATTTTTTATGGCTGCATAGTATTCCTGGTGTATATGTGCGACATTTTCTTAATGCAGTCTATCATTGATGGACATTTGGGTTGGTTCCAAGTCTTTGCTATTGTGAATAGTACCACAATAAACATACACGTGCATGTGTCTTTATAGCAGCATGATTTATAATCCCTTGGGTATATACCCAGTAATGGGATGGCTGGGTCAAATGGTATTTCTAGTTCTAGATCCTTGAGGAATTGCCACACTGTCTTCCACAATGGTCGAACTAGTTTACACTCCCACCAACAGTGTAAAAGTGTTCCCATTTCTCCACATCCTCTCCAGCACCTGTTGTTTCCTGACTTTTTAATGATCACCATTGTTAACTGGTGTGAGATGGTATCTCACTGTGGTTTTGATTTGCATTTCTCTGATGTCCAGTGATGATGAGCATTTTTTCATGTGTCTTTTGGCTGCATAAATATATTCTTTTGATAAGTGTCTGTTCATATCCTTTGCCCACTTTTTGATGGGGTTGTTTGATTTTCTCTTGTAAATTTGTTTAAGTTCTTTGTAGATTCTGGATATTAGCCCTTTGTCAGATGGGTAGATTGCAAAAATTTTCTCCCATTCTGTAGGTTGTCTGTTCACTCTGATGGTAGTTTCTTTTGCTGTGTGGAAGCTCTTTAGTTTAATTAGATCCCATTTGTCAATTTTGGTTTTGTTGCTATTGCTTTTGGTGTTTTAGTCATGAAGTCCTTGCCCATGCCTATGTCCTGAATGGTATTGCCTAGGTTTTCTTCTAGGATTTTTATGGTTTTAGGTCTAACATTTAAGTGTTTAATCCACCTTGAATTAATTTTTGTATAAGGTGTAAGGAAGGGATCCAGTTTCAGCTTTCTACATATGGCTAGCCAGTTTTCCCAGCACCATTTATTAAATAGGGAATCCTTTCCCCATTTCTTGTTTTTGTCAGGTTTGTCAAAATTCAGATGGTTGTAGATGTGTGGTATTGTTTCTGAGGGCTCTGTTCTGTTCCATTGGTCTATATGTCTGTTTTGGTACCAGTACCATGCTGTTTTGGTTACTGTAGCCTTGTAGTATAGTTTGAAGTCGGGTAGTGTGATGCCTCCAGCTTTGTTCTTTTGGCTTAGGATTGTCTTGGCAATACGGTCTCTTTTTTGGTTCCATATGAACTTTAAATTAGTTTTTTCCAATTCTGTGAAGAAAGGCATTGGTAGCTTGATAGGGATGGCATTGAATCTATAAATTACCTTGGGCAGTATGGCCGTTTTCACAATATTTATTCTTCCTATCCACGAGCATGGATTGTTCTTCCATTTGTTTGTGTCCTTTTTTTATTTCATTGAGCAGTGGTTTGTAGTTCGCCTTGAAGAAGTCCTTCACATCCCTTGTAAGTTGGATTCCTAGGTATTTTATTCTCTTTGAAGCAATTGCGAATGGGAGTTCACTCATGATTTGGCTCTCTGTTTGTCTGTTATTGGTGTATGAGAATGCTTGTAATTTTTGCACATTGATTTTGTATCCTGAGACTTTGCTGAAGTTGCTTATCAGCTTAAGGAGATTTTGGGCTGAGACAATGGAGTTTTCTAAATATACAATCATGTCATCTGCAAACAGGGACAATTTGGCTTCCTCTTTTCCTAATTGAATACCCTTTATTTCTTTCTCCTGTCTGATTGCCCTGGCCAGAACTTCCAACACTATGTTGAATAGGAGTGATGAGAGAGGGCATCCCTGTCTTATGCCTGTTTTCAAAGGGAATACTTCCAGTTATTGCCCATTCAGTATGATATTGGCTGTCGGTTTGTCATAAGTGGCTCTTGTTATTTTGAGATACAGCCCATCAATACCTAGGTTATTGAGAGTTTTCAGCATGAAGTGCTGTTGAATTTTGTCAAAGGCCTTTTCTGCATCTGTTGAGATAATCATGTGGTTTTTGTACTTGGTTGTGTTTCTATGACGGATTACTTTTATTGATTTGCCTATGTTGAACCAGCCTTGCATCCCAGGGATGAAGCCGACTTGATCGTGGTGGATAAGCTTTTTGATGTGCTGCTGGATTCTCTTTGCCAGTATTTTATTGAGGATTTTTGCATCAATGTTCATCAGGGATATTGGTCTAAAATTCTCTTTTTTTGTTGTGTCTCTGCCCAGCTTTGGTATCAGGATGATGCTGGCCTCATAAAATGAGTTAGGGAGGAGTCCCTCTTTTTCTATTGATCGGAATAGTTTCAGACAGAATGGTACCAACTCCTCTTTGTACCTCTGGTAGAATTTGACTGTGAATCCATCTGGTCCTGGACCTTTTTTGGTTGGTAGGCTCTCAAGTATTGCCTCAATTTCAGAGTCTGTTATTGGTCTATTCGGGGATTCAAGTTCTTCCTGGTTTAGTCTTGGGAGAGTATATGTGTCCAGGAATTTATCCATTTCTTCTAGATTTTCTAGTTTATGGGCATAGAGGTGTTTATAGTATTCTCTGATGGTAGTTTGTATTTCTGTGGGATTGGTGGTGATATCCCCTTTATCATTTTTTATTGCATCTATTTGATTCTTCTCTCTTTTCTTCTGTATTAGTCTTGCTAGCCGTCTATCAATTTTGTTGATCTTTTCAAAAACCATCTCCTGGATTCATTGATTTTTTGAAGGGCTTTTTTTTGTGTCTCTATCTCCTTCAGTTCTGCTCTGATCTTAGTTATTTCTTGCCTTCTGCTAGATTTTAATGTGTTTGCTCTTGCTTCTCTAGTTCTTTTAATTGTGATGTTAGGGTATTCATTTTAGATCTTTCCTGCTTTCTCTTGTGGGCATTTAGTGCTATAAATTTCCCTCTACACACTGCTTTAAATGTGTCCCAGAGATTCTGGTATGATGTGTCTTTGTTCTCATTGGTTTAAAGAACATCTTTATTTCTGCCTTCATTATGTTATGTACCCAGTAGTCATTCAGGAACAAGTTGTTCAGTTTCCATGTGGTTGAGTGGTTTTGAGTGAGTTTCTTAATCCTGAGTTCTAGTTTGATTGCACTGTGGTCTGAGAGACAGTTTGTTATAATTTCTGTTCTTTTACATTTGCTGAGGAGTTCTTCCAACTATGTTGTCAGTTTTGGAATAAGTGTGATATGGTGCTGAGAAGAATGTATATTCTGTTGATTTGGGGTGGAGAGTTCTGTAGATGTCTACTAGGTCATCTTGGTTCAGAGCTGAGTTCAATTCCTGGATATCCTTGTTAACTTTCTGTATTGTTGATCTGTCTAATGTTGACAGTGGGGTGTTAAAGTCTCCCATTATTATTGTGTGGGAGTCTAAGTCTCTTTCTAGGTCTCTAGGGCCTTGCTTTATGAATCTGGGTGCTCCTGTATTGGGTGCATATATATTTAGGATAGTTAGCTCTTTTTGTTGAATTGATCCCTTTACCATTATGTAATGGCCTTCTTTGTCCTCTTTGATCTTTGTTGGTTTAAAGTCTGTTTTATCAGAGACTAGGATTGCAACCTCTGCTTTTTTTTGTTTTCCATTTGCTTGGTAGATCTTCCTCCATCCCTTTATTTTGAGCCTATGTGTGTCTCCACACTTGAGATGGGTCTCCTGAATATGGCACACTGATGGGTCTTGACTCTTTATCCAATTTGCCAGTCTGTGTCTTTTAATTGGGGCATTTAGCCCATTTACATTTAAGGTTAATATTGTTATGTGTGAATTTGATCCTGTCATTATGATGTTAGCTGGTAATTTTGCTTGTTAGTTTCTTCCTAGCATTAATGGTCTTTACAATTTGTCATGTTTTTGCAGTGGCTGGTACTGGTTGTTCCTTTCCATGTTTAGTGCTTCCTTCAGGAGCTCTTTTAGGGCAGGCCTGGGGGTGACAAAATCTCTCAGCATTTGCTCATGTCGTCTGTAAAGGATTTTATTTCTCCCTCACTTATGAAGCTTAGCTTCGCTGGATATGAAATTCTGGGTTGAAAATTCTTTTCTTTAAGAATGTTGCATATTGGCCCCCACTGTCTTCTGGCTTGTAGAGTTTCTGCCGAGAGATCCGCTGTTAGTCTGATGGGCTTCCCTTTGTGGGTAACCCGACCTTTCTCTCTGGCTGCCCTTAATATTTTTTCCTTCATTTCAACTTTGGTGACTGACAATTATGTGTCTTGGAGTTGCTCTTCTCAAGTAGTATCTTTGTGGCATTCTCTGTATTTCCTGAATGTGAATGTTGGCCTGCCTCACTAGGTTGGGGAAGTTCTCCTGGATAATATCCTGAATAGTGTTTTCCAACTTGGTTCCTTTCTCCCTGTCACTTTCAGGTACACCAATCTGATGTAGATTTGGTCTTTTCACATAGTCCCGTATTTCTTGGAGGCTTTGCTCATTTCTTTTTACTTTTTTTTTTCTCTAAACTTCTCTTCCTGCTTCATTTCATTCATTTGATCTTCAATCACTGATACCCTTTCTTCCACTTGGTCGTATCATCTACTGAAGCTTGTGCATGCATCATGTGGTTCTTGTGCCGTGGTTTTCAGCTCCATCAGGTCATTTAAGATCTTCTCTACACTGTCTATTCTAGTTAGCCGTTTGTCTAATCTTTTTTCAAGGTGTTTAGCTTCTTTGCAATGGGTTCAAACATCCTCCTTTAGCTCAGAGAAGTTTGTTATTACCAATCGTCTGAAGCCTTCTTCTCTCAACTCGTCAAAGTCATTCTCCATTCAGCTTTGTTCCATTGCTGGTGAGGAGCTGCATTCCTTTGGAGGAGAAGAGTGCTCTGATTTTTAGAATTTTCAGCTTTTCTTCTCTGGTTTCTCTCCATCTTTGTGGTTTTATCTACCTTTGGTCTTTGATGATGGTGATGTACAGATGGGGTTTTGGTGTGGATGTCCTTTCTGTTTGTTAGTTTTCCTTCTAACAGTCAGGACCCTCATCTGCAGGTCTGTTGGAGTTTGCTGGAGGTCCACTCCAGACCCTGTTTACCTGGGTGTCACCAGCAGAGGCTGCAGAACAACAGCAAATATTGCAGAATGGCAAATGTTGCTGCCTGATCATTCCTCTGGAAGCGTCATCCCAGAGGGGCACCTGGCTGTATGAGGTGTCAGTTGGCCCCTACTGGGAGGTGCCTCCCAGTTAGGCTACTCGGGGGTCAGGGACCCACTTGAGGAGGCAGACTGTCCATTCTCATATCTCAAACTCTGTGCTGGGAGGACCACTACTCTCTTCAAAGCTGTCAGACAGGGACGTTTAGTCTGCAGAAGTTTCTGTTGCCTTTTCTTCAGCTATGACCTGCCCCCAGAGGTGGAATCTACAAAGGCAGGCAGGCCTCCTTGAGCTGCTGTGAGCTCCACCCATTTCGAGCTTCCTGGCCACTTTGTTTACCTACTCAAGCCTCAGCAATGGTAGACGCCCCTTCCCCAGCCTTGCTGCTGCCTTGCAGTTCGATCTTAGACTGCTGTGCTAGCAGTGAGTGAGGCTCCACGGGCATGGGACCCTCTGAACCATGCATGGGATATAATCTCCTGGTGTGCTGTTTGCTAAGACCATTGGAAAAGCACAGTATTAGGGTGGGAGTGTCCCAATTTTCCAGGTACCATTGGTCACAGCTTCCCTTGGCTAGCAAAGGGAATTCCCTGACCCCTTGCACTTCCCAGGTGAGGTGGTGTCCCGCCCTGCTTTGGCTTGTGCTTCATGGGCTGCACCCACTGTCTGACAAGCCCCAGTGAGATGAACCCTGTACCTCAGTTGGAAATGCGGAAATCACCCATCTTCTGCATCGCTCATGCTGGGAGCCGTAGACGGGAGCTGTTCCTATTCAGCCATCTTGGAACCTCCCTCCATAATTTTTTTAAAGGCAACTTCAGAGTGGGAAGTGCTGTTAACCTCCTCCCCAGCAGCTTACAGTGTGGATGGAGGGTGTGCGTAGGAGTCCAGAGATGAGGTCCCAACCCAGCTGTTTAACAAATGTGTTATGTTGGCTGCTTGCTCCACCTCTGAAACTCAGTTTTCTCATCTACAGTGGTGGCAGTAGGACTCACTGTGAAGATGAAATGAGTAAATGCCAGGCATTTGGGAAGTGAGGACCCTCAGGCTCCCTTCCCTCTGAAAAACTTCCTGCCCTTCCTTTATTTGACAGTAGAATGAGTAAATGCATCTTTGGGGCATTGCTTTCTGAACAACAGTCCTGCCAGCTCCTGGTGACCATCTTCCTCCCAATGCAAGCAGATGCATCGCATGGTTTGGCCCAAGCAGAGTTAATCCTCTCTTTTGCCTGAGCCTGCTAAGTCCACAACGGGATTCTCTCAGAACTGCTTCTGAGAACCCACTGTCCCTACTCCCTCCCTGAGCACCGGGCTTGTTGGTAACCCAGGAACTGACAGATCCAGCCCCTACACAGAGGCTGACTCTTCTCAGGCAGTCAGGAAGCTGAGGAGGAGGAAGCATCTACCGCCCTGTGCAGCCCCAGCCTGGAGGCCCCTCTCCTCAGATGTGAGGAAAAGCAGCATCTCTGTGATTTATATGGAATGGATAAAGGCCAGTTCTCCCTCGGGTTTCCTTTTGAGGGTCTTCTATCTATTGGGCAATTTAGGTTAGTGATTTTTTACATAATCATCAAGGAAATGAGAGCCATATTAGGATGGAATGCATTATTTAGTTTCTTCATTTATTTATAAGTCAGTGTGGATAACCCTCTCTTTTGAAGCATCTGAAGTGCAGGCTGCAAGTTGGCAAACGAGATCCTAGCTTCAAATGGCACAGTGGCATTTACAAACCCTGTGGCTTCCAATCCACGTTTGATTTGGATGGAATGAAAACTGTGGAAGCTTTGGAAAAGCCATCTGCTCAATTCCCAGTGGCTTATGTTTCTCATTTGGTCTGAAATGTGGACTCAGGACAGGGAGTGAAGGATATGGTGGACAGTTCTTCTCCCAAACCTGCTTATCCCAGGTGCCCTGGAGCCACCCTTCTCCACACCCTGACCCTCAGTTTCCTTGACAGTCTATGAACCAGGACTCTGTGGCTTATGGGGCAGTTAGCCAGCATTTCCTACTGCCTTCTCCTCCTTGCCATGTCACTTTAGTCCTGTCTTTCTCACTGAGCACTGTC
This sequence comes from Homo sapiens, assembly GCF_000001405.40. Lineage (NCBI taxonomy): Eukaryota > Metazoa > Chordata > Mammalia > Primates > Hominidae > Homo > Homo sapiens. The sequence goes on along the minus strand of NC_000019.10, from coordinate 29,131,333 downwards.
AGGCAAGCACAATTAACTGTCAGTGTTCTGTTTTTTCTTCTCCCTGCCAAATTCATTTTCCAAAAGCTGAGCTCTAATCTGGTCATTCCTCCACTCAGAAACCTTTATCACCTCCCTACTGTCTAAGGAATGAAGTCCAGACTCTAGCCTGACATCCAAGTTTGGCAGTCTGGCTTCACAGGTAACTTTCCTGCCTTTTTCTCTCCCCCTTCCCAATGTTCCCTGAAGCAGCACTGTCAGTGTCCATCCATGCCTCTTGTCCCTACTGCCTCCCAGGCCCTGCCTGAGGGCTTTCCTGCCAGCCCAGGCCCTTCCTAGGGCTTTCTCTGGTCTCCAGAGCAAGTTTGCTACCTACACCAAGTGCCAGAGAATTAACACCACCCCTATCCTCAAGCAGTAGTGTTACCAGTAAACAGAGTTCTTTTTCCACTTTGTATTGGTCATTTAAAAAAAGTCTAATTGGAAAAGGCAACCAGTTTCTGTTCACTGGCTAGAAATGGGGATGGCAAGCTGATATTCTAAATGCATCTTCTCCCTGAAGCCTAGGACACATGGGGTTTTTAAAGACTGGTTACAGGCTGGGAGAGGAACTTGAGCATGCGAGATTCCAGATGGGCAGGTGCAATTCATACACATACATCTTCATACATCACATGTATAAAAGATGGCAGAGTTTTTTTTAAGGGAGGGAATTTTAGCACCATAATATCTTAATGATCTAAAGGCAACCAGGGATCCTCTGTTCCAGTTTGCACCAGTTTGTGAGGTTTTATCTTCCTCTGGTACCTGGCCAGAGGTCAAGAAGTTCTGGCATAGTCCCTGGTTTCTTTAAGTAGCTGTGCCTGTAAATGAAGGAATAAAGGAAAACAATACGAAAAATAAACTTTCCCAGTTATTTTTATCAGGGCTGCCCTGGTAACAGCAGCCCTCAGCTCATGGACATTGGTGTATAAATACCCTAGCTCCCTAACATTGAGTCAGATAGCTGCAGTGCATGTTCTACACTAACTCCCAGTTTCCCCATGGGCATTAAGTGTCATTGTCTGCAGAGGCCCCTGGCTGGACAGCACAGCGTCTGCCTGCTACCATCCCTTCCTTGCCTCATTCCCCTTCTCCTCCACCAGTGTTTCCTGGAGTCCTGCCCCTCAAATCTACCTGTGTGTGCATCCTGTTCTCTGGGTGAGCTTCTGGAGGAACAAAAGCTAAGATGCTCCTTGCGTTAGTTTCCTGAGCCTGTCATAACAAAGTGGCAAATACTGGTGGCCCAAAACAGCTGTAACAGATGGTCTCCCAGGCCTGGAGGTAGAAGTCTGAATTCAAAAGGTTGGCCATCTCTCTGCTGGCTCTAGGGGAGAATCCCTCCTTGCCTCTTACAGCTTCTGGTGTTGCCGGCAGTCCTTGGCATTTCTGGGTCACAGGGCCATCCCCTGTGTGTCTTCACATCATCTTCCCAAGGACATCCTCCTCCTGCTTGTCCTCACATCACCTTCCCATGGCCATCTCCCCCTCTATTTCCTCATGTGGTCTTCTCATGGACGCCTTCCCCCTGAGTGGCCTCATGTCATCTTCCTGTGGCCCTGCATGTCTTCACATCATCTTCCCATGGACTTCCTCCCCCGTGTGTCTTTACATCATCTCTTCCCATGGAAGTCATCCCCTTGCGTGTTCTCACATCATCTTTCCATGACTGTCTCCCCCTCTATTTCCTCACGTGATCTTCTCATGGACGTCTTCCCCCTGTGTGGCCTCATGTAGTCTTCCTGTGGCCATCCCCCAACGCATGTCTTCACATCATCTTCCCATGGACGTCCTCCCCCTGTGTGTCTTTACATCATCTTCCCATGGATGTCATCCCCTGTGTGTTCTCACGTCATCTTCCCGTGGATGTCCTCCCACTGTGTGTCCTCATGTGGTCTTCCCATGGCCATCCCCACTGCTGCGTGTCCTCACATATCTTCCCATGGCCATCTCCCCATATGTGTCTTCAAATCGTCTTCACGTGGCTGTCCTCCCCCTGCACGTCCTCACATGGTCTTCTCATGGCCGTCTTCCCGCTGTGGGTCTTCATGTCCTCTTCCTGTGGCCATCGTCCCTGTGTGTGTTCTAACATCATCTTCCCTGGCTGTCCTCCCACTGCATGTCATCACATTGTCTTCCCATGGACGTGTTCCCCGTTTTTCCTCACGTGGTCTTCTCATGGACATCTTCCCCCTGCAGGGCCTCACATCATATCTTCCTTTGGCAATCCTCCCCCTGCATATCTTGACATCATCTTCCCATGGATGTCCTCCCCCTGCATGTCCTCATGTCATCTTCCCACGGACGTCCTTCCTCTGTGTGTCCTCATGTCATCTTCCCATGGACGTCCTCTGCCTGCGTGTCCTCATGTCATCTTCCCATGGACGTCCTCCGCCACGTGCCCTCATGTCATCTTCCCATGGATGTCCTCCCCCTGTGTGTCCTTATGTCATCTTCCCGCAGACATCCTCCCCTTGTGTGTCCTCATGTGGTCTTCCCATGGCCATGCCCCCACCCCCGTGTGTCCTCACATCATCTTCCTGTGGCCATCTCCCCTGCATGTCTTCAAATCGTCTTCACATGGCTGTCTCCTCCTGCATGTCTTCACGTGGTCTTCCCGTGGCCATCCTCCCCCTCCATGTCTTTATATCCTCTTCCTGTGGCCATCGTCCCTGTGTGTGTTCTCATGTCCTCTTCCTGTGGCTGTCCTCCCCCATGTATCCTCACATCATCTTCCCGTGGCCATCTTCCCCGTGTGTCCTCATATCATATTCCTTTGGCCATCTTCCCCCACATGTCCTCATGTCCTCTTCACATGGTTGTTCTCCCCGTGTGTCCTCACGTCATCTTCCCATGGCCATCATCCCCTGCATGTCCTCGTGCCTTCTTCCTGTGCCTGCGCTCCCCCTGCATGTCCTCATGTCCTCTTCCCATGGCCATCTGCCCCCTGCGTGTCCTCATGTCATCTTCCCATGGCCATCCTCCCACTGTGAGTCCTCACATCATCTCCCTGTGGCTGTCCTCCCCCTGCATGTCCTTGTGTTGTCTTCCCATGGCCTTCCTCCCTTGCGTGTCCTTGTGTTCTCTTCCCTCTGTATGTGTCTATCTGTGGGTCCACGTTTCTCCTTTTTATATGGATATTGGACTAGGGCCCACCCTAATGACTTCATTTTAACTTATCTCTGTAAAGACTCTGTTCCAAATCAGATCACATCAGGAGGCACTGGGGTGAGGACTTCCACATGTCTTTAGTGGGGGATGCAGCTCAACCCTCCGCTTTCCCCTTGCTCTTCCGCAGCTGGAAGGTGCTTCTGCATTTCCTCATCCTGGGCACAGCTCTGTCCCTGGGTTCCACACTGTCACAGCCACCCTTCCAGACCTCTGAGCACATAGCAAATGCTCCTCCGCAGGCCCGCCCTGCCTGCCTGGTGTTGTGGTGGGAGTGCTAAGCCCACAGTGGCACTATGGAAATACTTGGTGCATGAGGCTGTAAAACCTCAATAAACCAAAATGCTCAGGGAATGAATTATTTTAGATTAATTTTGGAATCAACTTGGGCTTCCAAATAATTATTTTTATTTTAACACTTTCAGCATTATTTCTGGAAAAGACAAGTCTACCTTTCTGCCTCAGGAAATCTAGTTTGTTAAATAAAACGGAACTGTCCTTGGATTTTGAAGACCAGCAGCGACTGAGTATTTTAGCTCTGAGCATGGCTCCACCCCATGCAAGAGGCAGCTGCAGAAGCTGGTGACCACCTGGGAGGTGTCTGTGGGGCAGAGGCAGCCCCCAGGAGGGATGTTCCAGGCCTTGCGAACCCAGCACTGCTCCCTATCAGCCGTTACTTTCTCCTAAATGTCAAATTCAGAGAAAAATAATTCTGGTGACCTGAAGTTCATGGGACCTTGGGGCACTAGGTTTATGGGGACAGTGATGGGTAGCTCCCAGGATGTCATCCCATAGTAAATTTTGAGAGCAGATAGTTCTATTTTTAGAGTGTAGATCTCACAGTTCTTTGCTGGATTCCTAAAGTGTATCTATCAGCCCATGCTTCCTGAGTGCCTGTCTGGTGGAAGGACATTTCTGTGTGGTGCTTGGTGATAACAGAGAAAGAGAGGCACCTCCTGGGTCCAGCCCAGCATGGCATCGTGGCCCTGCATACATGAACACTCACACTCGATCCTTGGAAATTGTAATGACAAAAAGAGAAAAGAAATAAAACCAGTGGTTTTTCTCCTTAAGAGATTTGACTAAAAGTGTAGACATTTTTCACCTCCTCACAGACCTCCCTTGGGGTTCTGGAGCAGGGAAGCCTCCTGGAGCACATTTGGACAACTCCCACTGGGATGACTCTTAGGTAGGGCATTGGGGTTGAGCTCCCTTATTATTATTACTTGCTCTGTGTGCGATGCAGTCACATTCAACCCTGCAAAGACCCCAAGGGGCAGATGTTACTCTCTGGCTCCAGCTATAAGGAGACTGAAGCCCAGCGAGGTTCTAAGTGTGCTTGATATCCCAGGGAGAGTGATGGTGGAGCTGAACTCAGTGCAGCCTGATGGACTCGCAGGATGGTCCCCTTATTCCCCAGCTGAATATGTTCACTGCTCAATTCAGGCAGCCATCCACCCAGGGTGCTGGACCCAAATGCAAAACACTGATTTGAATTCCACAAATGATGTCTTCAACAGAAAGCCAATTTCAGGAGTCCATGGCTACCAGCAGAGAGCACACGAATCAAGAAGGAACGCCAGAATCTGTAACTCAGAAACTTCCACCCCCGACACTTCCTCATCTTGGGGAATATAAATGACTTCTGGAAAACAGTGTCTTCTCTGTGCCTCTCCTTCTATCGCCTGGTGCTCTGCCTTGGATAAATAATTTACTCTCCAGCAAAGAGAACCAAATTTGATTTATAAGCCATAGTCCAGATATATAAGACAAACTTTCAAAAAATCTGCCTATATAAATCCTAGCCGTCCCAGGGGTGTTTATCATTTTATGTATATGGAGAAAAGGGAAACAGAGGTTTAAGTCTTTTTAATCTGCATTCGTTGGAAAGTGCTTTTGAACTACCGGCATTCAGGGTCCCACAGGGAAGCAGGAATAGCTCTGAGCTACAAATAGTCATGTTTCCTTCAGAATTTTCCGCCTCTGTGCATTTCTTTTGGTCTGTCTTATGCCTCACTCCCACTGGCCCCAAACCTTCCTTAGTTTTTTCTAATTCATCCTTCAAGGCCTGGGTTAGATGCCACCCCTGTGTCACGCCTGGGCCTTTCAAACTCAAGTTCTGCCCCTCCTCTTCTTGCCACCCTCTTCCTTTTCCTATGTCCTGCATTCTAACCTGGCCCTCCCCAGGCAGGGGGTTTCAGGCCATGCAGCACTCTACAGTGTGTCCACAGAAGGTTGCATGTCCATCTCCAGATGGCTCATCTAGGAGGTCTGGCACCACTGGGGACTCCCACTTACCTGCTGAGGTGAGAATTGCATGGCAGGCAAGAGAAAGAATGGGCATTGTTCTAGGGCTCATCTTTCTAGGTGAGGAGCAGGGCAGGGATGAACCAGGACTGTGGAAATAAACAAAAGCTTTTTATTCTGTGCTTGCTATAGCAGTGGATGATATGGTTTGGCTGTGTCCTCCTTCAAATCTCATCTTGAATTCCCATGTGTTGTAGGAGGGATCTGGTGGGAGGTAAATGAATCATGCGGGGAGGTCTTTCCCATGCTGTTCTCGTGATAGTGAATGATTCTCAAGAGACCTGATTGTTTTAAAAAGTTTCCCTGCACAAGCTCTCTTCTCTTGTCTGCTACAATGTGAGATGTGTCTTTCACCCTCCACCATGATTGTGAGGCCTCCTCAGCCATGTGGAACTGTAAGTCCATTAAACCTTTTTCTTTTGTAAATTGCCCAGTCTCAAGTATGTCTTTATCAGCAGCATGAAAACAGACTAATACAGTAAATTCATACCAGTAGAATGGGGCATTGCTGAAAAGATACCCAAAAATGTGGAATTGGCTTTGGAACTGGGTAACAGGCAGAGGTTGAAACAGTTTGGAGGACTCAGATGAAGACAGGAAAATGTGGGAAAGTTTGGAACTTCCTAGAGACTTGCATGGCTTTGACAAAAAATGCTGGTAGTGATATGAACAATAAGGTCCAGGCTGAGGTGGTCTCAGATGGAGATGAGGAACTTGTTGGAAATTGGAGCAAAGGTGACTCTTGTTATGTTTTAGCAGAGACTTGCAGCATTTTGCCTCTGCCCTAGAGATTTGTGGGACTTTGAACCTGAGAGAGAAGATTTAGGGTATCTGGAGGAAGAAATTTCTAAGCATCAAAGCATTCAAGAGGTGACTTAGGTGCTGTTAAAAGCATTCAGTTTTAAAAGGGAAACAGTGAAACGGTTCAGAAAATTTGCAGCTTGACGATGCAGTAGAAAAGAAAAACCCATTTTCTGAGGAGACATTCAAGCTGGCTGCAGAAATTTGCATACATAACAGTTTGCCAAATGTTAATCACCAAGACAATGGGGAAAATGTCTCCAGGGTATGTCAGAGACTTTTGTGGCAGCCCCTCCCATCACAGGTCCAGAGGTGAAGGTGTAGGAGGAAAAGCTGGTTTAGTGGGTTGGGCACAGGGTCCCCATGCTGTGTGCAGTCTAGGGACTTGGTGCCCTCCGTCCCAGCTGCTCCAGTTGTGACGAAAAGGGGCCAAGGTACAGCTCAGGCCATGGCTTCAGTGAGTGCAAGCCCCAAGCCTTAGCAGCTTCCATGTGGTTGGTGTTGAGCCTGTGGGTACACAGAAGTCAAGAATTGAGGTTTGGGAACCTCTCCCTTGATTTCAGAGGATGTATAAAAACATCTGGATATCCAGGCAGAAGTTTGCTGTAGGGGTGAGGCCCTCATAGAGAACTTCTGCTAGGGCAGTGTGGAAGAGAAATGTGGGGTCAGAGCCCCCAGACAGAGTCCCTACTGGGGCACTGCTTAGTGGGGCTCTGAGAAGAGGGCCACTGTCCTCCAAACCCCAGAATGGTAGATCCAGTGACAGCTCACACCATTCGCCTGGAAAAGCTGCAGACACTCAACAGCAGCCTGTGAAAGCCGCCAGGTGAGAGGCTGTGCCCTACAAAGCTACAAAGGAAGAGCTGCCTAAGACCATGGGAACCCACCTCTTGCATCAGCATGACCTGGATGTGAGACATGGAGTCAAAAGAGATCATTTTGGAGCTTTAAGATTTGACTGCCCCACTAGATTTCAGACTTGCATGGGGCCTGAGCCTTTCTTTTGGCAAATTTATCCCATTTGGAATGGCTGTCTTTACCCAATGCCTGTACCCTCATTATATCTAGGAAGTAACTAAATTGCTTTTGATTTTACAGGCTCACAGGCAGAAGGGACTTGCCTTGTCTCAGATAAGACTTTGGGCTATGGACTTTTGAGTTAATGCTGAAATGAATTAAGACTTTGGGGGACTGTTGGGAAGGCATGATTGGATTTGAAATGTGAGGACATGAGATTTGGGAGGGGCCAGAGATGGAATGATATGGTTTGGCTGTGTCCCCACCCAAATCTCATCTTGAATTTCCATGTGTTGTGGAAGGGACCTGGTGGGAGGTAATTGAATCATGGGGGCAGGTCTTTCCCGTGCTGCTCTCCTTATAGTGAATAAGTCTCATGAGATCTGATGGTTTTAAAAAGGTGAGTTTCCGGCCAGGTGCGGTGGCTCACACCTGTAATCCCAGCACTTTGGGAGGCCAAGATGGGTGGATCACGAGGTCAGGGGATCGAGACCATCCTGGCTAACACAGTGAAACCCCGTCTCTACTAAAATACAAAAAATTAGCAGGGCATGGTGGTGGGTGCCTGTAGTTCCAGCTATTCAGGAGACTGAGGCAGGAGAATGGCATGAACCCGGGAGGTGGAGCTTGCAGTAAGCCGAGATGGCACCACTGCACTCCAACCTGGGAGACAGAGTGAGACTCTGTCTCAAAAAAATAAATAAATAATTTTAAAAAGGTGAGTTTCCCTGCACAAGTTCTCTTCTCTTGTCTGCTGCCATGTGAGATGTGCCTTTCACCTTCTGCCATGATTGTGAGGCCTCCCCAGCCATGTGGAACTGTAAGTCCATTAAACCTTGTTCTTTTGTAAGTTGCCCAGTTTTGGGTATGTCTTTAATTAGCAGTGTGAAAATGGACTAATACAGGGGAGTTGGCCACCTTGACCAGCACTCACCTGCCAGCATTGTCCTTTGGGCTTTACCTACCCTCACTGATCTTCACAGTCACTCAGTAGTACACGGACTGCTCTGTTTTTCAAGGCACACAGAGGCAAATAAAACACAGAGGCAAATAAAACACAGGGAGGACTGAGGCTTTCAACGGTGAATGGAAAGATGATGGAGCAGGCGGCAGGAGTGGCTGGTGGTAGAGTGAGGGTGCTTGTTTCAGGTGCCATGAGACTGGCAGAAGGCCCTTACTTCTTTCCCTGCTCTCCCTCAGGCCTCAGCTCTGTTCCTCCCCAACAAAGCACAACTAGAAGGAGGCAGTTGCTCATCTTCTCCACAAGTGATTGAGATTTCATACTAACATAACAGTTGGGATCACAGTGCAAAGATACACAAGGAAGTTGACTGAAAGCAAGGTGCAGACATGCGGAAGAGACAGGCAAGGGTCATGTATTTTACATGCATGCCACCCCACCTATGCTCCCCAGGAAGGAGGGCTACTCCTGCCTGTCCTCACATTTTTGCCCTGAGATTGGGACTGACCCCTTGGCTGTGATCACAGGTCCTGGCAGCCTTCTTCTCCAGAAGGAGAGGGGACAGAGACGTATAAGAGGAGAAAGGCGCAAAGAAGACATCGGCTCCCACCAGGTCCCACTGCAGCAGCCAGGGGCCCAGCCGTGTAGATGTAGGAGACAGCAGTCCTGTCTCCTGGTGGGGGGTGGGTGTGAACAGATGGGAGCTAATGAGGCTGCCTGTTCTGGTAGGGAATGCACCAGCTCCCAGCCCCCTGGTAAGGTTCCCAGGGATAGCTATTCCCAGCGTTTTGTAGAGCTGGGTAGACAAAGCTGTCAGTCTCCATCTCCACCCAGCACTGTGTTCCTTCCCTATGACCATGTTTTCACTCATAGGGTGTTCCTAAAGCACTAAGGACAGGCAGAAACACCTGGCATGGCCTGTGCTCCTAAGGAACACCTGTGTCCACTGCAAGAGAAACTCTAGGACTTGCAGAGCAGGAGAGGGAATGGTAGACTCCTGTGGCTGGCTAGATAGGGGTGGAGACTGCTGCAGGACATGCCTGATCTCAACTCCATTCTCCCACAAAGAACAACTTGCAGAATAAGGGCCAAGTGCAGGCCCCTGCAGTGAGCCCCTTAGGCAGCAGGGGGCAGCCCAGGGAATGGAAATGTCACTGTTAATGATGGGCAAAGCTCATCCTCCGGCCACTCCTCCTCATGTTCCCCGTGCAGTGCCATTGCTTTCCAGCCTTTGGGTGACCTGAAGCCCTTGTCTGTATGTTTGCTGACTTGTTTACAGTCTGTCTTCCCATAAGCAGCAGGAGGGCAGGGTTTTTGTCAGCCATGCCTGGAGTTATCCCACAGCCCGCCAGACTAATCCCACAAGTAAGGTTTGTGGAATGATCTAAGTGATGTGTGGGTGCACTGTGGACTTTGACTGCCTGCCACTGTTCACAAAGAGTCAGTGACTTGGCTTTAGAAAAATCAACCTCCAGGCTAGGTGCTTGGCTCAGTCTACACCCAGCCCTGACCTGTCCTCTCAGAATCTGAGCAGCTCATATAGCTGCCCTGGGCCCTGTCTGACCAGATCCGTGGTGGTCACCTGACTTTCCCCCGATTAGGGAAGGAGACCAAATGTCTGGAGAATGGAAAAGCATGACCCCAGGTAGCTTCCTTTTCTGATCTCAGCTTTACCTTGCCCATCTATAAACAGAGTGGCTGGCCAAGACGATTGCATAGCTCTTCCCATCTCTGACATCCTACAAATACTCAATCCCATGTTGGAAGGGCATACCATTTGCCAGAGTCCGCTAACCAGAGCTGCCACCTGGGCGCTCTGCTCACTGCGGTCAGCTGAACAAATGTGCTGACATTTCACTCCTCAGCAGGCTATGAAACTCTTCACTTGTGCCCAAGTTCTTGTTAGGTAGCAAGGCTACCTAGGCCTGTTCCAATAATGAGAATCTGTTCTGCTTGAGCCCACGGAACACAGCTCCACTCTCTGCTGCCACTTGGCCATCTCCAGTGCTTGGCCCAATGTGACCCTTCTGCTTGGGCCATTCTCATGGGCAGCCAGGTACAAATTCTGGTCTCTGCCTCACTGGCTTCTCTGAATTTAGGCTGGCCCCCGAGTCTGCCTGCAGCTCTCCTGCAGCCTGGCTACTCACAAAGGTCAGTCCCTTCCTTGCGAGGGGGTCTGAGTGTCCTCCCCAACTTGGAAGGAGGGGCTCATAGACTGTTTCCCTGGGCTGGCAGAAAGGCAATTAAAGCATTGTTTGCTAGCTGTGCGGTTTGCACACCTCTTCTCCAAGAGGAAACAAATATTTTGAGGAGATGACTTCACAGGGAAGGCACGTTGCTCGGGAGGTCTGTTTTCCAGACTCCTCGAGGTGAAGGCAGAGTGCAGGGGAAAGGCCAACACCATCATATTAATAATGGATGCTGCGCTGCCTGGAGGCCTGCTGTCATCTGTGCCTGTGCTTTGCAGAAGTCCAATTAGGGCTGAATTATAGTAATCAATAGAGCAGCAGGATTTAGATCCAAACAAAGAACACATGGCCCTACTCCACCAAGGGGAATTGATGAGCAGGAGATGCACTGGCGTAATTGGAGGCTGTGCTTGCAGGCGAGGCTGCAGGCTCTCCCAGGTCTGGTACAACTTCAACGGCACGTTCCCTATTGACAGAAATCCAGCGGGCCCTGTGTAAACCAGAGCGCTCAAGCCTTCCCTCCAGGGGGAGTTGGGAAGGCAGTGTCTGGTTGAAAGCACACCTGTGCAATAGGAGGAGTGTGGCCTTGGAATCAGACACCCAGGGCTCAAGAGTCCGGCTGGGGGACATCAGCCCATAGGTTTACCTTTCTGAGCTTCATGGTCGTCACATGCAAAACACCCACTCTCAGGACTATCGTGAGATTTCAGCAATTGCCTTGAAACTGTCCCAGCCCCTGGTGCATGGGGGCCACCTGGATGCTCTCCTTTCCACCTCTTCTTCACAATAACACCATGCACAGTGCACCTCCATGCCTCTGGTCCTGCTGTCCCTCTTTCAATTGTCCTCCCTTCCTTGTGCTTGCCTGTAGAACTCTTATCCATTGGTCAACACGAGCTCAAGCCCTCTCCTCCAGACTGCCTACCCGGGTTACCCCAGCCAGGCATGGACCGAGCTCCTCCAGGGCTCCTGTGTGTACACACAGAACATTCCCACTCCCTCCCTTTTAGATAGTGTCCATTTCTTGTTCTCACACCTGGTCTCAGTGGACAGAGCCTGTGACACCATGGACAGCTCAGCCCTGCAAGTTTTCTGCCCTCCGGTGGTCAGAAGGAAAAAGAGGGCTTCCCAAGGCCCCGTGCAGTTCCCAGCAGTAAGAGTGAAGAGCCGATGAACCTGGCTTCCAGAGTGGGACCTGGGTCCTGGCGGTCCACCTCATGGCCATCAGCACCCGTGTCTCACTGGCTCACGCAGGGCAACCTGGTAACAGTGTGCCTGTCTCCCCCACTGCTGGGAACCATATAGCACCTTCGTGAGGGCTGGAGGGGTCATAGCCCTGATGGATGCTCCTTATGTGTGTGTGGCCTGAATCATGATGTTTCTGAAACATCAGGGAAGATGAAACAGAGAAAATTGAATTAGGGTAAAAGAAGTAAGAACAGGACAGGGTAGGGAGACTGAAGGTTTCCATTAGACATTGAATGATCTGAATGCTATTGAATAGGTAAGAGTAACAAATGTATTGGAAATGAGCATGGCAGAGCTGAAGTCTTGCTTCAAATGGGCATACAAATTGTTTCACTGGAACCTGCTGTTATATTTACCTCATTAGGAACAAAGTGGAACCCTCAATGTGATTCTGTGCAAGCCGGGACACAAGCTTTTGTTAGGCAAGCAGCCTCAGAGTTGGAATTCTCAGAACTGGAAGCAGGAGACCCGGGCCACACCTGCCAGCTTAGCAGGGGCCATGCAGTGCCCTCGGCCATGACGCACTTCTCCTAATGGCCCCGTAAGGGAGATACTCTTATTATCTCATTCTACAGATCAGAAAGAGGAGGCCCAGAGAAAGGATGGGATTTACCCAGAGCAGCCCAGATACTCTCTCCATCACTTCCTGGTAGCAGCAACACCTGAACCATCGGTCACAGAGGACACAGGTGCTGGGACCTTGTTCATAATCTCAGCTTCTGTTGCTTTGCCTTGGAGGCATCTGTCATTTAAACATTATTTTAAGGAGTCAAATCACAAAACTCTCTTTTAATTCAAGTCAGCAGGTATTTACCCAGTACCAACCATGTGCCCCAAAGCCATTTAGACTGTGACTGTCCCCTGCTTCAAGTCTATCCTTCCAGGATAGACTTATGGCCAGGACTAACCTCCGGTCCCCAGGAGCCTGGATTCTCCTGCAAACACAGAGCTTCTGCAATCAGACCCACTCTGATGCTCACTGCTTTCCTAATCATTGGTGTGAAACCACCTCCTTTCACTTCCAGGAGACAGAACACCCAGTGACCCCTGGCTCTGACCACAGGGTTGGCTTAATCCCTCAGAACAGGCCCCACATTCCATTAGCAGAATGGCTCCAGGAGCACAGAGGGCATCATCTTTGAAAGCCGAAAACACTCAGCTGCCTGACACTGGTACTTCCAAAACTAACAGATATCCTCTTTCACCCGGAGCTAAGGCAGCCCTCAGAGCATCACACAGCACACAGCATAGACCCTGATCCCTAATGGGCTGGGAGACAGCCAAAGCCAACAAAAACAACCCCCTCCCTTTCCCCCAACGCGGACTGCTCCTAAGCTGGAGAGAAGCTCGGGTGCTCTGTCCACATCACACTTCCACTGATACACCCAGGTGTAAGGCCCAGCAGATCAGCTTGGCCTCTTAGCCCCGTGTGTTGCTCTCTTAACTGTCTCTTCATTTTCACCCCCCTGCACTGTTCTCCATAGTCTGCTGGCAGAATGCTCATGCTAACTTCCCATGAACTGGAGGGAGGAGAGAGGGAGAGAGGATGATGGATGAGTCGGGGGTGGGTAGATGGAGAAATACGCAATCAAACTCTGATATGAGTCTTCCTGACTCGTGTGGTCCAGTCCCTATAGAGACACACCATCTGGGCTAAAAATAAAAAAGAGTAGTAGTAATAATAATAACTTAAAGTCTTGAACTTCTCCCAAAAGTGATTAAAAGGAACCCAACCTATAACACACACACACACACACACACACACACTTGTCCTCTATCTCTTCTCCTCCACATCTCCCACAACCCCTGACCCACCAGGGCCTCCATCTCACAACCTCTAAAGGGGAACCTCTCCCTCTACTGCCCCAGCCACCAGCCCTCTCCTTCCCACTCCTATTTTATGCTCACGTGTTTTCTCTCCCTAGGTCCTACTGCTCTGAACCTGTTTTCTCCCATCAAGGCCCAGGTCTTAGCCAAAGAGAGGGAAGGAGAGGAGGTGGAGAGGCACAGATAGCAGGTGTCTATCCATACAGGAAGTGGAGAGGAGTGCGCACCAGTCCAGTGCCCCACCAGGTCCCGTAACTCACCTAGCAGTGAAGAGCCTGCACTCACACCATGGGATCTGCACATCACCACAGCCTCCAAGCCATACAGCCTCCAGCAGCTGTTAAATCTTGGCAAGGAGTGGGCAGCAACCCCTGCCCTTCAGCGCCTTGGGGTTAAAGAAGTGAACATATGGAATACTTAGCACAGTGCTTGACACAGAGCAAATGTGTCCCATCATTTAGGATTGTTCATCGCCCTCTCATTTGACGGATGGGAAGGTTCCCATTAGATACTGATATAAGGTCTTAGATTAGAGGGGAAGGAAAAGCAGAGTTTAGTTAAACACCTTTCCCTTCACCACATTGCCACCAGGTAGGCAACAAATCATCAAATACTGTATTAGTCTGTTCTCATGCTGCTATGAAGAAATAACCAAGACTGGGTAATTTATAAAGGAAAGAGGTTGAATTGACTCACAGTTCTGCATGGCTCGGGGAGCCTCAGGAAACTTACAATCATGGCAGAAGCACCTCTTCACAGGGCGGCAGGAGAGAGAATGAGAGCCAAGTGAAGGGGGAAACCCTTTATAAAACCATCAGATCTCATGTAAACTCACTTTCATGAGAACAGCGTGGAGATAACTGCACCCACGATTCGATTATCTCCACCTGGTCCCTCCCACAACATGTGGGGATTATGGGAACTACAATTCAAGATGAGATTTGGGTGGGGACAGAGCCAAACCATATCACATACCTTCTTTCAGTGATAGGGAACTCACTGTCCACCCATGAGTCCTGAAGAAACAGAAAAGAGCAAGAGAGAAGAGTAGAGCCTTTGAGGAAGGGACATTCTCCAGATGAGAGGAGGATAAAGTGCTGTGTCATTTTCTCCCCAAAGGAAGTGTATTAATCAGGAATCACAGAGAAAAACTGTAGAAAATCAACTGGGATTGCTTTAAACTAAAAAGGACATATATTGTCCCTCTTAACTAAAAAGTCCAAGAAAGGGCTTTCAGGCAAGGCTGGATCCAGGGTCTCCAAGGAGGTCATCATTACATTCAGCATTACAGGAATCTTATGTTCACCATCTGCTGATTCTATTATCCTGTGTTGACTCCATTTCAAGCTCAATTCCCTCTTGTCAGAGCCAGCAGCTCCAAGTTCATATCCTAGCCATTTAATAATCCCGATTAAGGAAAGTCACCTTGCCCAGGGCAGTCAGCTGTCCTGCAAATGAACCCGTAATTGTTCTGGCTGAGGGGTCTTGGGTCACTTGCTGCCTCTGAGCCAATCACTGTGTCCTGGAGAATGAAGTGCAGCTTGGCCAGGCCTGCATTCTGCACCCACACCCACATCCAGAAGGTTGGTCAGCCTCTCACGCTCTATACAAGCTGACAGAAAAAAATAGTATCTTATTTCCAAAAGGTGGGAATAATGGATGCTGGGCAGGAAAAAGCAATGGAAATCCACTGAGAGAGAAGAACATTTAGGGTGAGAGTTGTTTCAACTGCACAGGGACCCTCTGCCCCTCCCTGTCCTCCCCCAGGATGCCTGTCCTGCAGCACTGTGTTAAAATGAAGACCACTGGCCAGGCATGGTGGCTCACGCCTGTAATCCCAGCACTCTGGGAGGCCGAGGCGGGTGGATCACGAGGTCAGGAGATCGAGATCATCCTGGTTAACACGGTGAAACCCCGTCTCTA